>NC_000019.10:32865874-33490874 GCF_000001405.40 Homo sapiens | reverse complement strand
CCTGGCCAACGTGGCAAAACCATGTCTCTACTAAAAATATAAAATTAGCTGGGCATGGTGGTGCGCACCTGTAATCCCAGCTACTCGAGAGGCTGAAGCAGGAGAATCACTTGAACTTGGGAGGTGGAGGCTGAGGTGAGCCGAGATGGTGCCACCACACTCCAGCCTGGGTGACAGAGCAAGACACTGTCTCAAAAAAAAATAAGTAAAATAAATGAAATAAAATGCCTTGCCTTTCTGGAGAGGGCCCATTTTTCTCCAAGTCCCTTGTTTTGTCTCCATTCCTGTCCAAGTCCCATTTGGAGTCTCCTTGGAGTTAAGAGAGGGATGTCTCCCTGCTTCACAGCAGTCCTGCCACAGTCAGGTCCTGCACACCTCCCCAGAAGGGCTGGGTTCGACAGGACTCTTTCGGATGTTATACAGTTAGTGGGGAGTGTGTGCAGGAGAGGGAAGATGGACCAGGCTGGGGAGAGCAGATTTATATTGGGAGTGGTCCCGGGTCCTCGCCTGTGCCTGGGCAGCCTGGCTGGTTTCAGCAGAGTGCTCTGACCTCCATGGAGAAGGCCTTGCTGTGCAGCTGGGATGCTGCAGAGTTTGGGGGGCCCCCACTTCCTCCACTTGGCAAGTGGTAGCAAAGAGGTCTGTCCTTGTGTTGGGGCCGGGCCTGGAGCTACCTGGCTGGGTGGCTCATCTGTTGGGGGAAGGCAGGAGGGGATCCTGTTCTTACCTGTCCTGAGCCTAGCTGGAGGCCTCAGGGGTGCAGGCTGTGGGGGCGCCATGCGGCCCCGTGTGTCATGTCTGTGTTCTCTCTCCCCAGCGTGGCGTCAACACGGACAGCGGCAGTGTCTGCAGGGAGGCCTCCTTTGACGGCATCAGCAAGTGAGTCCTGGGCCCCCAGGGACTCTTTCCCCACCATCCCCCACTCCCACCTTCACTAGCAGGTCTTTCCCGGTCTACAAATAAGACATGAACTATGCAAACTTCTTTTTAAGGAGTTTGGGCATTTTGAGGAAATGTTTAGAAGCATAATTTGCCAAAAATCACCTTGATTTTTCTTGAAGGAAAGGTGCCCCGTGTCTGTTTGCTCCATAAGGAAAGTGCTCAGGCAGCCCTGGCCAGGGCAGGGGCAGGGGCAAGGGCAGGGGCAGGCACAGGTGGGTTGTTTTCCCTCTAAACATCTGCTGTGAGCCCCTGTGGTCTGTGCATCAAGCCACCACCCCCTTTCTTTTATTTTTTTATTTTTTTTGAGATGGAGTCTTGCTCTGTCACCCAGGCTGGAGTGCAATGGCCCGATCTTGGCTCACTGCAACCTCCATCTCCCGGATTCAAGTGATTCTCCTGCCTCAGCCTCCTGAGTAGCTGGGATTACAGGCACCCGCCACTACACCCGGCTAATTTTTGTATTTTCAGTAGAGATGGGGTTTTGCCATGTTGGCCAGGCTTGTCTCGAACTCGTGACCTCAGGTCATCCACCCACCTCAGCTTCCCACACTGCTGGGATTACAGATGTGAGACACCGTGCCTGTCCCAAGCCCCCTCTCTTAGTCCCAGCCATTAACCCCTTCCAACCCGGCTCTCAGCAGCTCCCCTGTGTCCCCTGCTGTCCTAATCCCAGGCAGGATCCCTTTAACCTCTTCTCACTCTTAACCAAGCGCCAGGCTGAGCCTCCAAACCCTGCTTGGGAAGCGGTTCCCCTTTTCTCTCCAGGCAGGAGGACAGACCTTGGGCACAGGGAAAGACGCCCCTCCCCTGCTTGTCACCCCTCACCCACAGCCCCCGGGAGAGCCTGGAGAGGGCGGGAGAGCCCTGCCCACTGGATGTGCTTGGGTCCCTGGACTGGCTGGTGACTGGCCCTGGGGGTCTGTGGCCTGCATTGCTGGCTGATGCCATAGCAGACAAGGCCCCTGCGCTCGAGGCTGCTGCACGTGGACAGTGGGCAGCTCCCAGCCCCAACTTTGGGACCTGGATCCCCAGCCCCTCCCCTATCATGCATCCCCTACAGCCCCCATGTCTTCTGTTGTCCTCTGGTGGACCAAGGCAGTGATGGAGGAACCGCCTTATAATTATGTATGAGCCCAAGCTGCTGGAATCTCTGTGTGTGATGTAGGGGTGATGAGGGATTATGAGCTCATGAATATGTATCACCTCCCACCTCCCCCTATGCTAAGAGCAGTGGGGCGGGTGGAGGGGCGGGTAGTAGGTTTGCTTTTTCACTGCACAGATCTTCGTGTCCTCCTGGGAGTTTCCCCAAAGCGGCCCCGCCTCCCACGCCTGGCAGCAATTAGCCCAGCTTGTTGAAATGCTGGCCATGGAGCTGCTCTCTCTCCCCAGGCCCCCAGGCCCTCAGAGGGGCTACGGGCACAGCCAGCTGCTGCCTGTCCCAGTCCCGGGACTCCCTGAATCCCCCCAGCACTACCTGGTGCTGGGTCTCCAGTGTCCTGCACACCTTTCCTCGACCATGCCATGGAACCTCTCTATGGCCTCTGTTTGGGTCTCTGCAGCAGGGGGACCCTCAGCTCCTCCACGTGTAACCTGGTGCTGCCTGGGCTTGTGGTGGGCACTGGAGGAGATCATGCTCACCTGGAGCCTGGCACAGAGCTGGTGCTCAGTGACAGTTGCCCGCATGCAAACCCCAGCAAATCCCATTGCTCCTCTGTGCCTCAGTCTCCCCATCTGCGTGGTGGGCCAGGTGGGCTCCAGGATCACCAATTCCCAGTTTCCCAGATGTCAGTGAGTCGAGGGCCTTCTCAGCGGTGAGAGCTTTGCTTGCTCCTCCTCTAGAGAGAATGCTGAGCCCCCCTGGACCACGTCTGGCAGCTGTGTGGTGGGTGTGGTTCCCAGCCAGGAGCTCAAGATGTGGCCTCTGAAGCAGAGCTCTGCCAGCTGCTCCTTGAGGTTCCCCGAGGAAGGCAGGTGGGGCCCTGGGCTTCCCCAGGGCCCTCATCACTGTCAGTGAGTGTCAGGAAGCAAAGGTCTCGTTCTACCCCCCAGGAGGATTCCTAGGTGTGACCTCTCATCCCAGTCTCTGTCACCTGTTGCCCCCCAGTCCCTGTGGCCTCTGCCAAGAGCCCAGAGGAGCCTGTGCTCTGCAAACTCCCCACCCCACCCTGTCACCACTGGGACACTTTTTGGAGAGCCAGGGACTGCCTTACTTTTGCACCATCTCCCCAGGCACCGGGCTGGTACCTCTCCAATCTCTGATCCAGGCCAGGCTGGGGCTGACTGGGGGGTGCTCACCCGGCCCCTCAGCTGGGGGCTGGGCTGAGACACTGCCCCCCACCCCGGGTGCTGGTGCGTCAGTTTCCGCACCTACGCCTTGGGCTGCTGGCCGAGTCTCTGACTTGGCTGTTGCAATGCGCAGCGGGTGAGAACCCTCGTGGCCATCTCTGGCCTGCTTGTTCTCCTCCCTCCCTTCCTTGTCCCCTGCAGGGGGCCATCCACCCATGTCTCTCCCCTCGGGGCCTTCCACCTCACTGCCACCAGGGCTGTTTCACTGAGGCAGGAGCTCTGGCTGGTGCCCCCTACCCTGCATGCCGTGGGCCTTGACATGGGGCCCCAGCCTTTGCCTCCAGCTGCTCCCAGCCGCTTCCCTGTGGACAGTCTTGTCTGCATTCCTGGGGTCCAGGTGCAGCTCATCCCCCTGCCTTCCACTCACCCAGGCTGCCAGCACTTTTGTGCCGGGCTGGGCAGAGACCACGTCCCCAAGAGCCGCTGCCGCTCAGCAACCGCATTCCCCTGCCTGCCGGGTGCACCTCCAGCTGCTAGCTGGGATATTAATAGCCTGTTTCCCAAGCAAGATGAATCTTGCTGTCGTCCTCCTCTCCAATACGCAGCTGCTTCCGCCCCAGTTGCCTCTCACTGCTCTGATGAAGCTGCTTGTTCCCGGCATTGTCCTTTTTGACCCTTTTAAATGTCTCTGCAGCACCTTGCACCTTGGGCTTCGATTGACCTCCTCCTCTAACAGAAGTTCAGGTTTGGCCTCTTGGTTTGACCTGATGGGCCCCCCCAGCTCCCCTTATCCCCTGGCCTGCAGGGAAGAGGAGCTTGTGGTAGACAGTGGTCCCCACCTGTCCACCCAGCCTATACCCTTGGGACCCTGGTCCAGCTGGATGGTTGGGCCAGGACCCCTCCAGGTGTGGCTACTCGGGGTGCCTGGCCTGGGGTCTGTCCCATTTGGGCTCAGCCTTGGTCTCAGACCTCCCTCCACCTCCCCAGATCAGGGCCAGGCCGCCTGCTGCCTGCAGTAAGAGTGTGTGGGGTCTCGAGGTGTGGGGACAGCAGAGGACAAGGAGCAGAGGGGACAGGGCAGAGGTGGGCTGAGGGTGGTGGGCATGCACACGGCCAGAGAGACCCTGTGGACTGAGGCCCCTGGGCTCACCCAGTGATGTGGCTCGGTGTGATGACAGTAGCGTGAAGGGTGTAGGCCGGGATGGTCTGTAGGGGCTTGTGAGTTTGGGGTCCGGCCCAGGCAGCAGTTCCGTGTGTGGCTTGATTGGAGCAGTCCCAAGGAAGATTTGGGAAGAGCAGGCTTTGCTGCGGGCTCTGGCAGGAGGGGTGGGTGTGGGCATGGGGTCGGGTGCTCATTGCCAGGTCCTGGCGGGGGCATGATGGGGGGTTGGTTTGGGGGCTAGTGGGGGCTGAGATGGGGAGGGGAACCCTGCAGCAAGAGACTTGAGACTTCTTCCTGCGGATGGCAAGATAGGCTCCCTGGAACACTTGGCTCCTGAAGGCTGGGAGCAAAGTCAGACATGGTAGATCTCTGAAAACATCTAAGGAGGTAGACGTTAGGGCAGGTTTTCCTGAGAGCAGGAGACTGACCATGAAGGAGAGATGGTCTGTTGGGGGATTGTTGGCAGGGGCTGGGTGGCCTGAGCTGAGGGATGCCTGTCCATCAAGTTTCCATGCCTTAACGAGGGTGCCTTCTTGGCACAAGGCAGTCGCCTCCCAGACAGACAGAAGCTGTACCCAGGAGCCCTGGGCCGGGGCAGCGAGTGACAGGGGCTCCGTTTCCTGCCATTGTATATGGTCAGTATTTTACATTTCTTACATCAGTGTAAGAAATACACTTATTCAGGCTAAGTGTATTTCTTATCTTTCGGCATTTACTTAGATCACCCTGCATATTTGAAGACAATTGGTAACGAATTGATTCCATTTAAGCAAGCAGTTAAAGATGAAATTCTGAATTTGGGGGTTGTTAATGCAGGAATATTAATATCCGAAGATGTGAATTTTAAAACCCAGGAAGTAGAGGGACATTATTAAAACTTGACGATTACAGCAAAATACCAATCTGTGGTTTGAGGACCGTGGTTTTCTGGTTACTGTTAACTTGGATATCAAGTTAATATTTAGGATTGGCTTCTTTTTTTTTTTTTTTTTTAGACAGAGTCTTGCTCTGTTGCCCAGGCTGGAGTGCAGTGGCACGATCTCAGCTCATTGCAACCTCCACCTCCCAGATTGCAATGATTCTTCCGCCTCAGCCTCCCAGGTAGCTGGGATTACAGGTGCGCACCACCACACGTGGCTAATTTTTGTATTTTTAGTAGAGACAGCGTTCACCATGTTGGCCAGGCTGGTCTCGAGCTCCTGACCTTAGGTGATTCACCTGCCTCGGCCTCCCAAAGTGCTGGGATTACAGGTGTGAGTCAGCGCGCCCAGCCAGGATTGGCTTTCTAATTGTGACCCATGGAGTTCTCGGTGAGGGGAGGGACCCTCAAGAGGTGAGAACCTGACCCAACCCTTTGGCAGGGAGCAGAGTGGAGGGGCTGCCTCATCTTTGGGTGAGATATGCCCGGAAAGAAGCCAGTGGCCTGGGACAGGGGCTTTGGCCCTCTCATCTCCCAGCCCACATTTAGAGCTCATCAGGAAATTACACTCTGCTTCCAGGGCACGCCTACCCTCACAGGCCCAGTGGGATTTCGTTGATACTTTTACACGATTAATACATGCTCATTGTAGAAAATGCTAACCAGCATGGAGGCAAAAATGAGAACTATATGAATTTTATTACCCAGGGTTCAACCTGTTAACCTTGTCTTTTGGATTCTTCCGTGTGTGTCTGATTGTGTTTCTCTGAGTATATTTTTGTGTCTGAGTGTGTGTGTGTGTGTCTATCTGTGTATACACATTGATCTGTGTCTGTGTTTACCTGTATGTGTGTATATCAGGGTGTGGATCTTTTTGTGTGTCTTAAGTATTTGCCTGTCTGAGTATGTGTGTGTATATGTGTGTCTACATTCCCCTAAGCTTGTGCCTTAGTGTGTGTTTGTGTGTATGTGTTCCTGTTCATGCCTGCCTACATCTGTGTGTGTGCATATACAGTGGGGTCTATCTATGTGTGTCCGAGCATGCCCCTGTTGTGCACATGGCTGTATGTGTCCGTGTGTGCCTCTTTTCCAAGCGTATGCCTGTCTCTGTGTGTCTGCGTGTGTGCATCTGTGTCTATGTGCTGAGTCACTCTGTGCTGGGTCACTTTGCTGCTTGTGTGCATGTGCACGTGTGTATGCGTACGTACGTTGAGTAAGATGAAATGGTGGTGGTGTGTTTGGCTGCTGAGTAGATTGGCCACTGCTTTTCCTAGGGTCAAAGTGGCATTTGGTGCAGTGGGAGCCAGAGTCTATTTTGTAGTTTTGATTTATGTCACCTGCTGCCCTGTTCTTCACTTTGAACCACACTGGCTGCCCGTAGTCTCTTTGATATTTCATAAGTAAGGCTTTGATTCCACAACATTTAGGTTGACTTTGAATCATATAGTTCTGTTTGTATAGTTAAGGATCCTGAAAGCTTCAGACATCTGGAATCCTCTCAGTCTGCTGTTACCCCCTTCTCTCTTCTCTCCCCTGTCCCTGCCCCTGTTCAGTTGGCTCAGCTAGAAGGGCTGCTGGCCTCACAACCATGGCATTACATAGGTGTTTTCAACACCATTAACGAAGCCATGGAGGGTCCCTGGCTGGCAGGAGGACAGGAGGTCACGACCCTGCGTGTGCTTGTGTGTGCTATCCTTCCCTAAGATGGGGCAGGTCTTTTTTTCTTTTTTAAAGAGACAGGCTTTTTTAAAGAGACTGGGCAAGAGTCACTCTTGCCCAGGCTGCTGGAGTACAGTGGTGCAATCATGAATCACTATAGCCTCAACCTCCTGGGCTCAAGCGATCTTCCCACCTTAGCCTTCTGAATAGTTGGGACTATAGGTGTGCGCCAACACACCCAGATAATTTTTAAATTTTTTGTAGAGACAAAGTCTCGCCACATTGCCCAGGCTGGTCTTGAACTCCTGGGCTCAAGTGATCTTTCTGCCTTGGCCTCCCAAACTGTTGGGATTACAGGTGTGAGCCACCACACCTGGCTAAGGAGCAGGTCTTGGAATCCAGAGAGTTGAAGTCTTGCCGAGGCTTCTCTGCTGAGGCCTATAGCTTGTGCTAGGCTACCTTGTTCTCCAGCTTGAGCTCTGTGTCACACAGGGTTCTCTTGTGTCAGAGATGTGCTCTGACCTGATCCTTTTGTCTCCTGGGGTCACCTTTTCAATGATGTTCATCTTATCGAAGAGCAGCTTTTGGCTTTGTAGATTTTTCTTATATGGTTCCTTTTTATTTCATTGCTTTCTTCAAGGGTCATTCTTAGGATGGAAGTTTAGATCGCTGATTTTCAGTGTTCTTTTCTGCTGTGTATGTTTAGAGCTATGAGTTTTCCTGTAAGCACTGCTTTAGCTGCATTTCTCACAGGTTATGATATTTCATATTGTTATTTTCTAATTTCATTGTATTTTTATCTTTGAGCCATGGATATTTTTTGATTTCTCATTTAATTCTACTGTGATTAATGAATGTTCTCTGCATCTCAGCCCTTTAAAATATGTTGAAACTTCCAGCACGTGACCATTATGATAAATGTTCACATACACTTAAAGAAAGCATGTATTCTGCAGTTATGGGCCATAGTGTTCTGTATATGTCAATTACGTCAAGTTGGTTAATTTCTTGTTTATATCTTCTATATCTTTCCTGATTTCCCTGCTTGCTTATTCTGTCACTACTACTTTGTTTTATGGCTGAAAAATATTTTTTTCTATGGATACGTACCACATTTCGTTTGTCCATTCATCAGTTGGTGGACACCTGGGTTGCTTCCAACTTTTGGCTGTTCTGAGTAATGCTGCTATGAGCATAGATGTCAGACTTCTTGTGTGAACATATGCTTTCAGTTCCCTTGGGTATATACCTAGAAGTGGAATTGCAGGGTCGTCTGGATGCCTTTCATGTCTTTTCTTGCCTGTTTGCCTTGGCTAGAACCTCCAGTACAGAGTTGAATAGAATTGGAGACAGCAGACATGCTTGCATTGTTCCTCATCTTAGGGGAAAGCTTTTAGTCTTTTACCATTCAGTATGCTATGATGTTAGTTGAGGGAGTTTTTTGTAGATGCTCTTTATCAAGTTGAAGAAGTTCCCTTCCCTCCCTAGTTCATTGAGTATTTATTATGAAAAGGTGTTTGATTTTATCAGTTTATTTTTCTCCATCTATTTATACAAGCATATGGTTTTATTATGTGTTCTATTAATATGATTGATGTGTTACATTGATTTCTTTTTGTATGTTGAAGGAATCTTGTATTCCTGGGAAAAAATCCCACTTGGTCATGATGTATATATATCCTTTTTATATGTTGCTGGATTCTGTTTGCTAGTGTTTTGTTGAAAAATTTTTGTCTCTATTCGCAAGGAATTTGGGTGTGTAATTTTGTTTTCTTAAGGTGTCTTTGTCTAGCTTAGCATCAAGGTAATACTGACCTTGTAGAGTGGTTGAAAAGTATTGCCTCCTTTTCTGTTTTTGTTGTTGTTGTTGTTGTTTATTTGTTTGTTTTGAGATGGAGTCTCTCTATCTCCCAGGCTGGAGTGCAGTGGTGTGATCTCAGCTCACTGCACCTCCGCCTCCTGGGTCCATGTGATTCTCCTGCCTCAGCCTCCTAAGTAGCTGGGATTACACGTGTGCACCATCACGCTGGGCTAATTTTTTTTATTTTTAGTAGAGATGGGGTTTTGCCATGTTGGTCTTGAACTCCTGACCTCAAGCCATTCTCCCACCTCTGCCTCCCAGAGTGCTGGGATTACAGGCATGAGCCACTGCACCTGGCCCTTTTCTGGTAAGAGTTTATGAAGATTGGTGTTAATTCTTTAAACATTTGATAGAATTTCTATTCATTTCATAGAAGACATTTGGTCCTGGGCTTTTCTTTATGAGAAGTTTTTTATTACAAATTTGATCTCTTGTTAAGGTCTGTTTAGATTTTCTATTTCTTTCTTTTTTTTGTTTTTGAGATGGAGTTTCACTCTTGTCACCCAGGCTGGAGTGCAATGGCACGATCTCGGCTCACTGCATGCTCAGCCTCCTGGGTTCAAGCAATTCTCCTGCCTCAGCCTCCTGAGTAGCTGGGACTACAGGCACAAGCCACCACGCCCGGCTAATTTTTGTATTTTCGTAGAGATGGGGTTTTGCAATGTTGGCCAGGCTGGTCTCGAACTCCTGACCTCAGGTGATCTGCCCGCCTTAGCCTCCCAAAGTGCTGGGACTGCAGGCATGAGCCACTGCGCCCAGCCTAGATTTTCTATTTCTTATATCAATTTAATAGTTTGTGTCTTTAGGGATTTGTTTCAAATAGGTTATCCAATTTGTTACTGTATGTTATTTATAATATTCCCTTATAAACTTTTTTATTTCTGTAAAGTCAGTAGTAATTTCCCCCTTTTTCATTCCTTTGTAAGGTTTGATACGTGATCCATTGGTTATTTAGGAGTCTACTGTTTAATTTCTACATATTTGTCAATTTTTCTATTTTCCTTATGTTACTGATTTCTTATTTCATTCCATTGTGGTCAGAGGGCATGCTTAGTGTGATTTCAGTCTTTTGAAATGTATTGGAACTTGTTTTGTGACCTAACATAAAGTGTATCCTGGAGAATGATCCATGTGCACTTGAGAAAATGGCTGTTCTGCTGCTATTGGCTGAGTATTTTAGAGCTACGTGTTAGGTTTTTGATATACACACACACACACACACACACACACACGCTATATATATATATTTTTTGAAACGGAGTCTTGCTGTGTCGCCAGGCTGGAGTGCAGTGGTGCGATCTTGGCTCACTGCAATCTCCGCCTCCTCGGTTCAAGCGATTCTCTTGCCTCAGCCTCCTGAGTAGCTGGGATTACAGGCGCTCACCACCATGCTCTGCTAATTTTTGTGTTTTCAGTAGAGACGGGTTTTCACCATATTGGCCAGGATGGTCTGGATCTCCTGACCTCGTGATCCACCCGCCTTGGCCTCCCAAAGTGCTGCGATTACAGGCGTGAGCCACCGCGTTTTTGTTCAGGTCTTCTGTTTCCTTTTTAATCTTCTGTCTAATTGTTTTATTCATTACCGAAAGTAGATTATTGACGTCTCCAACTATTGTCAGTTTCTCTCTCCAATTTTGTTAGTTTTTGATACATACATCTTAGGGCTCTGTTATGTGCATATATTTGTAATTGTTTTATCTTCTTTGTGGATTGACCTAATTATCGTTATAAAATGCCCTTCTTTGTCTTTAGTAAAACTTTGTATCTTAGGGCTTATTTTGTCTGATGTTAGTATAGCCATTCTAGTTCCACTTTCGTTTCTGTTTGTGTAGCATATCGTTTCTCATCATTTTACTTTCAACCTATTTGTGTCTTTGAATCTAAAGTGTGTCTCTTTAGAGCATATAATTGGATCATATTTTAAAAAATCATTCTGTCTGGCTTTTATTAAAAAGTCAAAAAGTAACAGATGCTGGCAAGGTTGCAGAGAAAAAGGAACACTTACACACTGGTGGTGGGAGTGTAAATTAGTTAAACCATTGTGGAAGACAGCGTGGCAATTCCGCAAAGACCTAAAAACAGAAATACCATTCAACCCAGCAATCCCGTTACTGAGTATACACCCAAAGGAATATAAATTGTTCTAACAACACATGCATGTGTATGTTCGCTGCAGCACTATTCACAATAGCAAACACATGGAATCAACCTAAATGCCCATCAGTGGTAGACTGGATAAAGAAAATGTGGTATGGTATGCACCATGGAATACTATGCAACCATAAAAAAGAATGAGATCATGTCCTTTGCAAGAACATGGATGGAGCTGGAGGCTGTTATCCTCAGCAAACTAATGCAGGAACAGAAAACCAAATGCCACATGTTCTCACTTACAAGTGGGAGCTAAATGATGAGAACACATGGACACATAGAGGGCGACAACACACACTGGGGCCTATTGGAAGGTGGAGGGTGGGAGGAGGAAGAGGATCAGGAAAAATAGCAAAATAACTAATGGGCACTAGACTTAATACCTAGGTGGCAGAATAATCTGTACAACAAAGCCCCATTACACAAGTTTACCTATGTAAGAAACCTGCACATGTACCCCTGAACTTAAAATTAAAAAAAAAAAAAGAATTCATTCGCCAATCCTTGCCTTGTAATTGGAGAATTTAATCCATTTACATCTAAAGTAATTATTGATAAGGAAAAACTCTACCATTTTAAAATTAGTTTTCTATATGTCTTATAACATTTTTGTTCCTCACTTTCTCCATTACATTTTTTTGTGTTTGATTTTTTTTTTATTGTCACATTTTGGTTTCTCATTTCCTTTTCTGTATGTTTTAGCTGTTTTCTTAATGATTATGGGGATTACAATTGACTACTTAAACTTGAAAATCTAGTTTGCATTAATGTCAGCTTAATTTAAATAGCATGCAAAAGCTTGCCCCTATATGTCTCCTTTTCCTCATTCTCTTTTGTGCTGTTATGGCATGTGGATTGCGTCTTTATTCATTTTGTACTTATCAATACAGATTTACAATTATCGCTTTATTCAGTTGTCTTTTAAGTCAGGAGAGAAAAGGAGTTACAAACAAAAAATACATTTATACTGTCTTTATATTTATCTGTATGGTTACCATTGCCAGTGCTCTCTTTCTCTTCACGTGGATTCAGGTTACTCTGCAGTACCTTTTCATTTTATTTGAAACAATTCCCTTTGGTTTTTCTTTCAGGGTAGGTCTGCTAGTAATAAATTCTCTTGGGTTTTGCTTATCTGGGATGTTGTAGTTCTCCCTCATTTATTAATAATGGCTTTGCTGGATATGGAATTCTTGGTGGACTTTTTTTTTTAATCTTTCAGCACTTTAAATGTCATCCCACTGCCTTCTCTCCACCATAGGTTTTGATGAGAAATCAGCTAATAATCTAATTGAGGATCCCTTGTAAGTGATGAATTATTAATACTTTTCTCTTGCTGCTTTCAAGATACTTTTTTGACAGTTTGATTATCATGTGTCTAGGTGTGGATATCTTTGAATTTATCCTACTTGGAGTTCATGGAGCTTTATGGATATGTAGATTAATGTTTTTCATCAAATTGGTGAGGTTTTTGCTTTCTCTGCATTCTTTCCTTCTGGTACTCCTATTGTGTGTATTTTGATATACTTGACACAAGAGACTATGCTGTCTGCCTAGTGGGGATCAGGGCTGGTGTTTTGTAGCCATAAAGCTTGCTCTCCAACTGACTGCATTTGGAGGACATGGCCCAGGCTGCCAGGTCTGCTGAAGGAAGGGATCAACAGGCCTTTTGTGGGTCAGGAAGTCATGAAATTAAAGTGTGGGACCCTCTTTAATGCATCACGTGTGCATGTCTTGAATGAGGTAGTTCTTGCTGGGACATGACAGACCGTTGGATTAATGGGCTTGATTTCTTTTCGCCCTACAGGTTCGAAGTCAACAATACCATTCTTCACCCAGAGATCGTTGAGTGGTGAGTACGGCCTGTGGTCACCTTGCCTGTTTGTTGTGCTCGGCTCATGGGGATGGAATGCCCTGTTGTTCCTGCCCACACCGTCTCAGAGAGCCCCTCAGAAAGCAGATTCCCAGAACCTTCTCCCATAGCCTTTTCTGTTTTGCTTGTTCTTTGTTGTTGGTTGACTGGCCGTACTTTTTTTGAAAGGACGTGAGTCACTTAAACATCAGTTAAACTTATTTCCCTTATTTGCAATCTTACAAAAACTCCTACCATAAGTAAACCAAACTTAGATAGCTCCAGCACGAGGTAGATGGTGAAAAGGGCAGAAATAAACATAACACATAATCCCATTGCCAGAAAGGTAAACATGTCACGCATGTGTCTTGACAAAGGTGGCATTCTGTTCTACGCATTCTTCTGTCACCTTCTTCCTTCCCATGGTGATACTGTTAGCCCTTACCTGCTGCACAACTGGCTTCTACTAGCTGCCTACAAAGTGAGCTGTCTTATGCTGGGCGCCACCTCTGTGGGCCCTGGAGGTGGCCCTCGCATCCCAGTGTGCCACCAGTTTTCTTCCTAAGCCATCGCATTGCTCTTTGACAGCAGCAAGGCATTTTTTCTTTGATGGATGGCTGCACGTACTGAGAATGTAGAAGAGAGGCAAGGCCAGGCCTTTGCCACATCATCACTTGCCAAGGAGATGTGTAGCCTTCTCACATATGACCCTAAGTCTGTATGATCACATTTTCTTTCCTGTCTAGCTGGGAGCTCTGACTCGCCTCGTCTTAGAGCTTGGGACCAAGGAGGTATCCTGAAAGATGAATGGGCATCGGCTGTGGAAAAAGAAGGAGTAGGAGAGAGTGACCCTGGCAAAAGGACCACTCGTTCACAGAAACAAGAGAAAGGGTGGTGGCTCTGTGTGGCCAGTGCGGAGCCAGGGAGCAGAGCCCGAGAACAGTTGGAGAGACAGGCAGTGGCTGGGTGGGCCTTGGTGTCCGTTTTGACTTTTTCTTGAGAGGAATGGGAAACACAGGAAACCCTTGAAGGGTTTAAGCAGGAGAATGGTAGAATTGGGTTTGCATTTAAAAAATCATTTCGAGCCGGGTGAGGTGGCTCAGGCCTATAATCCCAGCACTTTGGGAGGCCGAGGTGGGTGGATCATGAGGTCAGGAGATCGAGACCATCCTGGCTAACACAGTGAAACCCCGTCTCTACTAAAAATACCAAAAATTAGCAGGGCATGGTGGCGGGCACCTGTAGTCCCAGCTCTTAGGGAGACTGAGGCAGGAGAATGGTGTGAACCTGGGAAGCGGAGGTTGCAGTGAGCTGAGATCACGCCACTGTACTCCAGCCTGGGCGACAGAGCAAGACTCTGTCTCAAAAAAAATAAAATAAAAAATAAGAAATCATTTTGGCCTCAGACTAGAGACCCAGCTGTAGGGCAAGTGTGGGAACAGGTGGCAAGTTAGGAGGCTGTTGCAGGGGTCCAGCTGGCAGTGGAGGGCTGTGGCAGGACAGATCTGAGTGGTGAAGCCGCAGTCAAGAGGGAAAGCTCCTGGGAGGGACCGGTTATGATGCGTGAGTGAAGGGCAGAGTTGAAGGTGACTCCAGGTTTTTGTCCCGCATAGCTAGGTGGTGTGTCACTGAGATGGGGACAACTGGGAGGGCCAGATACCGGGGCAGATCTGGGACTTGGGGTGTGTTGAGTCTGAGGTAGGTGCCAGTGGGAGAGAGGGCTGAGCTGGGGGTGGAGAACTGAGGGCCGATGACAGGCGCTAATACTGACCCTCGGGGTTAGAGGCCAGTGGGTCCGACGCCCCTCACAGCCACACTCTGTGAAGACAGGGCTGGTGTTCTTCAAGTTCACAGCCACCTCTTGTTTTTATAAAGTAACAAAGCCAAGCTGGTGGCTCACGCCTGTAATCCCAGCACTTTGGGAGACAAACACGAGAGAATCACTTGAGGCCGGGAGTTTGAGACCAGCCTGAGCAACATAGAGAGATCCCATCTCTACAAAAACAAAATTTTAAAAAATTAGCCTAACACGGCATTGGACTCCTATAGTCCTAGCTTCTTGGGAGGCTGAGGCAGGAGGATCGCTTGAGCCCAGGAGGTCGAGGCTGCAGTGAGCCATGATTATGCTACCATACTCCAGCCTGAGTGACAGAGCGAGACCTTGTCTCAAAAAAATAAAGTAACAAATGCCTGACTTGTCCGTAAAAGGCAAATGATTCATAGGATCTGAAGAGAAACCAGAGAGCCTGTCCTATCTGTAGCCCCCATTTGGCAGAAGAATAAATCCTGGGTACTTAGAATGGGCCATGTCCACTTATACTGCCTCACATGGGACATTCCCTTGTGGTCACTTACAGCTTGGGTGCCTTGGAGACCATGGCTGGGTCCTGTACTCCTGCCATCTCCTAAGGGATAAGTCATTAATTCGTCACTTTCAAAGAAGCATGCTTTAATTCAAGTGACATTTTCGAGGCTTTGAGGTCGAGCCCGCGTTCCTAAGCATACCTCCCAACTTTATTAAAGCAAGCAGCAGAAAGTTGATGGCAGTAGAACCATTTTAGAAATGTCACATTGTCCCTGCTGCTCAGGGGTATGTTTTAATAGCCTGGGTCCCAGTCACTCTCGGTGGGTCCACTGTAGTCATGATCATCACACTCCCTGGGGCACTGAAGGAAGGATGCTGTGTGGGGCAGCGGGCGGGTCCTTTATTAACAGGAATGGGTGGGCTTTCCATGATGTTAGATTACGACTCAGGGACTCATCTTTTGCCCTTAGGTCTTGAATGCCTTCACCACCCTCTCTCTGTGGGAGGGTTATGGGGATAACAGGAAACCATCAACTCGGGCACATGTGAATTCTAGCCCTATCTCCTCCCTGCTCAGGAAGTCACTTGACTTTTCTGAGCCTCAGCTTCTTGATCTGTAAAACGGAGATGTGGTGAAACCTAACTCATGGTACGGATGTGAAGATTCACCCAGCCTCAGTTTCCTCACCTGCAAAGTAGGCTCAAAGATTGAATGAGAGTATAAGTGAAGGACTGGCATGTCTTTTTTTTTTTTTTTTTAAGAGACAGGATCTCACTTTGTCTCTCAGGCTGGAGTACAGTGGCATGATCGTAGCTTGCTGCAGCCTTGACCTCCTGGGCTCAGGCGATCCTCCCACCTCAGCCTTCCAAGTAGCTGTGACTCCAGGTACACGCCACCACATCCAGCTAATTTTTCTGTTTTTTGTAGAGATGGGGTCTCCTGTGTTGCCCAGGCTGGCCTCGAACTCCTGGCCTTAAGAGATCCTCCTACCTCAGCCTCCCAAAGTGTTGGGATTATAGGCGTGAGCCACCGCACCCAGCCTGGCACTTTTTTTTTGAGATGAAGTCTTGCTCTGTCACCCAGGCTGGAGTACAATGGCATGATCTTGGCTCACTGCAACCTCCGCCTCCCGGGTTCACGTGATTCTTGTGCCTCAGCCCCCGCCTCCCCACTACAGGTGCGCACCACCATGCCCGGCTACTTTTTGCATTTTTAGTAGAGATGGGGTTTCATCATGTTAGCCAGGCTGCAGCCTGGCACATCTTGATAACACTGACTGTCACCTGTTGAGACTCCATGTGTACAAGGTGTTGTGCTAAGCACTTAACACATGTCACTGTATTTAAAGATATTTGTGGTGTATTAGGTAAGTGTTCTAGTTATTTCCATGCTACAGATGAAGAAACTGAGGTACAGGGAAGTTAGTGACTTGCCCAAGAAAATGCCAGTTGAGCCCAGACTGTTGATCCCAGGCTCTTGCACTGCTCCTTGCAGCTCTGAGGGGGCACCCGTGGAGTGGGGCTGCCTGAGTGTCAGTCATCCTCCCAGCTCACTGCTGGTCCCACTGAACGTACGGTCCAGCACCCTTGGAATGGTCTTGTGCTGGGGCCAGGGTATAGTAGGGTGGAGAACCAGGGGGCAGATGCTTGGCTTCCTTGGCACCCACATGCACCCCAGCTTCTGCTAGCAGCTTGGCTGGGGACACAGGGTTCCTCAGGAGCCTGTCTTGATTGGAAGGCAGCAAGCAGCCTCTCCTAGCACAGGCAAACTCGCTTTCTCATTTTTGTTCGGCTGTCATTCATTTCCTTCCTGTGACTGTTTTATTGTTTTCCATTCTCTCAAGGAGCGCCTTTTTGATTGCCTGTAAATTCCTCTATAATCATACTCTTCCCCACAAACATGAGATCATAACTGGATAATTTCTTTTCTTGTGCTGGGTAGTGCAGTTTGAATGTGAAGGTCAAAAGTTGAAACTTCAAAAGAGCAGGCATCTTACTTCCATAATTTAGGCTGTGGTTCTGCTTTACTGTTTTGCAGATGATTAAATTGATCTGAAGGCAAGGTGGGAAATAAAAGGAGATGCTTTCATACCACCTGATAGCTCAGTGCCTTGGGTTTCGGTTAAGTACCTCTGGAAGCGTCAGGGGAGAGCAGGCGTGTCAGCAATTGCCGTGTGCCTTCTTGGGTTTTAAGCGAGACTGTGTTAAATTGAGTCATCTGCCGGTTTTAGAGCTGTTAATTACACAGAACGAAAAGTGTCCTGCATGCATTAATCAGGCGGTGGGTAACATGTCTATTTCTGCTCCCCGGCCTCTCTGTGTGCACAGGAGATGGGAAGCTGTGGTTGGTTCACAGGTAGACGTGTCCCAGGATTCTACATCCTGGGTAACATGTCCCAAATTAGAAAAGATACGTAGATGATGACCTAAATTCTCGGTGTGTCTGTGAAAAGGATTCCAGTAGCATTGCTCATCTTTGTGTCCTCATGAATAGGCATTTAACCCTACGCCAGCAAGAAAGCCACATGGGAAGTGGGACTCCTAGGGGAGAGTGAGAACTTGAGTCACTGCGCGCCAGGAGGCAGGAGATGGATGTGGGAGCATCAGACAGAAGGAAAGGCGTGGCCAGGCCCTGGTCCAGCGTGGAGGTGGACCTCTGCCCCACGTCTGCCCGTCCCTGGCTAGGTTTCAGGCACACTCAGCTCGCAGCTGAGCTAAACCATCATTTTCTTCATGGCTTTGGTTTCTTGGAGAGGACTTATTGATTGATTCCCCAGAGGATATGTAATTCCAACCAGCTCTTTTCTTTCTGTCCTTCCCCTTGTGGGATTTTATCCTTTGCATCACTGGGTCATGGAGTGTGGGAGGGATAGTTGTTGCGGGTTCAGTGGTGTTGAATTCCCGCCCACCTGGCTCCAATAGAATCATTCCCTGCACATCCATCTCCAGGAGAGATGGAATTCCTGGCCCTTTAAATGAGTTTTGTTCAACACGGTGCCACTTTGATGCTTAGAGGCTGATTTTGGAAATCCTTCATCCTTGTCTCACTACTATTTTAATCAGTGGAGTGTTTAGATCTCAGTTAATTGATATCTTAATTCAGGGTTTAATGCTCAGAGGCAGTGCTGTGACTTGTGAATGTTTAAGGAAAAAAATAAGGTTGCACAAGTACATCTTTGCCTCATCTACTTTTTGTGATTTTTGGTCTGTAGCAGGAGAGTAGGCCTACATGGGGTAGGAGACTTTGCCTCCCAGCCTCCCTGTCTGTTTGAGCAGCCTCCAGGCATGTTGATGCCCACAGCGTGGCCATGAGCTGGGGACTCTCTGTGAGGCTGTGCAGTGCCCACATTTCCTGGCACGTTTTTTCCTGGCCAAAGAGCCTGAGCTGACTTCTGCCCCAAGTTCTCTTTTTAGAGACAGGGTCTTATGCTCTTGCCCAGGCTGGAATGCAGTGTTGTAATCATGGCTCACTACAACCTCGGACTCCCAGGCTCAGGTCATCCTCCCGCCTCAGCCTCCCGAGTAGCTGAGACTACAGGTGCACACTCCCATGCCTAGCTGATTTTTTTTTTTTTTTTTGAGATGGAGTTTTGTTCTTGTTGCCCAGGCTGGAGTGCAATGGCTCAATCTTGGCTCACTGCAACTTCCGCCTCCCAGGTTCAAGCGACTCTTCTGCCTCAGCCTCCCGAGTAGCTGGGATTACAGGCATGTGCCACCATGCCCGGCTACTTTTGTATTTTTAGTAGAGACGGGGTTCCTGCATGTTGGTCAGGCTGGTCTTGAACTTCCGACCTCAGGTGATCCACCTGCCTCGGCCTCCCAAAGTGCCGGGATTACAGGCATGAGCCACTGTGCCTGGCCATCTGGCTGATTTTTAAATGTTTTGTAGACACAGGTTATCACTGTGATGCCCAGGCTGGCCTCGAATTCCTGTGCTCAGCCTTGGCCTTAGATCCTCTAGCCTTGGCCTCCCAAGGTGCCGGGATTACAAGTGAGAGCCACCATGCCTGGCCTGCTCAAACTTCTTAGGTGGCATCTTTGTCATCCTGTCCTGAGCCATGATTCTCTGTTGCTTCCTGGAGGAGGTGGCCTTTGTCCTCTCATGGGGCTGTCAGCCTTGTAGATCATACTTCTAACAACCACCCCACACATCCCCTGGGGCAGACAAGGCTGGGACTGAGTGTGACCATGCATCTCTCACTCCAGGGGCCGGTGGACCCACGGAGGCTGGGGCACCCTTTTGTCCTCATCTGTTCATGCTCAAGAACACTGGAAATGGGCTCATCATATTCAGGGTGGTGCATTCCTCCTGAAGACAGGGAGAAACTGCGCGGAATGCTGGAAAATCCTGTTCTTTTCTACAGTTATCTTAAAAACAGTTTCTGGTGTTTGTGCTGTGAGATAACCAGGCCAGGCTGGGGTGCATCCCTCTATGCCTGGCGCCTGGGTGAGACTTCAGGCCCAGAGTGCCCTACGGATAATTGGTTAAGCCAGCACACAGCAGACGTCTATTTAAGCATAGATTCAATTGGGCCAGGCCAAAGCCCAGCCAGGCTGGTTTCATCAGAGAACTGCCTTTGTAGAATAATTTGCCCTGGTTCAGTTTGATTTTTTTTTTCCACTTCCCCCAAAGTAAGATTAGAAAAGCAAGTAGGTCCCTGGGCCTCGATGGCAGAGATGATTATCACCTCTGCTGGGAGGAGGATGTGGTCCTTTCTCCTTTGGCAGATTACGACCTCTTCCTGCTCATCACCATAGGAGGATGCCCCAGCTGCAGTGGGAGGCAGAGTGGAGAGCCTGGGAGTGTGGGCTCCTGTGGTCCACCCTGGGCTGCTCTTCCTACCTGTGGGACTGGGACGAGGCAGTGGCAGAGGGATTTTGGGCTGCTGGAGCCTGAGGAGGCTTTGCCCCTGCTGTGCCCGGTTTGGCAACATCCCATGCTGCCATGGGGTGGGGAAGGTTGGGTGGAGAGGCCTCCTTTTCTCTTTGAAATGAGGCCATCAGCTCTCCTTGTTGGAAATGAGCTGTTGTCTGGCTTCGGTGGAAGGACAGGTAGCTTTGATGACACATAGTTACTGTGTGTCTGTGCCGGTGCTGGGACCCTGTCTTCCAGGACTATATATGGCCTTTCAGAAGAGACTTAAATTAAAAGAATTCTAAGTGTTAGAGGTTTCTGAGGATTCGTCTAGACTACCCAGGGAACACAGAGAAGGGATTTAGCCCAGGGTGGGAGGGTAGAAGGGGGTCGTCTCCGACCCCTAGAAAAGTGTGTTTCGGGTGGGTGCTAGAGGTGGGCAGGAACAAGTTCCAGGCAGAGGAGGGAGGAGGCTGGGAGAGCACATGGGGTGAGTGGTGGAGATGGCCTGCACCTACGTGAGTTGTGCTCTACTAGAGGTTTACCTTCATCCTGAGGCCACTGGAAACCTAAAGGCCACTGGAAACGAGGGGAAGCCTGATAAGGTTTGCATTTCCTAAAGATCCCCAGCTGCTATCAGGGCAGGTGGGCTGGAGGCCTAGAGGCTGGAGGGCTTGTCCAGGCCAGAGAGGCTGGGGCTGGATAGAGAGAAATGGGGGGGCCTGAGGGAGGTCGTGGAGGGGGAGTGGCAGCCCTTGGCCGTGAATTGGATGTGGGAAGCAGCGGATGGATGTGATGGGAGAGGGCGTCTAGGATGACGCCCGGGTCTCTGCTGAAGCAGCAGGAAGATGGCAGAGCCTCATTGAGATGGGGGCACGGTGGGGGTTCTCGCACACTGAGCTCCAGGGCACCCAGGACCCACAGGTGGGTGCAGAGGGAAAGCAGGGAGAGGCAGAGGGAACCACGCCTTCTGCGAGAAGGGGAGGGGAGGGCTGGCAGCATGATGGGGGTGAAGAGAGAAGCAAAGAGGGGAGAGGAGAGGGGAGGAGATGGGGAGGAAGTTCAAAATAGAACGCAAAAGCTGCTTTCCCTCCTCCCCCAAGGCAAGGACGGTTAGGGCCTGGCAGGCAGCGTAGGGGAGGCTTGACTGGAAGAGGAGAAGGAGGCAAGTGAGGGGAGGATTCTTCACTTGTAGAGGAAGCTGTTTCGGTGGCCATGGAGCTTCTAGCAGGAGCTGGTGGAGGTTGGAGCTGGGATCCCCAGGTGGGCGTGTGAGCTTGGGAAGAGGATGCACCTTCCCTTAAAAGGGAGGGAGGAGAGGACAGATGGGGAGTCCTGGGAGTTTGGAGGAGGAGAGGTGAGAGTGGACCCATCTGCTGGCTGCTGCGCGCTCCAAGAAGTAGGAGTGGAATTCATTCATCTGTGGCGGCTCCCGTGGGGGGCAGAAGTTGGGGGTAGATATCTTCGGAAGGTGCGGGAAGTTGAGAATAGCCCTCCTGCGGGTTCCCCTGCAGCTCACGGCAGAGCTGGGGCCTCGCTGAGGTGACTGGGGCTTGCTTGGCCATTGCCAGTGCATGACTTCCCCTGGCAGTGCTCAGTGCTCCTGGAGCAGGCACAGGCCGAGCCTGTGGGGATGGGTGGGCACAGGGCTGAGGAGTCTACAGCACTGGCAACAGTAGTGGCCATAGAGAAGGGCCAGGGATCTAAGCCGAATGAAGGCAGAGGGCGGCTCCAGGAGAAAGTAAGGGGTTGGAGGGCGGGAGATCCTGGCCCTCACCCATGCTGTCACCCAGTGATCATCACTGCATTTGAGAGAAGAGAGACCTGCTCCCTGACAGCGGGTTCCCCGGGCTGGCGTCATAGAGGGTGGCAGTGGGAATGACACCTGAGGGACCACAAGTGGGTTCGGACCTCGGGAGCCTGAGCTGCTGGCCCCTGTCCTGCCCATGGCTCTGAACTGTCACCCTCTGGGGACAGGAGCAAGTGCCTGGTCCCAGATAATGGGACTGCACCCGCCATACGGCGGCATCAGAGACACCTTCATGATGATTAACAGCATGCTGTCAGGCTTTAGGGCTGCCTCCGCCGAGAGAAAGGGCGTTCATTCGAGAAAGTCTCCCTGGGCTTGTGGGTTTGTTTTTTCCACATTCCCCAGAAGGTTCTGTGGTCTCGGGAAGGTGTCGCTGCGCTGCAGGGTGCCCGCCTCGTTTCCCAGTGACAAATGGCTGGCTGTCCCAGCTGTGCAGCGTCACGGAGACCGTGTGAGTCAGCGGCTGGCTGGCATGGGCTGCTCCCTTGAAGTTCCCAAGGGCTTGCTGCCTCTGATGGGAGTGGGGGAGCCACCAGGCCCCTCGCATTCCCGCCATCCTCGCCTGCCTCGGGGCCTCTGTCTGGGCTGCCTCGATGGAGGCCAGCTCAGGTGGGCTCTTGGCCAGGCCGAGGAGGAGGAAGAGGAGATGCAGGAGAGGTGCCCTTTGACAGAGGAGCGAGTGCTGGTCTGCGTCCTCAGACACCCCAGCTTTGCTCCCAACAGAGGGGTGGGTGCTGGTCTGCATCCTCAGACACTCCAGCTTTGCTGATCTTGAGAGTGTTTGCATTGATACCTTTGTGAGAGTCACGGGTGGGCCTTTGGGAGCTTTGGTGCAGGTAAGTCATCTTTAGTAAAGGAAAAGGAGCTGGCCAGGGGGTGCACCGGGAACTCTCTGCCTTGTGCAGAGGGACTCAGCTGGGTTGCCCACCTCCATTCTCCAGGTCTCTCAGTATTACAGACCTCCCTCACCGGGTGGCCAGCCCCAAACCGAAAGGGCTCGTGCCTCTCCATCATTCCCTCACATAGCACCCCGGCTCCTGCTCTTAGCAGCCCTCCTTCCACTCCATCATTGTGTGTTTACTCGCGCTGTATCCGTCTCTCCATGGTCTCTGCGCTCCATTAGGGGAGGACGTGGCCCTTTCACTCCACTCCATCACCGGTGCCTGGTACATCCAGCTAACACTTACTTATTAGTGATGTGAAATGAATGAATGGACATTTACCATTATGGACAGCACCTCATTAAGGTTTTTAAAGTGCTATCAAAGCAATATGTACCCTTGGTTTAAAAAGCCACTAGTACAAAATCAGTACGGGAAAGCTAGGTTATCATGAAACCAGCGACTCCTGCCAGCTCATCTCTCTCCACACCACCCCTCCCCAAAGCGAATTCTTTGGGCCATTTCTGTCACCTCCACCCATCTTTTCATCATATGTTTATTGCTGGTTCTTCCATGGGTTCCATTTGCCTTCTTGTCCTACATTTGAGCCTCCTTTAGTTCTTGCTCCGTGAACTTTCCACCCCATCTTGCCTTTGCCCTGGGTGAGCTGAGGCTGCACAGATGGGGCCCTGCTCTCTCTACACATCTTTTCTCCAACCCGTCTTTACCTCCCGACTTCTGTTGCTGTTTCCTTGTTAGGGTTTGTAATATTTCCATTGCATTTATGTGAGCAGTAAATCTTACCTGTTTGGGGGAGACATTAACTCTAAAAGGTTAAAAAAAAAAGCCATAAAACTGTGTTTCTATGATGACTGTGACCGTGGTCTATGCAGAACTAAGGAATGTATCAGGGCGGGAGTGCCTTCTCTTTGGGTCGGATGTCACAAGCCCAGGGCCTCCCTCAAGAGGAGGCTCCTAGCATCAAGAGCACATAAACTGTTTTTCTTTTTCTTTCTTTCTTTCTTTTTTTTTTTTTTTGAGACGGAGTCTTGCTCTGTCACCCAGGCTGGAGTGCAGTGGCGTGATCTCGGCTCACTGCAAGCTCCGCCTCCTGGGTTCACACCATTCTCCTGCCTCAGCCTCCCGAGTAGCTGGGACTACAGGCGCCCGCCACCATGCCCAGCTAATTTTTTGTATTTTTAGTAGAGATGGGGTTTCACCGTGTTAGCCAGGATAGTCTTGATCTCCTGACCTCGTGATCTGCCCGCCTCGGCCTCCCAAAGTGCTGGGATTACAGGCTTGAGCCACCGCGCCCGGCCTAGACTGTTTTTCTTATATAACCACCAGCTATACAAAATCACTCCATATTTTAGTTTATTCTCTGTTTAAAGAATGGTTTTTTTATTAGAAAAAAATTTTTATTTCTTTTTTTTTTTTCATTAGTACAAAAGCAACATATATACATGCATTGCTGAAAGTTAGAAAGTTCACATAAACAGGAATTCCTCCAGTTGTCCATAAGACATCCTGGACGTGGCCAATATAGTTCTATCTCTTACCTGGGTATTGTGATGGTTTTCCCCCCAGATACTGAAAGGCTGGACCAGTTGTACCACAGCATCCCAATTCTGGATTTGTATGGTTGTTCGCTTGTGTTGGTGGTTAGCTTGTTCTTCTATCCCCATATTTCCTGCAAACTGGAAGTTAGATCTAAAGCCATAGAAGTTTAAAACATTTGCCAGAATACATCCCAGGTGATGTGTATTTCTTATTGCACTGCATTCAGACACAAATTATACTTAGTTGACCCACAATCAGTGATGCTAAGACTGATCACTGGGTTACATTTTCCCCCTTGACCTGGAGAGTAATCTACCTGGTGTTACTTTGGTACCATGTGAATAAATGCAGCCTTCATACATATATCTGTTTTGTTTTGTTGTTCCTAGAGTTTTAATTTGCCTTTCGTCTTTCTTATTGAGAGAAGAAACATATCTTCTTCACCATATCACTAAGAGCTTTAAGCTTCCTATTGATTTTATCTGCAGAAAGGAATCCATGCCATTCTTTTTGTGGATGTTTTTCTCAGAGCCACATACTTGGAGTTCTAATTTCTACTGATTGCTTTCTAGGCTTGCTGTCCAGTGTCTAATTATACTTTTGGATTGACTCCAGTTTTTAAAAATATCCCATTATATCACCTCCTTCTCTTTATTGGCTTGTGCTTTCTCCCTCTCCCCACCCTTCTACCCTTCTCTCTCTGCTGGAGTACATCCTTAAGTACTTCCCCAATTTCTGAGTTTTTGAATGTCTAAAAAGGACTAGTTTCCTTCTGTATTTGGTTAGTAGTTTGTCTGGGTGTAGGGTTCTATAATTTTTGCATGGAGTGCAACAAAAAGGGGGTGAGTGTAACAGAGTGGGTCATGCGCTCTTTGACATTGTCTCAGTTAAGTCTCAGTGTCGCTATCTGTAAAATGGGAAGGTAGTACCTGTTCTAGGTTGGGTTCCATGGGAAGCTGAGTCTGTGAGCCAAGTAGGCAGGAAGCGTATTGAGGAGTGCTCTCAGGATCAGCGTGTGTGTCAGAGTAAGGGAGCAGGCTTGGGCTGCGATGCTGTCACAAGGGCATCTCAGCTGCTCCCATGGGGAGTTTTGGTGCTGGAGTGGCCCCCAGAGATGTCCCCAGCTGAAGCGAGGGAGCTGAGTCTTGGCTCCCTCCATCGAATCAAGGAGACCAGTAGAGGGGTGTGGCCTCAGGGGATGAGTTGGGCAGTGCACCCAGCATCCACTGCAACTTACAGGACCCACCATGCGGCGGGTCCCCAGTAAATGGCAATTTAAAGTGAAGGGAAGCTGCGTTTGCCTGCTGAGATTTCTCTAGCTTTGTGGGCCTGTCATGAATACTGGGGAGTAATGTTTTGATGAGAATCAAGATGTCCTACCTAAGGACATCAGAGCATTCCACCTGGCTTTGGGGTGGGAAGTATGGATGACGTGGTGTCTGCAGGCTTTGCATTTCGCTTGGTTTCTGGAACAAGTGTACACAGCACTTACTGTGTGCCAGGCACTGTCCTTAGTGCTTTAAAAATGCCAACTCCGTTCTCACTGCAAACCTATGATGAAAACAGTGTTCATATCTCCGTTTTTCAGATGGGGAAACCGAGGCACAGAGTAGGGATCTTGGCCACACCGCTGGGAAGGGGTGGAGCTGAACTGGAGCCCAGGGCCTTTCTCCCAGGCCGGTGCTCTGAATGCCTCAGCATGGCTGCCCTTTCTGTGCCCGCGGACCCAGGGTTTTTTTAAATGGGTGGAGGTAGAAAACGAATACTTATTTGGCTCCTCTCTGTGGGTCTTACTCGCGGGTGAGATTGATTGCAACCACCAGAAACCTAACCACATTTGGGCAAATTAACACAAGTTTGTTGGGAGGACCTGGAAGCCTCAGGAGTCCAGTTGCAGGAGGCACAGCCCAGCCAGGAAGGGACAGCAGGGTCCCTCGATTGTGACTCCCCTGCCCACGTAGACCACCCTCTCATCTGTGGCTGCCTCCCTCTTCTCTGCTCCTGGTCTCCTGCTGTGTCTGCTGTCCAGCTGTTTCCACATTTGTACCAGCACACACGAAACTGGAATGGCTTCTGTCCCTTCACCTGACCCTGTCACCCACCCGTGGGCAGGTGGGTGGGGGTGGGGAGGAAACGAGGCCTCTTCAGCCAACAGGACAGAGCCCTGGGAGGCAGCAGGCTTAGGATTATGGCCCAGTAGCCATGCCATGTAGATTTCATCCCCCTTCCATGCATGGGGAAACTGAGGTTGAGGGAGGCAGCCTGTGACAAGCTGCAGCAACCAGGCTTCTTCTCCCACCGCAGCGGCTTCCAGATCTTATCCCTGGAAACAGTCTGCCCGCTGGCTGGTGTTAGGGAAGGTGGGCAGCAGCTCTGCTCCCTGCTAGAGGTTTTCTTCTAGACTGTTCCATGGAGCTTGTCACTCCTGGGCCTTGGTGGCCCCACTCTGGCCTTGCACAACACGCCTTCTGGGCTGTGCAGGGTGTGGTAGGCCCTGAGCTCTCCCTGGAGGGGTCCAGCCAGTGCCTCCTGAAAGTCACTGATTTGCTGCTTTGTTCTTCTGTCTCTGAAGCCGAGTGTTTAAGACGGATATGGAGCTGGAGGTTCTGCGCTATACCAATAAAATCTCCAGCGAGGCCCACCGTGAGGTAAGTCAGGCACCGGCTCTGGTTGAGTGGGGAAAGCAGTGTTGCTGTGTGGCGAGAGAACTGCGTGAGGATGAAGGGTTTCCAGGTGGGCTCTAATCCCTGAGGGCCAAGTGAGAGGTAGGAAGTTTTACACAGTGATTGTTCTCTTTTCTGTTCCCTGGTGGGCACAGGGCAGGGACAGAAGGGGCTCTGCCCCAATTCCTCAGCTTAGGGCACCTGCCCATCATGCAGTCGTGGACACTAATCCTCAGGAAATTATCCAACAAAAAGTCCCAATTCTGGGAGGGTAGAGTGCTCCTTCTTCATATCCCAGCAGTTCTCAGCTCATTTTAAAGAATCTTTTGTCCTTAACTGTGGTTCAAACACACTGATTACCATCATCCATTTTCTGAAAATTTCTCTTCCAAACCTTCCCGCTTTACTGGAGGAATGAGACCAAATAAGGAAACACATGTCTTGAAAGATGAGGATGGCCCACCGTCTGCTCAGGAACATTGCAGTTTTGTGTTAGGAAACAGACAAGGGTAATTGATGGGCAGCGTACTCTGTTGTACGAGATAATGCTCTCCGTGTTTTATGAAAGTTAAACAAAGGAGGCCTTTTAGTGATCGTCATAGCTTTCGTGGCATTAAGTATTCACCAAGCACCTCGTGGTTAAATCCTCACTGTCCTCGGGCTGCTGGTGGCCTCTGAGCTGTAACTTGAGGCATGGCATTTATCGGCTTCCAAATGGAAGTGCTTCATAGCAGTTTAAATAAACTGTATGGATTTTGGAGCTTTTAAAAAGTTCTAATTTGTCACATGTCTGTACCACTGCATGCACATATCATTCTTTTTTTCCTTTTTAAAGAAGAGGTGCTTTTGAAGAAGTGCTGTATGTTATTTATCACGCTGTGTTACTGATCTGCTTAATACAAATGTCTTTGCTTAATATCCGTCCTCCAGGTAATGAAGGCTGTAAAAGTGGGAATGAAAGAATATGAGTTGGAAAGGTAAGCCACCATGTTTCTCCGGGTAAAATTAAAAGGTAAAAAACAGTAATTTATGTTCCCTGAGTGAGTAACAGATGAGACGCCGCAGTGGCACACACACCGTGAGCGGAGATTATGAACAGGGCTTCAGGATCACAAGCAAAGATTATTTTTCTTCTGACTGCGCCCGCCTCCCTGGCTCTTGGCAGAGTGTTTGATGTAATGGTTTTCGATGACTTTTCAGGGTGGTTTAGTGCCCCACCATTCTACTCTCGGACTTTGTTTCTGCCATTTGCAGGAAACTTTACCAAATTGCTGCTCTTATGACTCTGAAAGCCGCCAGTAAAACAGCTTGCCGTTTTTATGTGTAAACACTGCCATTATGTCTGCTGTGCTCGGGCGACTGGGTTGAGGGATGGTTAAATGGCCCATAAAGAGCTCTGGAGAGCTCCATTGGCCTTCTGCTCCTATTAGGGCTGCAGCGAGCCAGTGGCACCCGGGGAGCTTCCGGCGGCTGCCCAGCCGTGGCGGGTGTGGCCTGGCCAGCTCAGCCCCGCTCCAGGACCCAGAAGTCAGTGTGCTGCCACCCATGGTACAAGGAAACCTTTGGGTCAGACCCAAACTGCCTCAGTGGCTCCCTTCCCACCCGTGTCCTGGGGCAGGAGGCCCCCATTCCGAGACCTCCCACCAGTGTTGGTACCACCTGGAAGCTCTGGGGAGGTGACACTGAAGAGGCTGCCATCCCCATGTCCTCACTCTGGGCTTTCCTTTCCTGCCTGTCCTTGTGAGAGCTTGGTTTCTGGTATCCCTTACCCCCCTTGCAGGGCCCAAGTCCACCCCAGATGTCCTCAGGGCCTGCTCTGTTCAGAGCCCCGGCCCTGGGGGTGCTGGCTCCATATCACCCTCCCAGGCTGGCCTGCCTGCCATCAGTGGGGTGCAGGGCCGAGGTCGGATGGGGCCCGTAGTGGGCTGCTTGGATGCTTCAGTTCGCTGTGGCTGTGCTTAGGGGACGAGTGTCTTTTTAAGGTCTTGCCCTGGAAGGAGTTCTGAGCAGTCAGTGCCTGTGCTTCTCTCCTTACCCCGCCCAGGAGGAGGTTAAAATGGCCTGACCCAGGTGCTTGGCATCCTGGGAGGGGCCGTGTAACACACGTTAATCAGAAGCCCAGCTCCGTCAGCCGGGGAGGCTGAGAAGGGCTCGCAGAGCTATCCCAGCACTTGCGTCTGCGTGGTCTCCTTCTGCAGTGCGGTGTCTGTGGCCCAGCATTCCCAGGACCCCCTGCCCGCTCCGAGGATCTGGGATGGGAAGTGTGTTGTGGGGCTCCTCCAGCGAGGTGGGCTGGACAGTGGGTCCCTCAGATTGGCACTGCCCCGGAAACCTGTCCCAGCTTGAGTTGAATCACAGTGACCCATAGCTGATGCTTCAAATAAAAATAACTGAGAAATTGGGGCAGGAATAGCTGAGCCCAGTGTGGAACCCTGCCGTCCTCTGCATGCTGGCTGCTTGAGCCCCGTGCTGCAGGCAGTCCTGCTCCCAAGGTGGCTACTGGGAGGGGCCCTGAGCCTCCCTCCCCACAGCGTCCCAGAGCCCGACCCTGCCCAACCTGGGGACAGGGCTGCATGGGCTATGGGTCAGGGGCCAGGGGACCTGGAATACCCGCCGTTCCTTAGCCCTCATGCCTTCCAGGTAATGGAGGTCTTTTTTTTTTTTTAAACAGGAAATTTCAGTATCCAAAATAATAGAAAAGTATAATGAACCCCAAAGTCCCCACCAGGTTTTTGTGTTTAGTTTTGTTTGCTAGAGCATTTTAAAGCCAAATCCTAGACATCGTGTCATAGCACCTGTAAATACCTCAGTAGGTATTCCAGTTGGTGAGAACTTTTTTCTACTTTTACATAACCACCATGCCAATATCACATTCATTATCACAAACGAACCGTAACTCCTTCATGTCATGAATATCTAGTCCATATTGATCCTAAACTCTTTTTAGCATTGGTTTGTTCAAGTCAGGATCCACACAGAGTCCACATGTTGTACTTGGCTGCTGTTGGAAGCAGGGTGTCGTGAACCTGAGCTCTGGGGAGATGTCACCCCTGTCTACAAACTGCTCCACCTTCCCTCCACCCCCATCCCAAGACCCTGGGTTGGCCTTGCTGCCGCCTCCTGCGTGGACCAGAGTGGCTCTTGGAGAGATGAGCTCGAAGCCAGAGGCCACAGCCGAGTGCACCGGGAAGCTCTCAGCCAGGAGCAGCCTCCCACAGGGTGCTGAGTGGCATCGGGTCAGCGTGTGTACCTGCTGCCCATGCTGTGCACCTGCCATGTGCACCCACCTGCTGCAGGCCACAGGACATAGGGAGGGGAAACCGTGCCCACCAGGGAAGCTATCTGATCTGTGGGCCCCTGAGAGCTTAGAGCAGGGGGGTGGGTACGGGGACTGAGACAGGAAGAACAAGAGATGGAGGCTGTTCCTGAGGGGACCGAGTTGGGAGAGAGGGGTCACCCCCTCTGAAGATGGTGGGAAGATGGGTGTCTGGGGAAAGTGTCACATCATGGAGTATCCCTGGCCAGATTTGAGGAGGCGCCCCGATTGCCAGTGTCCAGGTTGAAGCCCCTGGGGACATCTGCAGCCAGGGAGGTGGGCTGACACTTCTTCCGCCTCGAGCTCCCTCTCCAGGGCAGGATCACTATGTGATGCAGTTTTGTGGTCCTTGTCCTGGAGAGCCTGGAGGCGCCTTCTTGGGGACCATGTCTCATTTATCTGCGCGGTGTCTGACCCACTGTAGGTGTCGGGAAATGTATGTGGGTGGAAAAGAGAAGAAAAGGTTTTAAGTGATTTTTCTGCCATCTTCTGTGTCACTGGGAACTTGAGAATTCTTTTCTTAACTAGTCGGGGAATAAAAATCTCTTCTAAAGCCCGTGTTTTTGGTTACCCGGGGGTGTGCCTCTTTGAACACAGGCTCAACTGCTACCAGGGAAGGCTGGGGGGCAGCTGCACTGCTGTGTGAATCGCTGACTCACTGGGTTCAAAGGAAACCAGCCGCTCTTCTATATGTGTTGACAGCACCCTGTGAGCAAGGTGGGCATCCTTAAGACCTGCTGGACTTTCTGCTGGGGGCCTGGCTGGCTTCAGCCTTGCACAGGGACACTGGGCATGAAGGCAGGGAGCTCTGCAGTTCAGGACTCGGGGCAGGAGTCAGGGCTGGTTTTCTCGAAGGTGGACACACCACCCACCCCAGGACTCAAGCGATGGTGGCCTGGACCTCCAGTTCTAAGCCTCATCTGTTTTTGTTTTATTATCTATGATTTGTTATAAAATCTTGAAGGCATGTTAAAAAAAAAAAGTGAGCGAGCGGATGGCATTTATGAAGACTCCTCCCTCATGCGGCGCCTGGGAGTTGAGGGTTCAGAGGAATGAAAATCATTTTCCGCAATTGAGGTGTAGTAAATTGTGTTAAACCAATAAGACGTCCGTGTTGGGTAAATTGGGCTCTAACAGCAGGCCCAATCAGGCCATCCGTTTTTCCGCCTCCTATTATTTCATGTTAGTGGCGTACCCAGCTTGTAGCCAGCTGGCGTGGGGCTGGCGGCCGGATCCATTACCTGCAAACGCTAATTTAGAGCATGCTCCATTGGCTGTGTAAGCGAGTCCCAGCTCACATTTGCCACAAGGAGATTAATAACGCGATGTGTATGACAGCCTGAGACCTTGATTGAAATTATGCTCTTTCTCTCTGAGCTGTGAATGGGGCATTTGGGGCCCTTTTGTTTCTGGGGGGTCATGAGAATCATGGGAAAGGGAGAGGATCTGTGTAGTGTGACGGGTACCGTGTGGTGGCGTCCCCTTCCAGGCCAAGACCCACTGGAGACCCTTCTCCACAGGCCTGGGCTTTTCTGGGCGCTCCTGCCACAGGCGACAGCCCTCAATCGCAGCTCCTGTCCCCGTCAGTCCCTTGTGAGTGAGGGGCTTGCCCAGCTGTGCTCCTTCTCATTCAAGGCCTTGGTGCTTTTCTTACTCTTTGGCCACATGGAGCAAGTTGTGATTCTGTGTGCCCAGCGCCCCTCGAGTACAGATGGGCTGGGGAGAGGGGACACGACCTGAGGGTCTCCCCCAACCAGACACATGCCCCAGATGCCACACACATGACACACACGCCACACCATACACACCACATACCACACATCCTGCGCACTCCACATACACCACACACATGCCCTATACCACACACACCTCACACACCCCCACACATACCATACACACTACGTACACCTCACACAACACACATGCTGCATAGCACATACACATGCCACATACCACACACCACACACCACAGACCTCCACCATACACACCACACATGCCACATACCACACACAACACACACGCCACACACATCACACATACACACCGCCCACACCATACTCACCACACACACACCACACTCGTTCCACATACCACACACACACCCCACACCACACACACACCACACATACACATCATGCGCCATGTACGCCACACATACACACCTCCACACACAACCCCCACATACCACATACCATACACACACCACACATATACCACATACTGCATACATATGACACGCCATACACACCACACACACCATACATCACTTGCCACACACACCTACATACCACACGTCTCATGCCACATGCACCTACACACCACACACACCACACATCGCATGCCACATGCACCTACACACCACACTCACCACACATCTGATGCCACATTCACCTACACACCACACATCGCATGCCACATACAGCCACACACCACATACACCAATACCCTGCACACACCACAGCCATACACATTCACACCACACACATGCACCACAGCCATATGCACACACCACACCATACATACCACATATGCTACACACCACACACAACATGTACCCACCATCCCCATACACACACTACACACCATACACACGCCACCCACCACATGCCTCACATACACGGTATGTACCACACCCATTGACATACCACATACATACCCGCCCCCCAACCCATACAGAGCCACCCGAGCCGAGGGTGCTGGGGGCGGGGTTGGAGCTCTCCGTGAATCCAGCCTGGGAGCAGGTTGCAAAATCCTTGCTGCATTCTTGTTAAACAGGACAGATTTTTTTCTCTTTTTGTTTGCTTGTTTGTTTGTTTTCTTGTTTTAAGACTAGAAACTGGTTGGGTGTTGGGTGTGGTGGCTCATGCCTGTAATTCCAGCACTTTGGGAGGCCGAGACAGGCAGATCACAAAGTCAGGAGATCGAGACCATCCTGGCTAACGCGGTGAAACCGCGTCTCTACTAAAAATACAAAAAATTAGCTGGGCTAGGTGTCGGGCGCCTGTAGTCCCAGCTACTTGGGAGGCTGAGGCAGGAGAATCACTTGAACCTGGGAGGTGGAGGTTGCAGTGAGCCTCTGCATTCCAGCCTGGGCAACAGAGCGAGACTCCATCTCAAAATAAGTAAATAAAAAAGACTAGAAACTTTGACTCCAGTAAGGACAGCCAGGAGGTGGGAGAGTCTGTGGGCAGCCCCCCTCATCCCTGCCAGCCCACAGTGCTCAGGACTGCAGGGGGCGTGGGGCCGCAGAGAGGACGCCCCTCTGGGGCGATCTCTGCTTGCTGCAATCTCTGCCTCCCGGGCTCAAGTGATCCTCCCGCCTCAGCCCCCCAAATAACTGGCACCACAGGTGCTCACTACCTTGCCCAGCTAATTTTTTATTTTTCGTAGAGATAGAGTTTTGCCTTGTTGCCCAGGCTGGTCTAGAACTCCAGAGCTCTAGCATTCCTGCTGCCTTGGTCTCCCACAGTGCTGGGATTCTAGGCATAAGCCACTATGCCCGGCCTGGCACCCTCTGCTTTTCATCCGAGTCCCTCCTGTGCAGCGACTCCTGAAGAACTGTATCTCGGATGCCTGTGCCCACATGGTCCTCCTCCCGTGTGGGGCTACACGAGGCTGTGTTGCCGGGCACTCTGGGTGGATGGTGAGACACCTTGTGTGTCTCTGACCAGGGCTGGGGCCCCTCACAGGGCATGCAGAGGACGCAGGTTTCACTGGAGAGGGAAGTCACTAGGAGGTCCCCGTCTTCCTCCGGGAGGTCCTGGAGATGCAGTCTCCATCATCCAGGCACAGTCTGACCTAATCTGCTCTCAGCCTGGACAAATGTGGGCATCAGTGAGACTGCCATCCATTTAGCCACCCCCACAAAGGGTGCTGCAGTTTTGAGGACTGTTTGGAACAAGTCTGGGTCCAGGCGGCCTCTGAGACCGGAGCCCCCAGGTAAGAATGGATGTGATGGGCCCTGGGGACCAGCTGTGTGTCCGTGGGCAGGACCCTGCACCCGCTGAGCAGACACATCCTTTCTCTGAAGGCTGTGTTGATGGGTGAGGGCACTGGCACAGCCCATTCAGAGAAGAGGGCCCCTTCAGACACAGGTCTGGGCTGGAGAAACACCCTCTTTGCCTCAGGTGGCTTGGAGTAGGTTTGCTGCTAGCACTTGCTTGGCTGTTGGAGACGGGCCCCAGCCTATCATGAGAGCAGTCAGGAAACACCATCTGCGTGTCCAAGCCCTAGGAGGGCAGTCCTTGAGTCCTGCACCCTGGCTGGCCATGCCTAGGGGGATTTAAGCTGAGCCCTTCCCAAGAGCCAGGGCTGTCTTGGGTGGAGAATTCCTTAGTCCAGAGCCTACCCTGTGCTGGCAGGGCAGGTCCTGTGTGCCCGTCCATCCTGCTGTGTCTACACCACTTGGCATGAGGGAGGGAGTTGGGGACAGGCGAGTGTGGAGAGTCTCTCCACCAGAGATTCGACAGAGCCAGGGATCCGAGAATGAAACTGGGGCTCTCAGCGGGGTCAGGCTGTGGGACCCTGTGGCTTAAAGCAGGGATGGCTCATTTTGCCTCTAGGAGTAACTGAGGAATGGGCATGTGGAGAAAACCAACTTGGTGTCCAGCCAGAAAGCTGGACAGAGAACCAGAGAGAAGAGCTTTCTGCAAATGTGTAACCTGGTCGATGAAGGACTAGAGATTTTGGGGCAAAACTAACATAAATAGGCATTGTCTTTTCAAATGCTGGGCGCATTGCTCCTGGAGAATCATATTAGAAATCATAAGGAACTGTGCTCCCTGTGGACATCTTTATGGATTTTCCTCTAGTGTTTCACCATTAAACCTGATATTGCCAGGCATGGTAATTACACACTCATGCCTGTAGTCCCAGCACTTTGGGAGTCCAAGGCAGGAGGATTGCTTGAGGCCAGGAGTTCAAGACCAGCCTGGGCAACATAGGAGACCTCTGCCTCTACAAAAAAAAAAAAAAAATGTTTTTAATTAGCTGAGTGTGGTGACGCACCCCTATAGTCCCAGCTACTTGGAAGGCTGAGGCAGGAGGATTGCTTGAGCCCAGGAAGCCAAGGCGGCAGTTAGCTATGATCACACCACTGCACTCCCATCTGGGCGACAGAGTGAGACTCCATCTCTTAAAAAAAAAAAGAGAAAAAAAAGCCAAAAACCTGATGCTGACTGTTGATTTCAGATAAATATTTATCACGAGTTTAAGGAAGTAGCATTGTCTTCCTGGCTTACTAGATTTTATCAGGAAAGGATGTCGAATTTTATCAGCTGCCTTTTCAGCATCTCCCTTGGCCTTTTCCACGTGTGTGTTTAATCAGTAAACTTTTTATTTTAGGATAGTTTTGGATTACGGAAAAGTCACAGGAACATTAGAGAGTTCCATGTACCTGGCACCCATTTTCCCTATTATGTATTAGTAAAGTTATTAACATTACTTTAGAACATTTGTTACCATGGATGCACGTTATTGATACTTAATTATTATCTTAAGTCCATGCTTTATTCCAGCGGCCTTAGCTTTTACCTAATGCCCTCCTCCTGTTCCAGGATCCCATCTGGGAGACCATATCACGTTCCATTGTCACATCTCCTTAGCCTCCTCTGGGCTGTGACAGTTTCTTAGAATTGCCTTGGTTTTGATGACCTTGACACTTTCGAGGAGTATGGCTAGGTACTTTGAAGAATGCCTTTCAATTTTAGTTTTTCTTTCAGCGAGACAGGAGTTATGAGTTACTGGGAAGGAGAGCACAGAAGTGCCATTGTCATCACATCACATCAGCATGACTTATCACTGATGATGTTGACCTTGATCACCTGGCTAAGGTAGTGCTTGTCAGGTTTCTCCACTGTAAAGTCACTCCCCTACCCACTCTTCTGTACTCTTGGAAAGCAGTCACTGTGTGCCACCCACACTTAAGGCATGGGAATTATGCTATTTGTGATCCTTCTGTACACATTTGTCTCTTCTCCCTCATTTATTTATTTGTTCAACCTTTTTTTTTTAAACTTGAAATTGTACTTTCTTTCTTTTTTTTTTCTTTTTTGGAGACAGAGTCTCGCTCCATCACCGAGGCTGGAGTGCAGTGGTACAATCTCGGCTCACTGCGACCTCCACGTCCTGGGCTCAAATGATTCTCCTGCTTCAGCCGCTCGAGTAGCTGGGGTTACAGGTGCCCACCACCATGCCCAGCTAATTTTTGTATTTTTAGTAGAGACAGGGTTTTGCCATGTTGGCCAGGCTGGTCTCAAACTCTTGCCCTCAAGTGATCCTCCCACCTCAGCCTCCCAAAGTGCTGGGATTACAGGTGTGAGCCACTGCGCCTGGCCTCTTTTTTAAAAAACTTGTATAGACCCATGGATATTTATTTTATACTTTATAATCCAGTATTCTGTGATGCTCAAATCCTTCCAGCTTTGGGCATCGAGGGCTCTTTCGTTTGACTCCTGTGTCTTTCTGATGCACCCCGTCATTTTAGTTTTGGAGCATTCCCTTCCTTTCTGGCATTGCGGGTTGCACCGGGCTCATCTTGTCTGTTCCCTGCTCCAACCTCAGAGTTAGCCATTTCACTAAGGAGCCCGGTTCCTTTTATTGGAGGATGGTATTAGAAACCAAGATTGGGTGCTGGGTGCACCTTAGATGAATTTTATGACCAGACGTCCTGGTGCAGAGCCAGTGAGGCATCCCAGTACACACTACTTTATTGTGGTTTATCAGGACTTTAAGAAGCCGACTTAGGAGGCAGTATAGTAGAGTGGGTAGAGCATGGTCCCCAGAGACTAGTGTTCTTGGTTTGGGTCCCAGCTCTGCTGATTACCAGCTTGGGCACATTGATAACACTACCTCAGTGTCCTCATCTGGAAAAAAATAATAGCACTTCATAGGAGGATTAGGAGGATCCAATGAATTGATATACAGGTATACCTCAGAGATATTGCGGCTTCAGCTCCAGACTACTGCAATAAAGCAAATATTGGAAATTTTCGTGTTTCCTAGTGCATATAAAAGTTATGTTTGCAGTATACTGTAGTCTCTTAAGAGTGCAATAACATTATGTCTCAAAAAATCAATGTACATGCCATAATTTAAAAAGACTTTATTGCTAAAAAATGCTGACACACACAAAGTGAACACATGCTGTTGGAAAAATGGCACCAGTAGGCTTGCTAAACGCAGGGTTGCCACAAACCTTCAATTTCTAAAAAAAGAAAGCAAGGCACGGTAAGATGAGGCATGCCTGTATGCATAACACATGGAGCAGATGGACATCCACTAAGCATCCTTATGGTGCTTGTTGTTGCTTTTTTATTTATTTATTTATTTATTTATTTTTTTATGACAGTGTTTTGCTCTACTGCCCAGGCTGGAAGGCAGTGGTGCAATCACAGTTCACTGCAACCTCAACCTCCCAGTCTTAAGTGACCTTCCCCCCTCAGCCTCTGGAGTAGCTGGGACTAGAAGCACGTGCCACCATGCCTGGCTAATTTTTTATTTTTCTGTGGACTTGGGATCTCATTATATTGCCTCTCCAACTCCTGGACTCAAGCGATCCTCCTGCCACGGCCTCCCGAAGTGCCGGGATTATAGGCGTGAGCCACCATGCCTGGCCATTGTTGTTATTTTTTCACTAGCATTTTATACAGGCTCAAAATAGGAAATTGAGCTATATATTTTTTTCCTTTAACTCTCTTAGCCATATTTTGAGACCAAGGTTTTTGAGATCATGTTTTGGGAAGCACCCCCATGTTTTTCTGTTTTCTGAAACAACTTGGAAAGCATAGGGCTTGGCTGTTTCTTGAAGGCATGAAGTCCTTTGAATCTCTCAGACCCTGTTGTTTCTCTGGGGAAGATTTCTTTGGTAACTTTTCAGATTTTCCTATGGGATTGTTTTAGTCCAAATTCATCACTTTTAGAGTCAGTAAGTATGTTTTCCTATAAAGTCTTAGTTTTCATCAAAGATTTTACATTGTAACCAAGTAACCAATTTTATTCTCATATATTTTTAAAATCTTATGTTTTTAAAATATCTCCTTTATATCTGTAGCTGTTTTTTCTTTCTCATTCCTAATGTAACTTGTGTTTTTTCTCTATGGATTATAATTGCTAGAGTTTTATCTTCTTTATTGGCCTTTTCATAAAATCAGCTCTTAAATTTATTTTTCAGTTCTACTGTTGGTCAAACTCATTGATTTCCAGTTTTATTATTAATTCCTTTCTCCTCTCTTCCTGAACCTTGTTTTGACGCATCTGTCTTTTAACTTGTTTAGTTGAATCTTAGTTTATTTTTTATTTTTTCCTCTTTAGTAATAAATAGATTTTGGCTAGTTTATTTTTGAATACTGCCTTAGCTATATCCTGGTATGTCTAGAGTGATTTGTTTTTGAACCTAAGAACTAACCTAGTGTATTTCTTTTCATTTCCCAGTAGATGTGGTTGAATTTTTCTTGGTGACCTTTTGGTTTTTAGCTGCTAGTTCTGTCACCATTGGAGCTAGAGAATGCAGCTGGTGTGAATCTTTTTGGTTTTTAATTTTGAAGTTTTTCTTCGTGGCTTATTTAAAAATATTTTGGTCAGTATTTTATGGAATACTGGAAAGTGTTTAGTTTTTATCTTTAGAATATATACTTTGGTGTACATGAATCAGGTTTATTATCTAATTCCAGTCCTCTGCCCCCTCCCCTATTTTTGTATATTTGCTCTAAGATTTAGAGAGATGGTTTTATAATTCTTTGTGATTCATGATAGATTTTGTCTTACTCATTTCCATGATAAATTGTTTGAGGCATAAAAGTTGATGATTGTTATGTCTTTATTATATATTTTGCTTTTTATAGCTTTCAAGAAACCCCTTTTAACCTATTTAATCTATGTCTTGAATCTGACTTTGCCTGACACTGGTGTTGCTATGTTTGTTGTTGTTGTTACATTTTCCTGGCATATCTTTGCTTATCCCTGTATTTTTAACTTTTTAAAATAGGTTGTTTATAAGGTGCAGCATACTCATTGTTCAAATGGAGAGCCTCCCCGTGTTAGGAGAGCTGTTTGAATTCACAGTGATAATCAGCATCTGTTCTCTTTTCTACAGCCTTATTTTGTGTTTTCTGGTTTCTGTTTTTTCCTTTGTGGCTTTAAAAAAGTTTTTCTATCTTTGGAAGGTTGGTGAAATTTCCTTTGCTCACTTTTATATGTATGCCATGTTAAATGTAGAATCACCTTTAAATCAAGAAAAAAAGACCTGTATTTCTGTTTTCTACTTATGTTCAAAAGTTAAACAATTTTAATTTTCTAATTTTAACAATTTAACAATTTTAAGTTTCTAATTTTCCTTAAAAAACTAGAAAATTTTCCTTAAAAAATTAGAAACTTAGCATAGTTTTGATGCAAGGCAGGCAAGCCCTAAAGTGGGGCTTATCCCACGAGGGTTCTTGGCTTCACCCAGGAAAGAATTCAAGGGTGAGCCAGTAGTAGGGTAGGAAGAAACAGCTTTATTAAAGCAGCGGTGTTACAGTTCAGGCATTGTGACAGCTCCGTGACTACCCCTGCAGAGCAGGGCTACCTACAGGCAGTGTGCTGAGAGCCGCAGCTCAGGGCGGTTTTGCAGTCATATTTATACCCACTTTTAATTACATGCAGAGTAAGGGGCAGTTTATGCAGACATTTTTAGGGAGGGGTTAGTAACTTTTGGTTCATCAAGTCATTGCTATGGAAAGGGGTGGTAACTCCCTGGTGTTGCCATGACAATGGTAAACTGACATGGCGCACTGGTGGGCGTGTCTGATGGAAAGCTGCTTTTACCTGGGACCTGTTTTGGCTAGTTCTCCATTTGGTCTGGTGTCCGAGCCCCGCCTCCAGAGTCAAGTCCCGCCTCCTGCCTCAGTTTTACTTTATAATCTCCCTTTCCCCTACCTTCTAGTTTTTTATTATATAACTTCTTTTTCCTTTATTTTCAACATTTGCATTGTCTTACCATCATTTTACCAACGGTTATTTAGTGAGCACTGTCTCACTCAATCCAATGTGGACCTCAATTTTGTACCATGTTTTCCCTTTGCTCGTGTGAGTGCTTTAAGTTTTGATTCAGTACTTTCAGTGCCTTGCTTGTTGGAGGGTTCTTTTGTTGTCTCCTGCGTGAATGGTGGCTTCAGTGGGTATTGACTCTTTGTTCCATAAAACCATTCCCTCCTTTGTTGCCAGAGATCTTTAGCAAATCATATTCCTCCTTCTTTCCAGGGAACTTTTCATTTTCTTGCCCTGGATGCTTATAGGACTATTGATTCTTGGAAGTAACAGTATTTCCTGAGGATCTGTCTCACTGCCTTTCTGGGCAGGGGCTGCACTTCAGGGCTTAGAATCCTGCCAGCTGTCTGGGAGGACCAGGAGAAGGCAGGCTCCTTGGGAAGGGGCACAAGCCGGGGCTTGCTTAGCCTCCAAGTTCTTCAGCCAGTAGGCAGCACGGGGGGTCTGGAGGGACGAGCAACTCAGGCCATAAAGTTCACATCGGGTGTGTTCTGACCTAGACTGATAAAAAGTCAAGAAGAAGCAGTCACACCTAACACAGAGACCAGGTGGTGCATGTGACAGATCTGCGGAGACAGAGGCAGCTTGGCCACCAGCAAGGCTGGTCTGCACACAGTGGACAGGCCAGTGGCAGTGGCCACTCCTGCACCCAAGCGGGGGCATCACATGCTCTGCTTCCTGTCTGTTACCTCCCTGGTCACTCCCAGAGGCAAGCATTCATCCCCTTGGGTCCTGCTACCTGAGACCTGTGATATAATTATTGATCATGTCACCCCGGACAGATTTCATTCCCTGGTTTCTCTGTGGCTTCCTTATCAGTTTCAGAAGGTAACGTGGCACCCGCTGGGATCGGAGCCATGCACATTGGGACACCGCCTGGGGTGGTCCCTGTGAGCACCTGCGATAGTCTATGACCGACTTCTTTCATCTGAGCAGTGAAAGCTTTCTGCATCTCAGGGTCATCTTTGAAATTCCTCCTCCTCACGTACTAGGTCTCCTGGATGTGATCCGGGGCTGTTAGCTTCCTCTCATGATGTCCACTTGCGCACCAGTGAGAAACTCAAGCCTGTCTCCCATTCTCCTGCTGTGACCCTGCACACTCGTTCTGCTGCTGTTTTCTTGTGTGCATTTTGTGGCTTGGTCCCTTCCTGTTTTGGCGCAGGCTTCTCCGGTGAGCTCTCCTCATGGATCCTGAGAAAACATGGGCTGGTGGATCTTTTTAGGTTTCCTCTCATTTTTCACCCAGGAGACCTCTCTGGCTCTTTCTGCACAGCTGGCCAAGAGCTGTCTGATTGACCCCACCATGCGGGGCTCTGCTGAAATTGCTCAGGCCCAGAAGAAAGGGGGAGGAACGGTTTAGGTTGCTTGTAGGTTCACTGTGCAAGATGGGCGACCCCAGAGGAGCTGAGGAGGGGGCTATGAGTTGCACCAGGTGGTCCAGACAGTACCGAGTCACCTCGGTGGACATGGAAGATGTCTTCTCTACAGTGGGCCAGCTACCTGGAGTTGGCTTTGGCCACACCCCCATTTGCTGCCTGCCTTCCCCCGAGGCCCCTGTGAGAGTGGACTGCAGCCTCTGGGGGCCTCTGTCCCGTCAGGGTCTTGGTTGGGGAGTGTGGGGAAACCCTGGGTCCCCACCTCTCATTCTCCAGGAAGAATTTTCTAGCAAGAGAAAGGCCAGAGTTTATATACTGGTGGCCTCTGGGCCACATCCAGTACACACGCAGTTTCCGTTTGGCCCAGGCAATAGGTATTTTAACACTTTATTTTGGTTCATTGAAGTCAACCAAATTTGAAAAATCAGATTTTTTTGGCTTTTCCTGAAAATCAGAGTAGCTGGTAACCGTGGGCTGGAATTTCCACAGAGCAGCAGCGTGGTGCTTGCTACATAGCTTTCGTTCAGGGTGCACGCCACAGGCCCCACCGCTCCCCGTCACCTCCCCGAGCACTGAAGCCGACTCTTTTCATGGCTTTCATGCTGTTGGTTCTTTCATAAATGAGAAAGCCTTCTCATACCAGCATCTCTATCAAAAGAGAAAAAAAAGATAGTCGAAAGGGTCATGTATTTCAAGAAAAATAGGAGAGCTCTGGGGAAAAAAAAAGACTTTTTTTTCTGTTTTGCATGCCACTACCTGGCCAGCTTCACTCCTGTGGGTGCCTCCAGGCCTCTGGAGCTGGTCCCCCACTCTAAAGGAGCCTTTCCTGTTCTTCCATGCCGGAAGGAGCCCGTGGTAGATGGGAGGGTGTTTAGCTGGGCAGGTGGACCAGACGCCCACCTCGGAGGTGGCTGTGTCCTGTCTGGTTCTGCCCGTGAGAAGGCGTGGCTCCAAGTCCTGGGCGCATCTAGTGAGGAGCAGCCCCGCAGGAGCAGTTATTGAGGTTTGGCTCCCAGAACAGGCAGGCAGTAGTGATTATGCTGTGAGGTTTGGTGCCGGTTTTTAGAAAATCCTCATCCAGACCTATCACCTGCTGGTGCGAAAGACGCTCCCTGCGGGAGTAATTATTCCGGGCCGTGAGTTTTTCTCCTCCTAGCTCTGAGTTCTGTGGATGACATGAATGGTTTCATCCAGGAAGGGCTGTCTCCATACCTGCCGGCAGGCATGTCTGCTCTTGAAGCCTGGAGGTAATTTATGATAAAACCAAAGTTGAGGCTCCTCCCCATCCCTGTTAGATACTCCGACAGCAGGCTCTGTGTTCCGGGGCTGTGAAGCTGAGTTTGCGTCCTCAGGAACCTCCCGCACAAGGCCATCCTCTGCCTTTGTGGTTCAGGCTGAGGGTTTGGACTCTGTCTGTGGCATGGAGGATGGGCAGTGTGGGTCTTCGTGCTTCCTCTGGCAGCTGTCCAGGAGGGAGCCATGGGCCTGGCCACAGCTGCCTTCTTCAGCTGCCCCAGAGTAGGGTGAGGAAGCATCTTGGGGGTGGCTGAGCAGGAGGGAAACTGGCCTGGCCCCACCCACTCAGCCACCGTCCTCTCGCAGCTCCCTCTGGCTGTGGATTTCTGTTGGCTTCCGTGTTACAGGTTTTGAACAGGCCTAGATGCCCAGGAGCCAGGCTGCTGGTGGGCACAGGCTCCATCCCATGTCAGTGACAGGCCTCAGACTTGGCCTGGGCTAGCACGCCCCTGCCCTGCCTGCACAAATGCTATTGTCACTGCCATGCATCCCGGGCTCCTGCACCTGCAGGAACTTGGCAGGGGGACAGCGGGAAATGGATCTGGGGTCATTGTCACTGCTGCCCACAGAACCAGCCAGCTTCCTTCATGTGAATTCCACCCTCTTGTTAGAAAAGCCCGTTTTGTGGAGGCAGAGCCCCAGGGTCCATGAGTCTGTGTCCCTCCTCACCCACAGTCATCCGGCACTGGTGCAGCAGTGTTCCCCTGGGGCCACCCTCCATGAGTGTGCCACAAGCCTTGTGGATGCACCTGTGACAGCACTTGGGGTCCCCTCATTGGTGAGTGGTGATTGCTGACCTCCATGTCTGCACCTGGGGATAGAACTCTTCCCATGTCACAACCTTCAGAAGCAGCACGGTGGCACAGGTGGCCCTCCTGGGCATCCCAGCTAGGGCGAAGTGCACCATAGCTACTTCTCCAGCCCAAGGTGACCGCAGTTCATTGCTGGAGGGCCCTGGCGGTCTAGTCCCCCACACAGCCAATGTCTGGGTGGCTGGTTGAGTCGGAGCCTGGCTGGGCTTTGCTGGTGCTGTTTTACTTTCTTACTGTCCATCCCAGCAAGATAAGAGGGGCTAGATGCCCTTCGTGGGGCCTGCTGATGGCTGTGGAGACTGGCGCATAGACTGGACAGTGGGAGGCACATCGGAAAGCCGTGGTCCTGGGACCCTATCAGCAGAGGTGGCAGAAAGGCCTCACCACCCTCGGTGCGGGGTCCTGATGCCCGCTGGGCCCTCCCCTCTGGGTGGTGAGCAGCCGTGGCTGAGAGCATGCTGCTTTTGCAAAAGGGGTCCCAGCTTCAAGGCTGGGGACCGAAGTTCCTCCTGGATGCACTGTGCAAACAGGGGACCCCTCACTTCTGCTAGGCCAGCATGTGACTGTGGGGCTCTCGGCCACCCTGTGCTGAGAGGTCGCAGAGGCTTGGGGATGGCATGGGCACCTGGTGCTGGTTGAAGCTGGGCAAGTGTCATGATCCCACGGGTGAAAAGACTCCAGAGAGTGTCCACGTGCCCGGGTGGGTCTAGGTCTTAGCAGCCAGGATGACCCGTCCGGTGAGGATGCAGCCAGTGCGTCTCTCCCCAGTGTTGGCTGATTCATAATAGGCTTTAAGCAGTCCATATATTTTCAGCATGAGCTGGAGTCTTTGAATCATTTATCTTGGCAGCTCTTCTTAAAGCTGGAGAAAGGTAGAAATTCATCTAGGTGCTGAGAAAGGAGCCCAGAAGAAAAAAGTGTCTGGCGGCTGCCGTGATGGGTGGCGTGCCTGGAGATAGTGCTGGTGGCTCCGAGATCAAACAGATGAGAAATGGCTTCCCAGGAAGAACTCGGGGAATTCTAAGTAGGTAATGAGTAGTGACTGTCTTTTGATTTACGGCAAGACTTGGCAATCAATCTGTAATGCTTTGAAGAGGAAAGAAATGAATCCCGAACAGGCTGCGGGGTCCAGGTGGTTTGGACAGGCGGCCCTTCCTTGGTGGTGGGGGCAGGGGCAGGCAGGCTAGAGGTCGTGGATTTCTCTCTTCTGCCACGGGGAATAATTCAGGCCGCTCCTGGTGGGCAGCAGGCTGTGGCCAGAGCTGGCTTGGGGGAAGGGACTCATCACACCTGTCTGATGTCCTCTGAGGTCCTGGCTTTGAGCCTGGTGGGACTCGAGTTCAGAGCTCAGGTCATGGGCAGTGCAGGCCCTGGTGGTTCACACACTCACTGGTGGATCTGGGGTCCTTTCTTCCACCCTCTGGCCTGAAGGTGCCTGTGTGAGTGTGCTAGGGCTGCCCCACAAAAGACCACAGCCTTGGTGGCCTAAGCAACAGAAATGTGTTTTCTCACCCTTCTGGTGGCTGGAAGTCCAAGATCAAGGCATCGGCAGGGCTGCTACTCTCTGAGGCCTCTCTCCTGGGCTTGCCGCCTTCTTGCCATGTCCTCATGCGGCCTTTCCTCTGTGTGCACGCATCCCTGGGGTCTCTCTCATATGCTCAGATGTCCTCATATCAGGACAACAGTCAGAGTGGATTAGGCCTGCCCTAATGTCCTCAGTTTAGCCTAATCACCTGTTTAAAGCACCGTCTCCAAATAGTCACATTCTGAGGCACTGTAAATTGGGGCTTTGATGTATAAATTTGGGGGAACACTGTTGAGCTGATTAAAATAGTGCATTTGGTCTCTGGAGAAACGAGGCCTGGTGCCTTATCTGTAGGTTCATACATGCTGATTCAGCAGCGAGGCAGCAGGCAGCCCAGTGGACATTTCCTGAGCCCTGACCATGTGTCAGCCTCTGGTCTGGGCCCTCTGCATGTGTGTAGTTAAATGAGGGACAAGATCCATTTAATCCTCGAAGCAACCCTCTGTGTATGGGACCATTGAGGAGGCTGAGTAATCCATCCAGCATCACACTGTGGGCTAAAGGGGGAGGCAGGATTTGAACCTTGGCGTTGGTCCTGGAGCCTGCGTTGCACTTCACTGTGGTGACCTCCAGCTTTCTGAAGGGCTGGGCTGGCCTCAGCCTGGACACACAGCCAACATCCCAAAGTAGGAGACAGACAAGTGGGAGGATTACACACTGTGATAAAATGTTGTCCAGGAAAATGGGGTGACCCTTGAGCTGAGGCCGAGAGGGGTGAGGATCTCCGGCACTTGCCACGTGGAGAGAGACATGGTGGATGGGGTGTGGCGGGTAAGAGAGGAGTGGGCCACACAGCCAGGTCTCCATGAGACACTAAGTGGTTTCTGGGAGCTGGGGAGTGCCTGGCCCAGCTGGGGCTTGGCTTTGGGGGGTGAGTGGACGGAGGTGGCTGTGGGGAGGACAGTGAGGAGGCTACCATGGGGGCAGACTGGTAGGCTTGGCCATGGGAGGGAGGGGGCTGGAGGGTGAGTTTGGAGGTGAAGCTGAGAGCGCTCACCTGTGGATTGGATGCAGGGGGTGGAAGGGGAGGAGGAGGGGCCCTGAGTCCCCACCACCCAGTGGCATTGAGCCAGTGTCTAGACTAAGTCAGGCCCCACATGGCATGCATCCGCTGCCTGGCCCCTTACCGGGACACAGCCGGGGCTGTATCAGTCGCTGCCTTTTCCATCCCAGCCTCACAGTCGCTGTTTCCTGCTTAAACCTCTGAGGCTCTGCCCACAGCCTATGCTTTTATGAAGTCCATGATTTTGAATGGAGAGAGATCCCCAGGGTGCTGGCGCTGCGCTTTCTGTCCCAGCCTGGCTGGGTTCCATGTCCCAGCCTTGAGAGCATGCATGCATGTATGTGGTGTATGCGCTTATTGCACGCACCCCTCTCCCTGCCTGCCAGAGGACATACAGCGTGTGTGTGTGCATGTGCGTGTGATATGTACATGCATTACACTCTTCTCGCCCTACCCGCCTGAGGACACACTTTGTATGTGTGCGCGCACCCATGTACGAACGTAAGTGCGTGTGATATATACACCCATTACACACTCTTCTCACCCTCCCTGCCTGAGGACACACTGTGTGTGTGTGTGCGCGCGCACGCGCGTGCACTTGTATGCATGCAAGTGCATGTGGTACGTACACCCATTACACACTCTTCTCACCCTGCCTGAGGATACTGTGTGTGTGTGTGCACGCGCATGTTCGCAAGTGTGTGATATGTACACCCATTACACACTCTTCTCACCCTCCCTGCCTGAGGACACACTGTGTGCTTGTGTGCATGCGCATGTGCGTATGGTACACCCATTACGCGCACCCCCTCACCCTGCACCTGCCTGTCAGATCACTCCTCTTTCAGCCCATTCATTTGTTCAGCAAACTTTTTTTTTTTTTGGAATAAGAGTTTAAAAGGCTTTTCTTTATTTGGGTTTTCAAAAAATTTCCTATCTTTGACTTGTTTTTATGTCGTTTTCTTTTTAAATTTAAATCCTTAAAGAAATTTGCCATTTATCATGGCACATGGTATTGTGTACATGGCAATTATGTTCATACCTATAAACAGCAATTATGTAGGAAATAGAATCATAAATAAGCATATAATCTTATGAATAAATTTAAATGAATAATAATTTTTGGTTTTCTATTTAAATATCTTTTTATTAACTTGTTCAGTCATGTATCAAGAGTGGCAAATTACAATCTCACATTCTCCCCAAAGTGGAAAAGAATCCAAATGTCCACCAACTCCTACACGGATAAATAAAGTGTGGTGTGCAGTCTAGCCATACGAGGGAATAGTATTCAGTAATTTTTAAAATGAAGCACAGGGACATATGACAGAATCGATAGATCTTGAAAACATGGTGTTCAGTGACAGAAGTCAGAGAGCCACACGCTGTGTGATTCCATTTGTGCAAAATGTCAAGAACAGGCAAGTCCACAGAGATGGGGCAATGAGCTTCCAGGACCGTGGGGGAGAAAGCAGGGAGGAGTGACTGCAGATGGGTACCGAGTTTCTTTGGTGGGTAATAAAAATGTTAGGAAATTGGTTTTGTCAGCAAACATTTATGATGCACCTACTGTGTGCCAGATGCTGTTCTGGGCCCTGGGGAGGCAGCGGTGGAGGAAAGGCCCAGCCCCCGTGGAGCACAGTTCTGTGGGGAGAGCCAGTGGACAGCCCCGGTGGACGTTCCCCGAGGCCTGACCACATACCAGCCTCTGGTGTGGGCCCTGCACGTGTCTATAATTAAGTGACAGGTAAGATCGGTTTAATTCTCAGAGCAACCCTCTGAGTAAGGGGACCATTATTTTATTTATTTATTTTTAAATTTTTATTTATTTAATTAATTTATTTATTTATTGAGATGGAGTCTCGCTCTGTTGCCCAGGCTGGAGTGCAGTGGCACAATCTCGGCTCACTGCAACCTCTGCATCCCAGGTTCAAGCTATTCTCCTGCCTCAGCCTCCCGAGTAGCTGGGACTACAGGTGTGTGCCACCACGCCCGGCTAATTTTTTTTTTTTATTTTATTTTTAGTAGAGATGGGTTTTCACTGTGTTAGCCAGGATGGTCTTGATCTCCTGACCTCATGATCTACCCGCCTCAGCCTCCCAAAGTGCTGAGATTATAGGCGTGAGCCACCGCGCCCAGGCTTTTTTTTTTTTGAGACAGAGTCTCACTCTGTCACCCAGCCTGAAGTGCAATGGAGCAATCTCAGCTCACTGCAACCTCCGCCTCCCGGGTTCAAGCAATTCTTCTGCCTCAGCCTCCCAAGTAGCTGGGATTACAGGTGCCCCCCACCCTCCACCATGCCCGGCTAATTTTTCATATTTTTAGTAGAGATGGGGTTTCACCATGTTGGTCAGGCTGGTCTCGAACTCCTGACCTCAGGTAATCCACCCACCTCGGCCTCCTAAAGTGCTGGGATTACAGGCATGAGCCACTGTGCCAGGCCCAGGGACTATTATTAAGCCCCTTTTACAGGTGAGGAACAAAGAGGCTCAGTAACCTGTCCAAGATCACACCACAAGCTAGTGGGGGAGGCCAACTTTGAACCCTGATCTTTGGCCCCAGGGCCTGTGCTCCACTTTTCCATGGTGATCTCTGCCCCACAGAAGGAGACCTGCTTCTTCCAACCCGGTAGTTACTGTCTCAGTGCAGGGCACTGGAAAGGCACAGTTGTCTTGCAGAGAAGTTCTAGTTTTAAAATACCCATAAAAAGGACAAATACCTATTGCATTATGAATTATGATGACAAATGACATGTTACCAGAGTCAGGCCAGCTCTAGTGAGGAAGAAGTTTCTGCCTGATGAAGTGGAAAGAGACTGCCTGGGAAGGGGCTCAGATCCCCCAGCCACCTCTGGGTCAAGGTCGGCCTCAGCCAGGAAGCCAGGGGCCATTGCTGCAGCCCCAACACTGTTTTCTCTGTGGCAGAGTCAGGCATACAGCAGGCGCTCATAAATGCTCCTGAGTGAAGGGAAGGAACAGGGCTGCCTCCTACCCTGGTGGTGGGGAAGGAGGACTGGGTGGGCTCCTCACTCAGCCCTCCAGGGATTCAGCCTGGCTGGGCGCAAAGACGTGCAGGTCTGAGCAAGGTGGCGGCCTCCCCGGGACTGTGCACTCTTGCAGGCGGCCGTATTTCCTGGGGATGTGGTCACCAACCCCAGTGAGCCTGATAGCCCAGTGGTTATCGAGGAATCAGGTCTGCACTACTGGGCTGGCTGATAAGGGGCACGTGTTGGTGTTGTAATGAGGTGCATGTGGCAACCGTTCCCAGGTGGTCCCAGGGCCAAAGGCCAGCCTCACCCGAAAGATGTTAAATGCCAGGGCGTGTTTCTGAAGGTGCCATCTCAGGAGGCCTTGGAGAGCCAGGGCTGAGCTCCCTGGGCTTGGTGGAGATAGTAGAACCAGGCTCATCATCCCTTCAGGATCAGACATCGTTTCCAGATGCCATAGGTGGGGCCAGAACCATCTAAACATTACCTGTAGGGTTGTCCATTTCAGACAACTCCAATTTGACCATTCAGAGGGTTTGCCTGGAGTACAGCTTGGGTCTCCCGATCCTCTCCCTGCTCCCGGCCAAGCAGGCTGATGGGTGCCCATCATGCACCACCCATCCTGGGAAGTCAGGCTGCCCATGGACCTGCCCTGTCACCTGGCTGGTGAGTGTTCGTCATTTCCAGCCTGCCAGTGCCCCTCACCGGATTACACACGTGCTGAGTAACAACAGGTGCCAGGCACTCTTCTAGGAGCTGGGGAGACACAACAGAAGGAATCCCATCTGTGAAGCTCTAGAGGGGAAATCAGTCAAATAAAGAAGTAAAATACATAGTGCATTCAATAGTGACCAGGACTGTGGAAAAATAAAAGCGGGGACGGCAGTAGAGGGAGTCCTGGGAGTGATTGACAGTGTTGAGTAGGATGATGTTGAAAGCCTTGCACAGAGCGGACAGTCAAGTGAGACCCAAAGTGGGCGAGGGACTGAGCTCTGGGGTGTCAGGGAACAGAAACAGCCAGGAGACTCGGGCAGAGGAGAGGACTGAAGGTGGGAGGTGGGGCCAGAGAGGTGAGGGGCCGAGCAGAGGAGGGCCACGGTCCAGCTGTTTGGCTACTGTCCAAAGCAGAGATGGAGGGGCCAGGTCAGGAGCAGCGAGCCCAGGAGGAGGCTCCTGTAGCCCTGGGGTTGGAGTGGATGGGGAAGGAGCAGGCAGGCCCTGGGTAGGTTGTGAAGGCAGAGCCAGCAGGACTCAGCAGCCCATCAGGGCTGGGTGTTGTGGGAAGAGTCCAGGATGACTCCAGGGGTCTGAATTTGAGCAGCCAGAAGGATGGAGCTGCTATTGAGTGAGGTGGGGAAGACAGGGAGAAGAGTCCAGACCCCTTGTGCCTGGGGAAGTTGAGGCAGCAGAGGGATGAACAGAAGAGCATCTGGGGAGAGGTTCAGAGGTTCATTTCCAGCCAGGATCACTCGTCTTGCGCAGGTCCCAGTGGTTGTCATTTAGAAGGTTTAGAAACGCTTGAGGAAAAGCCAGTGTCAAATCATTTAAGAACCTCTCTGGCAGACACTTGGCTCACACCTGTAATCCCAGTACTTTGGTAGTCCACGGCAGGGAGATCACTTGAGGCCGGGGGTTCGAGCCCAGCCTGGGCAACACAGGAAGACCCCATCTCTACAAAAACAAGAACCTTTCTTGGAACCCCACCTTGGAAAGTTTGGCATTTGCTCCAGGGAGTTTATAAATGGCATTTATCAGCCTTAAGGGTGGCAGCACCCTGTAGGTTGTGATCTCATTTAATCACAGGACAGGCTGACAGTCGGGGGTGCCAGCCACCCCACACGAGCTGGGGACAGCCTCTTCAGGACGGTGCTGGGCTGTGTGACCCACAGACACTAGAGGAAACCCCTGTGGTGGGCATCCCTCAGCCGGATCCTTCCCACCTGGGGTGTCTCCTTTGCTGAGAGCTCCCAAGGAGCTAAAGCAAATGACCTGGGCCCCAGAGGCATTGCCGGGCAGCCCTGCTAGTGAGAGCAGCTGGGGAGGCTCAATGAACCTCACAGCCAGCCCACACCAGAGGCCAGCCCGCCCTGGCCTAGGCCCACGCACTCCCAGGCCCATGTGCACAAAGGGGAGGAGTCTTTACTCGGACCCGCCTATGCCTGAGGTCTGGCCCCTCTGGGACAGGATCTGCAGGCTCTGGTGCTGCTCCTCAGGGTCCTGCCAGAAGTCAGGGCCACCAACAGCCAGGACCCCTCGGCTCAGGTGCCCAGCCCAGAGGGAGGCAGGGGGCAGGAAGGCCAGGAGGCACAGGACTAAGGTGCTAGTGGGGCACCCTCAGGGCTGTGATGCATGTGAGATGTGCCCAGGTTATGGGAGCCCTGTCCACGTCGCACTTTTCCCTCCTCAGGGGAAGCACGTGGGGTAAACAGTCCATGACGTCTCAAGCAGCCCCTCCAACCTCGACTCCATGTCCTGTCCTTGGGCAGCCACTTCTGCACTGCCAGGGAGGAGAACTGTGCCACTGGCCTGGCCTTGAGCATAGGCCCCTGTTTGACTAGAAGGCACGCCACCTGTCTCTTATGTCCCAGCACTTTGGGAGGCCAAGGCAGGTGGATCACTTGAGCTTAGGAGTTCGAGACCAACCTGGCCAACATGGCAAAACCCCATCTCTACTAAAAATACAAAAATTAACTGGGCATGGTGGTGCGTGCCTGTAATCCCAGCTACTCAGGAGGCTGAGGCAGGAGAATCTCTTGAATGAACCCGGGAGGCAGAGGTTGCAGTGAGCTGAGATCGTGCCACTGCACTCCAGCCTGGGCGACAGAATGAGACTCCGTCTCAAAAGGGCAGGAAGCACTCCTTTGTCCCAGGGTTGCCATTGGTTGGTACTGAGGTGTCACAGTTCAGCTCCGAGGAGGAGAAAGCTTGGGGAGAATATTTTCCTCCTGGACAGCTGCCCCTGCCAGGGTTGGGCTGTCGGCTTCCAGCAGAACCCTGCCCGCCCCCCATCACCTCAGGGCCACTCCAGTCCTGGGTAGTGGAAACACTCACCGTTGGCAAGACTGGGGGCATAGAGTGCCCTGACGTAGGTCTTGGCATCAGACCTCATAAGGCAAAGGGCAGGGGAGAGAGACCCTTGGACCTGCCTCTTCTCTTGATGTCCCGCAGTTGGCATTTTCTGGCAACCACAAGAGTCACCCTGGTCTGGCTCAGAGAAGAGATAGCCAGCTGTGTTGGTCTGGGGCCCCCTGCAGGGCAGGATTGTAAGATGGGCATTGTTTTCCCTGCAGAGTGGGCACAGCCTGTACCCTGGGAGAACTGTGGGGAGTCGTTCTGGGCCCAGCAAGCAGGTGGCTCTCTTCTCTCTGTGCCCAGCTGAGGGTCCATGCTAGAAACCCAGCACCCTGGGTCTGCCCTCTGAGATCCCAGCTGGGTTCCTGGACATCCCTGCAGCCTGTGTCTGGGCAGGGAGCCAGCTGGTGTGATTGGAGGGCTACTTCCAGGAGCCCAGGAGAATTGCCCGTGGCTCTCATGCACCGGCTCCTGTTTCACGGTTAGACATTTCACCACATTGTCCTTCCTGCATTGTTTTTTCTGTCCCTTTCTCTGGCTCTGCTGTGACTTCATTGTTGCTGAGGGGAGAGCCAGGGTGTCAGACTCCATGTGTTATTCAGAGTTTGGACCCTGCCTCTTCCAACAATGAGATTATGTGCCAGAAACTGGCGAGGGTTGAGAAAAATGGCCTGAACTGCACGGTCGGGGCGTGCCTTTGGAAATCACTGCCTGAGGCATTTCTGACACCACCGCCCCCCCAAGTCTCCTCCTAATGACACCACCTACTTACCTGTGGTGGGCAGTTTGGTTGGATTTATTCCAACGGGCTCTCTGCACTTAGCAGTTGAGAAAGATATTTGTCATCTTGCTATAAAACATCAAACGCATCATGATCTAAACGATTGTGACAGCAGAGAGTTCAACCACAGTCTAAAATTTTAGCATTATTTATGATGCTTAGAGGCTTGGTGCCTACAGTATCTTCTTAATCTAGTCTGATTCTGGAGTGCTGTCTCCCAGGCCTGCCCCCGTGTCTCCTCTGGCTGTTAATAACAGCTCCTCCAGGCGCCCTGTCTGCCGACACAAAATCCATCTGAACCCCTGCATCTCGTGTGGCTGTTGAAAATTGGCATTTCTTTATTGATGCAACTGGTTCCTGCCAAATACTTGGGGACAAATAAAAGTAGTTGAACTTCGAGACAAGCAGAGAACCATTTGTTCGTGGAATTGCCAGCCAATTGATGGAGGTAGTTAAACTATCGTTTAGAAGACTCTTGAAAGGAAAAAGTTGACTGTTTTGAGACACTAACATTCAGAGTAGTGTGCAGAGCCAGGCAACACAGCTTTTCCGAGGGCCGGAGCCCGGTGGTTGGGGGTGGTGTGTCTCTTCTTTAGGCTCCTGGGCCGTGTTCTCAGAGACCCCCACTTGTTTTGCTTCTCCCGTGGCCCCTGGAGCACTGGCTGCTCTGCCTGGTTGCTGCTCCTCTTCCGTGCCAGCTTCTCTGGATTTCCCACTTTTTCTTTCCTCCTCCTCCAGGAAGTCTTCCATCAAACCCTGTGGCTTCTGCCTCATCGGACTTTAACGCTCTTGTAGTTAAGCAAGATCTCCCTCCTCCCTGTGGACTAGGGGCCTGCCTTGCTAGTGCTGTGAGCGAGGCATCACATGGCTGGTGCTCGGACCCAATGAACCGGCCCCAGGGGCCTCTCTTCGCACCCAGAGAGCTAGGCATGCTGACTCTCTCCAACCAATTCCCTTCCTGGCCCTCCCGGAAGGCAGGGGTGGGCAGGCCAGTGACCCCAGAGCGCTGGCTCAGTTCTGGCTCAGTGCCCATGAGGTGATTGCTTTAGACCAGCAGCAAGTGTGGGAAGATGGAGGAGGTAATAACATTGATTTTCCCATAAAGGTGGAATTTGTGGTGAGAGGACCTTCCTGGCAGGACCTAAACATCTTCTTCTCCCAGCCCCTCTGCCCCTGCAGGGGAGTGGGGTGGGTCTCTCGAGTGCGGCCTGCCAGGCAGGAACTTGGCTCATAGCCCATGCAGCCATGCAGCCTTGCAGCCCAGGCAGGACTGGAGCCCTCAGACCAGGCCCATCATGATGAGGCAGAAGCACCCCTGTACTCGGCCATTGGGAGATGCTGAGGACGGCTCCCGCCTGCCTCTTAGGCAGGGCATGGGGCCTGCTGGGAAGGCTGCCTGGTGAGTACCCTCATTCCTTCTCTTCCTCCCATGCTTCTTTCTCTTCTCACTCCTCCTCTTCTTCCTGCTCGCCTCTCCTTCTCTCCCTCCTCTCCCTCTCCCTCTCCCTCTTCTCTTTCCTCTTCCTTCTCCTCTTCCTCCTCTTTCTCCCTCTCCTTCCTCTTCCTCCATCTTCCTTCTCCTCCCTTCTCCCTTCTTTTCTCCCCGCTCTCCTCCTCCCACTCCTCTGCTTCTTTCTCCTCTGCTCTTCTAGGCCAAAAGCAGTGCCCTGAAACCAAGATGGGGGCAGAGATGTCAGAGGGAGCCCTGGGCTGCGCTAACCTCAGACCCATATTCTCCTCCAGCAGCTGCCCACACCCTTCCCTGCTCACCGCTTCTTGGAGGCCAGTATGCCTCTCCCATGCCCCCACCTTCCACCAGTGTTTACAGCCCTGGGAAGGCCGAGGACCTGCTGAGAGCCTGGAGGGCACCCCCTGGCCTCAGACTCACCTGAGCATCCCAGTGACCAATCCAGGGACGCCATGGGAGCGTGGGTTGGGCTGCACGGCCTCTGCCCATGGCCCTGGGAGGTTCTGACACCCAGTCCTGTCGTGATTGAGAACTAACGGCCATACGAGCATCAGCAGATTCTCACACAGTGCCCAGAGGACAACAGCCAAAGCGTGGCTGTCACTCCCACTTTACAAGCGCAGCACCTGAGGCCAGAGAGGCGTGCTGCAGGGCCCAGGGACCCCAGCACCAGGGCAGGCCCTGCTGGGACCGAACGAGGGGGGTTGGTTCTGGAGGGGCTGTTGTCCCCAGCCAGACCTGCCCCAGTTGTCCTTCGTCTGGGCTCGGCGCCCCTCACCTCCTGGCACCTGTCCCTGCCGAGGGGCCCGGGCAGCCGGAAGTGACAGGGAGGCAGCTGATGAGTCACTCTCTGGGGCCTCAGCCGGGCCTCCAGCTTCTGTTTTCCATCATGTTAATTACATTTATTATTCATCAACTGCTAAAACTGGCTCTGGGTCCTCCATTTTCCAAGCCCTCAGGTTGCGTCCCAGCTGAGGCTCCCTGTGGCTTTGAGTCGGGATCAGACGCCGGCCCAGCCGAGGGGCCTTTGGGTTTGGAAATGAAAACAAAGGATCCCATCCTGGTGGCTTTCGGGCAGCCGCGGGTGGCCAGGCCTTTGCTCTCCTCTGCCTGGAGATGCCGGATGGATGAGGGAGCTACCGTCTCAGCCACCTCATTTGGCCTCCCCAGCGCCCAAGGTTCTCTGCCTCTTCCATCCCTCGTCTTCCTCTGGCATCGCATTCCGGCTCACACTTTGATCTTTCCCGAGTCCCTGGGCATGGAGGCTGCTGTCTACCCAGCTGCCTTCCCTCCAGGCCGTCCTCAGGGGTTTGTACCTGCCCCCTCCACCCCACCACCCCCCAACCTTAACACCTGAGTGCCCTGTCTCAGTCCTTCACTCCCAGAACAGGGAGGGTCAGGGACCGAGGAGGGCTGGACCGTATGTGTGATGTGCCAGGCTTCTGCTGCTCCACCTGGCTGGGTTCTGGCCCCGTTCCCAAGGCCCAGTGACCACCCAAAGGGCGTGACCTTTCCCAGCTGATTTGGACACCCTGGGTGGCAGCTTTCTCCCCACCCAGTAAATGGGGTTGGGTTTTACTGCCCTTTCCTCATTCACGATAAACTTTCCATTTCTGTGAAGTTCACCCCCGAGACCAAGGGAGGCCAGATGCGCCCTCGTCCTGCGGGGAATCCTGACATTAGGAGAACCCCATTCCCGCCTGCCCTGCCAGGGATGGTGCAGTGGAGGAATGCCCAGTAGCCCCTGGGCCTACTGAGGTGCCCCGATGCCTCCAGCCTAGGCCCACAAAGTGATGAGCTTCAAAGTTTCTTCTCTGCCAGGGGGGATAAAAAAGCAGAAAACAGAGATGCTAGAACCATCGCCGTTACACAGCTGGCAGCGTCCACACAAAACCAAGCATTCCATGCCTGGCGCCCCACACTCCCCCTTTGCCTGCCCCATGTGCACCGGAGACACATGAGGTGGGGGAGGAGTCTAGAGCTGGGGAGATGCCAAGCCTGTGTATGGCGGGTGGGTAAACTGTGGGTGTCCATACAGGGAGAACTGTCGGGCAGTGAAAACGAGCAGATTGTTGCCACAGTCAGGGACACGAACAGCGCTGAAAGTGATGTCTAGCAAAAGAAGCCAGGCTCAGAAAGGCACGTACCATCCCACTGACATAAAGTTCCCAGCAAGCAAAACTGGTGACAGAGGAGGAGAGGGGAAGAGAAGGGGTGGTGAGCGAACCCTCTAGGAGACAAGAAATGTCCTGGGGTCTTCACCCACGGGGCACGTTTGTGAGATGTCATCAATCTGGGTATTTAAGATGGGTGTGGTTTACTGGCATATATTTTGATAAATAGGCTTGCACACACACACCAAAATGGCCAAGCATTGCTCCTGCGGCCAGACTCCGGGCAGAAACGCTGTGCATCTCTTGACCTGAGTGGTCCTCCTAACTTGCAGATTTACAGACATCTCCAGAGCTACAGACCGACACGGTAAAATGACCATTTGTGCACTTGCAGAATTATTCGGTTGGCCGATGACAGAAAGAAAATGAAAAGTTAAATGCAATTTAAGGAAGTATCGCCTGGGCTCTCTGTTCAGGCCAGGACCTGAATATCGAGTCTATTAGAAGCAATTATAAAAGGGACAGCGCTTCTTAATGTTTCTCATTTGACAAGAAGGTTTTTAAATATGGGGCATTAGTTAATAAAAAGACCCCAGGAGCCCATTGTAATATATTACCTAATTCCTAACAGTTCATAGCCACTGAAATAGGTAAAAAAGGGGATGTAAAATTAATATATGGTTATTATTAAAATTGCCTTATAAATTAGTTAAGTCCCCTGGAGGTACAGAGTGGGCATCATTATTCCAAGAGTGTCTCAAGGGCTTTGGTGTACCTTGTGTGTTTGTGGAGTGGGCGTGCCCCCTTGGCAGGGAGAAGAGAGCTCTGGCTCTGCAGTTTAAGGAGAAAACAGCAGCTCACACTGAAAGAGAGGAGAGCCAGCCATCAGACTGCAGACATTTTATAAAGAAACCTCTTCCTTAGTGAAGTTGCTGGGGAGGCTGGCACTTTGAGGCATCACCCAGCATGTTCTGTGCCCGAGACCAGTAAGGCCCTGATTGACATGGATTGCAGTTGATTAGGGACAACATGCAAATGGGTGTGTAGCTCCTGGGGCCCTGGGGACCACTGGCTTGTTCAGGAATGGAGGGATAGAAACAATTCCCTTAAAGTGTTTTCACTCAAGGGAACCCAGCTGCAGGCAGCATGGCAGTGAGGGAGCCTGTCGCTCCAGGCCAGCCACACCCGCTAGCTGCTATAGCCGAGGAGGCCGAGGTGCCTCTGGAAGGCGTGTGCATGTGACCCAGGCCATGTCACTGCCACCATCTCCATCCAGGCTGTGGGTACTGGGAGCCCGGAAGCGCCAAAGCTTCCAACTTTGCCATGCGCTTGTGCCTTTAATTGGGGGATTTCAAAGCTGTGAGTGGAAATCCATTCAGATCTGAGCTGTTTGCTGAATCCGAGATTTCTGTCCAGGGGGATTTGGCGAACGTAATGTTTTATGCATTCTAGGTGATTTGCCCATACCTGCTGGATCTGTTCATGGCAGCAGGCTCGTTTCCAAGGAACAGCACAGTCCTCCTGGACAAAGAGGCTTCCTCCTGCTCCCAGGGGAGAGAGCTATCATGTTTTTTTCCAGTGAGAGCACCAGAGGGAAATTTGCTTTTTCAATCGGCTCTTCAGAGCTGCGGGTTCTGCCCCATCCTGTCTGCAGTGGAAACCTGAGCTGTCGGTGTTCCCCTGGGGTGGGGTGGGCTCCTTTTGCTTGGGTGGGTGGTCCCCAGGGTGGGGTGCCCCGTGTGGGGAGTGTTTAGCCAGAGGAGACAAGCAAGGCTGTTTTCCAACCAGTCTCTGACTTCTCTAGCTCCCTGTGCAAAAGGGATACCTCCGTGTGCAGACAGAGGTTTTGCCAAAGAATCTGATTCCAGAGAAGAAGGCTAAGTGGGCTCCTGAAGCAGGACTTGGCAGGCCTTCTAGGGGCTTGGATTCTCCAGGCTGCATACCAGAGAGCCTTGCCGACAGAGCTTGCTTCCAAACCTGCCGGTGCAGTGGAGCAGCTCAGGAGCTCTGGGTGGAGGAAGGGATAGGGCTGCACTTTCTTCCCAGAGTGGCCCTTACCTGGGAAGACTTCTTAGCTTCAGCCTATGACTCTTAGACTCGTAATGGTCACTCTGGGTTTAATCTTCCCTTTTTTTTTTTTTTTTTTGAGGTGGTGTCTTGCTCTGTTACCCAGGCTGGAGTGCAGTGTCGCCATCTCAGCTCACTGCAGCCTCCGCCTCCCAGGTTCAAGCGATTCTCCTGCCTCAGCCTCCCGAGAAGCTGGAATTACAGGCATTTGCCACCACACCTGCCTAATTTTTGTATTTTTAGTAGAGACAGGGTTTTGCCATACTGGCCAGGCTGGTCTTGAACTCCTGACCTCAGGTGATCCACCTGCCTCAGCCTCCTAAAGTGCTGGGATTACAGGCTTGAGCCACCACGACCTGCCTAATCTTCCCATTTTGATCATGAGGCCAGGAAGCAGGAAAGAGTGGTCCCTCCACTAGCATTTGCTACCCATCTTCAGGCAGAGGTGCTGCCAGATGGGTGTTAATTGGGAGGGGAGTGTCTCCGAGGATGTCCTTCCCAGGAAGAATTTTTCCCCCTGTGGCAAAAAGGAGAGGTAGAAAGTGGGAGATAATGAAGGAAACATCGAGAGTGGAATTTCAGATGCTTTGTCTTGGGCGGAATGAAGAGAGGAAATCTTTGCTTTGTTTTCTGTCTCCTCTTGGGGAAATTTCCCACATGAGTTTTGGGATGATGAAGATGGGCCCCCAGCCCTGGCCTCCGGCGGGGACCTGGACATTCAGATTTTGGGTGATTTCAACCCATGGTAGAGTTTCCTGATAGAGTCAGGGAGGAATTGGGCTTGAATTGCTTTTCTTTCTTTTCGTCCCTCTCTTCCTTCCTTCGGGAAGGAATTGGGCTTGAATTGCCCTCCTTCCCTCCCTCCCTCTCTCCCTCCCTCCCTCCCTCCCTTCCTTCCTTCCTTCCTTCTTTCCTTCCTTCCTCTCTCCCTTTCTCTGTTCCTCTCTCCCTTCCTCCCTTCCTTCATAGGATCTTGCTCTGTTGCCCAGGCTGGGGTGCAGTGGTGCGATCATAGCTCACTGCCTCGACCTCCTGGGCTCAAGCAGTCCTCCTGCCTCAGCCTCCCAAAGTGCTGAGCCACAGCACCTGGCTGGATTGCTTATTTTTTACTTTGTCCACAACAATGGTATCAAAACAGAGATACACTGTGGTTCCTTCAGCCAGGCTGAAGGTTTTTCAAGGAGCTCTGTGTGCGTGGCAGACGGCGTGCACTTGCGACCTCTGGTGGCAGCTTCCCAGTGTCGTCCTCGGTGGCAGCTGTGCTTGGGGAGTGTGCGCTGTGTCCACTGGGCAGAACACATCAGGACAAGAAGCCCCCTGGGGCCAGTGGGGCGAGGCTGGGGCGAGGGGAGCAGGTCTTTGACAGGTAGCTTTTATTTCTTCCCAAAAGTGTTTTCAAAATGAAAATAGCTTTACTCTGATAAAAAGATACATATGCCAGTAGGAAATCCAGTCAGTACAGAACATTATAAACAAGATAGGAAAAAAACCCTTTGATGCAGAGGCACACAAAACCTTATTGCTGTAGCAAACAGGCTTCCGGTCTCTCTGGGGCACAGACAGACGGGCTTTGATCTGCTGGGCTCACACTGGGCAGAGTTTTTGCAGCAGAAGTCTCTTCCTGGCAGTGAACTGGGGCACACTGGGGCTGCATCATAATCCACTTACCCAGACTGCCCCCGGAAGCCAGGTGGTTCCCAGTGTGAACGACACTTCGACCGTCAACCCTACCTCGCCGTCTCTCGGGTGTCAAACTGACCGTGTCCTTGGGGTAAACTCCTGCAAATGGAATTGCTGGAAAAATGTTGATGCCCAAAGCCCAGTGCCATCTAGAAAAGTTGTTCTCCCTTCACGGCTGGGGCTGGGTTAGTGTCTGGTGAGCAGATACCATGTCCTTCCCGGGGATGTTCTCATTTAATCCCGTGAGGGGGAGCGGAGAGGAGTGTGGCATCCTCTCTGCATTATAGAGACCCCACAGTAGACAGATGGGTCTTAGAGGAGCCAGGTGGCCTCTCTCCAGAAGCCATGTTCTCAGCCAGCGTGCAGGACACCCCTCCTCCCAAACCATGAGTGCCGGTGTGCCCACCCAGGCCTCAAGATTAATTGTGTTATTTCCATTATTCACCTTTATCATTCTGATTAGGGAAAAGTAATACCCCGTCTTTATTTTTGCTGATTTGATTACTGACGAGCTTAAACTTCTCTTGTAAGTATTTCTTGGGCATTTATCTTTGTGGGTTTTCAGTCCTTTGCCCATTTGCAATCGGGACATTTGTGGGTGACTTATTGCTCTGTAATTGGGCTCTTTGTACTATTGTTCTGTGTGTTGGAAATATTTTTCCCAATTTGATGTACAGAAATTGTAAATATCAGTTGTCATGTTGGTCCTTTCCTGTATAGTTTATGCCTTTGCGAAATTGCTTTTTCTACTACCTCAATATAATCCAGTTATCAGCATGTTTTTTCTATCTTTATAGTCTGATGACTTTCTTTTAAATAACAGTTTTTGCATAATTATGAAATATTTCAAACACTGCTGTGTATAGTTTAATAGATATCTGTGTATCCACATGGTTTCGTCTTTTATATTTAATACGTTAATTGAGCTAAACTGCATTTAAGAATAATATATAAACAAGGATTCTGGCTTTTCTGCCCCCGCGTAATTACTAAGTGACCTGTTGTCTTTGGAGTAATGTCTTTGCCCCCCATTGTAAAATTCCATTTTTGCTGTATTCTAAATTCCCAGGTGTATTAGTCAGTATAGGGTAGCCTTTGGGGTGGTAACAACAGAAACCCAGATCTCGGTGGCTTAGCACGGTAAAGGCTCATTTCTTGCTCATGCTGCCATCTGTGGCTGGCCCAGTGGCTCTCCTCCAGCAGGGATGCAGGGCTGCTTCCACTGCCCAACTCTGCCCCCTCTGAGAAGGAAGAGAGAGAACATGAAGAATTCACACCCACTCTTAAAAGCCATGGCCTGGAAGCAGCACATGTCATTTCATATTCCTCTTGGGATGAGAGTCAGTCCTATGGTCCCAGCCTAGCTGCAGGGAGGCTAAGATATGTGCCCAGAAAGAGGAAGCAGAGTGAACACAGGGCTAGATCTCCACTCGGGGCTGCCTGGGCAGACAGGGTTTCGGCTGCCTGTGGATGTGTGCGTATATGCATATGTGCATGTATGTGTGAATGTTCTTTGGATTGTTGGGCATGTTCAGGCCTGCTGTTCCTGCCATCCGTTACCCTTTCTTCACATGTTTACTGAGGACCTACTGTGTGCTCATCACTGTGGCCAGCCTTGGGTATGGGTGACATGGGCCTGCCTCTAGGAGTGCCCTTCAAGACTGGGAGGGAACGGGAGGGTGCCAGGCTGAAAGTTCTGCAGTGTAGAAGTGTGGGGAGGGACTTGCCTACAGAGGGCTTTTGGTGGTGAGAGGTGGGAGAAGCCCCTTGGGGAACCCAGGGAGATTTCTGGAGAGGGGCGTCAGCCTGGCCCACGGTGGTTTTGGATGGTAACTGGCGGTGAGCAGGAGGTGGAGCGTGGACATCCTCCCAGCTCCTGAAGGGCAGCAGCTGCCAGGAGTCCACTGAGACCCCTCTAGCCATGACCTCCTGGTGGGAAGGTGGGCCAGGAGGGGACCTGTTAAAGACTGGCAGGTGGTTGAGGGTCAGTGTGGAAGGTGTCCGATAGAAGGTGCTAGAAGTGGGTGGGCTTGGGATAGGTGTTGCTGTGGGTCCTGGAAGAGGGAGCTCGGGGTATGCTGGACAGGTGTGTGATGCCTGGGCTCCCTGCGGGGACCCAGCAAAGCACATCAGGAAACCCGGCATCCACGGGCGTGACTCCCTCTTCTGCATCCTCCAAGCCCTCCTTGGCACTGTGCGAATTTTCTAAATTTCAGTGGGTGGCGCTGGCGAGATGCTTCAGAGTGTGTGCAGGCTGGCGAGTAAAGTCAAGGAACTTCCTGGCTCCTGGCTATGCAGGAGGGGGGCCCAGACCCTCATCACATAACGACCACTTCTGTCTTCAAGCGTGTCTCTTACAAGGTGGGGGCCAGGAGAGTGCTGCCCAGAGCCAGTGCTTTGCCATGATCAGATTGCCGCCTGCCAGGACGGGGGTATGGGTTGCCTACAGGCACCGTCACTGCTGCACGGATCTCCGGGAGCAGGCTTCACACACACAATTCCTGCTAGCAATCTACTGGCTTTGGGGAGTAGTGTTGGTGTCATAAAGAAAGGATATTTAACTTTGCATCGATAGGCAAAGAATAATTAAGATATAATTAAAAGCACAAATTCTTCTAATTATTGGCTTCGTATAATGTATATTTAAAAACAAGATCTGTTAAGGCTTCCTTTTGAATATATCCAGAAGCCAAAAGAGGGTAGCATTTTAATTAAAAATGGATTATTTAAAAACCAGTTTAATCATCCTGTCATCCAAAGACTTAGACTTTATTAATTAGCTATTGATAAATAGGTTTAAGCTACCCCAAAGTTGAATTTGCAAGAGTTATTCCTGGCATCCTCCGATTGGAGGATTTTTTGGAACTTGCCCTGTGTCTCTGGGATGTCAGCAGCAAAGGTTTAGGACATGTGAGTTGGTTCTTAAATCGCCCCTCCCATCCTCTGTGGAGCCAAAGTGGACATCCTGCTGCAGGTGGGGACCGATGGGGGGCTCCTGGGGCTGTCCCACTTCCCCCATCTCCTACCTCTGTGCTCTGTGGCACGAGAGGGTGCTGAGGACCTGGATGGTGGCATCCGCACTGAGAGGTCCCCGATGGGGCACAGGTGCAGAACATGCTAGAGATGCCATGAGCCACGACAGCCTCCGCCTCCCCAGCTCCATGCTTGGAGTGCATCCCTGGCCAAGGCACTCCTCTTCTCAAGGCTGCTCTCTGTAGGGGCGGCGTGACTGCCACCCCCATTCATCATCTTAAGTAGATAAAGACTTTCAAAGTGATAAATAGCGTTCCTGTTGTTCCTTCAGCCAAGTGTGACTAAAATAACGTTTGGAGTCGTGAGTGAGGATGGAAAGGCTCATTAGAAGAGGGGTTGTCGGCAGTTCACGCCTAACAGCCGGTTCGCTGCCATAAAACACAGCCGCACGCGGTGGAGGGGCCCTGCCCACCTAGGGCCTGTCCAGGCTGGCCCTGACAGATGGTGTCTGGGCCTCCCTCCATGGCACATTTCGCTGCGTCCTGGGCCTTGTGGTTCCTGGATGCTTGGAAGAACCTTCTCAGAGAGGAGACGTCTTTCACAGGCATCTGTGGTCCTCGCTTCCTGCAGGTGCTGGGGATCTGGGGCTGCAGTGACCCAGCTCCTCCTGTTTCCTCAGTGACCCAGCTCCTCCTGGTTCCCTCCAGCCTAATGGGGTAGCCAAGGCCACCTGCTGCGCAGTGACCACTGGCTTGGCGCTGCCTCCCGGGTGACCAGGTCCCTGTATCCAGTGTCCTGTGCTCACAGTACCGAGAGTGGCTGTGAGTCCATGTGGACAGACTGCTTCTCCTCTCTTCTCCAGAGCCCTCAGCAGAGGACGATAGGGAGGGAACTGGGTACTAGACCCTCAGGATGAACTGAGTGAGTTGCAGGGGCTGCCCAGAGCTGGGCCCAGGTGCGACAGTGCTTTAGAAAGACATTGATAGGAAACAGCACTTTCCAGAGAAAGTTAGATCTGAAACGACACATTTGTGAAGTATTTTCAGATTGTAAGGCTGAAAAAGCAATTTGATGTTTAGAAATAAAGTAGTGCTGGACTCTTTCAAGACAAAACAGAAAAATGCCCTAGAGGGAATCCAAAGCAAAGCACTTGCTTTTTCTAGAAGGGGTGACTTGGGGATTCTGTCCTCACTCTACAAGGTGGGATCTGGGTGACTCCCACTGTTGCCCAGGCTGGAGTGCAGTGACATGAGACCTGAGATCCTCTGCCAAACATGTGTTCCCTAAATATTGAACCTGGGCCTGGCACAGTGGCTCACACCTGTAATCCCAGCATTTTGGGAGGCCGAGGTGGGAGGATCACTTGAGGCCAGGAGTTCGAGAGCAGCCTGGGCAACATAGCAAGATGCTGTCTCTACAAATATAAAATAAAATAAAATAAATTAGCCAGGTGTGGTTGTGCACACCAGTAGTCCTAGCTACTCAGGAGGCTGAGGCAGGAGGATTGCTTGAGCCCAGGAGTTTGAGGCTGCCATCTGGGGACTTGGGGAGCTTCTGAACCAAAGGCCTTGCCCAAGAACGAAAAACCAGGCTTTTCCTCAAAGAAGCCTTAAGGCGGGATCTCCCAGAGTTAGTCATTCCATGAGACACCCTGGCAGTTTTGGTCAAGTTCTTGTCTCACCTCTACTATTATCTGCTTAATCGTTTTCTTTCAATTGACTCATTTTTTTTCCTTTAAATATATGTTTTAAGATGCTTTTTATCCTCGTCATGAATGAAACCCAATCTAATTTGCCATTAACAGACATTAGCGCTTCAAGATAAATACCTAGTGCATGAAGGAAATATGCTAGTGGGGTACTACATAATGTCATCCCGTGGACTCGTATTGTGCTTTGGGAAATGTGAACTTAAAAGCAGCCCCTTCCCTCCCCTTGCCCCTGCTCGCCCCTCCAGAAAGCTCCCTGCATACCTGGCTTGCTTCCCCCACACCTTCCTGGGGAGGATGGAGACAGGGTGCCAGCGTTCCTTAGAGGGACAATGTGGCCTCTGGGTTGTGTTGAACTAGGATCATCTGCCACTCTGGCAAGCCTTTTTGTTTGTTTGTTTGTTTGTTTGTTTTGAGACTGAATCTCACTCTGTCGCCCAGGCTGGAGTGCAGTGGCGCATTACAGATGTGTGCCACCACGACTGGCTAATTTTTATATTTTGAGTAGAGACAGGGTTTCACTATGTTGGTCATGCTGGCCTTGAACTCCTGACCTCAAGTGATCCACCCGCCTCGGCCTCCCAAAGTGCTGGGATTACAGGTGTGAGCCACTGCACCTGGCCTCTGGCAATTCTTTTTGTTTCCTGGTCATGTGGTTTGAGCCTCTCTGGATGTATCTGAGGGTAACCTGGTTTTTATTGTTGTTGTTGTTTGTTTTTTTGTTTTTTTAAAGAGCTGGGGTCTGATATGGTTTGGCTGTGTGGATATTGAATCATGGGGGTGCTTTCCCCCATACTGTTCTCATGGTAGTAAATAAGTCTTATGAGATCTGATGGTTTTATAAGGGGAAACCCCTTCCACTGGTTCGCATTTTCTCTCTTCCCTGCCACCATGTAAGATGTGACTTGCTCCTTCTTGTCTTCCACCATGATTGTGAGGCCTCCCAAGCCACATGGAACTGTGAGTCCATTAAACCTCTTTTCCTTTATAATTACTCAGTCTCGGGTATGTCTTCATCAGCAGCTTGAAAATGGACGAATACCGGGTCTCACTAGATTGTCCAGGCTGGGCTTAAACTCCTGGACTCCAGCGATCCTCCCGCCTCATCCTCCTGAGTACACCATCACACATGCACCACCACACTGGCCTTCTGGTCCTTTTTAAAAGGGGGAGTTTTTGTTCTAGGGCCAAGAAAGGTGTCATCTCTACAGTCAGCATGGATTAGTGAGATTGGGTCAGACGCGAACAGGTGTGGATCCCAGAATAAGTCAGAGAACAGTTGGCCAATGGTGCTTGTGTTTACACAGCTCTTCCCAGGCCTTCCAAAGCCGGAGCTCCCTCGCTGGCTCAAGGTGCCAAACACAGGTCTAGAGTCACAGATTGCGAATTTCCCTCAAGGCGGGTACTGCGAGCTTTGAATTTCTTTCGGTTCTGTGTTGTCAGCCTCCCAGGCACCAGTCAAGTTCTGCCTCTGGTGTCCTGTCCTTCTTCCTGGGAATCAGTAGAGAAGGTACTTACTGGAGGGGGTCACTACAGGGCCAGCTGCTTGGGGAGGGGGTGGACTTGCCCTGAAAGCCCCAGTGAGGGCAGTGGGAAGTCCCAGCACAGGAGCAGGTGACAGGCGCAGCCCCCAACCACCCTTATTATGTAAAGGATTTATCTTTCAACAAGATGGTGCTCCAAGCCAGCGCACAAGGGGCAGTTAGTGAAAGCAAAGAAAATAATCAAATGGCATTCTGCCTCATGACCTACATCACAATAAATTCTAGGTTCATTGATTAAGTAAATGTGCAAACAGGAAGCCCACAAAAGATGATAGAGTTTATATAATCATAGGGGTAGGGAACGACTTCTTAAAGGAAGAAGCCATAAAGAAAAAAATGTAACAGATCTAGCCAATAAAAATGTAAATTATCTGTCCAGAAATGCCATAAAGAAAATTAAGGAGCAAAGGGGAAACTTGTTACATAAATGATAGTCAGATCCACTGCCTGTGTTCTTCCTGTATAAATCCCTTAAGGATCAATAAGAAAATGATGAACATTCGCAGTTTTTAAAAAAGGAACAAGCCATTCAGAAAGGAAGAAATGTGAGGAAGTAGACATATAAGCATATTAAAATTTGTCAGTTCATCAGTGAAACAGTGAAATACTTTTGTGTTTTACCCACCAGGTTCCCATTCCTGTGGGCAGACGAGCCTTGCAGTGTGCTGCTCAGGACCCCAAAATCCTTATGAGTGTTCAGGGGTCCTTTTTGCAGAACATGCCCTGAGAATTGGAAATGTGCATTTGGTCAATAATCTCCCTTCTAGGAATTTAGCCCGAGGACAGTGAAGAGGCACAAGGCCATGCGTGGCCATCATACAGAGAGGCAGAAGAAGCCTCCATCTCTAACAGCAGGAAGTTGGTTAAGTAAATTAGAGGCTGTGGTGCTGCTCATACAGCCATTCACTTATTCAGTCACTCAACAGAGGTATACCAAAGACTTCTGATGTGCCAAGCACTGTTCTGGTCTCTTGAGGGATACTACAGTGAACAAAAAGATAAAGCTCAAGCCTAATGGGAGGCTAGAGATGGTTGGATAGATGGATGGATGGATGGATGGATGGATGGATGATAAGTAGGTAAGTATGTAGGCTGATATAGATGATCATCACCTTGATAGATGATGGATGGATAGATAGGATGATGGCTGGATGGATAGACGATAGGTAGGTAGGTAGACATAGAAACAGATAATTGACAGAGTATTGGATGAGTAGATAGAGTGATAAATGGATAGATGATACGTAGGTAGATACAGAAATAGATGATTGATAGAGGAATAGATGGATGGGTGGATAGATATAGAGAGATGGATGGATGGATAGATGGATAGATAGATAGATAGATATAGAAGGATGGATGGATGGATAGATAGAGGGAGGGAGGGATGGATCAATGATAAGTAGGTAGGTTGACAGAAATAGATGATTGATAGAGGGATGGATGGATAGATGGGTAGATGGATGGTAGATGGAATGGATGGATGGGTGGATGGATGGGTAGATGGATGATAGGTACGTAGGAGGTAGGTAGATAGATGATAGAGGGATGGATGGATGGATGGGTAGTTGGATTGCACTTAGGTAGATAGGTAGATATAGAGTGATGGATGGATGGATGGGTAGATGGATGATAGGTAAGTAAATAGATGATAGATGGATAGGTGGATGGGTAGATGGATGATAGGTAGATGATAGAGTGATAGATGGATGGGTAGATAGATTATAGGTAGGTAGATGATAGGTAGGTAGATCTAGAGTGATGGATAGATGGATGGATGGGTAGATGGATGATAAGTAGGTAGATATAGGCAGATGATTGATTGATTGATTGATGGGATAGCTAGATAAACATGTCAGATGGTGGTGAGGGTTACAGGGGAGGGAGCTACCTTTATCCAGGGACTCAGGATGCCTCCCTGTGAAGGGGAGGAGAGACCTGAAGGGGGAGAGAGAGCATGCTGTGGCTTTCTGGGGTGGACATTCCAGGCAGAGAGAAAAAGCTGTTCCAGTGGCCTGGTGGGAACTTGCCTGGCAGTTCCAGGAGCAGCGCGGAGTTCGACTAAGAAGACAAGACAAGACAGGGGAGTAAGGGGGAGGTGGGCTGCCGATGGGAAGCCGGGGTTGGTGTGAGCAGAGGAGTCCTGTGATTCTACTTAAGTTGTGGAAGGATCCGTTTGTGGAGCACACTCTGTAGGGGACAAGGGCTGAAGCAGGGGGGCCAGCCAGACCACCATCACCATTCACCATCCCCAGCCACCATCGCCATCTCCCAGGGGAGAGAGAACCTTGGCCTGCACCAGGGAGGGAGTTGTGGTGGTGCGGAGAAGTGGTCAGATTCTGGACATAGTGACAGCATTAAATATAAAAATAGGCCAGGCACAGTGGCTCACACCTGTAATACCGGACCTTTGGGAGGCCGAGGTGGGAGGATCGCTTGAGCCCAGGAGTTCCAAACCAGCCTGGGCAACGTAGCGAGACTCCCATCTCCACAAAACATATAAAAAAAATTAGCTGGGCATGGTGGTGCATGTCTGTAGTCCCAGCTACTCAGGAAACTGAAGGGGGAGAATCACTTGAGCCCAGGACTTTGAGCCTGCAGTGAGCTGTGATTGCACCACTTCACTCCAGCCTGAGCAACAGAGTGAAACCCTTTCTCTAAAAATAAAAATGAAAAACAAAAATAAAAAGTACATACATGTATCTGTTGATAAGGAAAATGTTCTTTGCTTTAACAAGAACCTTCAGTGGGTCAGCCCAGCCCCTGCGCTGGACCGGGCTAGGCTGTTTGTCCTTGCAGACTTGTTTCAGCCCAGTTTGGGCCCCATTCACAGGTATGGAGAGGAGGAAGTTTCAGGACAGTGACCACAAAGATGTGACTACTCAGAAAACCTGTTGGGCTTTGTCTACTAAAGCTGACCCCCCAAAAACCCTGTGACACAGCATTTCCACTCCTGGCTGTTTGCTCAACCAGAGATGCATGCATGGGCCCCAAAAGACTGTACAAGAACTCATGGCTGTACTACCCATAATAGCTGTGATCTGGAAACAACCCGAACGCTCACCCACAGAAGAATGGAGAAACACACGGGGGCCCACCCCCGCAGTAGAACACCGGCCAGCAGTGAGAACCAACCAGGGACTGCTGCCCACCTAGACGGGTCCACAAACATTGTGGCAGCGGAAGCAGCCAACGCAAGAGACCATATTGTTTGATTCCATTTACATGAAGTTAAAAAATAGGCAAACTAATCTATGGTGATAGGAGTCAGGCTGCCCCTGGGGAAGAGAGACTGACCAGGAGGGGGGCCAGGCACACAGGCGTGCCCAAGTTGTGCTGGGCCATTGTGCTGTGTCTGTAGGATTTGAGTTCTTTTCTGTATGTATGTCCCACTTCTGTAAAAAGGTGAGTTTTTTTTTTAATTACAGCTAATCATTTTTATTTATTTATTTATTTATTTATTTTGAGACAGAGTCTGGCTTTGTCGCCCAGGCTGGAGTGCACTGGTGCGATCTCGGCTCACTACAACCTCCGCCTCCCAGGTTCAAGCAATTCTCCTGTCTCAGCCTCCCAAGTAGCTGGGATTACAGGCACCTGCCACCATGCCTGGCTAATTTTTGTGTTTTTAGTAGAGACGGGTTTTACCATGTTGGCCAGGCTGGTCTCGAACTCCTGACCTCAGGTGATTCACGCACCTTGGCCTCCCAAAGTGTTGGGATTACAGGCGTCAGCCACCACGCCCGGCCACAGCTAATTATTTTTAAAATAATTATTAAATATTAATCTGTGTTTATACCTTTAAAAAAAATGCCTGGAAGAATGTTCAACAAAATATTGGATAGAGAAGACCTCTGGGTGTTAACACGATCAGTGACTTTTTTTCTTTGTGCAGAGAATTTCTAAGACTTCTCCATGTACATATAAAACATAAGTATATTACAGTCTGATGAGCCAGGCTTGGGGACGGAGAAGGAGATAGAATGTTTTATCCGTAACTGATCCGAGGAACTCCGAAACTCAACCTAATCAAGCACGTTGAAAATAAAGGGGAAGATTTGTTAATTGAATGTCATGTTATGTCCTCAGTTATGCTTAATACAAGATAGGCAATTTAGAATTCCCAATTATCCAATTAAAATGCTAATTATCTTGTGCCTTGATAAGGCAGCTCTCAGAGAGAGAGTGAGCTGCTCCTGTCTGTTGTGTCTCTTCCTCCTGCTGTGACCGCTGCTGTCTTGGCCGCTGCCCTTGCCTGTGATTGGCGGATCCCCCCTTCTGGGCGGGGCCTCAGCATCCCAGGCCTCTCTCAGACCCCAGCTCCTGCTTTCCACCGGCTGGCCTGGGGCTCCTTCGCCCAGGACTTGGTGGGCCAGTTGTCCTTGCAGACCCTTTTCTGCTCAGTTCTGGCCTTGTGCATGGGTGCAAGGTCAGGGCTCCGGAAGGCGTTAGCCATGGCATCACCCACTGCCAGTGTTTATGGAGTTGAAGCTTTTCCCTGCATCTTCTTCAGCCTTCACAGCAAGCCCCGAGGTCAGCACTGTTCCAGCCCCCACCTACTGACAGACCTGAGGTTTCAGAGGCATCCGGGTCAAAACCATAAGCTTTGCAGTCGGAGACCCTGCGTGGACTCCGAGCCCGAACACGGATTCAGTGGGTTTCCTGACCCCAGCCCGTCATTGTTCTGACTGCAGCATCCTCTGTGCAGTGGGAAGATCCCTCAGCCCCCAAAGGGTTGTTATCATGCTAAATGCTGCAGTTGACTGTTCAGTTTTTCTTACTGGAGCAGCTACACAACCTGCCTCAAGCCTCAGACTGAGTGGGCAGCAGGGCCTGGATTGAATCAGTCTGCCCACCCATCCCCACAGTGCAGTGCCTTGTGGGGCTCCCTGGCAGGAGCTGAGTAGTCAGGGAGAGTGATCTGGGCAGCAGTGGGGCTCCAGGAGTGTGACTTCATCTGCTTGCCCACATGGAGATGGTCCATGCAAGCCCAAGAAGCCTGGCCCCATATACCCTGTGACCATGCTGGCTGGCCTTCTGGAAGCCCTGGTGGGAAGGTGTTGCCCCAGGTCAAACAGTCTCTGTCTGTGGGCCAGGACTGGTGTAGGAGCGGCAGGAAGAGGGAGTGAGGAGCTCCGGGCAGCAGAGCAAGCTGCTGAAGCCGAGCACCGCATCTGCTGCAGACGGCCTGTGTCTGACGCTGCCATGTTGGTGCCGGCTACACGGTGATGCTGACCAGCTCTCCGCTAGCACCAGTTTTATTAATCATGCATTTCTGGCTTTAGTCCGAGGCTTCAGGTCAGTCCCTTCTTGGTGACACATCACGTGAATGCCTCTTGCTCATTTCAGGCACTCGGAGCCTCAGAGGGTGCTCATTCCTAGCTTTGTCTGTGTTTGTCGTCATGCTGGGGCCTGGGGAAGGGGAGGCACGCAGCAGTCCCCCAGTTCACTGCCAAGTCCCAGTACCTGCTCTTTGGAAGACCTACGGGGAACAGTGCTAAAAGAGCCAGGACCTGCCTGGGAGTTGGGGTCCTGGATAGGTCGCTGGTGCCACCCAGGCGGCGATTCCAAGGGTAGGGCTTGGGCGCCTTCGCCTGTGCCTTCTGATGACCCACTGGTCACCCCAGAAGAAGGGCGTGGAGCAGCTCCCCTCCTTCCATGGGAATTCAAGAAGAATGTAGTACGTGCTTCTGGTTCCATGCAAAAGGAGCTATGCCAGGGCTCCACTGGTAGAAACATCCGGTTTTGGCTCCAAGTCCTCCATAGTAGCTGCTCCCACTTTGGGGACCATAAGGCACGCTCTGCTCGGCCTGAGGTGTCTCAGGGCATCCCCTGCAGGACTGTATGGCCCTTACTCTGAAAAGGATTTTCCCTTAGTAAGTGGTGTATCACGTTAATGACACAATTATGGTCATGTGTACCCAGAAAATATCGCAGCAATTACTTAAAATAAATGTGAATTATAAGCAACTTAGTGCTGAGACGACTATACACAGCACAACTGCTTGGCCCCAAACATCATGAGGTACTTCTCACTCTCTGTGGCTCTCTCCCTCTTATGTGCCCCAGTCCTGGGCGCACCCCGGGAAGGCGGGGACCCTGGGTCAGCTCCGTGAGGGCGAGGGGCAGCTGTGAAGGGATGGTGGGCACAGGCCCCCTCTGTCCAGCCAGAAGCCTGTCTGTGCGCACGTGTCCCGGTAGCTGGTGCAGAGGACACACCTCCGCGTTTTTGCTGGTGAACATCCTGGAGATGCTGGGAGTGTGTGGGCCCAGGAAGGACTTCTGTAGAGAACTTGGCTGCCTGGAGGGTGCGGGAGTGGGTGTCCGGGCCGTGGACCTATGCAGATTCTGTTTGGTTTTAAAGGAATAGTCAAGAGGCTGTTTCTCAAAGCCTGGCACAGGATGCCCACGACCTCCTCTCCTGCTGCCTGAGGAGGGATCCCCATTCTCCAGCCTCCCTCCAGGCCTCTGAACAGTGACCACGATGGCTAGGTCACTGTACACAGAGCTCCTTGGGTACCAGGCACCATTGTGTATACTCCATGTATGTTAAATCATTCGACTGGCATAGCAGCCCTGGGAGGGAGGCACCGCTATCATCCCCATTTTACAGATGAGGAAACTGAGGCACGGAGAGGCCATTCAGCTGGCCAGCAGCAGAGCCAAGATTTGCCCTTGAGGTTGGTGTTGAGTCCCAGAAGGCTGGGTATGTGGGGCCCAGAGCAGGGAGCCCAGCACAGGGACCGGGGTGCGGAACACACCCTCCCCACCTCAGGTTTGTAACCCCATGTCCCAACTACCTGCTTTCCTAAGCCCTCTGCCCAGCTGAGGGGGCTCCACCAGCTCTGCGCATTTTCACTCCCAAGCTTCTGTTTCCGGCCCAGCCTCCCCTCTCCACCTCTTGAGTACCTGAGATCCATTGAGGCCCAGCCGGGGAAAGGGAATGATGTGGCCAGGGCCACCCCTTACACTGCCTCACTAACCTCTTCGGCGCTACCCCACCCATGCTCGAGGCACATAGCTTGGCCGACACTTGCTGCCAGGCAGCCCTTCTACCGCTGTCTGGGCAGCTGCAGCATTTTTATAGGACTGTGACTCGTCTTCATGTTAGGTGATAAACTTCTGAGGGCAGGAGCTGGGCCGTGTGCCCGGGAGCGCTCCACGGGCTGGATTTGTGGGTCCCAGTGGGAGGCCCAGCGACGCCGTCTCTGGGGACCCCATTCCTGCAGATCTGGGTCTGGGAACTTGCTGCTCCTGCCCCATTTGTCATCTCCTGGCACTGACAGATGTGCCTGCCCCACTGACACTGCAGTAACTCCATCCACCTCGTTATTCACCACTCATGCAGTTCCCCCAGGTTGCTTAAGGGCTCTCTCACTTATGCCTGGATACAAGCCTCTTCTACCCGAGTCTTGCCTGGGAGAAATTTATAGGTGAGGGTGTTAGAGGAATGGCCACATAAGGAAAAACAACGGGGCCCACACAGCAGCCGGGATGTCGTTGGCTGGGACTTAGGCAGACCACGGCCTCCTCTCAGCCAATCAGGAAGCCCCTCCCTGCTGCTGGGGAGGAGGTGCGCGCTGGGCTTGAGCCTGGCTGGGGTGTGTGTACCACCCCATCCGCCTTCCAGGTGAGCAGGAGGGAGCAGGGGCTGTTAGACCCAGCTGGTCCGGGGCTGCACGATGTGAGTCATAAATTTATGGAAGGAGCCTATGGAGATGGTCGCAGTGGGGCGGTGACACTCCTGCCTGTCTTGCTGGCTGCTGCCCTCTGCTGGAGAGCCTGTTCCAGGTGTTAATTATTTTGGGTGGGTAGTAGCTAGCCTGCTCCAGGGATGACTTGGCTGGACCCCTCCTGCCTCGCACTTGGAGGAGTTGTGATGCTGCCACTGCCATGGCATGTCGGTCATCCACGGGACAGGCTGTTAGCCTGTCCTCATAGCCCACACTTGCTCCTGGTCATCCCAGCACCACTCGCCAAGCTCTGGCCCAGCTGTGCGGGGGCACACGTTGCGTCCGCATCAAGCATGGGCCCCAGTTTGGAATGTCCACCCCTCAGTGCTCACCGCTTGAAGATCAGAACTGTGCCGCGCCGGGCTCACACGCTTCCACAGGCCCCCTGTGCCGCCACAGCTGCCCAGAACTTGGGTGCCCTTGTGCGTCCACACCCCAAGCCTAAAGTCTGCAGAAAACGTGGGCTCGTTTTGCCCACCTGTTATTGCCACCAAAGCACCAGTGTGTCCTCAAGTTGCGTCAGAAAAGGTCATTTAAAACAAAATTCAGGACTGAAGTCCACTGTGAAGCATTTCAGCTTTTTTTAGGCGGGCGTGAATATCCAGCACGTGGTGCTCCTCCTCTTTTCAACTCCTTCCTATGGAACAGTGTGTGGAGTTGTCAACGTGGCCGGCAAAGGTGACCAGTGTCGGGCTGCACTTTGCAGGTGAAAACTGGGTCAGCCTTTCTTTAGTTTGATGCTTCTGTGAGCTGTGCCTTCTTGAAGGCACTATTTTTTTCTTAAAAAGCAGCAAAGGCATTCAAAGACAGTTGTCTCCACTGAGTGGGTTATGCAGGGGGAAGCTTGCTGCAGGCGAGAGAGCCAAGTTTCCTCACTGCCTCCCCTTTCTGATGTTTTTTTCTTGTATTGATTGATTGATTGATTTTTTGAGAGCTGGGGTCTTGCTGTGTTGCCCAGGCTGGTCTTGAACTCCCGGCCTCAAGCAGTCCTCCAACCTTGGCCTCCCAAAGTGCTGGGATGACAAGTGTGAGCCACTGCGCCCGGCCTGCCGCTCCTTTCTTGTAGAATATGTGAGTTCCTCTGCACATGCGGATGGCATCTCTGTCCCTCTGCCTGTCTTTTCTGAAGCCGGCCAGTCCCAGCGCAGCCCGTGGTTGTCTGCAGGTCACTTGTCCCACAGAGGTCCGCTGTCGCCATCACGTCGAGAATGACCATGTGACCTCTGAGGTTCGCTTCTGTTGGTGCAGGACCACATCTCACAAAGCCAAGGGAGCACCCCTGTTCCACGGCGTGGGTCAGGCCTCTTCTCGGGCTTTCTGGGAGGGCGCCACAGAGGTGTGAAGTGGCTTCTGAGGCTGCCTGTCTGGCCTGGCGCACAGGGCTTGCCATGTGGGGCACTGCCCTTGCCTGCCTTGGTAGGAACGTGCCTGGACTGTGGCGAAACTCAGCGCTGAGACTCCCAGGAGCGAGGTGGAAGCGGCCTCCTGAGCGCTTGCACCACGAATACGGGGGCGGCTGAGGAGAGGAGCATGTGGCTTTCTTGCTTCCCTGGCAGCTCCTGAAATCCTTTCTTTTCAGGAAATATTTCACTCGCAGATACCCAATTATCCTGTGAGGTTTGGAAGGCAAGTCTGAAAGCCCATTGAATCTACCACAGCCGTTCCTGCATAACAACTGCTTAATATCCAATCATGACAATTATACATAATTTGTGTTGACAGTGCCTAGAAGATGAAACTCCCTCGTATGGACGTTCTCTAAGGCAGGCCTGGAACGTGCAGGGCAGGACCGCCATGTGGCGTGCCCTTGGGCGGCCGCAACGACTGCCCTGGTCGGGGGTGGGCGGGTGGGGGCCACCTGGGCCTGTCTCACGTGGTGGCAGGTGGACCAGCTGTGGTCCGGCAGGAAAGCTGTTGCCGAGGCCTCAGGGAGGGGGTGAGGGCAGCTCCCCACGACCACACCCCTCACCAGCTGGGTTCAGTAGAGGAAGACCAAGGCAGAATGGCTCAGTCCCTTGGAGCTCAAAGATCCATGCAGTGACTGTGCTACCATCCGCCATCCTAGAGGCCTCCCCGGTGCAGGTTCTGGGCTTAGCCTGGGGCCAGGGCTTGTCTTTCTCTCCAGACTTGGCTGTGGCCCTACCCGCTCAGGGTGGGAGCTTGTAGAGTGGGCCCAGCCAGCAGGCAGCTCGTTCCAAGGAGGGAGAAGCAGGATGTGTGCCCCAGGCCTTGCCTCTCCCACATCCCTGGAGACCACCCTGCCCTGCCCCACCTGCAGGAGGCCTGTCCCTTGCCCCTTCTGCCCATAGCTCCTGTGCCCTCTCCCCGGGTGAGCGCAGGCCGTAGATCCAGCCCCTCCTGGCAGGGTGGGTGGTGGCCTCTGGGCACGGAGTCACAGGGAATCACTTCCTCCAGCTCTGCAGAAATGTGTGGCCTCTGCCCCAGCCCGGCTTCCCACAGGGCGCAGGCTCCAGGAGTCCCATCTGTCCTGATGTGCCTGGGAAGCCACTCGCCATGGCAGTCAGTGGAGGCTGGCGAGCTCCTCTGGCAGGTGGCTGCGCCCTGCTGGGCCCCCAGCTTCTCTGTCACTCCACACTGGCCTCTGAGATTCTGCAGCCTATGACTGACCCCCAGGCTGTAAGCCTCACAGACTCACACTGAGAGTTTGGACCATTGTGGGGCCACGGCAGGGGAGACCATGGGCCGAGGGCCTTCCCTTGGGGTTCATGGGGCTCGTGGAGTGGGGTGTGCCTGCTCTAGTGCCCCAACCCTGACGCGTCTCTCCCCCTGCAGCCTCTTCGAGCACTACTGCTACTCCCGGGGCGGCATGCGCCACAGCTCCTACACCTGCATCTGCGGCAGGTAAGCGGGGCACCCTGGCTCCCCTGGGGGTGACCAGTGGGAGGAGGTAGGGCAGTTAGTGAGTGGGGGGCTCCACCATCCCCCAGCTCAGCCACACTTGCTCACTCACACGCCCACACCAGCGCCCGGCCCAAGCTTGGAAGTCGCTCCTCCCTCCCAAGACTCCCGGAGCTGAGGTGGCCTCTGCCTGCAGGACCTGGCACTGGGTGAAGGAGGGAGCATGGCCTGCCCACTGCAGAGGGGCTGCTTGGCGTCCCCTCCCTCCTGTCCCCAGCTGGTCAGCACAGCAGCTAAGCACAGGAAGGCCACTCCTCCACACGGGCACACACACAGCATGTGGGGACCGGGCTGTGAGCTCAGGCTGGGCAGCTTCTGTGTGCAGCAGGGGTGGAGTGTGGAAGGGTCAGTGCAGAAAGTGGTGGTGGTGTGTCTATGTGGGTGTGGCTGCGTGGGGACCAGTGCTGCTGTATGTGGGTGTGCATGTCACTGTTGGTGTGCCTGCTCGTGGCACATGGTGCCGAGGGGCAGGGCTCTGTGTGGGTGTGTGCGCTTGGGTGTGTGCCATCAACACCTGGCTGGGTGTGCTTGGAGGCACACACATGGTAGAAATGACAGTGATATGGGATCATTGCCATGCTGTGTGGGCCATGCACAGCGGCATGTGTCCCTTGGGGTGTGTCTGCCCCCACATGCGTCCTGGCTGTGGGCGTGGCCCCCTCGTCTCCTGCGCTCTCCCAGCCAGTCTCCCTGCTCTCTGCCCCTCGGGTCTGGCCCCTGCCCGGCCAGGATGGAGCCAGGCAGCTCTGCCAATGCGCACGTCCCCGGCACATGAATAATACATGTGAAATCTCAGTCCTTGGAAATGTTCTTCTCTGGTGGATGGAGAGAAAACCATTATTTCTACTTTTATGATTCCCAAGACTCCTGAGCAGGGCCATAAATATTACACCCAGGTGGGGGTTTCCTTCCCCCCTTTGGACAGACTTAAAAGTCCTTTTTTTCTTAAAGGCATCGCTCATTAGGGAAGCCTTCTCAGGCAGAGGAGCGAGGATCCTCTTGGTTTCCTCTCTCTCCAGCCTGGTCAGGACGCCAGGGCAGCTCCAGGACAGCCGGGGCCCTTTCCATAGAGGCCCTCTCCCCTTTGGCCACCAGGAAAGGAGGGGTTCCGTAGGGCCCTTCTCCAGGCCCAGGAACTGCTGTTCCCCTTTTTTGCTCTTTTTTTAATTTAAAGACAGGGTCTCCCTCTTTTGCCCAGGCTGGAGTGCGGTGGCATGATCATAGCTCATTGCAGTCTCCACTTCCCAGGCTCAGGTGATCCTCCTAGCTCAGCCTCCTGAGTAACTGGGATTACAGCTGTGAGCCACCTAACCCAGCTAATTTTTTTTGCATTTTCTGTAGAGGTAGGGTTTCGCCATGTTGCCCAGGCTGGTCTCGAACTTGTGGGCTCAAGTGATCTGCCTTTCTTGGCCTCCCAAAGTGCTGGCATGACAGGCGTGAGCCACCACACCCGGCCCATTGCTAAGTTTTACATGTGTTCCACATGATGCCCACATCCCAGCCCAGAGGGCAGCCGCCTAACGACGCCTTCAGCCAGGAGGCTCTGCCTGCAGACTGAGGCTGGTTGCCAGCCATGTGACTGCGGGGTGACAGGGCCACCATGTCCCCCGGCCTTACCTCTGGCTGTGGACCTGGTCCAGCCACGCCTGGGCCTGTGCTGGAGGTGGGGACAGTGCTGCTCATGGGCAGGGGATCGAGCATCCACCCCCTCCTTCAGAGCCTGCTGCAGAAGAATGGGCTTTGATCACCCTCCCCCGGCTCTTTGCAGTGGTGAGAACTCAGCCGTGCTACACTACGGACACGCCGGAGCTCCCAACGACCGAACGATCCAGAATGGGGATATGTGGTAAGTAGGGCCAGCGGCCCTGGCTCTGTGTGTGAACAGCCAGGCCAAGGTTGGACTCAACTTCAAGATGGCCCAGAAGCCTCTGGGTCCCTGTCCTGAGAGGGCTGACCACAGCAAGTCCCTGGGCTTCTTGGCCCAGACTTCTCTGCCAAGGCTATCGGCCTGCGTGGTGCCTTCTCCAGGGCCAAAAGCCTGCACCCCCCAGGGAGCACTGAGAGAGAGGGTGCAGGAGAGGGGCCCCCGATGGTTTCCTGTGGGCCATGGGATTGTGGGCTCTCTGAGGGGGCCTGAACCATCCCCAGCCTCTGTCCAGGCTGTCCTCTCCGTTCAGGGGGCACCACGCTCGCATCTTTCTGTCTTGGTGCCAGGAGGGCAGGCCTCTTGGTCTGGAGCTGGGAAGACCGCAGGGAGCCTCCCACGCTCTGAAACCTGCCATCCTCCTGCTGCAGGAGCCCGTGGCCTCTGCGGCCCTGCGTTCAGCAAGTCAGCAGTGCTGACCCGTGGCTGCGTGCAGGGCTTTCCTGAGCACGATGTGCCGTGCTCACAGTTCTTCATAGAAGCCACGACAAGGAGATGTGGGCAGGCCCTGCGGCCTCCGCCCCTCGGGTAGTCTTTTCTCTCATTGGAGGACTTGCAGTCCTACCCACAGCCCCTCGGTGTGCAGGGCAGAGCAGCTGGGCCGCTGCCCCGGGGCAGGGAGGAGGTGTGTGAGTACTTGCAGCCTGGCCTCTGCTCAGTCCCTCCGCGTTCTTTGCCTGTGCCCTGCACGTCAGATGTCAGCCAGGGCCAGCCCAGGCAGTGCAGAGCTCCTGAGAGCTACCCCAGTGCTGGAGCCCTGGGGCTCAGCCACAGCCACGCAGGCCCTGTCTTGGCCTCCAGACATTTCACTGTGGTCACTGACTAGCAGAGGATGTGCCTTGTCCCTCCCAGTTCTTTGGTGCCCTTTCTTCTATGGCAGATGCACCCGAACAAGCCTCCTGCAGAGCCCTCTGCCCCCCAGCAGCATGGCATGTCCTCTGAGGCCTGCGTGGCGCCCAGCTGGGCTGCCTCCGCCTTCCCATCGAGGAGCCACCCCAATGTGCCAGCTCCTCCAGCGGGAGTTCCCATGATGGCTGCTCACCGGCCTGGACCCCGCCTCACCCTACAGCAGGTAGTCGTGGGAGCCCACCCCCCAGAGTCCCCAGCCATGCCCACTGAAGGACAGGAACACACATGCCCAGACCTATGGACAGACAACCAGCTGCCCAGAGAGCTGCCGAGCGTTGAGCTGTCAGGGCCGAGTATTTGCAGGAACACACTCAGTCTCGGGGTCCTCCCTGCCCTTGGGCACATGGCCTACTGAGACTGCCCGGGCTCCCCGCTCACCCAGGTCCATAGCTGATGAGCTGTTCCAGCTCAGGCCATGCTGGCAGGAGCTCAGCTCAGACCTTGGGTGGGGCCAGCATATGCCGCCACAGTAGGGCTGTGTTAGGAACACGGCAGGTTGAGGGTGCAAGCGGAGGCAGGCCAGTGGAACCGCCACCCACTGCGCGCTGGGCCTTAGTGGACTCCCTGGCCTACCCGACAGCACTGGCTCCACGGATCCTGGTTCACTCTGGCACCACAGTGAGCCCCACAAATGGTGGGCGAGTCCCCAGTCCCCCCTGCGTAGCCACCGTGCTCGGGGCTGGGAGGGTCAGAGCGGAGCTCAGCTTTCCTCCTACATGCCTGGGGCCACAAGGTGACTGGGCCCTTCTTCTGGGTCTCTGTGGATTTTCTCACCCACTCCTCGCCCTGATCCTGCGATGTAGGCACCTCACCCCATGTGTGGGCCAAGGAACTCAGACACAAGGAGGGCACCAGGCCCAGGTGTGAGGCCAGAGGCACTTGGGGAAAGAATTGGCAAACTCAGACTTGGCTCAGCAGGGGACTAGAGCAGGAGAGGGGGTGGCAGCCCTGCCCCCACACCGTGGACCCACCAGTGGCTCCAGACACCACCTGGTGTCCTGAAACTTTTTAAGAGACGGTCTTGCTCTGTCTCCCAGGCTAGAGTGCAGTGGCACAATCATAGCTCACTGCAGCCTCAAACTCCTAGGCTTAAGAGATCCTCCCACCTCAGCCTCCCGAGTAGCTGAGACTACAGGTACAAGCCACCATGCCCAGCTAATTTTTTTATTTTTAATATTAAAAAGACAGGGTCTCACCATGTTGCCCAGGCTGGTCTGGAATTCCTGGACTTAAGTGATCCTCTTGCCTCGGCCTCCCAAAAGTGCTGGGATTACAGATGTGAGCCACGGTGCCCAGCCCTGAAACCTTTTCTAAAGCTCTTTAACCCTGTAGCGCATTCTGGCTGGGCCTGGAGGACAGGACATGGGAACCCAGTCTCACGGCAGAGGCCACATCAGTGGGTCCCCACAGTCCAGGGGGCACTTCTGGGTGGCTGGAGAGCCCTGTGCCAGAGCCACGTGGCCATGAGCTTTTCTCCTCTGTGGGCTCAGCACACCCCAGAAGAAGTGACTGCTCCTTTATGACCCTCTTTATCTGCCCCGGAGAGGGTCCTGGCATAATCCCAGATGCTGTGGCCTCGGCCCTCCGGGACAGCACATGGCACCTGCATCTCCCAGCTGCAGCTGTAGAGGCAGGAGTGATCCGAGGATGTTAATGCCAAGTCCAAATTGGTGATTTGATTTTTCTAGTGCTAACTTTGAAATGTAGCCAGTAGAGTAATTATGAGTTTATTGTAGTCAATTTATTATGCAGCATTTAGAACAACATGTTTTGTTGATTACTGCTACTGCCAGATTGCTGGTGGCATTTATAGTCCATTGTTGTATTGAAATTGATCTGCCGAGCGCCTACTGCGTTCGGTAAATAATAAATCAGTCTGTTATCCCAACATGAAAGCCACGATGCTTCATCCTAAGGTATGAAACTAAAGCATGAGCCCAGCGTAGAATTCCCCCGAAGCCGAGCGCCTCCCAGAGCAGTGCGCCTGCTGCAATGGCCTGCTCTGGGTTTTAGTCCTTTGACTGGGGGAAGACACCCCAGAGATATTTTAGCTTCTAGGAATGGGATTTTGTGGGGAATCAGAGCTGGTCCAGGGCAGCCAGATTATACAGCTGTACTGCAGAAGGGTGGGGGGTACTAAGAGGAGGCCAGCCTTTTCCATCCCTCTCTCCACAGTCCCAGATATGAGCACTCCCCCAACACGCACACACATGGATACACACACAGGGAACTGACCGAGGCTGTGCTGCGTTGCAATGATCACAGTGTAAGCCCCTGCCTCCCTCTCTCGCAGTGGCCACCTGGCACAGCGTGGGCCCTCTTCGGGCAAGAGCAGCAGGCCCGGTGTCCTCACCGAGCTGGGCAGGCCAGGCCCTGATGCCCACTTCCAGCAGCTGGTTCTGCAGCACAGGCTGGAGGTGGGAGCCACAGGCAGAGCTCAGGCCAGGCCTGGTTTATTCTCAGACAGCTCCCGTCCCCTGGTTGTCCTGTTCCGTGTCTTCGACCCAAAAGTGTCCTCCATGATGCGTACATCAAGCGGGGTTTGGGGCTGGCTAGGCCCCCCTCCTACTGCTCCGTCCTTACCCTTCCAGCAGCTTCCCTGGAGCTAGGCTGAGTCCACTGTTGGCCACAGTCATGGTCCAAGAGGGCCTATGAACCAGACACCCTGGTTCCTGCTTCAGGTCAGGCTTGTCAGCCAAGGACTGAGACAGACTTCCTGAGGGCCGTCCCTCACCCCCAGCCAGCCACCCCCGGGCCCCTTCCCGCTTCTCTGGGTGTGATGCCACCACACCCACTCGCATGCACGCAGGGGTGAGGGACGGGACTTTGTGGTGGCTGCATACACCCTCAGCCTGGTTCAGAGCCAAGCGGCCCCATGTGGGGCCTGTAGCCGTCAAGCCTCCGGGGGTTTTGCTGTTGTTCTCAGAGTCTTTTCCCGCTGTGATCCTGGGGTTCGCCATGAACCCCATCTCCAAGTCACTGTACCAGAGGGGCCATTCGCTGCTTTTTTTGTTTTCCTTTTTAAACCCCTCAGGCAGACCTTCAAGAACAGGGTTACAAAAGCGCAGCACACTTGCTAATTAACACTTTCAACATGTTCACACAGATTGAGGTGCCTGAGATCACTGGAGGCCATTCCTAAGTGGGAGGCCCCAGAAGACCCCTCCCCACTCACTCCAGCCCCGAACAGGTTTGTGTGAGCACAGAGGTGGCCAGGACTCATCCCCCTGCTTCTCCTGGTCGTCTTCTGAGCCCCCATGTGCTGCCCCCTCCTTCCACAAACAGCCTGGGCTGTGGGCACCAGAGCCACTGCAGGCCAGCAAGCTTCGCAGCTAGGGCAGGGGGCGCATGGTCCACGATTCTGGGAAGCAGTGCGCCCAGAGAGGGACCATCCCTTGCAGCACTCCGGGCCTGAGGCCGCCCCAGGTCCTGGAGAGGCTCACCCCACAGGGCAGAGGTGGAGGGCTCTGGTTGGGAAAGCAGCTGGGACACTCCTCCTGCCTCCCTCACTTCCCGATCAGGTGGTGGGGGTTGGAGGGGGGCCTTAATCTACTGTGGCCCCTCGCAGAGTTTCTAGAGCACGTGTCCCAGGATGCCCCAGGCCTTGGTTGTCCCAGTCGGGATGCAGCTGGTGGGCAGCAAGCCTGTCCTTCCAGAACTGGCCAGAAGAGGGCAGTGTTGTCTCAGGACGATGGGCCAGGCCTCACCCCTGCTGGGCCTGGTCTTTTGTGTTGCTCCTGGGCATGGGGGGTGGGTGGCCAGCCTGGCTAGGAGGAGAGACCTGTCCCAGCCCTCACACTCAGCAGCCACCAGTGCCCTCTTCCCCTCCTTCCCTGGCTAGATAATGGCGAGACCTCGACCCTGCAGGCCATGGGGTGCCCGCTCACCCAGGACCTCAGCAGCCACCTTGGCCTCACATGGGCCCTGCAGCCTGGGATGCGGCCAGCCTACTCCTGCTGTCTACTCAGCCTGAGTCTGTCTGCCACCATCGCGCTGCGGACCCCATGGGTGACAAGCTCCTGGGGACCCCCTTGCCCCACTCCACCTGGGGCCCAATGCTTTGGTGAGCTCCAGGGTAGAGCGTTGCCCCCAGGCCTGCTCTCTGCTGCCTGTCCCAGCCCAGCTCTCCCCCACCACCTTGCTGTTTCCTCCGAGGGAGACTTGTTGTCACCAGCCAGCCCTGCCCTGAGCACTCTGCGGTCTTAAAGACATGCTCTTGGGGCCACAGAACGCCCTCAGGAGGGTCCAGACCCACAGGCATGGCCGTCCCATCCCATCCCAGTTAGGAGCGTGCTCTCCATTCTCACCCGTCCTCATACACATGGACAGGCCTGGTTATGAGCAGACACCTGCCCACGCGTTTTCGGTTTGTCTCTTGTTTGTGCTTCGTGGCTGCACCCTCCTCAGCTGATGTCATGACCCACAGTTTGAACAGCACTTGTCCAGACATCCTGGGTGCTCCCAGACATCATGAGACACTGGTCACCAAAAAAAGCAAAATACAGCATGTGCTGCGCGTGTGACTCTCCCTCCCGCCTGCCAAGGCCACTGCCCTGACGCCCGGGCCTCACCCCACTGTGCTTTCCTGGCAGCTGTCCTTGTGTCTCACCCACCTCTGGACGAGGCACCCCACAGTGCTCTTCTGGGACCCGGGGCCCCTCACTGGTGCCGTGCCTCTGTCCATGTCATGCATAAAATGGCAATGCCAGTTCCCTCCAGACACCCAGGAGGCCCACAGGACGCAGCTGCTCCCGTCACCCACCGCGTGCACCAGGGATTGCTGGCTCTGGGGACCAGAAGCTGCTGCTGTCATGGGCTGGCGGCATGGGCAGCTTTCCTGTCTGCCGAGGCCCTGGAGGAGTGGCCGTCACACGAAAAGGGGGCAGAGATGCCCAGGAACGCACTGGAGAGAGGTCCCCTTGGTGGGTTAGGCCATGGCACGGGGAGCCTCAGGGACTCCGAGTGGTGGCCTTTGTCCCTGCTGGCCACGCTTGGAGCTTGGCACTCCACGGAAGGCCTGGCTGGGAGCAGGCAGCCGGCCCATGCACCCTGGAGACCACAGCTCGCCACCGTGTCTGCAGGGGCCGCCCACTGGGGCAGATGAAGGGAAGAGTGACCCATACGCCTCCCTTTCGGTCTCACACTGAGGAGAAGCAAGTGCTTCCTGCTGCTCAGCAATCCCCCAGCCTGGCCTGGGACACTGACCAGGGCAGCTGCACATCGGAGTCTGCAGTGCTTCTGCAGCCCCGAATATGAGCGCGTGTAAACTGTTGGATTGAACAGCTAAGAGCCGTGCCACTACTCAGGAGATTCAAATGAAACTGCAAACCAAGTCCAAAGTGGCTCTCATATAAACATTGCAGCATTTCCCCCAGAAAACTGTTCCCAAGCCTTCCGTCACTGGCCGACCCATCTTGGAGGCCTTCTGCCTCTGGGCTGGCGGGTCCCTGCCATGGGGCCCAGGGAGGGTCTGGGTGGGCCAGTGGTGGCAGGTAGCCCAGGCCCAAAGCTACCCAGAAGGAGCCAGAAACAGAGCCCTCAGAACACATGTGGGGAGTGAGACGCCAGCACGTTGTTTGGAGATGCATCCTGTCTCCCAGATGTCTTGTATTATCATCGACTCACTCGGCCAAAGATGGTAGGGTCCCCAGACAGCCAGGAAGGAGGGATCCTGCGTGCCTGTTCTCGATTGAGCCAACGTATGACCGAATTCTCCATTGTCGGTTTGCATTCAGAGGATGGATGAAGTGGACGCAGAGGAGCGGGAGGGAGATGATTTATCAAAGCCATGGCTTTCGTCCCTGGATTCCAGAAAAGCTTGCATCTGAATAACTTATGTGTGTAGAAACTCTAGGGGGATTTTTTTAAGGCAGAAAAAGATAGGGAACTGAGAGGAGCACGAAAATAGACTTCAGCTCCATACCCGAGCCTCGCTGGGCAGGATGGAGCTGGCTGGCTGGGTGTATACTTCCCCCTCCAGAAAGCAGATCATTTTCAAACAAGAAATGCAGTTACAGTCTTCTACAAGCTGGAAGATAAAGTCAGGCTGGCGGATGATATCCAGGCACCCACCATCCCATGGTCTTTCTGCTTTGCTGGCGGGAGTTTGGGGAACTGGGATCTGAGTCTGGTCTGCACTGGAGAACAGTCTTGTTTTTACATTCCTAGATGATTTCATTGTTCGGGGTATTCTTGTGGGCTTCCTGGTTGTTGTTGTTGTTGTTGTTTTTTAAACGATAGTTCAGTTTCTGCTTTTTCTTTTGTGTCAGCACAGTCCGGTAGGACTTTCTGCCCCGGCTGCTGTTGCAGGTCACCTTCTGATTTGGCGCCTCCTAGGAATCCGTGTCCCCCATACTCCTGGCCCTGTCCTCTCTGCCCAGGCTATTCTTGCATGTTCTAAAACCAACAAACCACAAACCATTTTTCTTGGTTGACTCTGGGGAACCTAAATGAAAATGCTTAGCTGTCCCCAGGCAAAACTGGGCTGTGTTCCATATGGCTCCACTCCCCAGAGCTACAGCAGTGGGAGGGTCCCATTTTACAGATGGAAAAACTGAGGCCGTGAAGGTTGAGCACTGCCGCCAGGACCTAAGAACCCATTGCTGGGCTTCGAGTTGTTTACCCTCCTGACTCAGGGCTTTCCTGGACCCGTGATCTGAGCCTCAGTTTCCCTTCAGTTTAGAGCTTCCATGTGCCCCGCCTTCCCGGCCAGCCGTGGGGAAGCCTAGGCCCTGTGCAGGAGTAGACTTCCAGGCAGTTGTTGGCCTAAGCAGCCCACTGCATCCAGAGATCCTGTGACTCTGACCCACCCCAAAGCTCCCTGTCATGCAGGCGGGGCTCCTCCCCCCAGCCTGAGAGTCACCTGAGGTGTTATCTGGACCTTTCTGCCCTGTTGACACTGCTTATGGTGTTTTGCAATCAGAAAAGACAGGAGATTAAAAAGTGCCCGGCTGGGGACTTTGGATTTCAGCAAAGCGTCCTGGCCGTGCATTCAAGTTTTTCCTTTAGAAATCTGCCTCCATGGGGCGGCTGACGCTGCCTGTCCAGCCACGTGGCCCTGCTCCTTGCTCCACATGAGGCCAGGGTCCTCCACCCCCTGGCTCCCTCCCATGGGACAGGACCCCCCACAGGCAGGCGCACAGGCAGCTTCTGGAATGTTTGTGGAGTGGTTGTGTTTACCGTGAGAGCTGGGATTTGGGTGAGAGGCCCTCGTGACGGAAGCCGCGGCTGTGCCCCTGGCCTCAGACTTGTCAGGACTCACCCAGCTACAGATGGACCCCATGGGAAGCCCAGGGTGGAGCCAAAGAGGGGCAGCTGCACTTCCTCAGCCCTCCTGGCTCTGGTTCTGGACCCTGCAGACGTGGTGGGCTCTGGTCCTAGGGCTAGACCAGCCTCCGCCAGCCAGGGTCATCACCATCAGTGTCGTGACTTGGCCATGACCTGTGAAGGGGCTGGTGGACCCGAGGGTTCCGCTCTGTGTCTGCTGCCTGCAGCCTCCCGAGGTGCCTAGGTGGGATGGATGGAAAGGGGCACCACCTGCGCCCCTCCGCCCCCTCAGCCAGGCCCAGCCTTGTCCACCTGGGCTGCTTCCGGGGAGTCCTGAGAGCCAGGTTTGGATCCAGCAGCCCTTCCCGTATCCTGTCCCTTCCACACCACAGGATGAGCGGGAGGCTGCTTCTCTGCCGTTGCCCAGAGAGGGCCCTGAGGTCCTTTGCACAGCAAGGACAGGCCCTACTCCTTCCGGGCCCTGCTGTGCCAAGGGTCCCTCTTACAGGGCATCCAGAGGGCAGCCCCAGCCACCATCCTCCTGCCTCAGCAGGCCTCCTGTCATCTGTCCCACACTGTCTGTCCCACGCCATCTGTCCCATGCCATCCTGCCTCTCTGCTGGCCCCCAGGCCCCTCCCGTCCTGGACAGCTGGCACCTCTGCCCCATTCTCCACGCCCCTGCCTGTGTCCTGCTGGTCTCTGCCTGCCACCGGAGGGTGCCAGGGTGCAGGTGGACAGGGTGAGGGGGCCCACCTGGCTTCGGGGACATGTGGCCAGCAGGCCCTGGGAAAGCCTTGCTGGACATGAGGCTGTCTGGCACTTCCTCCCTGCCCTCCCCTTGGGCCCTGGCAGAATATGTCCGTCCCATCCCCATGGGCAGAGGGGTAGTGTCGGGCACACCCCTCCAGCTAGGGGGCCCCAGAGCTGCAGCAGAGCCAGAGGCCCTAGCCGCCGACTGAGTGTCTGCCCAGATGCTCTGGGTCCTGGAAGAAGCAGGTGGTGTGATTCAGGCCCGGAGTTCTAGGCCGTGCATCCCATCCGGGGTCCCTGCCCAGCCCCCTCCTCCTCTGCTTCCCACAAGCACGGCCTCAGCCTGTGCTCTGTGCTGGGTGCAGGGAGACCTGGGAGAGCCTGTTGGGGTGCCGGGTGGAGGCCAGGCAGCGGGCGGGGTCCTGGGGCATCTCTGCCTCTCCTTAGTTCTCCAAACAATTCTCCATGGCTCTGAGCTCTTGGAGGCCAGGCCACAGGGGTGGGTGTCATCTGCATAGGACAGCCCCACTCCCCTCAGCCTTCCCTGCCTGGGCTGAGCCCTGAGTCCCTTTTTCCCTGGAAGACACAGGTCTTCCAGGATGGCTTCGGGTTTCCTTGCTGCCCACGCACCCGTGGGAGACACCAGGTGGCAGTTCCCCACACCGGTCTCATTGTGAGGGGGAGTTGCATCCAGGACCCGGGCCAGCTGCCCTCGAGTCCAGGGCAGGTGGGGAGCGGTAAGGGTAAGGGGGCGGTGGCACCCCAGTACCCACTTGCCCTGCCTTCCTCTCTCCGCAGCCTGTTCGACATGGGCGGTGAGTATTACTGCTTCGCTTCCGACATCACCTGCTCCTTTCCCGCCAACGGCAAGTTCACTGCAGACCAGAAGGCCGTCTATGAGGCAGTGCTGCGGAGCTCCCGTGCCGTCATGGGTGCCATGAAGCCAGGTGAGCAGCGGGTCGGTGGGGGGAGGCGCATCTGACGTGGCGTTGGGGGCGCTGCTATGTGGCAGGTGCCTGCAGGGAACGGGTCTGCATTGTGTGACTTGAATCTGCCACACTCCAGATGCTTAGTCCCTGAGATTCCAGTGGCGTCAGGTCTCCAGGGTCACTCCTAGGAAACAAGGCTGACCACCAGGCAGGGACAGACAGAACCAGGAATTGCGGGGCTCAGGCCAAGGCTCCCCGGTCTGCTGGCCTCCACCTGCGCATCTCCACTGGCCACTAGCACGCCAGCCTGTCTCCTGCTTTGTCCTTAAGCGGTGTCTACTCCAGGGAGGGCTCAACCCACTCTGGACACTGGCATGGGGTCAGAGCAGGTTCACGTGCCGCTCAGCGCTCTGTGACCTTGGATGGAAAGCCCTCCTCTGGGTGGCCGTTTCCACATCTGTAAATGGGGAAGCAGCCGACTCATGGAGACTGAGTTAAGCTGTGTAAAGCACCTGCAAGGCCGCCTGGCCTGTGGTAGTGCCCTGCAGGGGTCACAGTCACCACCATGATGGCCATGTTGAGGCCAGGATGGGCCTGGTGTTTCTCTCTCCCAGCGGCCAGCGTAGGCCAACCTGTCCTGCCCTCAGCCCTCCCAACCCCAGGCAGCCTGCACAGGCCCCACTGGTACCTCTTGACCTCCCACCGCGCGCCGTTGATGTCTGTCAGGGCAGGCAGAGGAGGTCCCCTGGAGGGGAGCCAGCATCCTCCCAACAAGGCCAGCTTTCAGGAGTTCCCCCTGGGCACCTCCCGCTGTCCCCATCCCGCTCAGCCAGCCTCCTGCCGAGTGACCCCTGGGTCCTCCATAGCCCTGGCAGGGGTGGAGTCTAGCACCCACAGGATCGAACCCCAGCTCTCTGCCCTGCAACAATAGAAACCATTTCCCAGCAGTGATGGGAGGTCCTGGCTTGTCACCTTTGCCCAGAGGAGAGAATTGAGGGATGTGGTCTTCTCATGTTCTTGCTTCAAGCCTTCCAGGGCTTCAACACAGCACCCCTGCCGTAATCCTTGGATTCACCAGAGCCTGGGCAGGTTCCTATGGGATCACCATGTGCTGGCCAACCCCTAGGCCTGGCCCTCTACAGGCACATGGCTCCCACGACTCTGACTGAGATCTGTTCGGCAGCTGCCAGGGTCCAGCCTGCAGCGCAGAGGGGCTTTCCCTGCCCACACCGGCCCAGGCACAGCTGGCCCCCCAAGGCACGCAGGTTCTGCATCTTTGGTTATAAGCAACAGAACAGTCTCCAGCCAATTCGGTCATTTGGGGCTGCCACAAATTCACAGAGGTGGAAAATCAGGTCTGGGCTGGGGCCAGGGCTGCAGTGGCACAGGACAATGGCCCTGTACTCACAGCTGGATCGTCTGGCCAGGGCCCGCCCTCAGCACACAGGCCCCAGCCACCTTCTGCAGCCTGGAGTCCCTCCATCTGGGTCGAGGTCAGAGATCACCTCGTGTTGGCCATGCCCAGGTCATAGTCCAGCCCCCCCAGCTTGCCCCCACCCTCGCCCACTGCCTCTCACCCACAGCTATACAGACCTCCAGAGAGACAGGCAGGCCCAAGGCAGCCCCCTGTGTAGGGGAGCTCAGGCGTCCTCCAGGAGCCAGGTGGGCTTACCGCGGGCAGAGGGGATAGCCCAGTAGCGCAAGGCTTCAGAGTCCAGGATGCAGGCCCCAGACCCAGAGTGCCCCGAGCCCAGCCCCAGCTCTGCCGCCTGCTGGCCAGGTACCTTACTTAAGCCCCAAACAGGCGAAGGATAGACCCCTGCTCTCCCAAGGCAGAGTCCACTTCAGAGCGGGCCTGGCCAGCTCTGGACCGTGGCATCTAGTTAGACATGGAGTGCCCTCTGTTAAGGACCCACAGAGAGCTGGCAGCTGCCAAGTGCGCCCTCAGTGTTCAAGGAAAAAAGAAGAAAGAAAGATCTGGAGCCTCCAGAATGCGGCCTCAGAACTTGATGGCTCGGCGGTCGACTGAGCAGTCCCTGCGGCCCCACAGCCCGTTGCTGGGATGAGTTGCAGCCTCGATCGCCGGCCCAAGTGTGCTTCAGAGGGGCCCTCAGCCACCGTCGCTTTCAGAGGAGGCAGACTGTGGGCAGGCCTTTGCAGATGGTGCCCAGTCCAGCCTCCAGAGCCCCCACCAGAGGCTGAGGAGCCGCGGAGGGACGCTGGGGGCAGTGCCAGGCCCCAGCCCCACACCTTCACGCATCCAACAGGAACAGAGCTTGACAAACGCATGAGTGCAAGCAGGGGGACCCCAGATGTGCCCCAAAAGGAAGACAGGACAGAAAATCCAAAAGTCAATAAGCTTGTGATGGGGTGACAGCGCTGATCGGACTCACCTGGTTTAGCAGCTGCCGAGGAAAACAGCATTTTCTGCGGAATTGCTTTGCTTAAAAAGCAGCAGGCCGGGCTCTGTGGCTCACACTTATAATCCCAGCACTTGGGAGGCGGGCGGATCACTTGAGGTCAGGAGTTGAAGACCAGCATGGGCAACATGGAGAAACCCTGTCTCTACTAAAATTACACAAATTAGCTGGGCGTGATGGTTCATGCCTGTAATCCCAGCTACTCGGGAGGCCAAGGCACGAGAATCGAATCGCTTGAACCTAGGAGGCGGAGGTTGCAGTGAGCCAAGATCACACCACTGCACTCCAGCCTGGGTGATGGAGTGAGACCCTGTCTCAAAAAACAAACAAAAAGGAGCTGCCACCCCTGAGTATGAATATACAGGTGTCTCCAGGCAGATGGGTGGGTGAGGACAGAAGAGCGCCAGAGGGTATGGCCAGCGGGCCCTTGTGGGTAAAAGGAAGAGGGAGTGAGAGCGTGAATTCCCGTGCGCCTGTGAAAACCATAAAGGAGGTGCAGGAAGGGACGGGACAGTTTGCTTGCTGCGTCCCTTCTTATTCTTTCTGACTCTTCAGCCATGGGAAGCATCCCCCGTTAGCTGTCAAATCCAATCCAGCCTCCACGAAGCAGTCGCCCAGGGGCGCCACTCCTTCTCCTTCCTTCATTCTGGGGATGAGAATTTCTTGCTCAGTTTTAAATACCACTAGTCACTCGAATGAATGATCAGTGTTTCAGATCCAGCAGGAGGATTTGGCAGGTGAGCGTGGCCTGTGGTGTATTCACCTAGTATCTGTGAGCCCAGCTCCTGTACCCTCCACGGAGAGCCCTCCGCCGGGCACAGCCTCTCAGGTGGGCCAGAGTCTCTCAGACACCCTTCACGTACAGGGCTGGCCTCCCACTCTGTAGCTGTGCCAAGGTGGGCTGTGTCATTGCGAACTGTGTCACCATCACATCAAGTGGTAGTGTCAGACATCCACGGGCAGTCGTGAAATCCAGATGTCCAGAAAGTCAGAGCCCCAGGCTGCAAGGGGCTGAGCCTCCCAGCGGCGAAGCAGAGCTTTGCAGCCTGTGAGGGGCGGGGGCCCACCAAGCCCAGCAACCCTGTACACCCAAGCATCAGGCTGAGGAGCTCAGCTTGGTCAGCAGGCAGTGCCGGGCCCATCAGGGTGCCAGAGGTAGCACCAGGCCACGGGGAGCAGGGCGGCGGATTGACGCAGCATAGGGGCCAAGGCCTGGGGGGTGTTCGGTGGGAAAGCCATTGTCTTACCCCTCAGTCTCCTGTGCTGAAACCAGGGATGGCCCAGCCCTGGCTGGCCTCACCTGCAGGAAAGCCTGCTGCGGCCTGGGCAGGACCTGGGTGGCATCTCCACAGCTGGCATCCTGGCCAGCTCCCTGGCCCAACTCAGCAGCCCCAATTCTGTCCAGAAAGTGGCCAGACCTCGGGGCAAGTCCCCAGGCCCCATGTGGCACTGAGAAAGGCCTGAGCTGGGTCTCCCATCCCGTGGTGCTGCCTGGTTCATGCTGACTCTTGGGGCAGGCACAGGCCTCAGGCCTGGCAGGGGTGTCTGGGGCCACAAGGCCAAATCCAGCTAGGCTCATCTCAGACCATGGGAGGCAGGTCCTCCCCCAGCCCCGCTCCCACCCACCACTGGGCTTTGCTGCCCAGACCCAGCCTGGGGTCTGGAGGATCCCTGTGTAAGGGAATGGAGCAGCCCCCCAGCAGCCCCCCCACACCTACCACCCACACTGAGCTGTGTGGCATTGGTGTCCCCCAAGGGCAGAGTCGGACTCCATCTGGATCACACACAGTGAAGGCCCGTGGGGCAGGCCCTGGGCCCACAGAGCTGCCCTCCGGATGGGGCAGGTCGCCTCCCGTAGCATCGAGGAGGCCGTGGCCAGGTCAGCCCCCTGCCTTGTCCCAGCGGAAATGCCCTGGGTTCGTGGGTTCAATTCCTGGGCCAAGACAAACACCCCACCGAGACTGCCCGACTGCATCCTGTGACCTTCCAGGGAGAGTAAATAAAGCAGGAAACCCCATAGCTAAGCCCAAAGGAGAGGCAGGAAAGAATGGTCAGGACCCTGGGGGGTTGAGGAATGCAGGCCTTGGCCCCTGATCCTAGGGCTGGTGGGGGAGCATTCCTCACTGTCATTCACAGTCGGCGAGGAAGGAGGCTGCGCTCGCTCAGACGGAGACCCTACCCTGGCGGCTGGGAGTCCACAGGCGGGTGGCAGGGCAGGCCCAGCAGCTGCAGGACCTCGGGGAGTGCCATGCACGGGAGGTTGGGTGGGATCCAAGCTCAGCGCGGCTCCTGTGTTGGGGCAGGCTGCCCACCCCATGCAGACCCCTGCATGCATGGTGAGGGGAATGGGGGGAGGCGCTGCTGGGACGGATGGGCGAGCCCGGCAGGGTGGCCCTGAGTCAGGGTCTGCATTGGCACAGCCACAGCAGGAAGGCTGTTCCTAGAAGCAGCACAGCTGTCCCTGTCCCGCGGGCTCAGTCCCTGCAGCCACCCTGGAGCTCCAGAGGACCCCAGCACTGAGGGCCCCATGCCCTCCGCCTGCAAGCCCCAGAGCCTCCTGTAGCCTCGCCTCCCAGCCCCGACCCAGCTCCCTCTCTCCTCACCCCCCCACCCTCCCTGGCCTCCCCGCCTTTCTCTACTCTTTCCTGTGCTCACCCAGGAGCCTCCTGTGCCCCTGTCACTGGGGGCCCAGCTCCTATCAACCTGGAACAGCAATGGTGGCCCACGATTCATGAGCTCTTTTGTGTTTCGTTCCCCCGCTCCTGGCTCTGTCCCTGCCCTCAGGGTCCTGGCCACTTGTGAGTGACGGGGGTGCTGCCAATGTGAGGTCAGAGGAGGGGAAAGAAGTGGCAGGAAGTGTCCCCACCTCCAAAACAGTCCTGACGGGGCGAGAGAGGGGCACTGAGGCGCGGGATGACCAGGTGGCTGGGAGAGGGGCCCAGCAGCACCTGCCCCGGCCCACCTGGCATGTGTCTCCTGTGGCCCCGTGGTCAGGGGGCACCTCTGCCAGCTTTGCTCCCCTCCCAGCCAGCGCCAGGGGCAGGGGCCCAGCAGCTAGACTTCCTGTCAGTCCTCATCCTCCGAGACGGCGTGGAGTGCAGGGCTCAGGCAGATAGGCATGGCGGCCATGTGCCACCCCAGTCATAGATACCCTCTGCGGCAGGTGCCAGGACGGGGAGGACTGTCTTCAGTGTGGGCACCATGTCCACCCCTCCTGCCGGCCGCAATGGTGAGCCAGTTCCTTGGCCTCTTCTTACTCCTCGGGGCACTCTGCCAGGGTGTGGGGGAGGAGACTCGAGGAGCAGCCTGGGCCAACACAGCACCCTGCTCTCACGCAGGGTGAGTGGGTCCCCAGAATTTCTGGCAGCAGATGGGGTTCTTCTACTCACGTCCCGTGCAGGGTGGGGTGAGCTGGAGGTCCTCAGCCCCGTGCCAGCTCAGCCAGCCCTCAGGGCCTGCCCTGGGACCCCGGCCGGAGCCTGCTGTCCTACACCCCTAGAGCCTGGCTCACACCCATCCATCCCGAGGGCCATGTTCCACAGATGAAGTGCGCTCTTTGTCTGGAGGCAGCTCTGAGGATGCTGCCTTTGTAGCTCGGTCAGGCCCGGGAGCCCCCTGGGGCTGTCACACTCCGGGTAGGAGGCCTCGGGGCTGTGATGGATGCTTTGAGGCTCCAAGGAGCTGGCCTGGGCCCTAGGCCCAGCAGGAGCGGGTGCTGCCTGAGGAGACCAAGTGGACCCAGAAGACCACTCAGGGGCTACGCTGGCCACACCTGGGGCCTGGGTGGCAGGAGCAGCGGGGCTTGTTCCTCTGAGCCCTGCCATTTCATGAGGCGCATGATGGGACACTAACCTAGAGGCCACCCTGCCCGTTCTAGGGTCTGAGTACACAGAGGAGTGGGGGATGGGGCACAACACTGGCTGCAGGAGAGCCATGAGAGAAGCTGGGGCTCCTCTCCTTCCAGGCGTTTACCAAGCATCCGCAGCATGCCAGGCACAGAGCAGAGTACGGGCACCACCCTTGCAAGGCCCAGAGGTCATAACCAGGCCCAGCTGTGCTGTGTGTTCCGTGAATTCTCAAAGTACAGGAAGGGGTAATCAGAGAGGGCTTCCTGGAGGAGGAGCCTCACCACAGAGGCCCACAGGAGGAATGGGAGCACATCTGGGAAAACGGGCTTGGAGGAGGTGGCCCCAGCTAAGGAAACAGCAGGTAGGGAGGGCCAGTTCTTGGGACCCGTGGCCTTGGTCCAGCCACCCCACCCAGGAGTGGGTGAGGGAGAGGCTGGAGACCAGGCCAAGCTGAGAACCTGGGCTTCGTCCGGGGCCGGGAATGGCCCTGTTTGCCCCGTTCGTTCTAAAGAGATGGCCCAGGCATCCAAGGGGTGTGCAGCGGAGGAGGGAGCCAGGCAGACTCCAGGAGGGGTGGGGCAGGTGCAGGGGTGCTTCGGGAAAGCCAGAATGAGGTTTGGTGCTTGCTGGGGGTTGGGGCACGCAGGGCAGCTGGTGCCCAATTTCTGCTGTGTGATTCTCAGTGTGGCATCTGGGTATAGGCTGGCTAGGGGCCGGGGGTGCCTTCCAGCCTGGACTAGAGAGCTTGACGGTGTCTCCAGGCTGCCAGGGTGGGAGGAGCCTGAGAGTGGGCCCAGGCCAGCAAGGGAACCCTCAAGTTGGTGCCCACCCTGCCAGCCTAGTGCAAGGACAGTGACCCTCACACACTCCAGGGGCCCCCGCCCAGGCGGTGGGTGTCGTAACCACCATCCGGGCCAGAGGCTGGGGCCAAGTTGCTGGAGGTTGAATCACTGTCACAACCCTAACCACACACAGGCAGAAACTCCCTGCTCCCGGCCAAGAGAGCTGTGTGCAAGGCCTTCCCCGAGGGTGCACAGGCAAGGAAGACCAGCGGCGCCAAGGGGACCCCCGGGCCGGCACATCTGGGCGGCGCCGGGCCTGCCCCCGGGAAGGGCCACCGCAGAGCATGATTTATACCTGATTCCCGCCCTCTGCGGAGGCTGGGCCAAGAACGTAGCCCACTGCTGAAGTTAGCCTGGTTGGAAAGCTGGCTGCACTTCCCGGGGCTCCCCTTTGGTGACCAGAGAAGGGCGCGTCCGAGAGGAAGCAGTTGAGCTGGGCTTGGGGCACGAGCCACTCACAGGAGGCCTCCCAGCCCCATGTGCCAACTTTGCAGGCTGTTGGGAGACCTGAGGGGCACTCACTTTATGCCAGGCCCAGCGGTGCCCTCGGGAGACCCCCACCCTCGGAGTGAGACATGAGAAGCAAACGAGCAGATCCGTCCAGGGGACGGCTGCAGGCTGGATGGACCGTGCAAGGAGAAATCACCAGGCCTGGGACAGCAAGGCAGGAAGGTCTCCTCTGAGAGGGGACAGCTTTTATGCAGAGACCCCTTGGATGAGGCATCACAGGTCAAGGCCTGGCACAGGCCATAGCAAAGGGCCTGAGGTAAAACGGCCTGTGTGCCTTGGGGTGGTCTGGCCTCTGGAGGATGCAGCAGCAGAGAGGAAGGGCGAGGTGGGCCAGGATTGTCCGGGCTGGGTTCTCAGAGAAGAGCAGCAGCAGAGGCTGGGCAGGCTTGGCGCACACCCCCAGGAACAAGTGAATGTCAAGTGTGGAACCAGGGCTGGCTGGTCATGCGCGATGGAGGAATGGTGGCCAATGCCACTGTCCGGGGTGCTGCCTCCAGCCCCCAGGTGACACAGAGGCTCTGAGAGCAACCCCCCGGGGCCTGCCTTGTGGCTGTTTGTTTGTTTGACCAGCGGCAGCTGAGGCTCACGGAGGTGGGGCTGTTTGACCAGCGGCAGCTGAGGCTCACGGAGGCGGGGGAGCGGCCAAGTGGGCTGCAGTTATCCAGGTGTCCTTTTCCGGGATGTTGTGCCCCTCAGAAAAGCCAGGGGTGCGGGCTGGGCCAGCCAGGGGTGTGTGTGCCCAGGGCTGCCCCAGATACAGGGCAGCTGCAGCCAGAGTTGCCCCAGGTCTGCCCGGGCTCTCCCCCACGCCAGACCCCGGGCTCTCCCCCACGCCAGACCCCAGACCCCGGGCCCTCCCCCACGCCAGACCCCAGACCCCAGACCCCGGGACGGCCTCCCCGACGCCAGACCCCAGACCCCGGGACGGCCTCCCCCACGCCAGACCCCAGACCCCGGGACGGCCGCCCCCACCTCAGCCCCTAGGAGGCTGGGCTGATGGGGAGCTGGGCTCTGAGGAGGATCCCTGCTCTGTGTGGGGGGTGGGGGCAGGTCTGGGCATCTCCACCCCTGCCACCCTTAGGCTGCTGCCGTGGCTGGGGCGCTGTGCTGTGAATGGCGGGCAACAGCCATACTGCCTGCCCAAAGCCGTGCACCCCCAGCCCGCCTGAGACCCCAGCACCACAGTGGCCAACTCTGGCACTTAAAGGGGTCCCAACATGAAGGACTTGTGCCCAGTGTGTCGGGGGTGATGGCCTGTGTCCCAGTGTGGACTCTCATCCCTGTTCGCCAGCCGAGCCCATCATCTGCCCTCCGCCAGCCACAGAGGTTCAGAACCCTGCTTCTCACAGCCCAGCCCTCGCCAGCTCAGGGTCTCCCCGGCCCCTCCCACAGCAGTGATCGGGACCATGCAGAGCAGGCTCTGGCTCTGCGCCAAGGCAAGCCTGGCAGGGAGGCCCTCGGGAGCCAAGGTCACTCCGCCTGGTGGGGCTGGACCTCTCCAGGAGGTGCCGCAGGGACTTGCTGGGCGCCCTCTCCAGCCAGTGAGCTGCACATTGATAGGGGCCCCCCGCCACGTGCCTGGCCAGAGTGTCCTGGGGCCCCGGCCTCTGCCAGCACGTGGCCTGCCCAAACCCAGCCCCCATGGGGCCAGGGCAGGAGGCCTCACCGGCCTCGAGTCCTTATCTGGTGCTCAAGCCAAGTCCAGCAGTGGAAGCTACCATGAGGAGAGGCTGATGCTGGGATTCCACAGAGTCCGGGGATGGGACGGGCGCACCCGTGGGCTGCTGAGGCTCTACGTGGAGAGCTCTCTAAGGGCCTCCTTCCTAGCGGCCATGCTCCAGAGCCCCACAGAGCCTGTGTGGCCCCCAAAGCTCTGTGCTTAGGAAGTTCTCTCTTTGGTGGCCTTTGCCCCACAAACATGCGGCAGAGATGAGTTGGATTTGAAGCCGGGAGTTGGACATCTGGCTCCCCTGGAGATGGTGCCCCTGCTGTTGGCAGGCGGGGCCCCGAACCCCTGCCAGCCAGCTCGTGGGGCCGTGCCAGCCGCACCTTCTCCCCAGAAACCTTTGCTCCCTGCAGCAGCTCCAGGGGTGTTTCATCCCCATTCTGGGATGTGCAGGGACCCCTCTTTTCAGCCTCGGGCTTCCCCACTGCACCACAGCAGCAAAACCCCATCGGAGCTCTGAGCCAGGGTTTGGGTCTGAGCCTCAGGGCCAGAGCCCACAGAGTCTCCTGGTGTCTGCTACTGGGGAGACGTGCATGTTTCTCCTGGTGCCCAGGGATTTGGCTAGGTTTCCCTGGGCCCAGAAGCATAGGCTGTTCAGGGTGGACACACCATGGGCTACAGAGTAGACCCAGGCTGGGCCCTTGGCTACAGGTGACAGGAACCTGCCCCTAGAGGCAGAATGGAGGGACAAGAAGGGTCCCGAGGGCCAGAGCTTTTGCTGGGAAAGCCCAGCACGGGGGGCCACCCTAGTCCTTGTCCCCCTGGGCCCCCGATGTAGTACCCTTGCCCCCTCACCCCCCACCTCAGGCCCTCCCACCACAGCCAGTGTGAGGGCTTCACATCTCCCAGCCCCTGGCCCTGCGGTGTTGGCTGCTGGGCTCTGTGGCTCACGGCAGCTCCCTCTGGCCCACAGGTGTCTGGTGGCCTGACATGCACCGCCTGGCTGACCGCATCCACCTGGAGGAGCTGGCCCACATGGGCATCCTGAGCGGCAGCGTGGACGCCATGGTCCAGGCTCACCTGGGGGCCGTGTTTATGCCTCACGGGCTTGGCCACTTCCTGGGCATTGACGTGCACGACGTGGGAGGCTACCCAGAGGTCAGTGTGGACATGGCAGGCGGAGTGGCCTGCCCATCAGCTGCCGCTGAGCCTGACCCCCAGGGCAGGGTGGGACTCTAGGAGGCAGCAGGCGTGTATTGGGATGGCAGGGATGGGCCCCATGGCTCCCTGTGGTATACGGAGGCCATGAGGAGGGGGGAATCGGGACCCTGGCCAAGACAGGGGTGCATCTGTGAGCATTCCACAGAACTGGACATAGAGGCGGTGCTGTCTGCCTGCTGGGCCCAGGTGTCACCTGTCCAGAAGGTGGCACACAGTCAGGATACGGTGCATGGGGCCCCACAGGACAGTGGTGCTAAGGACAGGTCTTCGTGATGGAGCTACGTGGCACCCCTCACGTCCTGCCGCCTCTGGCTTCATTCAGACCTGGGGCGTGGGGAGTTGATGAGGCCCCACCCACTGGCGACTCACCCTGGCCCCTCACAAACCCGGAGCAGCCCTGCTCTGCCGCTGGTTCGCCCTCTCCTCCCAGGCCCCTGGGCCGCACACCTGGGACCCTGCAGCCTCCTCATCCCCAGGCATTCTGGGGCCCGTTGGCAGATAAGGGAGGCTGGGGGCCATCTCCAGACAAGGTTCCCCGGCCCTCAGAGGACCACCCAGAGGGTAAGTGAGGCTTGGGGAGGCCCAACCGGGCAGGTGGCTACGGCCTCTCGGCTGGGCGGCTGGGGCGCTCCCATCCCTGCCCTTGGCGGGCTGCCCAATGCAGGGGGCTGATTGTGCAATCGTGCACGCCCTGGGGCCCCCCAGCCAGTTAGCCAAGACAAGGCTCAGCCTCTTGGCTGCAGGGTGTTTTGAAAGCACTAAGAATGATTTTTTGGCAGGGTGGGGGCAGTGGGGGGAATTGCTTAAGAGAAGCATTATTATTCAATTATTTTTTTCCTCAAGTGTAAACAGTTAAATTTGGAGAAACAAAATCAGTTTTAATTTCCTAATGTCTATTCATCCCATTGTGTGCAGGGAGCCAAGAGCTGGGCCTTCCAGACATTGTTAGCTGAGGTTCGTTATTCATTAGTCGCCAAAGCGCTTTTTTTCCACCAGCAAAAATTGGCAGCAAACTGTTTTCATCTTTTCCAGTAAGCACCTCTTTGTGCTCAGAGTCTATTCTTCTGACAGATAAACATTGTGGAAAAAATATGGCTTTTCCTATAAAAGTCATTTGTTTTATTTCAGGCCTGCAGACACATCTGGGGCTCCTCTGCTTGGAGCCCAATAAAAGTTGAGGCCTTGTCAAGCCCTGTGCCCAGGCAGAGGCGAGCATGGGCGCGGTGAGGGCAGGACCCCTCCCCACCCCTGAAGGCTGCGCTTCCTGGGCCACAGGGGCTCGTGCCCTCCCCACATGGCTCTGCGCTCCACCCGGCCCAGCCCTTCCCATTCTCTTATGGCGCCTGCGCCCTGTTCTCAGCAGGTCCCCCGGGCAGGCCCCTAGAGCCAACACCCTGAAGGGGCAGCTGCGCCACTGGGCTGAGGCAGGCCTTGCCCTGTGCCCGCTGGGGATCCCTTCTAATCTCCCCCACCCCACTTCAGTGGTGGACCTCAAGATTTCAGAGGGGAGGAAAGTTCGTTTCTCTGGGGAAACAAACCTGCCCCTCAACCGTGTACCATGGAGCAGCCGGGGTGGGCCCATGGGGATGGAGGGGTGACTGGAAGGAAGGAAACCTGACGTTGGCAGGCCCTTGCTTCCCCCAGGCCCCTGGCTTCGATTGCTGTGGGTGGAGACAGGGACGGACACTTCAGGAATAGCATGAAGGAGAGGGATGGGCGGCGGTGGGGTGGGGGAGCCCAGCACAGGCTTCGGATGACAGGGACGGGAAGGTCCTGGAGCAGAGACCCTGGGACCCCCAGCAGCTTCTGGGCAGGAGACAGGCCCCAGCTCGGTCCACATGCACCTCTCACCTGCGCAGAGGGACTGTCACTCCATACGGTTCCTCAGCCACGGGGCATCCCTGCCCTCCGGCCTCAGCTCCCGGTCAGCGGCCCAGAGGCAAGTGTTGTGGGGCCGGGGCCACACCAGCCAGGCTGTGGTGTCTCCTCATCGCCTCCCGCCTGGCCTGCTCTCTCCAGGTCAGCGTGGCTGTCCCTGCCCTCCGTGGAATCAGTCACAGCCTCTCTGGCCGTGCCCAGCGTGGAGGCCGAGCCAGCCTGTTTCTGGTTACCTTACGTGAACTGCTAATTGGAGTCTGATGTTCTTGGCCCCCAAACAGTCAGAAATGACAGCTCCCGCTCCAGCAGCTGGGCTTCCTGGGGAGGGAGTGCAGCCGGGCAGGGCAGGCTCATCCCCTGACCAGAAAGCATACTCGTGCCCACTGGCTCAGAGGCCCTGGCCGCCGGCCGGATGGTGCCCCGGGGACCTGAGGCGAGCAGGAGCTCTCCTGTAATTCCCAGAGCACCCGCTGCCCTCAGCCAAGCTGAGGCCCCCTCAGCTGTGCCTGTGAGTGGACAAGGCCAGGCTGGGTGTGCACTGGGGCAGTGTGGGGCGCAGACAGGGGCCCCTGCAGGGAGCGGCTCTACCACTGTCCCTCAGGCGTTCTCCAAGGCTGGGGGCTATTTCCCAGGGCCCTGCCGTAAGGCCCCGAGCTCTCCTCTGGGAGCCACACCTGCCAAGCCACGCGCACACGGCACATTTGCACTGGCGCACTAAGGCTGGCAGACCCACCCTGATGACGGCACCTGTCCTCCCTGGACAGTCACACGGAAAATCTGGGCCTCGGCCTAGGGGAGCTGGGACCACGACTTCTGGGGCCAGTTTCTACTTGGGCTGCCTGGAAGGAAAGCTGTGGCCCCAAGGGGCTTCACAGCCGCCTTAAGAGCTTTTTTGGCTTCAGTGGTTTGGCATCTGCCACTCCTCTGGCCAGCAGCGGGGCCTGGCTAAGGGCAGCCCAACCCTCAGCCAGCCCCACAGGCCTGTCTGGGCAGCTTGCCCCGGGTGTGTGCACATGGGTGGCCACAGGGCTTCTCAAGCAAGCCCTAGGGTAGTGTGGCCAGGGACACTCAAGATCCAGGGGTATGTGCAGGGTGGAAGGTCTTATCAGGGTGCCCATGGCCCAGCACAGCAGGGGCGAGTCTAGGCTGAGGACCCCAATGGTCAAGAGAGCCCACGAGACTGGCACCGGCCCTCACATGCCCATCTCTCCTGATGAGGCCACGGTGAGCCCTGGAGCTGCTCATCAGGCCCCTCACCTCTGTTCCCCACAGGGCGTGGAGCGCATCGACGAGCCCGGCCTGCGGAGCCTGCGCACTGCACGGCACCTGCAGCCAGGCATGGTGCTCACCGTGGAGCCGGGCATCTACTTCATCGACCACCTCCTGGATGAGGCCCTGGCGGACCCGGCCCGCGCCTCCTTCCTTAACCGCGAGGTCCTGCAGCGCTTTCGCGGTTTTGGCGGGGTGAGTGCCCACGGGCCCCATTCTTGCTCCCAGAACATCTGCCACCTCCACTGCAGCTGCAGACTCCTTAGTCCCAAGACAGGGGCCCTAGTGACATCTTCCCTTGAGGTGGGCTTAGCCTGCCCCTTCGTGTGGTCTGTCACAGGATGGAGCCTCACCCCTCAGTAGGAACAGACAGAGATCCTGCAAAACCCCTGCCCGCTCCAGGGGCTCCCATCCACCTGGCAAAGACAGGGTGAGCAGGTGACATGGGCAGATGGCTCCATGAAGGAGCCCGGAGGCCACCCGTCTCCCAGGGAGTGTCAGCTGCTCCCATCCCATGGTGGGGTGGGCCTGGAATGGGCCCGGCCCTCTAGCCTGGCACATGAGGCTGCTCTATGATAATGTGTGTCTGTCGGCTTGACCCAGGTCCGCATCGAGGAGGACGTCGTGGTGACTGACAGCGGCATAGAGCTGCTGACCTGCGTGCCCCGCACTGTGGAAGAGATTGAAGCATGCATGGCAGGCTGTGACAAGGCCTTTACCCCCTTCTCTGGCCCCAAGTAGAGCCAGCCAGAAATCCCAGCGCACCTGGGGGCCTGGCCTTGCAACCTCTTTTCGTGATGGGCAGCCTGCTGGTCAGCACTCCAGTAGCGAGAGACGGCACCCAGAATCAGATCCCAGCTTCGGCATTTGATCAGACCAAACAGTGCTGTTTCCCGGGGAGGAAACACTTTTTTAATTACCCTTTTGCAGGCTCCCACCTTTAATCTGTTTTATACCTTGCTTATTAAATGAGCGACTTAAAATGATTGAAAATAATGCTGTTCTTTAGTAGCAACTAAAATGTGTCTTGCTGTCATTTATATTCCTTTTCCCAGGAAAGAAGCATTTCTGATACTTTCTGTCAAAAATCAATATGCAGAATGGCATTTGCAATAAAAGGTTTCCTAAAATGGTCCTTTGTGCGTGGCTTCCCCTTTATTCCTTTGCAGATGAGCATTTGGGACCCCGTGCACCCTGAAAAGATGGCTCACCTGGTGTCAGTATCAAGTCAGTTCCAGGAAGATGGTGCTGGCAGCACAGGCCCTCTAACGGCTGCTTCTGCCTCAGACTGGCCTGGCGGGACAAGGGCAGAGTCCTCCCCGAGGAGCCTGCTTTGAGCCCCTGGGACTCGGGGCTCTGGTGTCACCCTGTCACTTGCTGCAAGGTTTCCCAAGCCTAACAGGCATCAGAACCACTGGGGCATTTGGTAAGAGATTCCTGGGACCCCCACAGACCATCTGACCCAACGTCTAGGGGCAATGGCCCAGGAATTGTGTATTTCACAAGCGCCCGCCAGATGCTCCTGACAGACAAGTGTGAGAAGTACTCCTAGGCAAGGTGGTTTTAGCTTGTCAGTACCAGCGCAGCCCGAGGTTTGAGGTGGGGCAAGCAACGCTGCAGGAAGATCCTAGGCACTCAGGTCAGACTGGCCAAGTCACCCCGCGCCATGCCTTTGCGCAAGTTAAAGGGCGGACTGATTTAACACAAGTCTTTCTGATACGGTCACTGCCTCCAAACTAGATTTCTGAAGGTGGTAGAATCATGTAGCGCTTGAGCTGCAGATATTTAAAACCTGAGACTTGCAGGGATCTCTTGTCCTTGATTTCTTTTTCATGTGGGACACACTAGCCAAAGCCAGCATCTGTCGGAGACACTGCCAACGAAGGCAGCGCCACAGCCAATTTGCAGAGACCGCTTGTCCTCCCTAAGTGTAGTCCTTGAACAAATTCTACCAGGCAGGAAGCCAGCCAGGGCCCAGCCATGCCTGGTGAAGTATCTGTCCTTGCCTCTGCTTGTCCAGTTCTCCCAGGGTCCCGCAGAACAGCCCACCCCTGGAGCTGGTTTCTAGAATTCTGTACACCATTCCAGGTTTGCCTTCTCACAGAGCTCCCATCCAAGAGTTCCCAAGCCAAGGTGAAAGATGACAAGTGAGAAGGATGCCACAGATGAAACCATGAGGATGAGGGGGTGGAAAACTGTAGCTTAAGAGACGTTTTCAGAAGTCACCAAAGGCCAGCACAGTGGCTCACGCCTGTAATTCCAGCACTTTGATCACTTGAGGTCAGGAGTTTGAGACCTGCCTGGCCAACATGGCAAAACTTCATCTCTATTAAAAATGCCAAAATTAGCTGGGCGTAGTGGCACACACCTGTAATCCGAGCTACTCCGGAGGCTGAGGCAGGAGAATCTCTTGAACCCAGGAGGCAGAGGTTGCGGTGAGCCAAGATCATGCTACTGCACTCCACCCTGGGCAACAAAGCAAGACTGCCTTTTTAAAAAAAAAAAAGTCACCAAAGAGTTTAATACAAACTGATTTCTTCCTATGGTAATAACACAGAAGTGCTTATAAAGTGGTCACATTAAAATAAAAGCCAATTTCAGTTCCAAATCACCATTTATCTTATCTGCTTCTTAGATTTATAACATCCATTCTTTAAGGTTTTCTGCTGGTACAGATACATTCCCTAAGCTATCCATCTGTGACATTGAGCAGTAGCAATTATGTCTTTTTAGCCAGGCGCAGTGGCTCATGCCTTGGGAGGCCAAGGCTGAAGGATCGTCTGAGGCTGGGAGTTCAAGACCAGCCTGGGCCAACATAGGGAGATCCCGTCTCTTAAAAAAAGTAAAAATAAAAAACTAGCTGGGCGTGGTGGCACACGCCTATAGTCCCACCTACCCTGGAGGCTAAGGTGGGAGAATCGCTTGAGCCCAGTTCAAGGCTGCAGTGAACTATGATCGCACCACTGCGCTCCAGCCTGGGCAACAGAGCAAGACCCTGTCTCTTAAAAAAAAAAAAAAAAAAAAAAAAAAAGTATCTTCTGAGTGTAAGGAAAGTTGAAGAGTTCACCAAGCACTTCTCCACCCCTGTTCCCCTGTGACAGACACAGTCTGGTGTACAGGGCTTTAATTTCCACCACTTTCAGGATAAAACCACTCAAAGTCAGGATGAAGCTCAAAATGGACAGTTTAGTTCTGTTAATTGAGAAACAGAGCTGAGTGCACCATACATCTTTCTCCTTCCTTTCAGACATTCCATACCAAAGCTGCCCGTTCCACATAAACATCTCTGATTATCAAGAAGTGAACAAAAAGGAGCAAGGAGAAATCTCTTATTTCTATCTAAACACTTTTCAGAGGGTCACTAGGAACAGAGAGGTCACGTTTTTCCTGAGCCAGTAGGTCAAAGGGTGCTCTTTAAAAAAAAAATTTTTTTTTTAATAAATAGAGACAGGAGTTTGCTATGTTGGCCAAGTTGGTCTTGGAACTCCCGGCCTCAAGCAATCCTCCTGCCTTGGCCTCCCAAAGTGCTAGGATTACAGGCGTGAGTCTCCACCTGTCTCAAAGGGCATTCTTTGGAAGCACAGGTCTAGAGGGCCCCAGTAGCTACCTCCGCTACCCCCATGTTTGTACCTAACTCTGTCTCTTCTAACCTCTGCAGAAATTCATGTAGCTTCAGAAATCCATTAGAGACCCCGCCAGAAAGCTGTATAGTGTGCTACAACCCTTCTGAAACTCAGTGTCTAGGTATTCATTCAATACATAATTGAGCATCTACTCTGCCAGTGCAGGATACAAACATGACCCCTCCTTCCAGAGCCTCTAGTCTGCTGCGAGGCCTTCACCTCAAACCAGCATGAACAAATATATTGTCTCAAACACTGCAAAGTGCCATGAAGCAAGCAACAGGATAGGCTTAGCGTAGACAGCCAGGGGGCTGAGACAGAGAGGGAACTTGTTAGTGAAAAGCCAGAGGAGATGCTTCATTCCAGACAGAAGGAGCTGTCCCAGGAAGGGCAGAAAAGAGCTTGGAAAAGCCCTAGAGCCGAAGTAGAGTGACACAGGAGGATGGAGGGAAATTAAGTTGATGAGGGGAAACGCCACGACACAAGGAGACTGAGTCTCACCCCGGGTGCAATGGGGAGCAACAGATGGTTCTGGAGAGCAGGCAGTGACGCTGCCATCCAGGAACACCAACGAGGAGCCAGTCACCAAGTCCAGGCAAGCGAAGAGGATGGCTCTGCATGGGGGTCGGGGTGGGTGAAGCAGACAGGTACCGGAGCTCCATTTAGAAGGTGGAAGTGAAAGGTGGCGATGTGGAAGCGCATCTGGTTTTAACAGCTTCTTTACAGGGAGGGACAAGAGGTGGCGTTTGGGCTGCAAAAAGTGTAACGCGTGACTGTTTCACTGACAATCCTATTCCTTTTCCAAGTCCAATTCTATAACCCCCATTTCTCTAGATGCCTCTATACAGCTTTCAGGCCTAGAGCTCTGTGAGGAGTGGGATACTGCAGTAAAAGAATACCTAGGCAATGGTGTTCTCTGAATGTATGTAAAACTGTAAAACGCTTATGAACTCTCTGGCTAGGCACAGGCAGTGGATGAGCTGGTCTAAAAGTGCTTTTGTCAGAAAAAGACCGGCCCCCCTCACAAAGATGTCATCACTCGGTAAAATTCCCCAAGACACGTTATTGGATTCTAAATCACAACTAATTCAAAAAAGTGAAACGGGCCACACTTCCCATAGAAATAATTCCTGACCTCCACTTTTCATTAAGATGCAGCAAGCAGAGATTTATTTCCCAAGACATGAAAATAATTGAGGCATCAGAGAAGAAAAGCATTTAAATGGCATTCCCTTGAAATATTCAATTCACATCAGCTCCCTGGACTCAACAGTTTATGAAATCAGCAAATTCATCTCTACAGACACTCTATGACGTAAATGAGGACAGTGTCCACATGTACTACAAAACTCCAGATGGGGAAAGGCCTTACTTTAAATTCTTGACTATCTATCTCGAAACATAAGAATTTCTTCCCTCTCTAAATGGAAACCATGTTCTGAGACACTAGGTGATTAAGCGGGAACCCATTTATTCAGTTATTCCTTTCCCTATTCTGGTATAATTTTTAGTTTAGACCAAGTGACTAAAAATATAACTAAAGATGTATCCCATGTTCAGAGAAAACTATTTTCCTATCCACTAAGGGCAAACGGGGAGATCTAGACTTGGACACAAATACCTCTGCCTGTCTCCCCACTTTCCCCACCCCTACCCCCAGCCGTCCAGTGTGGGAACAGGAAAGACAGCAAGGCACCTGCCTGGGCTTCCCAGCTGTTTAACATCTGGACTGCTTTTTGGTATCTAATATAAAGAAAGCCACGATGAAAGACAAGTCATTGTTCCAAAGTTGTTTTTTATTTTATATTTGTTGAAAGAAATAAAATTATATTTAAAAAAAATAGAGAAATCTCACAAACTGATGAAAGCCAGGAACAAAAAGAACAAGTTAGTACTTTTTCCTGAGAGGCAGATCTAACAGCTGCAGAATGGACTTCTTCCTTCCCAGCTTTTGTGAAACAAAACAATTCTCCTAAGGCATCAGAAAGCACTGAGTGCAAAATGGGTTGTTCAGGTACAAGGTCTCAAGCCCTCTAATGGGGACTGGGAAACGTGAAAAGCTGCTACAATTTCCTCTCCTTTAATACCAAATGTTAAACTGTCTATACTTCTACTTTTTATGTAAATTTGAGAATTTCACACTCATGACCTGCATTTCGGACCTGGTCGTGTTTGATTAAAATCTTACTACTTAGTGATCTGCACTGGCATCCCAACAACTGATTGCAGGGGCCAGCAGCAGGAAGAGCTGCTCTGATCTCACCATCCGCAGCCAAAACCAGCCAAAGAGCACCCATCCCAGGAGACTCAGATGCAGCTAGAAATTTATGCTAAAGCCTAACTCCTAACTATGCTGGACCTGCCCACAAGGGCAGATCACATCCTAGTGGTTCACAGGTCACACACAGAACAAAAGTTACAAAAGTCACCTCACAATTCCCGAAGCTCTAAATTGATTCATTCCCCACACGTGGTTTCCCTAATTTTATACTGATAAATCTATCAAATTAAAAGCTTTCATTTCCAACCACTTCAATAAGATAGACAACACCATGCTTAACATTTTTGTTCTCTGCCTAATTGCTTGCTTCTGCTAAACTTTGCATTTCCATGGCTAATAGGAAAGCTTGAACCCATTTTTCCAAAAGTTCCAATCTTGTGTTCTGATTTGAAATACTGAGTACACACCCCTGATGCTTTCTCTAAAGTTTCTTTTTCAAGATACTTAAGTCAATTCATATAACTGGTATAAATTCCATGGGAGCATCGAATTCCCAAGAGATTTAAATGTCTGTAGCGCCTACCATAGGTGCTTGCTTATACATTCAAGTGACCTAATGCATCTCCAATTAAGTTAATTATGTAACACCAATCAGCTGCTAAGGAGCCAGTAGGATCCTGTGGGTGTGTCCTGGCTAGTTTTTCAAAACATCTCTCATCCTTCATGGGTAGATTCATACTCCAAGGTAAGCTGGTGTTGGACCCTAGAAACCCCTATCCTGTCTCCTGGCTCTATAGGGAGTTAACAGCCCTCCTGGGACAGCTTCTCCTGGGCTCCAGTTTTACATTCAGAAGGACCTCACGACTCTTAAGAATGGCTTTGCTGAGTTGCTGGACACCATGATGTCTTCTCCTGCCCAGAAACGGCACGGTCAGCAATCTTCCACCAACCGGAGGGTGCAACTTGAGTTTTATTCTGGCTACATCATCCCAAGTCCTAGTATGAAACAGCAATGTGGCCAAAAATGACCATGTTCAAATAAGATACCTGATAACACAAACTTTTAAATCAGTTATGACTCAGTCTCTCATCTCCAGCCCAGGCACACAAAAAATACACAAATTTGAGCTAGAACTGTGCTAAGAAAAAAAGAGAAAGAAAAGAAAGCAAAAGAGAGAAGAAAAAACGTTGACAAAGACAATCTAAACTACCAACACTGACGTAAGCCAGACTCTAGAGTCCCTACTTTAGCGACTGCCATTTTTTAGTCTCAACAAAAATGTCAATATCCTGAGTTTTATCAGCATTTTCTGAAATAATTTATGGGACACAAAAGCATATAAATGAATAAACAGAAGCAGTGGTACAAAGTCTGGAAAGCCCACTAACCAGAAAAAGAAATGTCACAACAACAATATCAAAAGATGTATTTAAGAGAAATAAATTAAAGGTTAAAACCTTACACTTTCAAGTTTTCTTAGACAATTATTTTGGGAGATGGCATGGAGTTGATACATTTCTCTAATAATCACTTGGTTAAGATCAAATACCAAAATGAGCCTTCAGAAGAAAATTTTGACTTTAAAAGTAACAGCCCCATGGCAGCTATTTTGAACACAAGAGAAACTACCTTCTGAATTAATATTCCAAACCCTCATCAGTAGCTTGTGTCATCAAACTGTTAAGATATTTTGTTTACTAACTTGGTTGTCAAAATTGTATCCAAAAAAACACTAGCATCTGCAGAAACTAAAATTTTGGTACACAAGTTTCTCTACACCACTGAGTTGGGTTTTTAGAATAAAACAATGCCAATCTAAGCCCAAAGGTATCTCAAAAACATAATTCCTATGCTTTAGTTTTATTTTTGTGTTTAATCTATTTGCTTCCTAAATGTTATTTGTATTTTTTAAGTCAATTGGCCACACACTACCTATAAGATGTGATGAAGTTTCTTTACTTAACCTGACATTGCTACTCAAAAACTTGTACTTTTGGGGGAAAACAGTACTAATTATGTTAAAACAAAGTTTATGCCATATATAAAATCACTCCAAATTACACACTCATTGCTTTCTATAGCTCTACGAATTTATAATACATAATTTAGAAGAAAATCACAAATAGATTACCATAGGTGGCATTCAACTTTTCTTAATCCAATTCAGCCTATCCATTAAAACCAAGAACCTTCTGCGCGGCCTGCCAGTTCCCCATTCCTTTTGTCAACTTAAAAAAGAAGCATTTCTTGGGAAGTCAGGATTTATTAAGAACATCGGGATCCCAGATATTTCTTTTTTTACCATATACCTTAACATTTGGGGGATTTTGATTCCCACAAAAACCTCTATCATTTAAAACCAGATATTCGAATTACAAGGCTAACATTTTTAGCTAATCAACTCTTCAGTGCTGATCCCAGAAAATAGCCTCCAATGGGTCTTTGAGTCATGGAAATGGACAACTTTCAGCCATTGACATGAGTGGTGTCGGTGGTCACACCTTTAACATTCAAGCCACAAGCTCTAAAGTCTGGAAAGGGTGAGGTCTACTGTCCTGCATTGTCGCCATCTGCTGTCGTATTTTCAGTGCTAATGGACTGTACGTTGTCTGCAAGGTTGTGTGCATGCTCAAGAAACAAATCTTTGAGTACACTTAATTCCTTGGTCAGCAATTTGATTTTTGCTTCCAACCGTTCATTCTCTTCTTTGAGCTGATTGACTCTCTGCAGTGTGTCTTGTGCTTTCTGCTTGCTTTTCAACCGGCTCTTTTTCACAGCCATGTTGTTCCTCTCTCGGCGTTGCCGATACTCGTCACTGTTTCGATCCATGGGCGAACTCTTTTTGCTCTGCTTGCTGGGAGCCACAGCTTTGCCTCCTCCCCCAGGGCCAGCAGGCACCAGCTGAGGAACCTGCTGTAAGCCGCTGGCATGTGCCTGGGTATGGATAACACTAATTCCGTTCACCCCTGGAGTGCTGTTTTGCTGCGATATCTTGCTCATTTGGGCACTCTCCCTTGCCAACACAGAACAGGTAGAAATGAGAGCAGGGTGATCAATGGTTTCCACGCTAAGCTGCCAAAAAATCTTCACATGTACCTAGTTAAAAAATAAATTGCATTAAAATATTTGAAATGACAGGATCAAATGAGATCAAACTTGTACGTACCTAACATCAGGCCAACATTAATTGATTCTGCTGAGAAAAGTCTACAGCAACTGCCAACTGTTCCAATGTTTCTGAAGTCTAAATCATTTCACTTAGAAAGGTAAGTAAGCACAGAAGCACCATCAGGCGAAACTCAGCCCACCTGGATCCCTGAGGGCACTGCCCCTCTGCGATTGTTATCAAAAATGGGAGGAAAACAAAAGACTTCCACTAATTAGGTGGCGCATGTGAACTAACAGCACTTGACAATCTCCCAGGGAGGAGCTGCAGCTGACTGTAGTAGGAGAGACACCTGCAATGAAAGGGGGGAAAAGTTTCCATTGTTGGTTCAAGTCAAAACAGAAGGCTGGGGTTGCGCACCCTGTCTCCAGCGCTCTCATGCTATCACCCCTGCGGGTTCCATGTTCTAATATGCAGAGAGGGAGTCATCGAGGACTTGAGTTCTCTCCCAGAGCTCTCTTCATCGGATATTTTGAAAAGGTAGTTTTTTGCTTTATTTTTTTAATGACCTCAAATGATAATTCCACAGTTTAACCAAATTTACTGAGTCAGTTTCTTGAATTTAGGAGCTCTGACACTCAATTTGCTCCCCATCCCACCAAGCTTGTAAAAAGTGTGTTTTTTCTTCTTGACATAATTAGTAAAACTCAAAACACACTCAACCTGAAACCACAAGGAAAGAAACAGAAGCCCTCATGATGCATCCAAGGAAGTGCGGGTCCTGGGACCCAGGCTGGACAAAGGAGCTGAGCAGCTGCCGTGCCTGTGGCCACTTCGTGCTACCAAATGAGCTCGTGTGAGCTCGGAGGACGCACCAGCTCTGAAGCATCCCTGTGCTGCTGCCTGCAGAAATGAAGGCACGGTTTCGAAAAGCAGTCACATGTGGATTACTCTGAATCCAATTAAGTCCCTACAGCTGCCCCAAGAAGTGTAAAAGTGTGACTATCCTATCAACATGAGGCCACTTCAAGACAAACTAAGTTCAGTGAACGGTGTCCACCAAGGAATCAGGGCACTCTTAGAAATTTAGAAAGCAGTGTTAGGAACATAAAACTATCCTGTTCTCTTTTCACAAAACTGCTAAAATCACATCAGTGGAAAAAATCTGGAGTCAGATTTATGCAGTGATCCCACAATGAGGGAAAGCTCAGTTAGCAAACACCAGTAGCTACACCCAAACCTTCAGCCAGGCAATTCTGTACACTGTTTATTGGTCTCTTTTTAAAAAACATCTTTGCTTTGAAAAGTCCATGTGTCATTACTTTCCATTGTTTTCAAAGCCACACAGCCGACTCTGAGCTAGTAGGTCATCTGTTCTCACGCCAACACTAAGGCAAGACAAAAAGCATCCCTCCAAACCATGAGGGCGATCCACTCCAAGCCTATCTTCAGTAATGGACAGTTCACAATTTCCCTTGGTCATCATTAGGTTGCCTCATTTTTCTTCCAGTAGAAAAGTGGCTGTTTAGTATTAATCTGAGCCACATTTAGTGCCACCTAACATTATTATTATCCATTTGGTGTCAAGTGAGAGGTGCTTTACTCAATTTTTAAGAACTTGTTTAACACCTCCCCTGAGACTGTCTTAACAATCATAATCATGTTCACCTTATTTCTCTACTTTTTTTTTAATATACCAATTATATTTTTAGCCTTTAAAGCTCTCTACAGTCAACTTGTCCATGCTCAGAGATAGCAATGATCCAAAGCGGTAGAGACCAGTGACCAGGCCAGTTCTTGTCTTGGCTGTGGCTCCCCCTATTTTAGTTTGGGCAAATCTCTTTTCTTCCATGGCTGTCTGTTCCCCACATGCAAATGAGGGATGTGGAATAGTAAGACACTTTCCTACAGACAACACACCACGACCTTCAGTCACTAACAAACAGCTCTTACTCACTACAGGGTCCACGTTCAGCAACGTTCACGCCTGTTTCCGTATCCAAAGATACAGGAACAGGGAAGGGCTTTTTCACCTCTGCCTGACTCATCTTGCAAGGTACTAGGCTGAACGTGTGTGGTAGGTGAGGTTTTAAAGGTAAGCCCTTTGGCCTGAAAAGAGTATTCACTGAACCTACAAACTGGTGAAAATGTAAGAAAGAGAAACTTGGAGATAATCAAAATAACTCCAAGAATGTTTTGTTTAGTAAGTTCTTTAACCATATAAATAGCTCTTAAAGTGAAGATTAACCAAGTAAAAGGGGATCAAAGAGCTAAGTGATTTTACACTGAAAAGGCCACTCTCATTTACGCTTTGTTCCTCCACACACATTTACTGAACACCTACAACAGGCAAAAAGTGTTTATTTGAAAGCTGGACACTCAGTCCTAAATTCAAGTCTGGCTCCTCTGTGGACAAACACTATTCCAAAGTTCAGGCTACAGGATGCAGGGCGGCGCCTGGCTTCCTTCCATGTGAATCACTCAAGGAGGAAACAGCAGGAAAGCTGAAGAGCAGTGGTTCTCAAAGTGTGGTCCCTGGACCAGCATCATCATCATCCAGGAACTCTTTAGAAATGTAACTTCTCAGGCTGCCCCAGACTTAGAATCAGGAGTTCTAAGAACAGAGCTGAGTAATCTTTTCATAAGGAGACCTCCAAGTAACTCTGAATACACTGAAGTCTGAGGGCCTCTGCTGCTGATTCCCAATGAATATTGAGAATGGTGGACTAAGTGGGTAATAGGCTTTGTTTTAATTCAAACTTAATTCAAGTAATGTTCATTCACGTCAGTCACACTGAAAGCGCAGAATGTTAGAATGAGTAAAACAAAATCAAATTTTTCTCAAGTTTCACCTGGGAAAATAAACCTATCAAGAATTTTCCTAACCCTTTTGTCCCTTTTCTCCACAGACCTAGAACCCAATATTCCTCCCCTTGCCCACCAAAATAAATTTTTCACTCGATTTCCTCAATGAAGGTCAACATTTCAAAATAGTCACAGATGTTTCTCCTTGGTCCTAACTCTGTTTAGTCTCTGGGATTTGACAATTCCACCTAAAACAAACAAAAAAAAAACTTCCCATCTACTCTTCCTCTCCATCCCAATCCCATCGAAATCACCTTAGGCCACTATCATCTCTCAGGGACACTGGTCTCTGGTCTAGCCTGCTTCCTCCAACCTCTGTCTCCAGAGCAATTGAACACTCAAACCTGAGTGAGTCATTCTCCTGGTGAAAATTCATCTCTGGCTCCAGTCTACAGGATCAAATCCAAGGTCCTGACCCTCTCTCCTCCCTCACACCACATCTTGACAGTACTAAACCACTATCTGTATCCTAAATGGTCTGTGCTTTCTCTTTTCTTTGGGCATCTGGGAAAATTTGTTCCCTAGGTCTGTCAACTCCAGCCGCATCGTGTCTCCCTGCAGATCTTCACAAGCATCTAGCGCAGGGTCCATGAGGAAGGGGACGTCCCCTTTCTGGGAGTACAGAAGTGGGTCACTGGAGCATTAGAAGAACATCAACATCATCTTTCTAACCCAATCCTTTTGAAGTGATTTACAACACACAAAACAAATAGACTATTTGTAAATGAACATCCATTAGGAGGTCATGCTCATTTTTGTCTTTTTTTTACTGATAGAGCTAGAAAGCCACAAACGCAGGAGGCCAGTGTACCTATCAATATAACAACCCATGGAACCAACCCTCCCAAGAACGCACAATACAGCTGGAATCGTGGCTACCTGTATTTACCATTACTGTGACCAAGTGAGGCAATCTTAGACCACGAGACCAAATTCAGCCCCACGAGGTCCTATTTGTCTTTACCAGGGGCTCAGCACATAGTGTTTAATTTCCCAGGGATGAAACCATCTCTCCAAGATCAGACAGCCTTGCAGACAGACATGATGTGATCTTGAGAATTTAAAGGATATTCTCAATGAAGTTTTGTTTCCATCTACTTTTTTTAAAAGCAGGTATTAAAAATAACTGAACCAGCCAAGTGTGCCCACCAAAAGCAGGAATCAAGAAGCTGAAATATGCTTCAGCTCCCTTGTACCCTGTAATTATTTAGCCTTGTTTACAGCAACTTTTTCCAGAAGCAGAATCGACCTTATGAACAGCTTATCCCAAATACTACTCAAGGGCTAACAGATGACCACATCTTAAATATCAAGAGCTTCTAGGTGTAGAATGTCTTCGTAAAGCAAGCCCTTATAGGATTTTCTTTTAAAATTTTCTCTGGGAGTCACATTTCTTTGGGAGAAGTCTGCCTTAAGTGACAACCTATTCATATAAGCAGTCAATTCTGACACAACTACCAATTTTGGTGTCACCCATCAACATTGAGACCTTTCTAAATCTTATACATTTCAGGATGCCAGATTACAGTATAAACTTCAAACAAGAGGAAAACCCAACACGTAAACCTGCGGAAGAGAAGCAACACACCAGCTGCCCTGGAAAACACTCTCCTCCCCCCGCGACACATGCATTTCCATCCTTCGCATCTGGTCACCTCCGCTGGCTGTCGGCCCTGCTCCGCTCCCTCCAACTATGCCTGCGAAGTGCTTCATTTCTTCTCTATTCGACCCGTAGGTGTTGCGTGTTCTTCTAAACTACGTTCAACAGTAAAGTGCAGGACATTCCAACAGCTCCACAAAGAAGCAAAATATTATCTCTGCAAAGTCATGCATTTAAAAACCAGTTGCTTTCCCTATTTTATTGATCAGTCTTTGAACTTCTGAACAGATTTTCGATCACCGCAAGCTGAGCCCTTCTAGAAGATCAGGATTCTAAAGCTCGACTCGGTCCACCTTCTGCTATTCTGGGAACACCCTTCATCCCCAGGGGCCAATGCGAGCCTGGCGGGTCACAGCGCCCGTTTCACCGAGAGGGGGCCGGGCTCCGCAGGGGGCATTCCCCGGCCGTTCGCGCGCTCCCGGCCCGCCGCGAGGGGCGCCCCGGGCAGCGCGGGGGTCGACGGGCGGCGCCGCAGCGCTGGGCCGCGGCCAGGAATGAGCTCAGCGTCCCCGCCGGGTGTTGCCGGCAGGTTGCATCAGACGCCGCGCGGCGCCGCCGCCCGCGCCTCCAGCCTCGCGTGGCCTTCCCGGGCCAGCGGGCCGTCTGGGGCCGGGGCTGGGTTTCCCCGAGCCGGGCCCGCACCCAGTCGAGCGGCCGGCGTCGCCGCGGCCTCCTCCTCCCCGTTCTCAGGGCGCCCGCCGCAGCCTCCTTACCTGCTCCTCTAGCCCGCCTGCCCCCAGGCGGCCTCCACTCCGAGCGGCCCCGCGCGGTGCGGCCCGAGCCGACCCAGGCCTCACAGCCCGCGAGTCAGCGAGGAGGAGCGACGGTTACGAAACCGGCAGCCTCCGCCCGTTCCGCAGCCGCGGCCACCGGCTTCCCCTGCTCGCCGGGGCCGCGCGCGCCGCCGCCGCCATCCCGGCCAATGGGAGCGCCGGCCTGCCGGAGGCACCGCCTTCTCTCGCGACGGGCAGCCCAGTCGACCAATCGTGGGCAGGCTGGCGGCGGGAGGCGGGCCCACGGTGGGGGAGTGGGTTCCGCGCGGCTGGCTCGGCGGGTGTGGCGGGAGCAGGGAGCTGCTTGCTGCGGCGTCCGCGGTCCCTAGGCAGCTCGCCCGGGCTGGCGGCGGCCTAGTGCTGTGGACGACTCAAGTTCGAGTCGGAGGCTGAAAAGCCGTCACCTTGTGGAGGCCAGACGTGCCTTTGGAAGCATTTTCTGAGGTGGTTTTGTGAACCACCGGCGACTGTTTTGGTTTCGCCGCGTCCCTTGGAAGCCCCCGCGGCGTCCCTCACAGAGTTTCTGCGAACGGAACGCCCCGCAGGCGGGCGGGCTTTGTCGCCGCAAAAAGAGTGGAGGCTGACGCGGTGGCTCCCGCCTATAATCTCAGCGCCGAGGGAGGCCGAGGCGGGAGAATGGCTTGAGCCCAGGCGTTGGAGAACCAGCCTGGACAACATAGCGAGACCCCATCTCAGTTACTAATTTTTAAAAAATCGAATGAACCCAGATGTTTCACACATAGGATTAGCATTGATGTCACATGGGTGAAATCCATGTGCTGCAGGCTGTGCTTTGTTGTTAGGGTGAGATGAAGTGAATTTCTTAAAATGATTCTCTTTGGGTGCCTTCCAGGTGCATGGGTGCGAGGTGATCTCTGAAAATAAGCAGCGATCCAGTGTGACTTAAAACTCGCCAGGAGAACCCGAAAGCGTTTTTTTTTTTTTTTTTTTTGAGACGGAGTCTCGCTCTGTCGCCCAGGCTGGAGTGCAGTGGCGCAATCTCGGCTCACTGCAAGCTCCGCCTCCCGGGTTCACGCCATTCTCCTGCCTCAGCCTCCCAAGTAGCTGGGACTACAGGCGCCCGCCACTACGCCCGGCTAATTTTTTGTATTTTTTTAGTAGAGACGGGGTTTCACCGTTTTAGCCGGGATGGTCTCGATCTTCTGACCTCGTGATCCGCCCGCCTCGGCCTCCCAAAGTGCTGGGATTACAGGCGTGAGCCACCGCGCCTGGCCCCGAAAGCGTTTTAACACCAGGAAGCAGCAGCTCGCTGGGCGGAGGGCAGAACTCGCCTGATAGGTTTAATTGCTTCCTCTTTAGCAACGCGTATCGTTCAAACAATTGAGGCTTTGAAAGAGGAAATGTTTCTTCAGCGCCCATGGAACCGGCTCGCCCCGTAAGATTGTTTCGAGGAATCAGTAAGATGATAAAGCAATAAATAAAAATTAAAAGGGGTCACAACGGTGAACAATGGGCTGGGCGCGGTGGCTCAGGTCTGTAATCCCAGCACTCTGCGAGGCCGAGGCAGGCTGATCACTTCAGGTCGGGAATTAGAGACCAGCCTGGGCAACATGGAAAAACCCCATCTCTACCAAAAATACAGAAGATTAGCCGGGTGTGGTGGCGCTGTGCCTGTGGTCCCAGCTACTCTGGAGTCTGAGATGGGAGGATGGCTTGAGCCTGAGAGGCGGAGGTTGCAGTGAGCTGAGATTGAGCCACTGCACTCCAGCCTGAGCCACAGAATGAGATCCCTGTCTCCAAAAAAAAAAAAACAGGTAATAATGCTCACAGATGCACACTTAGGAGAATAAGTGTCATTGAAACAAGTGTGTTTCTTCACGTTGGCTCTCAGTATTCTCAGCTTAAATTTCTTTTCTTCTTTTTTTTTGAGACGATCTTGCTGTGTTGCCCCAGCTGGAGTGCAATGGCACTGCCACAGCTTGATCACAGCTCACTGCAGCCTCGACTTCCTGGGCTCAAGCCATCCTCCCACCTCAGCCTCCCAAGTAGGTGGGATTACAGGCATGCACCACCACACCTAGCTAATTTTTTAAAAATGTTTTGTAGAGACAAGGTCTCACCATATTGTCCACTCTGGTCTCAAACTCCTGGGCTCAAGTGATCTTTCTGTCTCGGCCTCCCAGATTGCTGGGATTAAGGGTGTGAGTAACCAAGTCCTGCCTGAACTTGCTTTGATCAAGATTTTAGTACTATTAAAATAGGATTGTGATTTATTGCTCACAAAATCATAATTTTACCCTGAATATTTCCTAATCACTTAAAAAATGTGTAAGGGGGCCAGACACAGTGGCTCACGCCTGTAATCCCAGCACTTTGGGAGGCCGAGGCAGGCGGATCACCTGAGGTCAGGAGTTTGAGACCACCCTGGCCAACATGGTGGAACCCTGTCTCTACTAAAAATATAAAAATTAGCCAGGCGTGGTGGCGGGTGCCTGTAATCCCAGCCACTCGGGAGCCTGAGGCAGAAGAATTGCTTGAACTCGGGAGGCAAATGTTGGCAGTGAGCTGAGATCACGCCACTGCACTCCAGCCTGGGTGACAGCAAGACTCCATCTCAAAAATAAAAAAATAAAAATAAAAAAGGAAAGAAAAGAAAAAAGAAAAATGTGTAAGGGGAAAAAAAAGAACTTGCATAGGTATATTCAGTTATCCTTTGGTTTGCAAACCGCCCTGCCAAGCTGTTCCAGCATTCTTTGTATCTGTGTCTGGGCAGGCCTTCTTACACACCCAGCAAGTCTAGTCAGTGCCCAGGACACTCGGGTATTTATTTTCTTTTCAGCTGGTAGCTGGTAGTTTTTCTTCTACTCAGTTTACAAGTATGCATTTGGTGCCAACTATGTACTAAGCCGTAGGCTAAGTGTTGGAGATTCAGCAATGAGCAAGACAAACACACAGTCACTGCCCACATGGAACTTACACTTACAGCCAGGCAGACAGGCGTTTGGTAATTACACAATTTTTCTTTCTGTCACCTATGCTGGAGTGCAGTGGGGCAAGCATGGCTCACTGCAGCCTGGACCTCCTGGGCTCAGGTGATCCTCCCACCTCAGCCTCCCAAGCAACTGGGACTACAAGGCATGCGCCACCATGCTTGGCTAATTTTTGTATTTTTTGTAGCAATAGGGTTTCACCATGTTGCCCAGGCTGGTTTCGAACAGCTGAGGTCAAGTGATGCACCCACCTCGGCCTTTTAAAGTGCTAGGATTACAGGCATGAGCTACCTCCCCTGGTCCACAATTTTTCAATTACCATTTTCATAGATACTACAAGAAAGCAGTACAAGACGCTGTGAGAAATCAGAAGCGAACCAGACCTAGTCTGATGGGTCCGGGGAAGCCTGAAAAATTGACAGGATTTGGCTAGGCAATACAGAGGACGTGGGTGCAGCAGTCACAGGGAATTCTTGTCCGGGGCCCTGTGATGGGAGAAATTTAAGGCTAAAGTGGCTGAAAGTAAAGTGGAGACCAACAAGATAGGCAGGGCCATGTGGGCCCAAGAAACATTCAGATTTTTACCCTAAGAGATAGAAGCTTCCGAAAGATTTGTTCTCCATAAGGAAACGAGAGCCTGGTGAAGCCTTGGAGGTCTACTATGTAGCTTTTTTTACAAGTCACAGGGATCCAAGCCATCACAGTAAAAGAAAAATTTCCTGCATATCTCTCTGCCTTACAGTAATCAATATATATTCTACAAATCCAAAGACTGAGTAGCCTCTATAGCACTTTGGGAGGCCGAGGTGAGAGGATCACTTGAAGCCAGGAGTTCAAGACCAGCTTGGGCAACATAGTGAGACCCCTCATCTCTATTTAATTTAAAAAAATTTAAAATAAAAAAACCCTCCAAAGGACTTGGGAAGTAGGCTGTTGTATTCATTGAATATTGTAGTTACCTGACAGCCACTATGATTAACTACATTAGTTACCTAAGAGATATGAACACTAGTGTCCACAGCTTCACCGCTTGCTAGATGTGCAGCCTTGGCCAAATTACTTAACCTCTCTGTCATCTGTAAATGGAGAAGACAACAGTGTCGCTCTGAGGATTAAAGGAATTAGTGTGCTAGACCCCTAAAACAGTGCCTGCTTGGTACCTCAAAAGTATTAGCTACATGGCTGGCTAGAGTGGCTCACTCCTGTAATCCCACCACTTTGGGAGGCTAAAGCTGGAGTGCAATGGCATGAGCATAGCTCACTGCAGCCTTGAACTCCTGGGCTCATGCAGTCCTCCCACCTCAGCCTCCCAAGTAGTTAGGACTACAGACGTGCATCACCACACCTGGTTTATTTTTAAAATTTTTTGAGAGATGAAATATTTTTAGAGATGGAGTCTCACTATGTTGTCCCGGCCAGTCTCAAACTCCTGGGCTTATGATTCTCCCACCTCGGTCTCCCAAAGTACTGGGTGTGATGGGTGGCATGTGCCTATGGTCCCAGCTACTCAGGAGGCTGAGGTGGGAGGATCACATGAGCCCGGGAGGCAGAGATTGCAGTGAGCCTAGATCGGCCTGGGAAACCAAGCGAGACTCAGTCTCAAAAAATAAAAAAAGTATTAGCTATTATTACCACGATGCTCATACATGAATTATAAACAAATTGCATCCATAGAATCATAGTAGACTAAAACACACTGCAAAATGAGGCCAAGCTGTGCTTATACTGCTTTGCTGATTCAGGCACTAAACACACAAAATATTGAAGGTCATGATGTTGACCCTATGTTGTATCCTAAAAGGTGTTATTTTTAGAGCAGTTCCTTAGTTACCACACCTTATTTCATTTGTTTCCACAAGGTAGAGTGGAGGAACAATTTAGTAATTTGATTTTTTTGTATTTGAAAGCCAGATCAATAGAAGTTTACTATGCAAACTGAAATAAATTAATGTATATTTGGAAAGTTTCTGAAAAACTAAACAGCCAAGTTAACCACCTTTGACAGGAGATCCAGACTGTATCTGTAATATTTGAGAGCTGGGAAAATGTCCGTCAGATTTGAGTTTCAGTTGATGTCTTGCAGTATGTTGGTGATAATATGATTATCAATCATTCTGCATTGGTAAAGGCTCTTTGGTTGGAAGTAAGTGAAAACCATCCCTGACTAGCCTAAGCATTAAGCAAGCCCTTGGTGAAAGATGCTAGGCCACTCCATGAAATACCCAGGTCATGTCAGAACCAAGAACAGATGTCTTTGTCTCTCTCTCTCTCTCTCTCTCTGTGTGTATGTGTGTGTGTGTAAGTGTGTATGTGTCTTCCTGTTGATTTCATTATGCTTTCTGCTGGCACATAAACCTTCTTCACACGGCCAATGACAATCTCAGTGTTCACAGCTTCAGTCCCTAAAGAAGGGCCAACTCTCATTTTAAGTTCCTGTTCCAACAGTCCTAGGCAAGGACTCTTGGATTGGCACAGCTGGGTCACGTGCTCATCTAGGAATGATCAAGTGTTAAAAGCAGGTCATGATGGATGAACATGGCTGCTCTGGAGAGGTTGGCAGGGGCTGATCTCGGAGGAAAAAGAAGTGCTGGGCAGACAAACCCATCAATAGGCATTTCAAGTGGCAGATCACACTGTGGTCGCTCTGATGGAAGCCTTACTCACCCTGGCTGACTAATCTGTTCTTTCTTGTGTGATATGATCCCCATGCTTGAGGGCAAAATGTAAACCTCCAGTTTTATCTCTGGAAGCACTGTTTGAAATCCTAACAGCTGTGATGCTAAGTGTTTGTCTTAGAACATACCCACATCTCATAAGGGAGTCCTATGGATGATAGCAAAAAATCTGACACGGTCTAAGCTTGAGCAGTTGGCAAGTACTGTGAATGTCCATTCTAAAGCACTTTTCAGTTTGTCAGATTTCATTATTCCATGAGTTGAGACACATCATCTGTCTTAAGGATAAGTACATGTCATCTCTGCACACAAAGGTATGTGAGCACATGCAAATAGGTACATATCACCTGCACACATGAGGAGAGCTGCATGCATCTGTGCACACACAGGTGGCTGTCATCTTTGCACATAAGGAGAGATGTGTGCCATCTGGGATCACTTGAGGCCAGGAATTCGAGACCAGCCTGGGCAACATGGCAAAACCCCATCTCTACTAAAAATACAAAAATTAGCCCGGCATGGTGACACACGCCTGTAATCCCAGCTACTTGGGAGGCTGAGGCAGGAGAATGGCGTGAACCCAGGAGGCAGAGGTTGCAGTGAGCTGAGATAGCGCCACTGCACTCCAGCCTGGGTGACAGAGCGAGAATCTGTCTCAAAAAAAAAAAAAAAAAAAAAACATGGTGTTTGTGAGGTATGTGACACCAGTCTTTATCAAGGCAGTGTGATGGGCTTTGGAGACAGAACAGAGTGGTGTTGGCTAGCACTCAACCCAGCTACACCTCCAGTCCTCATCTGGGGAGGATTGACAGTAAATATTTCATAGAATTGTTATGAGGATTAAGTAAACCAACATGAAAAGGAGCTAGCATAGTGCCTGGCACATAGGAGGCACAAAATAACTGTTTTCTAGTGTGTCCATCCAAGAATAATTTGCTACCTAGGAGCCTGTTGTTGGTTTCCAATACTATTCTCCAATAACAGGAGCCGGCTCCTTACAGAAGTGGCTGATTCTAGGGCTGGGGCAGGAAATATACAAGGTGAGCCTGGAACATCTTGCAGTGCCAGAAAGTAAGGAAGTCCTCAGAAAGTGAAGCAATTGGGGAGGTGTGTCTCAGTCAGCTGAGGCTGCCATGACAAAATACCATAGACTTGAGGGCGTAAACAACACAACTTTGTTTCTCATGGTCCGGAGGCTGGGAAGTCCAAGATCAAGGTGCTGGCGAGGTAAATTTTACTCTGAAGCCTCTTTTCTTGGCATGGAGGTAGCTGCAATATCCCCGTGTGCTCACATGATCTCTTCTTTGTGCACTTGTTGGGGAGTCTGTGTGGGGAGAGACCGAATTCTCCAGCATGTCTTCATATAAGGGTACTAATCCCATCCCGAGTGCCCCACCCCATGACCTCATCTTAACCTTGATTACCTCCCAAAGACCCCATCTCCAAATATCATCACATGTGGGGCAGGGCTTCAACATATGAATTTGGGGAGACATAAACATTCCATCCATAAGACTATATCAAAGGGCCACAGGAGCCAAATGAAAGTGCCCCCAGTGCCCAAAGCTGGAACTATTTGAGTGGCAAAACAAATAACGTAGTATTGGATTATAACCCAAAGTATGAGATGAATATCCATGAGTCCCTACGGATGTTAATAAATGATGGAATAAATGTATAAATGACAGAGAAGAGGCAAATCTCCCATGCAGAACTCAAAATAATTGATAGTCTGCCCTCAGGCTGGAGAGCTACACTCCCTGATTCTTAACTGTGGGCTACACAGTGACTTCCTTTCGAAGCGTAGAATATGGAGGAGAAGAAAGAGTAACTTTATGGTGCAGAAACCTGACAAAGACTAGCAGGTGATCGAAGTCCACATCAGCAGTCATAAACCGTGTTGATAGCAAGTATCCTTGATAAGATAAGATGAAAATGGCCCTTTACCCTTTGGTCTTCCTCCTGAGAACTCATAACCCCAGTCTAAGAAAAACACCAAATTCCAATAGAGCAGCATTTTGTAAAATACCTACCTAAGACTTCGCAAAACCGTCAAGATCATCAAAACAAGGAAAGTCAGACAAAGTATCACAGTCTAGAGCAGCAGTCCCCAATCTTTTTGGCAAGAGGGACCAATTTCATGGACGACAGTTTTTCCACAGATAGGGAGCAGGAGGGGAGGAGAGATCATTTCGGGATGCAACTGTCCTACCTCAGATCATCAGGCATTAGAGTCTTATAAGGAGCGTGCAACCTGGATCCCTTGTATGCACAGTTCACGATAGGGTTTGTGCTCCTGTGCGAGTCTAATGCCGCTGCTGATAAGACAGGAGGCAGAGTTCAGGCAGTAACTTTTGCTCACCTGCCACTCATCTCCTGCTGGGCAGCCCGGTTGCTAATGGGTCTGTGGCTCAGGAAATAGGGACACCTGGTCTAGAGGATCCTAAAGAGACATGATGACTAAATGTGATGTGGTATCCTAGATGGGATCCTGAAACAGAAAGAGGATATTAGAAACTAAGGAAATCCAGATTTGAAGTACGGGCAATATTTAATAATGGACTTCAATTAATGATAATGTATCAATATATCTTCGTTAACTATAACAAATATATGAATGTAAGGTGTTAGTAATAGGTGAAACTGGGAAATCTATACCTCCTTCTCAATTTTTTATAAATCTTAAGTTGTTTTGAGTCATGCACAGTGCCTGTAATCCTAGCACTTTGGGAGGCTGAGGTGGGAGGATTGCTTGAGGTCAAGTTTGAGACCAGCCTGGCCAACATAGTGAGGCCCCATCTCTACAAAAAAAAATTAAAAATTAGCCGAGCATGGGCGTGTGCCTGTGGTCCCAGCTACTTGGAAGACTGAGGCGGGAGGGTGGCTTGAGCCTAGAAGGTCGAGGCTACAGTGAGCTGCGATAGTGCCATCCCACTCCAACCTGGGCAACAGACCGAGACCCTATCTCTTACAATAATTAATTAAAAATAAAATAGTTCTGAGAAATTTTTTTAAGTATTTGGGATGCATTGCAGTCTTAACATTAACCTAAAACAGTACTGTTTTAAAACATTAACAACCCAGGCCAGATTTTAGCCAAATGGGTAAAGAAGAAAGCAGCAGAAGAGCCTCAGGCCCCACTCCCTCCCTCAGTCCACGAGCGGTGACTGTGCTTCTGCCAGGCAAACCCAAATCATGCAGAGAAATGGAGCAGAGAGGGAGAGTAGATCTACAGGAGCTCCTCCAGGAGGAGAGAGGGATAGAAAGAAGGAAGGGGAGGTGGAGGGGTCCACTTTGAGACTGCAGGGTGACGGAGAAGCCCAGGACACCATTTTTGGGTCTAGTGGGGAAGCCCCATCCTCCGCTGAAGGTCCAAACACCAGGTCAACCCCTGGAAGCCACAAGACTGAGCTGAGAAGGAAATGAGAAGCTTCCCAGACAGAGGGACATGGTTGTCCCTGGCACTCATTCTCCTATTCTCTTTCATCTGTCTCAGTCAATAGATGTTGATTGAATTCCTGCTCTGAGCCAGGCCCTGTCCCAAGTTCTGGGAGTCCTGTGAGGACCAAGCCAAGGGGCTGGAGAAGGGGGCAGGGGGGAGCTGGTGCCCAACAGATGAGACAGGGCCAAGGAGACACAGCCAGGCCAGGTGGGCTTGTGGCCTAGAATCCCTGTGCTTAGCGTCAGGAATCTGCGTCCACTCCTAGGCCGCCGTGACTGCTCCTTTTTCATCTTATTTTTCGTTTAGATTCCCACGGTAATAATCAGTTCCTGTGTCAGCCTCAACTGGGATTCATATTGACTTGGGTTTAGCAGGTGGAGTCGCCAGTCTATTTGCATAAATGTTGGGGTTTTGGCTGGAAGAGGAAGGTGGGGTTGTTGTCTTTCCTTTGCAGAGGTTTCTGGGGGGGAACTGAGGTGCAGAAGAAACTGGGATTTGGGGAGAGACAAGTGCTGTTTTGTAGTCCTTACAAAGAGAGTGACTTTCCCCCCGACCTCCGTGAACGATCCCCTGTGCCTTCAGCCAAGTGGGAACTGGAGTGAATGCAGAAACCACTTTGATGCCTCTAGGAAGTGATTCTTGTAAAAATCAGGAATCCGTGCCCTTGGCATAGGGGTATCAACTTTGTGAAGAAGAAGAAGAAGGAGCTGAAGCAGAGGCTCCACTGAAGCCCTCAGGAGACTTTGGGGGCCTTAAATATGAATGGCCTGGGTACATTATGGGGGGTGCCCAGGAACTCACTAAGGCCGGGCACCCTCAGAAACACTTTGTGGTGGAGGTCAGAGCATTTGTTCTGTTACAGTGAAAAAGATCCAACTGCACCCATAGGTGGGAAGCCCTGAGCCTACTTGAGAGCCAAAAGAGCAAATGGAACATTCCAGTTTAATCTCAGCTAGACGACGGATAAAACTAAAAGTCGCAGCAGCCAGAATGGCTTGTGAGATCGGAGTGTGTCTAGGGCAGAGGGAAGTGGGAGAGGGAAGGAGGAGGATTCTTCCTTCTAGGGAGAGGGAGGTGGAGGATGATCAAGAAAAGCTGGAAATGCCCGCCTCATTCTGATATGCCATCTGGTGGGCCATTTCCTCCCAATTCCATATATCCAAATCCTTCCCATTCCCCAAACTCCAGTCTCAGTCCTGGCCTGTGTGTATACTTTGTTCTTATAGAGAAGATTGTCTCTCTTTCTCTCTCTCTCTCTGTGTGTGTGTGTGTGTGTGTGTGTGTGTGTGTGTGTGTGTGTGCTTTAGAGACAGGGTCTTGCTCTGTCACTCAGGCTGGAGTGCAGTGACACCATCATGGCCTGCTACTACAGCTTTGACCTCCTGGGCTGAAGAGTTAAGAGAGACTCCTGTTTCAGTCTCCTGAGTAGCTGGGACTACAGTTGTGGACCACCATGCCTGGCTAATTTTTCAATTTTTTGTAAAGACAGGGTCTCAATATGTTGCCAAGCTGGTCCTGAATTCCTAGGCTCAAGTGATCCTCCCACCTAAGCCCCACAAATGGGGATTACAGGCATGAGCCCCTGTGCTTGGCAAGACTCTGTTGTATATACATATTACTGTGCTATGTACCTATGAGACTTTAGAAAACACAGCTGGGGAAATGGGTCCCTCCAACCTGAATGTGGGATCTGGGAGGCACACAATGACCTCCACTGCAATCCACTTCTTGCGTCACTCGGATCCACTTCTTACTTACACGTAGTAAGTTAATCCCATCAGTGAACAGCTTCTCTGGGATTCTGGATGGCCTCCTTTCCTGGAGAAGCCTCCAAGAGGACAGCTAGTGGGATGAAGGATGAACAGCAGCTCCTACTGCTACAGCTGACCTCAAGGCTATAGCTGGTTTTCATCATCTGCCTCCCCTACTACCCATTCGAGATTCCCTCACCCTTGGCTAGCACACCTCTCCTGGTCTAAGTAGTTCACCTGTGGGGTGACCCACACCTTCATGTCTGAGAAATCTGCATGCTCTATTACCATGTCCTTCTCAAGTCTTGGCTGCTGCACCTGTTGATTTACCATCAAACTTGGGCAGGGGATCATATCTGCAAAAGAAGTACAGGAAGAATAAATCAGAGGCTAATGAGATGGTTACCTACAAGAGGTATATGGGAACTGGGTAGAAACAGTGAGAGAGTTGCCGGATGATGGCTCAGATCTGTAATCCCAGCACTTTGGGAGGCCGAGGCAAGAGGATCACTTGATGCCAGGAGTTTGAGACCAGCCTGGCCAACATAGCAAGACCTTTTCTCTACAAAACGTATTTAAAAATTAGCTGGGCGCAGTGGTGCACCTGGAAGACACCATCTTAGCCTAAGTGATCACAGTTCACATCACCAGCAATAAAACACGGAGACATCACGGACCCCCTGCTGCAATGCACCAAGAAGTGCACAGTCTCACTCCCATGTGGCATTCTTGCCAAATACACAGTCTCAATCCGATCATGAGGAAATATCATAGAAACTCAAGCTGAGGAACATTCTATGAAATAGCTGCCAGTACTGTTCAAAAATATCATCATGAAAAATGAAGAAAGGCTGAGAAACTGCTCTGTAGTGGAGGAGATGAAGGGGACATGACAACAATGTCCCATAGGCTGCTAGAATGGATTCTGGAACAGAAAGGACATCAGTGGGAAAACGAGAAAATAATCAGATTGGATCTGTAAGTCTGTTAATAGTATTATGTCAATGTTATTTTCCTTAATTTTTTTTTGTCTTTTTTTTTTTGGTGGGTTTGGGTTTTTTGGTTTTGTTTGTTTGTTTGTTTGAGCCAGGGTCCTGCTCTGTTGCCCAGGCTGGAGTGCAGTGGGGCAATCTTGGCTCTCCTGGGCTCAAGGGATCCTCTCACCTCCACCACCCAAGTAGCTGGGGCTACAGGCATGTGCCACCACACCTGGCTAATTTTTAAATTTTTTGTAGAGACGGGGTTTTGCTATGTTGCCCAGGCTGGTCTCAAACTCCCAGGCTCAAACAGTCCTCCTGCCTCGGCCTTCCAAAGTGCTGGGATTACAGGTATGAGCCACTGCACCTGGCCAATGTTATTTTCCTACTTTTGATCATTGTTCCGGTCAGATCAGCTTTTGCTGGGAGTGGGGAGTGGAAGTAGCCTTGTGCTGAAGAGACAGGCACCCCTCCCTCACCACCCTGTACTAGGCAGGGTTATACATAGCACTGGTTAGCATGGCAGAGAACAGGAGATAAGTCTTCCAAGGCACACAAGACAGTATGAAACAATTCCAGGGAGCGCAGCAGCCATGGCCAGCCACCTTGTGCTCAACAATGGCACCAAGATGCCCATCCTGGGGCTGGGCACCTGGAAGTCCCCTCCAGGCCGGGTGACTGAGGCCGTGAATGTGGCCATCAATGTCGGGTACTGCCACATTGACTGTGCCCACGTGTACTAGCATGAGAATGAGGTGGGGGTGGCCATTCAGGAGAAGCTCAGGGAGCAGGTGGTAAAGCGTGAGGAGCTCTTCATCGTTAGTAAGCTGTGGTGCACATACCATGGGAAGGGCCTGGTGAAGGGAGCCTGCCAGAAGACCCTCAGCAGCCTGAAGCTGGACTACCTGGACCTCTACCTTATTCATTGGCCGACTGGCTTTAAGCCTGGGAGGGAATTTTTCCATTGAATGAGTTGGGTAATGTGGTTCCCAGTGACACCAACATTCTGGACACATGGGCAGCCATGGAAGAGCTGGTGGATGAATGGCTGATGAAAGCTATTGGCATCTCCAACTTCAACCACCTCCAAGTGGAGAGGCTCTTAAACAAACCTGGCTTAAAGTATAAGCCTGTGGTTAACCAGATTGAGTGCCACCCTTACCTCACTCAGGAGAAGTTAATCCAGTACTGCCAGTCCAAAGGCATCGTGGTGACCGCCTATAGCCCCGTTGGCACTCCCAGCAGGCCCTGGGTCAACCCCGAGGACCCTTCCCTCCTGAGGGATCCCAGGATCAAGGCGATTGCAGCCAAGCACAATAAAACTACAGCCCAGGTCCTGATCCGGTTCCCCATGCAGAGGAATTTGGGTGTGATCCCCAAGTCTGTGACACCAGAACTCATTGCTGACAACTTTAAGGTTTTTGACTTTGAACTGAACAGCCAGGATATGACCGCCTTACTCAGCTACAACAGGAATTGGAGAGTCTGTGCCTTGGTGAGCTGTGCCTCCCACAAGGATTACCCCTTCCATGAAGAGTTTTGAAGCTGTGGATGCCTGCTCATCCCTAAGTGACCTATACCTGTGTTTCCTGTCTCATTTTTTTCCTTGCAAATGTAGCATGGCCTGTGTCACTCAGCAGTGGGACAGCAACCTGTAGAGTGGCCAGCAAGGGCATGTCTAGCTTGATGTTGGATCTGAAGAGCCCTGTCAATAGAGTAGAAGTCTCTTCCAGTTTGCTTTGCCCTCCTTTTTGCCCCACTGGGGAAAGTACAACCTGAATACCCTTTTCTGACCAAAGAGAAGCAACATCTACCAGGTCAAAATAGTGCCACTAACAGTTGAGTTTTGGCTGCTTGGAACTGTAATCCCTTCAGCAAGACTTCTCTTTGCCTCAAATAAAAAGTGTTTTTGTGGAGAAAAAAAAAAGGACTGATACAGTGAAATATATGTTAAAATATAAAACATTTGAACAAAAAGAGCTTCTTATTTCAAAAAGTGTGAACAACTTTATGATAGTAACAAAAGCTTCTATTTTAAAAAGCCCTTTGTATTTATAGAAAGCATATATTTGCATGTATTCTTTGTAATAGTATATTTGAATGTTGTGGAATCAGAAACTTGCAAAAAATCCAAAATTCTAAATACTATAGAAAATCATCATAAAAAGTCACAGACAGGTAAAAATATGATGTTCACGGATGTTCACAGGTGAACAGATAAAATATAGTATATACACACAATGGAATACTATGCAGCCTTAAAAAGGAAGGAAATCCCATCACTTGCCACAACCTGGATAAACGTTGAATAAAATAAGCCAGGCATAAAAGGACAAATACCAAATGATTTCAGTATAGGAGGTATTAACACAGTCAAATTCGTAGAGGCAGCAGAATGGGGGTTACCAGGGCCTGGGAGCAGGAGAGAGATGGGGAATCATTTAGTGGGTGCAGAGTTTCAGTTCCGCAAGATGAAAACGTTCTGGAGTTCTGCTTCACAACAATGTAAATACACTTAACACTACTGAGCTGTATACTTAAAAATGGCTAAGATGGTACATTTTATGATATGTGTTTTTACCGCAATAAGATGAACGAATGAGTGAATAGCTTTAGTTAAAACAAAAGGTCACAGGTGATGCTGAGTTCTGTGGCTAATAGAGGAGCTATTCGTTCATTTCGGATAGCCATAATCCATCTTCTGTGCGATAGGCACTTGGCTAAATGTTGGAGTTAAATAATAATTAAGAAATGACCCCGTTTGTCAGAGTGTCTTCCATCTAGTTGGAGAGAGAGAGAAGTAAACAGTGTAAGGAATGTTCCACGTAGTGGGAATAAGCGCTGGGTGCCGGGAGAATACAAAGTAGGGGTGTTTCATGTGGTCTTGGGGTGGGGGAAGGAGTGGTAGGGTGGTCACTCGCGTCTTCTTGCTGGAGTACTGAAGGTGAGTAGGAGCTAGCCAGGCAAACGTGCGGAATGAAAGACCAGGTGATCGCATAGTGAGGAAGCCAGGGGCAGGGAAAGGCTTGGTGTGGCCAGGATTTAGGATTGGAAAGGGCTCATGGGATTGAGAAGACTGGAGGCGGAGGCCTTGTCAAGGAGTCTGGATCTTGAGATCAATAAGAAGTCATGAAAGCTTTTAAGGAGGGGAATCATATATCCAAATTTGCATCTTAAAAGGATTATTCTGGCTTCTATGGTGAGAAACAGTTTAGAGGAGAGCAAGACTGGAGACAGGAATATTAGTAAAGATTTAACAGTAAGGAAGTGACCAGCGGCCCTTGCAGTAGGCTGAGAAATGAATGAGAGAAGAAACAATGAGTTAGACAACTTTTTCTAGAAGTGTAGCTTTGAACGAGAGGAGATAGCAAGATGGCTGCAGGAGAATCTGGAGCCTAAAGATGTGTGCGTGAACATGTGTGTGTTCGAGTGGGAGGGACGGGCATGTTTAAACACAGACAGGGAGGACAGAGCCGAGCTGTATCCTAAGGGTATGGGAGGAAACCAGATCTCACTCAATAGAGCTTACTTTAGCTTAGGAGGAAGAGAGAGGGCAGGACTCTACTCTTATTTTAATAATAGGGAAAGAAACAGATGGATCTAAGTGTAAGTTTTTAGGTTTGCCATTAGAAAGTTAAGGGGTTTCTATATCATGGGTTTTGCTCTGTAAAATAGAAGGAAAGTTCATCCTGGAGGAGGAAATGGAGAGATGGTGATTTACAGAGAGAGTTAAGTGTGAAATGAGAGCTAAGAAGAATAGTAGAAAGAATGAGCTGACCCTGGGCCAGTCATGGTGGCTTATACCTGTAATCCCAGGACTTCGACAGGCCGAGGCCAGCAGATCACTTGAGGTCAGGAGTTCGAGACCAGCCTGGCCAACTTGGTGAAACCCTGTCTCTACTAAAAATACAAAATTTATCCCAGTGTGGTGGCAGGCACCTGTAATCCCAGCTACTCGGGAGGCTGAGGCAGGAGAACCATTTGAACCCAGGAGGCGGAGTTTGCAGTGAGCAGAGATCATGCCACTGCACTCCAGCCTGGGTGAAAAAGTGAGACTCCATCTAAAAAAAAAAAAAAAGAGCTGACCACGAAAAAGTGAGACTTCAGGGCAGCATGGGGCTGGAGATAGAATTATGTCCAGTGTATTTGTGTGGTTGTTTCTAGGAACACTACCATCAAAGATATTTCTTGGAATCTGACTTAGGAGCTTTGCCTGGCCTAGGCCAGTGCATCTGGATTTGAAAGGCTTGGGGAAAAAAACTATGAAGAGACACTGTTCTAGCACAACTCTAAATATAGTAGTAAGTTATATTTATTAAAAGAATGTGATATTGGCCCAAGAGTTGGCAAATAAACCAGTGGAACAGAACAGACAGCCCCAAAGCACAGACAGTTACATGTGGGAATGTACAGGATAAAAATTTGGCCCTCTAAGTTACTGGGGGAAGAAAGGCTTAGTCAATAAATGGTAAAGTGACAATTTGCTGTTGTTAGACACCTACCATGCATTGTGCATGAAAATAAGTTCTGAATGAAAATTAAGATCTAAGTATTTAAAAAGCCCTTTTTGTATCATTAGAGGGAAATATTTTTATAAACTTGGGTTAGAGAAAGTTCTAGTAATGATCTCATGAGACCTAGGATCCAAAAAAGAACAAGCAACATATTTGACCACCTAAAATTAAAAAGTAGGCCGGGCACGGTGGCTCCTGCCTGTAATCCCAGCACTTTGGGAGGCCAAGGCAGGCAGATCACTTGAGCCCAGGAGTTCAAGAACAGCCTGGCCAAAATAGTAAAACCCTGTCTATACAAAAAAATACAAAAAGTAGCCAGGGATAGTGGCGTGTGCCTGTAGTCCCCACTACTCAGAAGGCTGGGGTGGGAGGATAACCTGACCCTGGGGAGGTCGAGGCTGTAGTGAGCGGTAATCCCACCAATGAATTCCAGCCTGAGTGACAGAGTGAGACCCAGTCTCAAAAAAATAAAATAAAAATAATAAATAAATAAACTCTGTGTGACCAAAAGAAAAAAGAGTTTTTTTTCTTTGTTATTACACTCTACAGCTATTAAGAAAAAAGTAGAGGTTTAAGTTAAAGGGTTAAAGAATAAACTACCAAATGGGAGAAAACATTTGTAACATGTATAACACGTACGGGGTTACTATTAATATATGAGCTTCTATACATCAAGTCTACCACTCTGCATTTGTCTCCTTAATTATAAATTAAGTGGCCATATATGTGTGGATTTATTTCTAGACTCTCTGTTTTGTTACAATGGTCTGTCTACACTAGTGCTAATATCACAGTCTTTTATGATAGCATAATAATATGCTATGGTAAACATAATAATAAGGTTTGACATCTGGTAGTATAAATCCTCCAAATTCATTTTTCAAAATAAAAAGGGAAAAAATTTGTGATAATGTGTTTTCTCAAATGCAATGGGTAGAAACTCAGATATTTGTTATGCCATTAATATTTAACTCCTATTTTATGAATGTTAATTTATACCTGCTCAATATTTAATAATACCATAATAGAAAACTATACACCTACTAACATCAACAAAATTTTTTAAATGCAAGTTAGGAACCTGAAGAAAAAAATGTACAAAACACATTTTTAGTGGGATACCTTAATATACCTCTCATTCTTTGACAGGCCAGGGAGAAAAATACTTAAAAATACATGAAATTGAGGGAGCCCAGATGGTGAAATAGCATAAAAACCTTCAAAGCAGCTACTATAAACATCCTTAAAGAACTAAAGGAAACCATGCTTAAAGAACTAAAAGAAAGGATGATAACAACATATCATCAAACAGAGAACATCAAGAAAAAGACAAAATTATTTAAACAGAAACCCATAGAAATTCTAGAATTGAAAAGCAAAATTTAAAAAAATTAAAACTTCACTAGAGAGATTCAACAGCAGGTTTGAGCTGGCCGGAGCAAATCAGTGAAATTGAGGCTAGATCAATATAGATTATCCAATCATAAGTACAGGGAATTAAAAAAATGAAGAGCAGAAAGAAAAATTATCAAAGCCTCAGGAAGATGTGAGATGCCATTATATGCACCAAAATACACACAGAAGAATTAGCAGGTAAAGAGGAAAGGCAGAAGCATCAATGTACTCAAAGAAACAAAGGTTGAAACTTCTCATATTTGATGAAAAACATTAATCTACACAGCCAAGAAGCTCAACAAATTCCAAGTATGCCAAACAAAGAGATCCACATCCAGATATATTACGGTAAAGATGCTGCAAGACAAAGAAAAATCTTAGAAGCAACAGGAGCAAACAACATGTCACATGTAAAGAGTTCCCAGTAAGATTAACAGCAGTCTTTTCATCAGAAACAATGGAAGCCAGAGGCAGTGGGTTGATACAGTCAAAGTGCTGAAAATAAAATTTCATCTAGCAAGCATCTTATATCCAGCAAAATTCTCTCTTAAAAACGAAGGCAAGATAAAGATATTCCCAGATAAACAAAACCTGAATTTGTTGATAGCACACCTGCTTGACAAGAAGTGTTCAGGCAGAAAGCAAGTGACTCCAGACAGTAATGTGAACATGCACACACACACAACATACACAAACACACAATACACACATACAAAGAACATTGGTAAAGGAAATTATGTAGAAATTACAAAAGACAGTATATAATTGTATATTTCTTCTCTCTTTTTTTTGAGACAGGGTCTAACCCTGTCACCTAAGCAGAAGTGTGGTGGTGCAAACACGGCTCACTGCAGTCTCAACCTCCTGGGCTCAAGCAATCCTCCCACCTCACCCTTCCAAATAGCTGGGACCACAGATGCGCACCACCACACCTGGCTAATTTTTTAAAAAAATTTTGTAGAGGCCGGGTGTGGTGGCTCACACCTGTAATCCCAGCACTCTGGGAGGCCGAGGTGGGTGGATCAAGAGATCCAGACCATCCTGGTTAATACGGTGAAACCAGTCTCTTCTAAAAATACAAAAAATGAGCCAGGCGTGGTGGCAGGCGCCTATAGTCCCAGCTACTTGGGAGGCTGAGGCAGGAGAATGGCATGAACCTGAGAGGCGGAGCTTGCAGTGAGCCAAGATCACGCCACTGCACTCCAGCCTGGGTGACAGAGCGAGACTCCATCTCAAAAAAAAAAAAATTTGTAGAGATGGGGTCTCACCATGTTGCCCAGGCTGGTCTCGAATTCTTGACCTCAAGTGAACCTCTTGCCTTAGCCTCCCAAAGTGCAGGGATTACCGGTTTGAGCCACCATGTCTGACCTTCTTCTCCTTTCTTATTTTAACTGATTTATAAAGTAATTTCATAGAACAATGTGTATATAATTGTGTTGTTGGGGCTATAATCTACTGAAATACAGTGTACTTGACACTGATGCTACATGGAAGGTGAGAGCAAAGCTATACTGGGAAAAGGAAAGGACATGAGATGGTAGCTGAAACTATAGCAATAAACAAAGACAACCGGAATGGGTAAATTAAAAGGTAGTGGCCGGGCATGGTGGCTCACACTGTAATCCCATTACTTTGGGAGGCCGAGGCGGGTGGATCACCTGAGGTCAGGTGTTCGAGATCAGCCTGGCCAACAAGGTGAAACCCCACCTTTACTAAAAACACAAAAATTAGCCAGGCGAGATGGTGGGTGCCTGTAATCCCAGCTACTTGGGAGGCTGAGGCATGAGAATCTCTTGAATCCAGGAGGCAGAGGTTGCAGTGAGCCGAGATCCCACCACTGCACTGCAGCCTGGGCGTCAAGAGCAAAACTCCATCTCAATAAATAAATAAATAAATAAATAAATAAATAAATAAATAAAATTTTAAAACTCTATAGATATACTTTTGAGACAGGGTCTTGCTCTGTCACCAGACAGGAGTGCAGTGGTACAATCACAGCTCAGTGCAGCCTTGACCTCCTGGGCTCAAGCGATCCTCCAACCTCAGTCTCCCAAGTAGCTGGGACTATAGACGTACGTGCCACCACACCTGGCTAATTTTCATATTTTTCGTAGAGACAGGGTTTCACTATGTTGCCCAGGCTGATCTCCAACTCCTGGACTCAAGCCATCCACTCTCCTTGGCCTCCCAAAGTGCTGGGATTACAGGCATGTGCCACCGTGCCCAACTGTGTAGATATACTTTTTCTCCTTTCTTCTCTCAGTTTCTTTAAAAGACTTCAGACTACCTAATGCATTAATGATACCAAAGAATTGTTGGGTTTTTAACATATAGAAACATAATATGTATAATAATATGTATAACATATTAGCATAAACAATAATAATGCAGGAATGCTATTAAAAATGCATAAATACTATTATACTATAATGCATAATAATAGCATTAGAAGGGAGTATAATGGAGCTATTCAGGATTCTATATTTCACTGGAACTAAGTCGTTATAAATCTGCAAAGACTTTGGTAAGTTAGGCTAAATTACAATACAGTGATTGCTACATGACTCTGTGAATGCACCAAAAAACATTGAACTGCATACCTTAAATCATTGAATTGTATATAAATTATATCTTCATAAGTCTGTTTTTTAAAATAGACAAGGAAGATCTGAATAACAACATACAACATGATTTAATAGAGAAAATACATTAATGCTGTATAGGTCAAATAATATACATTCTTTTTAAGTATCGATAGAACATTCACACACAAAAGAATTTTACCTTAAGCAATAAAGAAAAGTTAATATATTCCAAAAAAGTAGGACTTTCATTGTCCAAAATGCAATAAAAAGGATCTTTTAAATAATCAAATAACTTGCCAATCAAAAGAGAAATCATCTTTTAAAAATCTTTTGGAGGTCGGACACAGTGGCTTACGTCTGTAACCCCAGAACTTTGGGAGGCTGAGGCAGGCGGATCATCTGAGGTCAGGAGCTCGAGACCAGCCTGGCCAACATGGTGAAACCCCGTCTCTACTAAAAATACAAAAATTAGCCCAGCGTGGTGGCATGTGCCTGTAATCTCAGCTACTCAGCAGGCTGAGGCAGGATAATCTGGGAGGCAGAGGTTGCAGTGAGCTGAGACCATGCCATTGCACTCCAGCCTGGGCAATAAAAGCAAAACTCCGTCTAAAAAAGAAAATTATTTGGAGTATAATAAATCTTTCAGATATAATATGGCAATTTCAATTATGTTTAGAAAAGAATGATGAGGGCCGGGCACAGTGGCTCATACCTATAATCCCAGAACTTTGGGAGGCCAAGGTGAGTGGACGGCTTGAGCCCAGGAGGTGAAGATCAGCCTGGGCAACATAGCAAGACCCCATCTCTATAAAAAAATAAAAAATAAAAAAGACAAAAGAATGATGTGAACAGGCCGGGTGTGGTGGCTCACGCCTGTAATCCCAACACTTTGGGAGGCCGAGGCAGGCAGATCACGAGGTCAAAAGATTGAGACCATCCTGGCTAACACGGTGAAACCCTGTCTATACTAAAAATACAAAAAAATTAGCCGGGTGTGGTGGCGGGCACCTGTAGTCCCAGCTACTCGGGAGGCTGAGGCAGGAGAATGGCGTGAACCCGGGAGGCGGAGCTTGCAGTGAGCTGAGACTGCGCCTCTGCACTCCAGCCTGGGCGACGGAGCGAGACTCCGTCTCAAAAAAAAAAAAAAAAAAGAGTGATGTGAACAGTATATATTACAATTTGAGGTTATAGTCAAAGCTTTATTTGTACCTGACCCAATAGGGGAGCCATTTTGCCTACCATGTGACCATTCTGAGGGCTCAGTCTCTTCCTAGCAATGGAGTGGGATGCAAGACACATAAGATAGGTCTACCATAAGTGAAATTGCAGAAGAAGCCAGATTATACACAGCCTGTGAAAGCCATATTGATTGCTTGTATCAGGAGCAAAGCCATTGACAGGTGAATGAGACAAGATTCAGACAGGTTAACAACTGTAGAAGAGAAATCGGTGGATACAGGATACTGACATGAAAGAGAATGAGTTTAATAGCAGAGGATTCGGATGCTCTTCGGAAAATTAATAAAGTGGCTGTCTTTGTGATTACACTGTGACAGTCCAACGGGAAATCCATAGAATATCATCACATGCCTTCATCACGTGCCTTCATCAGAGCTTTCCCCCATCAACACTTGACTCATTCGTCACTGATTTTTAAGAACAATGCATAATTGCAGCTATAACCTAGTTTTCTGAAATATAAAATAAAACTGACTTTTTGTAATGCTTGTTTAATTCTCAAGGCAAAGCTCCAATCATATCTTCTTTCACTGTATATGCAATATGGGTTCCTGTTTTAAGTGGATTCACTCCAATTCCTTTTTTGTTATCGCCATTCTATCTGTTCTAGGATAATGAGGACCTTTGGCAAATGAACTTTTCATCAGCAATTGGTTTCGTCACATGAATTTCTGTATCTGATCACTGAAAAGGTGAAGGCGAAAAGTCGAGGGCCTTTCGGAACAAGTTGGGCAACTGAGATACGGAGTTAGCGGCGGCCCTGCTCCCTGCCCATCCTCAGAAAGATGAGGTGCTGCCAGAGGTTTCAGAGTAGGGGGCACACACAGAGTAGGGGGCACACACTGGCAACTTCAGTTTAAAGCCATTTGTAGCCAAGTCATAGCCCCTGTTGGCAGTATTATACTTGCTCTCAGGCATTCGGGTCCAAATACCACTTCTCCCAGATTCAACAACAATGATCAAGTAGAACTCAGTCTTTTGGCCTGCCGTGTCCAACTTTTTCTTTTTCTTTTTCTTTTTTTTTTAAGTCCAGGTCTCCCTTTGCTGCCCAGGCTGGAATGCAGTGGCGTGATCTCAGCTCATTGCAGCCTTGACATCCTGGGCTCAAGTGATCCTCCCACCTCTCAGCCTCCTGAGTAGCTGTGACTACAGGTGTGCACCACCACACCCAACTACTTTTTGTATTTTTTTTGTAGAGACAGGGTCTCACTATGTTGCCCAGGCTGGCCTTGGACTCCTGGGCTCAAGCGATCTGTCCCCCGGGCCTCCCAAAGTGCTGGGATTACAGGCATGAGCCCCCACCCCCCTCCCCAGTCTGGCCAGTGTGTCCAGCTTTTCTGTCCATTCACCTTCCTTCAGCTGCTCACCCCTCTCTTCCCTCACACAGGGCATCCTCCTCTGAAAAAAACAGATTCTCTTGACTGCAACTGATCCCTGTGGGAAATGGTGTTGGAAGATTCAGCACTGGTCACCGTATGCCTCACGGGGATGGCTTCTTGCCTTTTAGAAACCACTTGAGTCACACAGGAACGTCATCACTGAGCCGCCCACCAGTATCGGCATCCAAGGTTTGGATTGACAAACAGTTGTTTCCTTGGAGCCGTGAATTCCAGACTCCTCTGCCAAAGAAAAGATGCAGTTGACGGTGTGTGGGCATGTTGTGACCTGCTCAAACACTTATTTTTGTATTTGTACCGTAGACCTACATACCACTACTCAACTGTGACTCTGATAAGACATATGGCAGCTTTAAAAAACTGGCGTAATATGTCTTCTTCTGGAGTCAATAGAAAGAATTTGGCTTTCAGCAATGACGGAGGTGTGGCTGCTCCATTCTCTCCTTTGCCTTATTACAGATGACCTCTGCAGCTTTTCCAATAGAGGTTTCAAAGTCAAGTATTTTTTCTCTTATCCTATTTTTATTTATGTATTTAGAGTCTAGGTCTTGATCTATTGCCCAGCTGGAGTGCAGTGCCACGATCACGGCTCACTGCAGCCTCAAACTCCTGGGCTCAAGTGATCTTCCCACCTCCGCTTCCCAAGTAGCTGAGACTACAGGTGCAAATCATCATGTCTGGCTAAGTTTTTAAAAAAATTTTTGTAGACACAGGATCTTGCTGTGTTGCCCAGGCTAGTCTTGAACTCCAAGTCTCAAGGATCTCCCCACCTCAACCTTCCAAAGTGTTGGGACTACAAGCATACACCATTACGCCCAACGAAGTTATTTTAATTTTTTGAAGATAGGGTCTTGCTATGTTGCCCAGGCTGGTCTCGAACTCCCACCCACAAGTGATCCTCCTGCCCAGCTCTTATCCTCTTTCGAAATTTACCAATGCATGGTAAACTAAAAACAATAGTTTGTTTTTTTTTTTTAACTCAAATGCAAGTTTCAGTCAAACTATGTGCTTATTTTTAGAGCATACCGTAGTGCAGTAAATCAACTCCAGTGAACTCTGGTTGGCATGGGTATGTCTCTCCAATGGTCAAAGGTTACCTGCCTTCAGTTTCCTATTGATCCTAAACCAAAACAGACCCCTATCCAGCCTCATGAAGTTTGCTCACCACTGATTTTTCGGAGCCACATCATTCCCTGGGATCTTTCCACCCTGGCTTTTCCCAGCTGTGGGATTTCTAATCTAATTTATGGTATAAAAATATTAATGTGATTGGTTAACCCAGCCTGTGTGTTTTTTGCTTCAAGGTACCACCTCAGGATTTTAAATCTCTTGCATCAGATATTGAATATTTAATGCACGACTAAATCGTTGAGTCACAAACAAACAAAACTTGATTTCCCTGCAGAGGTGCACCTTGAGTTCCTATAACGCATCCTGTACTTGTATCTGTCATGGCCCCAGAGGGTGGGTACAGTTATCCCAGTGTGGGAGAATCTCAGATGATTAGCTGTAACCTCAGTGTTTTGAAGGTGTGACTTTTGTGGGCGCAGCCAGATAATTAATTAGATTTGAACAGCCCGTGTGCCCAACTTCTGTCCTTGAAAATAATTGAAGCCCTTCCAAAAACCAAAAAAGGATTATTTATGTCCTTTAGAACTTTAATCAAAAAACTTTAAAAAAGTTTCAATAATTCTTAAAATGTCAGTAATTGCCCTAGTTCTCCGTGCATAAAGGGATTTATTAAGACTTACTTTCCCATGACGACTTGAAATGGAAAAATCCAAGCTGAAAAAGAAGAACTGGAATAATTGGCTTTGATGAACTGAAGTTACTGCTCCCCATTGGAACTGTGGGTGCAGAGAGTTTAGGGCAGTGGATGGACTCTGAAAATACAGTCAGCGAATTAACACATCATACTGTGGAAGCAACGAGCAGTCCTGGAGCTGGACAGCATTGTCCAGTAACTGGGTCATCGAGGCTTAATTCTCTCATGGTTTCAGCACCAGGCACAGTGCTGCGGTTTTGCAGATAAGATCATGTGCTCTGGGCCAAAATACAGGAAAGCCTCTCCCTGCATCAGTCCACAGATCAAACCCAGCAGGGAGCCCAGGGCCTTGATGCCCAGCTCCTGATGCCTCAGCCAGAACCCCAGCCCAACCCGGAAAGCCTGAGCTCTCCCATGGCAAATTGATGGGCTCTCTCTCTTGTCCTGGTGTGTGATTCCCTAGCTTCGGAAGAATGAAGAAAACACTGAAACCTCCTAGCGTTTTATTATGATAACTATTTTTGGAGACAGGGTCTTGCTCTGTCGGCCAGGCTGGAGTGCAGTGGTGCAATGGTAGCTCACTGTAACCTTGAACTCCTGGGTTTCACCGATCCTCTCACCTCATGCCTGACTAATTTTTAAAGTTGTATTTATTTTCTTTTCGTAGAGACAGGGCCTCACTATATTGCCCAGGCTGATGAAATTTCCCAGCTTTGTTAAGTAAGAATCAGGCAGCCTTCATCAGCCTGTGGAGAAAGCATCAGAGTAGGTAAAGAAAAACTCCTTAAAAGCAGATTTCACCTTCTGATTCTGTGATTGTCCGCAGAACGTCTTTTCATGACCTATATCCATCCATGTTGAATTTCGGATAAAGGGTAAAGGAAAAAGCTTACTTTTCCAGTATAGGCTGGACAACAGGTTTAAGATTGTATTAATTCAAAAGGAGTTGATTGGGAAGCTATTGTAGGCTCACACATTTGGTGGGAGCTGGAAGACAATCCTGTTCTCAGGGAACTTGGTCACCGCCTCATCTTAGGAACAGCCAGTTGGAGATACAGCCAGATATCTTCCGTTATGGCCTCTTCCCGCCATGGCCATCACTGCCTATGGATGCCCCGCCATCCTTGTGAGCAGATGCTCCACCATCTTTAAGATCCAAGGTCTGGGCAGTGGACTGGACCTGAAATTGTCTGAGTATGGGTCACAGGCCCCGGTCCCCAGCATCCCAGAGAAGGAGGATTGGCCTCTCCAGCTTCCACAGAGGCCAGGGGGGCAGCGGGGGACAGTGGGAGACATGGATCTGAAGTTACCTCTCTGCCAAGACCACATGGTACGGGACAGGTCACTGCTCCTGAGGACTGAGGTGCCCCTGCAAGGGGATGCAGCAGCCAGGCAGCCAGACCCAACAATGGCCCCTGCCTGGCTGGGAAGGCCAAGGGACACCATGATTAGGCTTCAAGAGCCCAGCCCATGAGGATCCCTCCCTCTTCCGAACTCCCCAGGCATCTACAATGGCTCTCACTCAGCTGTCACATCCCGAAATGTGCCCAGGGTTCCCGAGTACCTCCCAGCGAGATGCCAAGCTTCCTACAGTGATCTCCAAGAAAGGCTGCACGGTGCCAGGAACATAACAATTACTCAAAACATGTGTGTTGACTGCGAATATGAAACCAATGACACATGTGAAATTGCATTGCACTGTGCTCTGAAAAACCCAGAACGCTGTTTGGGGAGAAATCCGGGAGTGGAGCGAACCCACGTCCTCATCTGAGATCCATGTGACCTTGGCCAGTTTCTTCTTTCTGGGTCCCAACTTTTTCATCTGAGGATGGTAATATTTACCTTGAAGTGTTGTTGGCAAAATTGGAGATAATTTAGGCAAAAATGCCTGGCACATACCAAGCGTTTAATACACAGTTTAATAATTATAATCAGATGTGGACTTTTTCGTATGATCTTCCTCTATCAGACACTTCATGCCATGATTAAAGACAAATGTGTCTTTAAGTTCTTTAGAGAAACTGATTAACCCCAAATTTGCTTTATATCATAGGCTATGTAAATATTGCAGACATAATTTTTTAATGTCCAGGATTTGTATAATTTCATATTAGAAAACTTATTTCTTAATAATTTGTTTTAAATGATATTATGGAAAAAGATAGCACAACTTGACCCTCTGTCTGGAAAATCTGTTTTATCCTTTTGGATAACAGCAAAGACTTTGTTTTTTCTTTAGAGGTGGGGTCTTGCTCTGTTGCCCAGGCTGCTGGAGAGCAGTTGTGCAATCACAGCTCTTCTGGGTCTCAGAGATCCTCCCACCTCAGCCTCCTGAGTAACTGGTATTACAGGCAGGTGCCACCATGCCCAGCTAATTTTTTAAAAATTATTTTGTAGAGACAGGGTAAGACTTTTTAATCAAGGTTTTTAGTTTGATTTGAGGCAAAAAGATTAAAAGCCTTGATACTTGGTTAATTAAGGTACTGACTTTTTAAACTGCCAACAAGTATCTATTGAGTGCTCACTGTATGCAAGGCACAGTCCTAAGCATTTAGTATGAACCAGGGGATAAAAGAGAGGAAACTCCCTGCCTTCCTGGGGTCCCATTCTAGCAGGGGAAACAGACCACAAACAATAGAAAACAGAGGTAAGCTGGACACCGTGTTATTTTTTTTGCGTTAATTAACATATAATAATTGCACATATGTACGAGGAACAGTGTGATATTTCAGTACATGTATGCATCGTACAATAATCAAATTAGGATATTTAGCATATTTGTCACCTCATATATTTATCATTTCTTTGTGGTGACAGCATTCAAAATTCTCTTTTCTAGCTATTTGGAAATATGCAATACAATGTTGCTAAACAAACATAATCATCCTACTGTGCAATGGATCACCAATAGATAGGAGAACTTATTCCTCCTATCTAACTGTAACTTCGTATCAGTCTCTTCCTATCTCCCCCACCCCCTGCCCCCTGCTTCTCTGATAATCACTATTCTACTCTCTACTTCTATGAGATCAGCTTTTTTTTTGAGACAGAGTCTAGCTCTGTCGCCCAGGCTGGAGTGCAGTGGTGTGATCTCAGCTCACTGCAACCTCCACCTCCCAGATTGAAGCAATTCTCCTGCCTCAGCCTCCTGAGCAGCTGGGACTACGGGCGCACTCCACTGCAGCTGGCTAATTTTTGTATTTTTTTGTAGATACGGGTTTCACCATGTTGTCCCGGCTGGTCTCAAACTCCTGTGCTCAGGTGATATGCCTGCCTTGGCCTCCCAAAATGCTGGGATTACAGGCATGAGCCAGAGTGCCCAGCCACATCAACTTTTTTAGGCTCCACATATGAGTAAGGTCACATAGACTTTGTCTTTCTGTGCCTGGCTTATTTCATTTAACATAAGGTCCTCAAAGTTCATCCATGTTGCTGCAAATGACAAGATTTCATTCTTTTTTAAGGCTGAATAGTATTCCACTGTGTATATATACCACATTTTCTTCATCCATCCATTGATGGACACTTAGGTTGATTCCATATCTCGGCCATTGTGAATAATGCTGTAATAAACATAAGAGTACAGAAATCTCTTTGACATGCCGATTTCATTTCCTTTGGATCTGTACCCTCTGGTGGGATTGTTGGATCTTATGGTAGTGCTATTTTTAATTTGTTGAGGAACCTCCATGCTGTTTTCTATTATTTCTGACTAATTTACACTCCCACTAGCAGTGCATGCTGTATTAAAAGGTGGTAAGTATCGTGGGGGTGGAAAGCGGAGGAGGCTAAAGAGGAACAGGCGTGGGATAAAGTACATTTTAAATAGCACAGCCGAGGCCACAGTGAGAAGGCCATGTGGAACCAAAGACTTACACAGTCCCATCAATAGGATCAAAGCCCCCAAAATGGGCCATGAGATTGGACTATCTAGAATGGCTTTCTAGAGATGTCGTATTACTCTGAAAACTGCCAAATTCACTTTTTCTCCTACCACCTGCTATCGTAGGTATAATCACAGCCACTCCCTTGGGAAATGTCTCCTCCCCTCCTCTCCACCTTCTCTTCAAGGATTATATATATAGGATTTGTGCTCACAGAGGCAGCTAGACTCCTACAAAGGAAAATGTTAAGTTCCTTTCTCTTGACAAGAGATGTGTTCCTGCGGGGAGAATTTTACTGTAACTGAAATTTAAGTAAAACTCACCGAAATGACATGCTTAGTGAATTATCTTTTAAAAGGGGCCTCTCCATCCAAAACACGTGCAAACAAGAGCCAGTGGGATCCACCCGAGAGTAGAATGTGTTCTCCTGTGCATGGATTTAGTAACAGCCACACTTATTTCCAAAAACTCACATGAGATCTGCCAGGAGTTTGCTCTCCTTAGAGGGAAGGGAAAAAGAGGCACCGGCATATGAGGAAAACCTCACCTTCGATTACTGGGATATTCATCAAGTCAAGATTGTCATTAAAACACACACACACACACACACACACATACACACACAAAACTGTTTTTGATACAGAATTCTCCCAGAATCACATGAGGTACACAGATGCCAAATCTTGTTAAGAGTTGCAAGGGTGAATCTCCAGCGAGCTCAGTTTCTTTTCTTTCTTTTTTTTTTTTCTCATTTTTCATCCAAAGCTGCATCTCTGAGCGCTCAGCTCTGCCCCGTGGGAGAAGGAAGAGGAGTTGTTGGCGTTGCCTTTGATTATGGGTTTCCATGGTATCCGGGAAGAGAGAGGAGAAGGGAGGGGCTTGGGAATGGCAACTGTAGACTCGGCCAGCTCTGGGGACACCTCATACCGAAATTCTCCTAAAAATCAGCTGGGAATAAGAGAACCATATCCTTAAGAAGAATCCGTGGTATAAATTAGTTTTGGATTCCTAAGGGATCAAGACCACATCTGGGTACGTTTGTTGGGTCTATTTCTGTCTCGTTTACCCAGGTTTTCTGTCCTAATTCTTTCTTCTCAATTCCATAATGAAAAGTAGTCTCTTATCAAAGCTCCTTTTTCTAAAAATAGTCAATTTAATGTTTCTCTGACCATGGAAAATGTAGTCCCTTAGGGGAAATTTTCAGAACTGTTGATGAGCAGCTGAATTAGAAACGCTGTCAGCAGCAAGGAGAGAATCACGCTGATTTGACCTCTTGGCCACCTGCCTGGCAAGGACCTAAGAAGATGGATACTTGCATTGTACTGACAAAAGTGTTTGTTGTTTAATGAGTTGCAAATCAGTATCAGGCTTGTTTGAGGTGCTTTCTTTTTCTTTTTCTTTCTTTCCTTCTCTTTTTTTGAGACAGGATTTTGCTCTATAGCCCAGTGTGGACTACAGGGGCATGATCATAGCTCACTGCAGCCTCAAACTCCTGGGCTCAAGTGATCCTCCTGCCTCAGCCTCCGGAGTAGCTGAGACTACAGGTGTGCACCACTGTGCCTGGCTATTTTTTTTTTCATTTTTTTTATAGAGACAGGGGTCTCACTATATTGCCCAGGCTCATCTTGAACTCCTGGCTCAAGCAATCCTCCCACCTCAGCCTCCCAAAGTGCTGGGATTATAGGCATGAGCCACTGCACCCGGCCTTGCTTTACTTTTCTTTCAAGGAACTAATAAGGGCACAGCTCTGAAATTTCACAAGACTAGCACGCAGATCAAGGAACAGAAGTCCCCTTGTGATTCTTATCCCAGTCTCCACCCTCCCTCCCCCTCAAACACCATGAAGTAGTTTTGCCTGTTTGATAGAAAACTTGATATAAATGCAATTCCATGGAATGTGCAGATGGTCCTCTTTCATATCTGGCTCTTGTCATTCCACATTATGTTCATGAGATTCACCTATGTTGGCAGTAGCAAAAGATAACTCATTTTTGCTACTCCATAAAATTCTACTGTGTGAATATTCCAAGATTTATCCATTGGAGAAGTGGTTAGTTTCCAGTTTGGGGCTATTATGAACACCTCCATGAACATTGTCCTACGTCTTCTGATGTGCACATGTGCATTTGTGTTGCGTATACACCTAGGAATTGAATCCGTGGGTTACAGAATGTGTGTCTGTTCAGCTTTCGTGTTGTCCAATCATTTCCCAAAGTGGTTCTATCAACTTACACTCAAAGCATATGAGACATTCAGTCACCCCATGTTCTGGGCTGAATTGTGGCCCCCCAAATTCATATCCTGAAGCCCTAACCTCTACTACCTTAGAATGTGACTATATGTGGAAATAGGGCCTTTAAAAAGATAATTAAGATTAAATGAGGTTATCAGGGTGGACCCTAATCCAATATGACTAGTGTCCATATAAGAAGAGATCAGGACACAGACACACACAGAGGGATGACTCTGTGAAGACATTGGAAGAAGATGGCCATCTTCAAGCCAAGGAGAGAGGCCGTCAGAAGAGACCAACCCTGCTGACACCCTGATGGACTTCCAGCCTCCAGGACTGTGAAGAAATACATTTCCATTGTTTAAGCCACCCAATCTGTGGTACTTTGTTATGCCCGCAGATCTTACAAACATTAAAAAGAAGAGGATATGATAAACAATGACTCTCTTATGCCAATGAATTTGAAAATTCGGATGAAACTTAGAAAAAAAACACAACCTACCAAAGTAGAAAAATCTGAATGATCTCATTACTCAATTTACTCAATTGAGTAAATTGAATTTATGATTTAACACCTTCCCACGAAGAAAACTCAAGTCCAGGTGGCTTCACTGATGGATTCTATCCAATATTCCAGGAGGATAAATATTTGCTGTTCCAGGGACCACTAAAAGAGGGAGCACCTTTCAACTTGTATGAGGACAGAATGACCTTTATCCCCAAACTAAGAAGGATATCGTAAGAAGAGAAAATTATTAGCCCATCTCTCCCATGAATATAGATGTAAAAATTCTAAAAAAAAAAAAAAGCCAGCAAAAAACAAAACACACACACACACACACACACACACACACACACACACACACAAAATTAGCCAGGCATGGTTGTACACACCTGTAGTCCCAGCTACTTGGGAGGCTGAGGAAGGAGGAGCCCAGGAGTTTGAGGCTGCAGTGAGCTATGATTGGGCCACTGCACTCCAGCCTGAGCAGCAGAGTGAGAGAGTGAGACCCTGTCTCAAAAAAAAAAAAAAAGTCTGAATTTTAAACAGATTATTGGACCGGTGGTTCCTATCCATCAGCTCATTCAACTTTAGCACCGGCCTCATCCCCAGTAGCTTTTCCAGAATTCCTGCCTTCCCCATGAAGCTCCATGTGTTTTCCCAATTCAAACTTGGGCTTTTCCGCATTTTTACTTTACTGATGAAGACATCACAAGGAATATACACAGATTGGCAAGTCTTTCCTATGTCTTTTTCTAACACCATCCGGAATCCATTTATTGACCACTTCTTTCAAGCCACTCGTCTGCACCTCTTGGGTCATGATTTCCATCATCTTCTTCCAGACTTGGCAAACCTGTTGGTACTGAGTATAAGAGGGCTTCCGTATCTGATTGTTGCATTTTTTAAGTAAAACCACACAAAACAGACAAAGCAAATAATCACTGATAGTCTTGACATCAACATAAGCTTCAATCATGGTCTGCCACTTTTTGGCCATTGAACACATCTTGTCACAGGTAAGATCCATGCCATGGAAGTTAGGCAGGCAGTTTTTGCCCTCAACATCTTCAGTAATCAGCTTCAATTTTCTAAGTGCAACTTCATCATTCTGCAGATCAACAGGGCTCGCTTCAAACACATGACGCTTAAGGCCAACTGATGCAATTTTGGTTCCTTGAGTTCTGGTGACTAGTGTCTGTCAAATATTTCTTATATTGAATATAACAGGAGCTTTCACACTTCCACATCATACCAATCTTTCTTTCTCTCTTTCTTTTTCTTTCTTTCTTCTTTCTTTCTCCTTCCTTCCTTCTTTCCTTTCTCTCTTCCTTCCTTCCTTTTCCTTTCCTTTCCCTCCCTCTCTCCCTCCCCTCCTTCTTTCCTTCCTTCCTGCCTTCCTGCCTTCCTTCTTGCCTTCCTTCCTTTTCTCAGAGTCTCCCTGTATCACTCAGACTGGAGTGCAACGTTGTGATCATAGCTCACTGCAGCCTTGACCTTCTGGGCTTGAGAGGTCCTCCCACCTCAGTCTCCCAAGTAGCTGGGACCACAGGCATGCACCACCACACCCTGCTATTTATTTGTCTGCTTGTTTGTCTGTTTGTTTATGTATGTATTTACTTATTTTTTGAAAAGACGGGGTCTCACTTTGTTGCCCAGGCTGGTCTCGAACTCCTTGCCTTAGACTATCCTCCTGCCTTGGCCACCCAAAGTGCTTGGATTACAGGTATGAGCCACCACACCCAGCCCACCAATCTTTCTTAGAAAGTGGATGAGCCAATTTCTTCTTGGCTTCCTTTTTGCTGCCTTTCAAAAGACGCTTGTTCTTGCCAACCACCATGGCGCTGCTCAGAGAGCCAAAAGTCAGACAAGTTTAGAATTATCGTATCTTCCTGGTGATTGATTCTTTTCTCATTACCCCTCTTTAGCCCTAGTCATAACTTCTTAATGCTTTCTGCCTTAGCCTTGTTTTGTCCTATCTGACTATAACTGCGCATCCACTGTGTTTTGGTTGATGTCTACAGTGTCTACATTTTCCTATAGTTTTATATTTAGTTTTTCTATATCTTTATATTTAATGTGTGTCTCTTGTAAGCAATGTTTAGTTGGATTGTGTTTTTTATTCAATCTGATAATTGTATTTTAATTGGAATATTTGATCTTTTTATATTTAATGCAATTAGTGACACATAAGATTAAAATCTATCATCAGTCCTTCTTCTCTCTTCATTGTTTTAACTCTCTTATCTTCATTTTGATTATTCAAGTCATTTTTTTTTAATTCCTCATCTGTAGCCCAGGCTGGAGTGCAGTGGTGTGATCATAGCTCACTGCAGTCTCAAACTCCTAGGCTCAAGGGATTCTCTCTCCTCAGCCACCCGAATAACTGAGACTACAAACATGTGCCACAGTGCTAGGTTAATTTTTAAAATTTTTTATAGAGATGAAGTCTCATCATGTTGCCCAGGCTGGTCTCAAACTCCTAGACTCAAGTGATCCTCCTGCTTCGGCCTCCCAAAGCATTAGAATTACAGGCATGAGTCACTGTGCCCAGCTGTTTTTAATTAACTCTTATTTTTTTTGTAGAGGCAGGGTCTTTCTATGTTGCCCAGTCTGGTCTCAAACGCCTGGCCTCAAGCAATCCTCTGACCTCAGCCTCCCAAGTAGCTGGGATTACAGGCACATGTCACTGCACCTGGCTGAGTCATTTTTATTACTCCATTTCACCACTCTACTAGCTTCTCAAATACATATTATTTTACTATTTGAAATCTGCAGATTGCAATATGCATCCTGTATTTACTAGCGCCAGTATGAGTTGGTACATTTATTTCTTCCCGGATGATTAAGAATACATTTAGAATATTTTAACTTCCTCTTTTCCTGCAGTAGATGCCTTCTATGCCCCCATCTAAATCCCCTGGCACTCCCATTCCTGCACATCCTGGCTCAGTTTACAACTCCCAGCATCTGTGACTCACCTCCGCCCAAGGGCTTCTGTGGAGGCTGAGTATAGCGCTGGCTAGAAGTGCCGGGACATTAAAATTTCCCTGGAGTAGTTTTCAACCCATCACTGGCCACAGTTGCTGCATAACTCGCCCATCTTCTATGTGCTTCAGGTGCTATTAACTCTGAGCTGCATTTTCCACCTTTGTTCCCAGGGTTTCCAAGCAGAATTAAGCTTCAGTTAGCCAGAGCGATACTTTGTGGGATTATGCACAATTTATTGGTTCCCTTCCCTTCCCTACCTCACTTCCCATGTCCCATACTGATGTGATCTGGGTTAACTTCCCAAATAAATCATTTGGACTCAGATCTTTGTTTCAAAGGTTGCTTCTGGTAAAGTCCCTTCCCTTGTTTTGTGATGTTATTGACATATATTCTGATTCTAGGTGTTTATAAAACCCAGAAGTCATTATTATTTTTGTTTGATGTGGCCAGTGTTCACTTAGATTTACCCACATATTTTATGCTTTCTCTTACTCTTTATTCCTTCCTGAATTTCTGCCCTTAACTCTGGAATGGTTTTTCTCATGCTTGAAGAACTCCTTTGGGGCACATTGGCTCACACCTGCAAATCCACATTTTAGGAGGCCAAGGCGGGAGGATTGCTTGAGTCCAGGAGTTCAAGATCAGCCTGGGCAACAAAGCAAGACCTCAACAAAAAAAATACAAAAAGTAGCCAAGCATGGTGGTGCACACCTGTAGTCCCAGCTACTTGGAAGGCTGAGGTGGGAGGATCTTTTGAGCAGAGGAGGTCGAGGCTGCTGTGAGCCATGATCACGCCACTGCACTCCAGCCTGGGCAACAGAGTAAGACCCTGTCTCAAAAAAACAAAAAGAAAAACAAAAAACTCCTTTAGCATTTCTTCTAGTGTGGGTATACAAGTAAATAATTCTCTCAGTTGTTTGCTTAAACATTTATTCATTTCGCCTTCCTTTCTGAAGCATAGGTCACTGAACATAGAGTTCTAGGTTGGCAATTATCTTCTTTTTTACTCTTTTTTTTATTACTCTTTTGATTATTAAAGTCATTTTTGACTTGAAGTCAAAAATTATGTCTTAATATCACATTGAAGACATTATTCCATTTTCACCTGGCTTCTATCCTTTCTATCAAAAACTCAGCTGTCATTTATATTGTTCATTTTTAAGATAATGTGATTTTTTTTCCTCTAGATACTTTTAAGATTTCTCTTTGATTTTTAGTGTATTTGTGAGGATGTGCTTGAGTATGGCTTTCTTTGTATATATGCAGCTTAGGATTCATTCTATTGCTCTCTTTTTTTTTTTTTTTTTTGAGTCAGAGTCTCATTCTGTCACCCATGCTGAAGTGCAGTGGCATGATCTCAGCTCACCACAATCTCTGACTTCCAGATTCAAGTGATTCTCATGCGCCAGCCTCCCGAGTAGCTGAGGCTACAGGCATGTGCCACCAGGCCCAACTAATTTTTTGTGTGTGTATTTTTTTTTTTTTTTAGTAGAGATGGGGTTTCGCCAGGTTGGCCAGGCTGGTCTCAAACTCCTGGCCTCAAGTGATCCGCCCACCTTGGCCTCCCAAAGTTCTGGGACTACAGGCATGAGCCATCATGCCCGGCCTCCTTCTCTCTTTCCTCTTTTGGGAACCCCAATGATAGGACATTAAACATTTTTAACATACCTCTTAAATTACTGTCTATAGTTTCCATGTTCTTCCTCTCACCGTACTTCAGTCTGGACCTATCCTCCAGTTCACTGACCTTCTCATCTCTCCATTCAGCTTTTCAATCCACCTGCCTTCCAGTTTAGTGACCTCTCTTCAATGTGCATTGACTGTTAACTCCATCTATTGAGGTCTTAATTTTGGCTATTGCCCTTTTCACACTAGATTTTCCATTTGATGATATTTTTATAGATCTTAGTCACTGGAGAAATTTTTTTTTTTTGAGATGGAGTCTCGCTGTGTCGCCCAGGCTGGAATGTAGTGGCATGATCTCAGCTCACTGCAACTCCACCTCCCAGGTTCAAGTGATTCTCCTGCCTCAGCCTCCCAAGTAGCTAGGATTACAGGCGTATGCCACCATATCCGGCTAATTTTTGTATTTTTAGTAGAGACGGGGTTTCACCATGTTGGCCAGGCTGGTCTTGAACTCCTGACCTAAGGTCATCCACCCACCTTAGCCTCCCAAACTGCTGGGATTACAGGCATGAGCCATCATGCCAGGCCAGATTTTTTATTCACATATTTTCTTAAACAGTTAAAAAATTATTTGTCAAAGTATAACATACTATATTAGGGCTATCCAGAAAAACAGACCAATAGAATGTGTGTGTCTGTCTGTGTGTTTATAAAGAGATTAATTACAAGGAATTGGCTCACCTAATTACAGAGTCTGAGAAGTCCAAACTCAGGAGAGCTGACGGTTTAAGTTCCATGCAGGAGAAGACCCATGTCCCAGTTTGGAGACAACCACACAGAGAGAAAGAATTTTTTCTTACACAGCCTTTTGTTCTATTCAGGCCTTCAGTGGATTGGATGAGGCCCATCCACATAGGATAGGGCAGCATGACCCACTATTATTTCCATCATTTATCAAAGATAATCTCTCTCTCTCTCTCTTTTTTTTTTTAAGAGATGGGGTCTCACTGTTGCCCAGGCTGGTCTCAAACTCCCGGGCTCAGGGGATCCTCCTGCCTCAGCCTTCTGAGTAGCTGGGATTACAGGTGCATATCACTGTGCCTGGCTGAAGAGTTCATCCTTTCTTTCCTCATTGCAATACAGGTGGCTGTGGTCATAAATCAGTTGACTGTATGTATCTGTACGTGCTTTTCCACTGGTCAGTTTGTCTGTCCTTGTGCTAATACTGATGCAGGGCAGGTGAGCCCCAGATAAGGGCTTAGCCCAAGAAAGTTCTTTGCTTTGCCCGGGAAAGAATTCAAGGGCGAGCCAAAGGTAGAAGAAAACAGCTTTACTGAAGCAGCAGTGTTACAGGATCTCACATGGAGTAGTCTTTGAACAGAGCATCACTTAATTCATAAGACAGTCCCATAGTCATGGCCAGTATTTACTGAAGAACAGTCAAAAATGAAGAGGACAAAACCTTAATATTGTAAATAACTTAATAGGAAAATAGAACTTGACTTGCCACAAGAAAGTGTCTTGCATAGACAGTCCAGGTATTTATCAATTTCATAAACTGGAATTGGGGTCAAAATGGATGGGGTAGATTTGTGCTCTCCTGGACCTTGTCCATTCTCTGTGTGGACAGAGAGGTGATGTCACGGAGGGTGACAGTATTTTAGGGACTGGTTAAAAATTACTTAACATTTAAAAAATTAAAGCCATACCTGAGTCTATATAAGCCAAGTAACGTCCATAAGATGCTAGGTTGGGGCCGGGTGCAGTGGCTCACGCCTGTAATCCCAGCACTTTGGGAGGCCGAAGGGGGGCAGATCATCTGAGGTTGGGAGTTCTTGATCAGCCTGACAAACAGGGAGAAACCCCATCTCTACTAGAAATACAAAAATTAGCTGGACATAGTGGCGCATGCCTGTAATCCCAGCTACTCGGGAGGCTGAGGCAGGAGAATCACTTGAACCTGGGAGGCGGAGGTTGCAGTGAGCCGAGATCACACCATTGTGCTCCTGCCTGGGCAAAAAAAAAAAAAAAAAAAAAAAAAAAAAAAGAAGATGCTTGGTTGGAAGGCACTGCCAAGGAGAAAGGCTCATGAGTCTTTGGGGTGGACACAGCTCGTCCTTGTCATCACCCACTGATTCTTTTGATAATGGCACAAATTCTTCTTTGAGCAGCCAGCCTGGCCGGGCCACAACAGAGTCACTGTGATTGGTTGGTTAAGCAGGCTAGAGCAATATCAGATGTTCCTCTTGCGAATTCCAATGATGACAGCAGGGACAAAGAAAATGGCTGGGCTGGTTCTTCTCAGCAGCAGCGGCACCATAGTAGATGCTGGTCCGTTCCTGCCATCTGGATTCCTGGAGTTGCTCTAGTGACTGTCATTTGTGCAGTTGTTCCAGGTTTTTTCTTGGTTTCTATGAGCTTCTCCATATTTTTTCCATAGATTATTTGGTTTAAGTTAACTAGACTCAGTTCCTCTTGCTTGTAAGTCAGTAAGACCTATAAAACCCTGATGGATTCTGGACTTAACCAATGGGAAAACACGTTAAGAGGCAATTTAGCATATTCCTAAATTGTTATTAAGCAGAATTAGATTTAAATAACCTCAGAGGCCAGGTGCCGTGGCTCATGCCTGTAATCCCAGCACTTTGAGAGGCCAAAGCAGGCAGATCACTTAAGGCCAGGAGTTCAAGACCAGCCTAGGAAATGTAGCGAGACCCCCATCTCTACAAAAAATACAAAAATTAGCTGGGTGTGGTGGCATGCACCTGTAGTCTCAGCTACTTGAGAGGCTGAGGTGGGAGGATTGCTTGAGGAAGTTGAAGTTGCAGTGAGCTGTGCTTTCACCACTGTACTCCACCCTGGGCAACAGTGAGACCCTGTCTCAAAAAAAAATTTCCTTTAATAATAAATGACCTCAGAAAGGCATAATATAGCATAGATATGTACAAATAGTGTATGCCACAATGTCACCTATTAGGAAATGGAGTGGGCCAGGCATGGTGGCTCATGCCCATAATCCCAGCACTTTGGAAGGCTGTGGCAGGAGGATCACTTGAGGCCAGGCCATCCTGAGCAACATAGCAAGACTCTGTCTCTACAAAAAACAAAAAAATTAGCCAGGTGTGGTGGTGCATGCCTATAGTCACAACTACTCAGGAGGCCGAGGTGGGAGGATCACTTCAAGAGTTCAAGGCTGCAGTGAGCCGTGATTGTACCACTGCACTCCAGCCTGGATGACAGAGCAAGCCCTTATCGCTTTAAAGAAAAAAAAAAGAAAGAAAAAAAGAAAAAGAATAAAAGAAATAAAGTGGACCTACCAAGAAGTTATTTCTTACATCCAATTTTAAATTCTCAATTTTTGTCTATATTCATTTAATGCTATTACTTATTACATATTAATTAAATGCTTATTAATAACCAGATGGTGATTATTAATTACCAACAATTAATTAATAATTTATTAAATTATTAATTAATGTGTGTTCACCACTCACTAGGCTCCAGATTTTTTTTTTTTGAGACAAGGTCTTGCTCTGTTGCCCAGGCTGAAATGCAGTGGCTCAGATCATGGCTTACTGCGGCCTTGACCTCCCAGGCTCAAGCGATCCTCCAGCCTCAACCTCCCAAGTAGCTGAGACTACAGGTGCATACCACCATACCTGGCTAGTTTTTTAAATTTTTTTGTAGTGACGAGGGTCTCACTATGTTACCTAAGCTGGTCTCGAACTCCTGGGCTAAAGCAATCCTCCTGCCTCAGCCTCCCAAAGTGCTGGGATTATAGGCGTGAGCCACCACGCTTGGCCCAGGCTCCAGCTTTATAGGTGATAGAGGATGTGCTGCTTTTGTTGTGTGTGATTGAGGGTGGCTGCTAAGACACCAGTCATGAGAGAATTAATGAAGACACAGAAATGAGTTTACCAGAACCCAGCTGGACAGAGGTGGGGTGGGTGGAGGGGCAGTGCCCTGAATGTACATATAAGGAATCCATTGATAAGCTGCTTGGGCTGGGGAGTGAGACCGCCAGGGTGCACGCTCTGGCAGGAGTGGGAACATGAACTGCCTTCTAATGTGTGTGGGTCCTCTTACCTGCAGGACTAGCATAGCCTACTGTTCAGAGTTAGCACTGCCACCAGATGATGGGGTTTGGATCCCAGCTCCAAGCCTTTTTTTTTTTATTTAAGAAAAAGTTTAAATCCTGGTAAAATATGCATAAGATAAAATTCACCACCTTAACCAATTTTAAGTGTATGTTTCAGTCGTATTAAATGCATTCATTTGTTGTGCAACCAATCTCCAGAACTCTTTTAATCTTGCAAAACTGAAACTGTACCCACTGAACAACTCCACTCCCCCCAGCCCCAGCCCCTGGCAACCACCATTTTGCTTTCTGTTTCTATAAGTTTGACTACCCTAGGTACCTCATATAGTATTTGCTTAGAATATACAGTATTTGCTTTTTGCGACTGGCTTATTTCATTTAGCATAATATCCTCAAGGTTTATCCATATTGTAGCACGCACCAGAATTTCCTTCCTTTATAAGGCTGAATAATATTCCATTGTATGGACGTACCATCTTTTGTTTATCCATTGATGCATTGATAGGCCCTTGGGGTGCTTCTACTTTTTGGCTATTGAGAATAATGCTGCTATGAACACGGATGTGCAAATACCTTGTTGAGACCCTGCTTCCAGTTCTTTCAGGTCTGTACTCAGAAGTGAAATTGCTGGATCATATAGGAATTCTATTGTTAATGTTTGGAGGAACCACCATATTGTTTTCTGCAGTGACTGCAACTTTTCACTGTTTTTTTGAGACGGAGTCTTGCTCTGTAGCCCAGGCTGGAGTGCAGTGGCACAATCTCAGCTCACTGCAACCTCCACCTCCCAGGTTCAAGCGAGTCTCCTGCCTCAGCCTCCTGAGTACCTGGGACTACAGGTGCACGTCACCACGCCGGGCTAATTTTTGTATTTTTAGTAGAGAGGGGGTTTCCCCATATTGGCCAGGTTGGTCTCGAACTCCTGACCCCAGGTGTTCTACCCGCCTCAGCCTCCCAAAGTGCTGGGATTACAGGCATGAGCCACCATGCTTGGCCACCCTTTGACATTTCTACCAGCAATATATGAATGTTCAATTTCTCTACATCCTCACCAACACTTGTCATTCTCCTTTTAAAAATGATAACAGTCATCATAGTAAGTGAGCTTGGACATGTTAACGCTCACATGTGATTGGGAAAGTATAGATCTATTTAGTGGAGTCTATAAGTGGCAGAGAGTATGAGTGATAGAGACTGTGGCCGTAGTTGGTGGTAGCACAGTCACATAGAGACACTGAAGAGGCCCTCTCAGGAGAAGGTCACAGACCAGCTAGTGCCAGAGAACCCAAAAAGGCCAGCGAGAGCCATGGCTGCTCAGATGAGGGAAGTACGGTAGAGCCACACCCAGAAAACTGTGCTTAGCTAGGGCAGCTTTCTACCACAAGCATGTAGAGTTTTCTGGCTGGCAGCGTGCAAAGAGGAACCAAAGCTATTAAAAGAATGGAGGAATTGGTCCATCACGAAAGACTAAAGCTCCAAGGGGTAGTTTGGGTCATCTGTGTCCACTGTTTACAATTATATAATGGGCAAAACCAACCAAGCAATTGTTTTTTTAGAAGGAAGAGGATGTCTTCAGTAGGGAAAATATACTAGCTGTATTGCAAAAACTTTGAAAAAGCGGTTGAGTTCAATATTAAACCAAAAAATATTAGTATAAAGCAATACAAAATGAGGAATAGTTTCACCAGAAAGTGAGGAAGTACTATTTTTGGAAATCTCTCTGATGAAAGTAGTTTGTCTTATTGAAAGCAAAGTTTAATTTCTCTACAGATCCATCAAGTAACAGAAGAATGCTCAGTTATGGCTTCTTTGTGGGTTTTTTTTTTTATTATTTGCCATTCATGGCCAGGCACAGTGGCTCACTATGTAATCCCAGCACTTTGGGAGGCCGAGGAGGGAGGATTGCTTGAGGCTGAGAGTTCAAGACCAGCCTGGTCAACATAGCAAGACCCCCCACCTCTATAAATAAATATGCCAATAAGTAGATAAATAAATAAATAAATAAGGCAGGCGTGGTGGCGCACACTTGTGGTCCAGCTACTCAGGAGGCTAAAGCAGGAGGATCACTTGAGCCCACGGGTTTAAGGCTGCAGTGAGCTATGATCGCAGCACTGTACTCCAGGCTGGGGGATAGACTAAAACTGTCTCAAAAAAGTTAAAATACACGTCTGTAATCCCACACTTTGGGAGGCCGAGGCAGGGTGATCACTTGAGGTCAGGAGTTTGAGACCAGCCTGACCAACCTGGCGAAATCCCATCTCTACTAAAAATACAAAAATTAGCCGGGCATGGTGGTACACGCCTGTAATCCCAGCTGCTTGGGAGGCTGAGACAAGAGAATCTCTTGAATCTGGGAGGTGGAGGTTGCAGTGAGCCAAGATGGCACCACTGCATTCCAGCCTCGGTGACAGAGCAAGACTCCATCTCAAAAAAAATAAATAAATAAAAATAAAATAAAATAAAATAAAATAAAATAATTTTTTAAAAAATTATTTACATAATTGGCAAAACAATATTACAATTCAAACAAAACTCCCCCACAGTTCCACGAGCTGTTTAAATCAATATTTCTGTAGATACATGGCACCCTCTACCCTTTGTCCACATACTTAGTCAATGTTTACAGATTTGGAGTAATAGTGATAGAAGTTTGTTTCTTCCTATCTTACTTAACATGACATCATGAGTGATTTTCTGTTTTGGTAGAATCTTTTCCTACCCTCTCCTCTGACTTCTGCCATTGCAAACAGTGCTAAAATGCCATCTTGGTGTAAATATACTTGTAGGCTGGTAATTTTAGAAGATAGATTCTCAAGAATTGTCATTTCTGGGTCAAAGGGAACTTTTTTCCTTTTTTTTTTTTTTTTTTTGGAGACAGCGTCTCACTCTGTCACTCAGGCTGGAGTGCAGTGGCGCAATCTTGGCTCACTGCAACCTCTGCCTCCCAGGCTCAAGCAATCCTCCCACCTCAGACTCCTGAGTAGCTGGGACTACAGGCCTGTGCCACCATGTCCAGCTAATTTTTTGTGTTTTTTGTAGGGACAAGGTTTTGCCATGTTGCCTAGACTGGTCTCAAACTCCTGGGCTCAAGCGATCCACCAGCCTCAGCCTCCCAAAGTGCTGGGATTATAGGCGTGAGCCTCCTTGCCCGGCCACGTGTATGTTTTTTTTATCTGAATGACATTGCCGAATTATTTCCCCAAAGCATTGCTGCAATTCTACCCACAAGGTACAGTGTCTGATTTCATGTATTCTTACCAGCCAGCCACTCTTTAATTTTTGCCAATCTGATGAGTTTTTTCTTTAAAAACCTGCTCTAGTTTCTTTAATTGGCATTTCCCTGATTACTAATGAAACTGATCTTTTCACTTATTTATTGGCTATTTAAATTTCTCTTCCTGTGGAAAACCTATTAAATTCCTCCCCCTCCTTTTCCCATTGAATTTTTTGTGCTTTTCTTCTCAAGGATGTCTGTGCGTGTAGGATATTAACCCTTCCTCTGCCATATGTATTGCAAGTACTTTTCCCAGCATGGGCCTCTCAGCCCCCTTTAGTCCTGAGTCAGAAAAATAAATATCCTTCGTCACTGGAAGGGAGAATGAGTCCAATTTGCTGTCTCTGTGGGCAACTTGCTCTATCATCCACCCGCTCCTCAACTGGTTGATTCTCTTCAAAATGGAAGGGGTCTTTGCTGACACAGAGGCTGAAACTGAAAGACCGAAGTTCCTGCATGAATGAAGGTGTGAAGCTGGGTGGGGCTGGAGAAGGACATAGGTGTTGCTGGAGAGAGAGAAGCAGGGGCTGGATCATGCTGGGCCTTGTAGGGTTTATTTTAAGCGCAAAGGGAAGTTATGCACTGGATTATGTTTTTGCAACAGTGCCTCTGGTTGGAGAATGTATGGTAAGGGAACAGGAAGGCAGGCATGGAGCCCAGTTAGGGTTAGCCCATCGTTGTGGTCCAGGTGGGAGACAGCAGTGGTTTGTACTAGGGTATTGGCAGCGGGGATAAGAAGTTGATAGGTCTATTTTGAGCCAAAGAGGAGAGAATAGATTATAAGAGATTAGGCATGGAACGGTGGGGAAGAAGGAGAGGTAGAGATTGGCTCCTCAAATTCTGGCTTAAGTAGCTGGAAAGAAGGGGCAGATTAGGGGCAGGAGGTAAGTTCACAGGGAAACCAAGATTTCATCTTAGACTTGTTAATTCCGAGATACCTGTGAAATAGACAGATAGAGAGATCAGATGTTAGAGGGTGATGCTCAGGCTTGGCCTCTGGGCTGAAGACATGAATTTGGTACTAAACAACAAGGCGATCAACAAGGTGCCCTTAGAGAGGATTAGAGTCCCCAGAAGAACAGTGCAGATAGAGGAGACAAGTGAGGCTGCCCCTGGGAGAGGAGGAGCTGACGCCGGAGACTGGAAGCAGCAGGTAGACAGCAAGAGAGGAAGCACTTCACCAACGGGAGGCTGCAGCACGCTGCTGAGGACCAGGGGAGGGGCCACTGCTGGGCCTTAAAACAGGGAGGGCGCCTTTCCAACAACAACCTCAGTAAAGTGTAGGGAGCAGATGAAACCGCATTGGGAAATCAATGAAAGGTGAATAGGCAGAGATAGTGTTTACAGAGAACTCTGTCAGGAAGTTTAGTTATGAGTGAAGAGTCAAGAAGTAAGGGCCAGGTGTGGTGGCTCACGCCTGTAACCCCAGCACTTTGGGAAACCAAGGCAGGAAGATCGTTGAGGCCAGGAGTTCAAGAGCAGCCCTGGGCAACATAGCTAGACCCTGTCTCTACAAATAATTAAAAAAAAAAAATTAGCCGGGCGCAGTGGTGCACACCTGTGGTCCCAGCTACCCAGGAGGCTGCCGTGAGAGTATGGCTTGAGCCCCGGAGGTCAAGGCTGCCGTAAGCTGTGATTGTACCACTGCACTCCAGCCTGGGAGAAGAGCTAGACTCTGTCTCAAAAAAAAAAAAGAAAGAAAGAAATAGGGAGATGGGTGGAAAGGTGCGTAGTCAGAGAGAGGCGTTTTGTTTTCTTAAGTGGGGGACCCTAGAGCATAGTTCAATGCAGGTGGGGTGGCACCCCTGAGAACGTGAAAGAAAATGCGTCCAGAGCATGAGAACAGGGCTTGACTGGGGGCAGAAGGAGGGTCACCTCCCTTGTTACAATAGAAGGAACAAAAGAGAAGATGGGTGAAGACTGATGAAGGGAGAAGAATGAAGAGGAAGTTCATCTCATGAAATTTCAGCATGAGAAAGAGAAAATCCTGCCAAACAGAGATGGGAAATCAGGCCCCCACAGAAGAATGACAATCATATTAGCATCATGTCTGTCACTGGCAACACTGGGTGCTGAGATGATAGAACACACTATAGATAGTTCTGAAATAAATACCATTTTTAAGCCGGGTGCGGTGGCTCATCCCTGTAATCCCAACAGGCATTGGGAGGCTGAGGTGGGCTGATCGCTTGAGGTCAGGAGTTTGAGACCAGCCTGGCCAACATGGTGAAACCCCGTCTCTACTAAAAATACAAAAATTTAGCTGTGTGTGGTGGTGCACATTTGTAATTCCAGCTACTCAGGAGGCCTAGGCATGAGAATTGCTTGAACCTGGGAGGCAGAGGTTGCAGTGAGTCGAGATCATGCCACTGCACTCCAGCTTGGGTGACAGAGCATGACTCTCTCTCAAAAAAAAAAAAAAAAAGAAAAGAAAAGAAATACAATTTTTAAACCCAGAGCTCTACACCAAGTCAAACCATCATTCAAATGGAAAGCACAGGCCGGGCGCGGTGGCTCACGCCTATAATCCCAGCACTTTGGGAGGCCGATGTGGGCAGATCATGAGGTCAGGAGATCGAGACCATCCTGGCTAACATGGTGAAACCCTGTGTCTACTAAAAACACACAAAAAAAATTAGCCAGGCGTGGTGGCGGGTGCCTGTAGTCCCCAGTACTCGGGAGGCTGAGGCAGGAGGATGGTGTGAACCCAGGAGGTGGAGCTTGCAGTGAGCCGAGATCGCGCCACTGCACTCCAGCCTGGGCAACAGAGCAAGATTCTGTCTCAAAAAAAAAAAAAAAAAAAAAAATGGAAAGCACAAAATAAAGACATTTTCAGTCATCTAAAGACTCATAAAATTTACCCTCAAAGAATTCCCTGAAAATTTTATTATAAGACAAATTCCAACAAGTCAGAAAATGAATCCATGAGAAAGATAAGTGATACTAAAAACAGTGACAAGCAAAAAAAAAAAAAATGGGGTGGGGACATGAACTTATAATTAAAGATAAATAATTGCTTTTTTTTTAAAGGTAGTCTAAAACTCAAGTTCAGATGACGTAAACATGAGAGATGGAGGGGCAGAGAAGAAGGAGAGGCGTGAAATCCTACTAAGTTCTTTGTCTTGTTCAGGACAGGAAAGATACTGGGCACCACTAAATATTGGTAGAAAAAATATCTTTTAAAAATGTGACTGTAGGCTGGGCACGGTGGCTCACGCCTGTAATCCGAGCACTTTGGGAGGCCAAGGTGGGTGGATCACCTGAGATCAGGAGTTTGAGACCAGCATGGTCAACATGGTGAAACCTCGTCTCTACTAAAAATACAAAATTAGCCGGGCGTGATGGTGCATGCCTGTAATCCCAGCTACTTGGGAGGGTGAGGCAGGAGAATTGCTTGAACCTAAGAGGTGGAGATTCCAGTGAGCCGAGATCACACCATTGCACTCCAGCCTAGACAACAAGAGTGAAACTCCATCTCAAAAAAAAAAAAAAAAAAAAAAAAAAGATTGTAATCCTAGAAGAATAAAAGATGCATAAATTCTATATATCCTAATTCCCAGAGGGAAAAAGAATGGAAGAAAGAAAATCCTATTCTTCAATGAAGGAAACGATTTTTTTTAATGAAAAAAGAAAGACAAAAAAAGAAAAATATTTCTATTTAGAAATAAAAATAGGAAACCTAAAATAAGATGGTATAAACAGTTTCAAACATATCTCACCGAGGACAGTGGAGAAGTGATTTACTAGAATAACATAATTACATTTCTAGGCAAGATTGTCTTCTTTTTTTCACCCCACCTGGAAGGTGTTGAGAAACACCTCTAAAACTGTCTCTCTTTTTTTAAAGAGAGAGATTCTGTCTCTCTCTGTTGCCCAGGCTGGAGTGCAGTGGCACAACCATAGCTCACTGCAACTTGTCCTCCTGGGCTGGACCACAGGCATGTCCCACCACACTCAGCTATTTTTTTTTTTTTTAAGAGAGGATCTCACTATGTTGCCCGGGCTGGTCTTACATATTTGGCCTCAGGTGATTCTCCCACCTCAGCCTCCAAAAGCATTGGGGTTATAAGTGTGAGCCACCATGCCTGGCTAACTCTCTTTATCAATAAATATGCTAGTTACTGTGGCCGCATAATAAATTACCCCAAAATTTAATGGCATCAACCATTTATTTTGCTCACGGATTCTATGGATAGGTAATTTGGGCAGGGTACAACGAAGATGGCCTGTTTTTGCTTTAGGGTGTTTGGGGCCTTGGTTGGAAGACTTATAAGCTGGGAGTTGCAGTCATCCCAGGGCTGGTTCATTTATGTGTCTGGCAGTTGATACTGGCTGTTGGCTGGGAGCCTCCTTTCCTCTCCACGTGGCTTGGGCTTCCTCACAACATGGTGGCTAGGTTCCAAGGACATGGATTTCAATAGGAAAAGAGCCAGCTGGAAGCTGGAAGGGAACACAGCACCAGAGCTACATTCTGCTTGTTAGAAGTGCGTCACTAAGGCCAGCTCACATTCGAGGGCAGGGGAATTAGACTCCACGTTTAGTGAGAGAAGTGGCAAACAATTTGTGGACATGTTTTAAAATCATCATAATGACCAAGTGGAATTCTTTTTGGTCAAACTTAAAATGGGCTGGGCGCAGTGGCTCACACCTGCAATCCCAGCGTTTGGAGAGGCCAAGGGGGGCGGATCACTTGAGGTCAGGAGTTCAAGACCAACCTAGCCAAAATGGTGAAACCCCATCTCTACTAAAAATACAAAAAATTATCCAGGCATGGTAGTGCACACCTGTAATCCCAGCTTCTCAGGAGGCTGAAGCACAGGAATTGCTTGAGCCCGGGAGGCAGAGGTTGCAGTGATCTGAGACTGTGCCGCTGCACTCCAGCCTGGGCGACAGAGCAAGACTGTCTCAAAACAAACAAACAAACAAAAACGTAAAATGTACTATATAAATAAACTTTAATTCTACAGCACATGATAATATGCTAAACTAAGACAATACATGGCCAAATAGACAACTTTTAAACAATTTTAGTGATTTGTCATTAACAAACTGTTAAATTTTGCAAGTTCCCTTTTTTTCAGCTGCCAGATCAGGTAAATTTATAAGAACTTCAACCAAGAAAATCAGCTACTTGCTGTTTACAAGAGCTATGGGTAAAACAAACTAAAAATAAAGCCCTTGAAATAAAAAGATGTAAAAAATACACCAGACAGCCTAAGAAAAATAACTCAGAGTGAAAACATTAGGGAATTTCATATTCATTAACCTTATAAGTAATCAGGAAAATAGAAGTTAAAGCAACAATGAGCTATCAAACAAACAAAATTTAAAAGTATTAATATCCATTATTTGATATTACAAAATGTTATTGAAAGATGTATGTATTTACTGCTGGTGAGTGTGTGAAACTGTGTAGCCTTTCTAAAAAACAATGTGTAGTATCTGTTACATTTTATTTTTCTTTTCTTTTTTTTTTTTTTTTAAGAGACAGGGTCTTGCTCTGTCACCCCTCCAGGAGTGCAGTGGTGTGATCATAGCTCACTGCAGCTTTGAACTCTCGGGCTCAAGCAATCCTCCCACCTCAGCCTCCAAAGCAGCTGGGACCACAGGTGTGTGCCACCACACCCAGCCAAGTTTTTAGACGTAGGGTCTTACTATGTTGCCCAGGCTGGTTTCCAACTCCTGGCTTTAAGTGATCCTTCCACCTTGGCCTCTCAAAGTGCTGGGATTACAGGTGTGAGCCACTGCTCCCGGCCTCTGTTAAATTTTAAACCCCACACCCTTTGACCCAACAATTTCACTACTAAGTATTAAGCCTACACACATCTTTGCTATATAATATTATACCATGCAGTATTTTTTAAAGCAAAGGAAGATCTCTATGTAATAACACAGAGGGATCTCCAAAACACAATGTTAAGTGAAAAAGCAAGCAGCAGAGCAATACATACCACACGAACCCTTTTATTTTTAAAGTCAGAAAACTAAATGATGTATCTACATCTTCTTATTTACGTTCATACCTATACATCACAAAAAAAGGTGAAGAAAGATTTGCATTAAACTGATGACAGTGGCTTCCTCTTAGAACTGCGGTAGGATTCAAAATTTGGGATAAGGGGGTAATTTAAAATGTTTTCCTCTACGCCTTGCTATACTTTGATTTTCTTAAAAATAAAATACACATATATCATCTGTACAACTTAAAAATTAAAAATTAAAAGGGCTGGGCCCACTGGCTCCCACCTGTGATCTTAGCACTTTGGGAGGCCAAGGCAGGAGAATTGCTTGTGGCCAGGAGTTTGAGACCAGCGCGGGCAACAAAGCAAGACTCCATCTACAAAAAAAAAATTTTTTTAATAGCTGGGCATGGTGGTACATGCCTGTAGTCCCAGCTTCTCAGGAAGCTGAGGTGGGAGGCTCGCTTGAGGCCAGGAGTTTGAGGCAGCTTAGGAGTTCGAGGTTGCAGTGAACTAAGAAGGTGCCATTGCACTCCAGCCTGAGTGACAGGGTGAAGCCCCACCTCTCAATAAAATAAAATAAACTCTTTTTCTTGTTTTGTAATGTTATTGGTAACTTCTTTACTGAGATATAATTCCCACACCATACAATTCACCCATTTTAAGTGTACAATTTAATGATTTTTTTGTATATTCACAGAGTTGTGCAACTATCAGTACAATTTTAGAACATTTTCTTCACTCTCCAAACCAGCTGTGTCCCCTTTAGCTATCATGTGCCACCCCCAATCACCCCCTCCTCACAGCCCTAGGCAGCCATTAATCTCCTCTATGTCTCCATAGATTTGCATGTTCAGGACACTTCATATAAATGGACTCATAGACTGTGTCATCTTTTGTAACTGTCTCTGCCACTTTGCATAATATGTTCAAGGTCCATCTGTGTGGTAGCACATATCAGCATGTTATTCCTTTTCACAGCTAAGTAATATTCCATCATGTGGATATACCACATTTTGTTTATCCTTTCAGCAGTGGGTGAGCATTTAGATTGGTTCCACCTTTTACCTGTTATTAATAATACTACTATAAGTATTCATGTATGAGATTGTGTGTGGACATATGATATGGTTTGACTGTGTCCCCACCCAAATCACATCTTGAATTGTAGGTCCCATGATTCCCACGTGTTGTGGGAGGGACTCAGGAGATAACTGAATCATGGATGCAGGTCTTTCCCGTGCTGTTCTCGTGATAATGAGTAAGTCTCACGCGATCTGATGGTTTTATAGAGGAGAGTTTCCCTGCAAGAGCCCTCTCTTCCCTGCCAGCATGTAAGACATGCCTTTTGCCTTCTGTCATGATTATGAAGCCTCCCCAGCCACGTAGAACTGTGAGTCCATTAAACCTCTTCTTTTCTTTATAAATTACCCAGTCTCAGGTATGTCTTTATCAGCAGCATGAAAACAGACTAATACAACATATTTTCATTTCTCTTGCCTATATACCTAGGCATGGAATTGCTGGGTCAAATGGCAGCTCTTTTTGAGAAATTGCCAGAGTGCTTTCCTAAGTGGCCACACCATTTTACATCCCCACCAGCAGGGTATGAGGGTATCAGTCTCCCCACGCTAACACTTACTAGCCGTCTTTTTTATTACAGGCTTCCTAGTGGCTGTGAAGTGAGTAGCCCATTGTGTTTTTACTTGCATTTCCTTGAGGAATAATGATGTTGAGCGCCCTTTCATGTGCTTATTGGCCAGGTGTAGAACTTTTTTGGAGAAATGTTTATTCAAATCCTTTGTCCACTTTTTTTTTTTTTTTTTTTTTTTTTTGAGACGGAGTCTCGCTGTGTCACCCCAGGCTGGAGTACAGTGGCGCAGCCTCGGCTCACTGCAAGCTCCGCCTCCCGGGTTCACGCCATTCTCCTGCCTCAGCCTCTCCGAGTAGCTGGGACTACAGGCGCCTGCCACCACGCCCGGCTAATTTTTTTTTATTTTTAGTAGAGACGGGGTTTCACCGTGGTCTCGATCTCCTGACCTCGTGATCCACCCGCCTCGGCCTCCCAAAGTGCTGGGATTACAAGCGTGAGCCACCGCGCCCGGCCTTTGTCCACTTTTTAATTGGGATAATTTTATTCTTGGGTTGTAAGAGTTCTTTATGTATTCTAGATATAAGTCCCTTATTAGAGGTACAATTTGCACGTATTTTCTGCCATTGTTTAGTCGTTTCACTTTCTTGTTTGTTTTGTTTTGTTTTTTGTTTTTGAGACAGCATCTCCCTCTGTCACCCATGCTGGAGTGCAGTGGCACAATCATGGCTCCCTGCAGCTTCAAACTCCTAGGCTCAAGTGATTCTCCCACATTAGCTCCAGGGTAGTTGGGACTATAGGTATGCACCACACACCTGGCTAATTTTTTTTTTTTTGAGAGACAGGGTCTTGCTATGTTGTCCAGGCTGGTCTCAAACTCTCAGCCTCAAGCAGTCCTTCCACCTCAGCCCCCCCAAAGTGCTGGGACTACAGCATGGGCCACCAAGCCTAGCCAACTTTCTTATTAGTGTCATTTGAAGCATACAAATTTTTAATTTTGATGAAGTCCAATTTATCTATATTTATTTTGTTGCTTATGCTTTGGGTGTCATATCTGAGAAACCATTTTGCCTAACCAAGGTCATAAAGAATTACTTATTTGTTTTCTTCTAAGAATCTCATAGTTTTTGCTCTTACATTTAGGTCTTTGATCCATTTTGAATTAATTTTTGTATATGGTGTGAGGTAGGGGTCCAGCTTCATTCTTTCACATATAGATATCCAGTTGTCCCAGCACCATATATTGAAGAGACTATTTTTTTCTGCCACTGAATGCTTTTGGCACCCTTGTTGAAAAATCAATTTACCATTAATATATGGATTTATTTCTGGACTCTCAATTCTTTTCCATTGATCTATATGTCTAACCTCATGCCAGTACCACACTGTCTTGAATACCTTTGCTTTGTAGTAAGTTTTGGAATCAGGAAGTTTAAGTCCTCCAAACATTTTTCTTCTATTCAAGATTATGTTGGCTATTTTAAGTCCCTTGATTTTCACATGAATTTTAGGATCAGCAGTGTGTCCATTTCTATTACATAAAGAAACCAGTTGAGATTCTTATAGGGATTGCATTGAATAAAATAAACTTTTTAAATGGTAGATATCATTATGTCAATATTGTTTTATGGAAATGGGAATAAAGTATCGTGTCACTAAGTGGTTTCATGAGACTAAACTTGCAGGAGTTAATAGATGTCAATGTCTCTCATCACTTAGATCCAGAATTGCAAAATTCTCATTATTTTGCTTACTATGTACCTTTATTTTTCTTTCTTTCCTTTTTTTTTTTTTTTTTTTGAGATGGAGTTTCACTCTTGTCACCCAGGCTGGAGTGCAAAGGCATGATCTCGGCTGACTGCAACCTCTGCCTCTTGAGGTTCAAGTGATGATTCTCCTGCCTCAGCCTCCTGAGTGGCTGGGATTACAGGCATGCACCACCATGTCTGGCTAATTTTTGTATTTTTAGTAGAGGCGGAGTTTCACCATGTTGGCTGGGCTGGTCTCAAACTCCTGACCTCAGGTGATCCACTTGGCTTGGCCTCCCAAAGTGCTGGAGTTACAGGCATGAGCCACTGTGCCTGGTCCCTACATACCTTTCAAAACCACACTTGTTTTTTCTCCATCTCTGCTCTACTTTCCTGGTTTAGGCCCCCAGCATTTCTAATCTGCATTACTACAGCATCTCCCAGAAGTTACTCTGCCTTCACTCTGGTCTCCTCTAAACCATTCTCTAAGCTGCAGTCAGAATTGTCTCTCTAAAGCCCAGAGAAAATCCTGTATCCTCCCTTTGAAAAACACATTAGTGACTATCCATGACTGTCAAGATAAAGTTCAAATGAGCACACTGATAAGCCCCTTCCACATCTGGCTTCTACTTGTCTGTTGCTCATCTCCCATTCCTCCTCAGTAATACCAACCCAATCCTATATTTCAGACTTGCCAAAAAACTGCAGGACCAGAACACATCAGGCAATTTCATGCCTCCCTGTGCTGGCACACATATGACCTTTGCCTGGAATGCCCTCCCTTACCACCTTTCTGAAAAATTCTTAGTCATCTTTTAAGACTTGGCTCAAATATTATTTTCACTCTTTTGATGATGATGATGATGATGGCAGAATACACATTTGGTGTTAAAATTTAAACCATATGAAGTATAAAATTGAAATTTAAAAAAAAGTCTTCCACCCTCAACCTCCAGTCACACCCTTTTTTTCTGTCCATTTTTACTTTATGTGTTTTGGGGCTCTGTTATTAGGTATATACACATTTACAATGATCACAACTTCATAATGTATTGACCTTTTATCATTATAAAAGATTCCTTTTTCTGGTAATATTGTTTGTCTTGAAAACTATTAATGTTTGTAAAGCCAATTAAGCCTTCTTATGCTTAAGGTTTACATGATATATCTTTTCCTATCAATTTTCAACCCATTTGTGTCTTTATATTTAAAGTAGGTTGCTTATAGGCCAGGCACGGTGGCTCACACCTCTAATCCCAACACTTTGGGAGGCCAAGGCAGGCAAATCACTTGAGCCCAGGAGTTTGAGACCAGCCTGGTCAACAAAGGGAGACCCTGTCTCTAAAAAAAAATACAAAAGTTAGCCAGACATGGTGGTGCATGCCTGTGGTCCCAGCTACTTAGGAGATTGAGAAATGAGGGCCTGGGAGGTGGAGACTGCAGTAAACTGTGTTGGTGTCACTGCACTCCAGCCTGGGTGACAGAACGAAACCCTGTCTTAAAAGAAAAAAAAAAAAAGAAAAAAAAGAAAAAAAAAAGGCAGGTTGCTTATAGACAGCATATAATTGGGCCTTGGAATTTTTTTTTTTTTTTTTTTTTTTTTGAGATGGAGTCTTGCTCTGTCACCCAGGCTGGAGTGCAGTGGCATGATCTCAGCTCACTGCAACCTCCATCTCCCAGGTTTAAGCAATTCTCCTGCCTCAGCCTCCCAAGTAGCTGGGACTACAGGCACGCACCACCACGCCAGGCTAATTTTTGTGTTTCTAGTAGAGACAGGGTTTCATCATGTTGACCAGGGTGGTCTCAAACTCCTGACCTTGTGATCCACCTGCCTCGGCCTCCCAAACATTTTTATCTATTCTGACAATCTCTGCCTTTTAACTACAATGCTATTCCTTCTTATTTAATATAATTATTGATATAATTAGATTTAAGCCTGTAATTTTACTGTTTTGTTTGTCTTCTATTTTTTAATTCTGTTTCTCTTCCTTCCTTTTGATTACCTGAATATATTTTTGAATTCCATTTTAACCTGTCCATTGCTTTACAGCTACACCTTTTTGGCTTATTTTTAAGTTACTGCCCTAGGGTTAGAATATACACCCTTAACTTTTTATAGCCTGCCAAAAGTTTATATTGCACCACTTTGCATAAAATGCAGAAAGCTTGCAACTATATAGGCTCATGTACACCCCCTGTTATTTATGTTATAGTTGTCATAATTACTACACCTACAGAAATTATAAACCCCATAACACAATATAATTTTTGCTTTAAACAATTATCTGTTTTAAAGAAATTAAGAGGACAAAAGTAATCTTTTCTACTTATCCACATATTTACCATTTCTGACGAGCTTCATTCTGTCCTGTAGATCCAGGTTTCCATCTGGTTTCATTTCCCTTCAGCCTGCAGAACTCTTCCTTTAGCATTTTTTTCAACAGAGATGGGATCTCACTATGTTGCCCAGGCTGGTCTTGAACTCCTGGCCTCAAACGATCCTTCCACCTTGGCCTCCTAAAGTACCCTTAGCATTCCTTGTAGCTCAGGTTTGCTGCTAACAAATTCCCCTAGTTTTTTTAAAAACTAAAAACATTTTTATTTCACCTTTTTATATATATATATATAGTTTTACTTTGGATTTGGAGGGTACGTGTGCAGGTTTGTCATGTGGGTGCATTGTGTGATGCTGAGGTTTGGGGTTCGGATGATCCCATCACCCAGGTAGTGAGCACAGTACCCAACGGGTAGTTTTTCAGCCCACACCCCCTTTCCTCTCCCCCCAGTAGTCCCCAGTGTCTATCGTTCCCATCTTTATGTCCACGTTATTTCACCTTTATTCTTTTTTCTTTTTCTTTTCTTTTTTTTTTCTTTTTTTTTTTTTGAGACAGGGTCTCGCACTGTCACCCAGGCTGGAGTGCAGTGGCAGGATGATCTTGATTCACTTCATATTCTGCCTTCCAGGCTCAAACAATCCTCCCACCTAAGCCTCCTGAGCAGCTGGGACTGCAGGCACACACCGCCACACCTGGCTAATTTTTGTATTTTTTTGTAGAGACAGGGTTTCACCTTTTTCCCCTGGCTGATCTCAAACTCCTGACCTCAGTTGATCCTCCAGCCTCAGCCTCCCAAAGTGCTGGGACTACAGGCGTAAGCCACCACACCCAGCCTCACCTTTATCCTTTATTCTTTTTTTTTTTTTTTTTTTTTTTTGCAACAGGGTCTCGCTCTATCACCCAGGCTGGAGTGCAATGGCACAATCTCAGCTCACTGCAACCTCTGCTTTCCTGGTTCAAGCAATTCTTGTGCCTCAACCTCCCAAGAAGCTGGGATTACAGGCGCGCGCCACTACACCCAGCTAATTTTTGTATTTTTAATAGAGATGGGGTTTCACCATGTTGGCCAGGCTGGTCTCAAACTCCTGAGGTCAAGTGATCCCCCACCGCCTCAGCCTCCCAAAGCACTGGGACTACAGGCATGAGCCACCACACCCAGCCTCACCTTTATTCTTAAAAGATATCTTCACTAGATACAGAATTCTGGATTGACTGGTTTTTTTTCCCAGTGCTTTCAAGATGTTGTTTCACTGTCTTCTGGCCTCATTTATTTCTGATATAAGTCCACGGTCATTTGAATATTTGCACCCCTGTATGCAAGGTCTTGTTTTTTCTGACCATGTTCAACATTGTATTTTTATTTAGTTTTATCAATTTGACTCCAATGTCCCTAGGTGTATCGTTGTTGCTGCTGCTGTTTTTCAAATTCTACTTAAGAGTTCCCTGGCCGAGCGACATGGCTCACACCTGTAATCCCAGCACTTTGGGAGGCTGAGGCGGGCAGATCACTTGAGGCTGGGAGTTCAGACCAGCCTGGCCAACATGGTGAAACCCCGTCTCTATTAAAAATATAAAAATTATCCAGACATGGTGGCGGGTGCCTGTAATCCCAGCTATGGGGTGGCTGAGGCATAAGAGTCTCTTGAACCCAGAAGGCAAAGGTTGCAGTGAGCCAAAATCACACCACTGCACTCCAGCCTGGGCAACAGAGTGAGACCCAAGAACTCCATCAATGTCCACCCAGTGTGTGCATTCCATGTCAGTGTCAGATTCCACGTGAGCTGCTTGTCTTATGATGAGTTCCCCTAGAAAAGTAAGAGGCCAGAATAACCCCGTTCTATGCTGACTGCCGGCAAATGTTCCTGCTCTAGAAAAATGCTGAACTCTGAGAGCAGACAGTTTTATAGGAACCTGACTCATGCTGGTTTTCGTTTAACTGTTATTGCACCTTGACTAAGATTAAGAAAAGAAAAAAAAAGAGTGCATTTGGAATGTAAGCTAGATTTTCTAATCAATTATAACAAAAATTGGGTTCTAAAGATATGCTGGTTGAAACTCAATTTGTTCATTGTTACCTCTCCCTGTTGGCTAAGCAGATGAGGATTGGAAACAGCATGCCCCTGGTTCCCAGGGCTCTGCACTGGAATCTGGGCTGTGGAGGGTTATTTGGCCAAAAGGGAGTGTCTGGACAGTTTCGTGGGCTATGTGCCTTCCAAGTGACCTTTGGAATTTTGACTGAAAATGGTAGAGACGAGACTAATTAGAGAGGTGGGATGGGACAATCCTGCCGCACCTACAGTCCCCGAACTGCTAAATCAACACGACAGGAAACCCCAGTCCATGTTTGAGAGAAATGAGCTCGTGTTGTATGAAAAACTTTACTGTATCTGAGTACTGTATAGGTTTCTTCAGGGCCAGCAATAAAAATAAGGTACTGTTGGCCAGGTGCAGTGCTCATGCCTGTAATCCCAGCACTTTGGGAGGCCGAGGTGGGTGGATCACGTGAGGTCAGGAGTTCGAGACCAGCCTGGTCAACATGGCGAAACCCATCTCTACTAAAAACACAAAAATTAGCCAGACATGGTGGTGTGTGCCTGTAATCCTAGCTACTCGGGAGGCTGAGGCAGGAGAATCGCTTGAACCTGGGAGGCAGAGGTTGCAGTGAGCCGAGATCGGCTACTTCACTGCACTCCAGCCTGGGCGACAGAGTGAGACTCCATCTAACAACAACAACAAAAAAGTGATTTAGTGTCTATAACTGTGTATGTTCTTCATATGCAAAAACTCACAAATCACTAAACAATCCAGTTTTAGAGCATATTTCCAGGTCCACGTAGGCAAATCTGTGTAACGATGAATGAATATATCAGAGGTTTTTTTGTTTTAGTTTTTGAGACACGGTTTCACTCTGTCACCCAGGAGTGTGGAGTGCAGTGGTACAATCATAGCTCACTGCAGCCCCGACCTCCCAGGCTCAAGCAATCATCCCACCGCAGCTCTGAGTACCTGGTACTACTGGCGCATGCCAGCATGCCTGGCTATATATATCTTATTAATCTTTTTGTCGAGATAGGGTCTCACTATGTTGCCCAAGCTGGCCTCAAATTCCCGGACTCAAGTGATCTCTCTTGGCCTCCCAATATGCTAGGCATGAGCCACCACACCCAGCCCAGAGATATTTCTTTAAGTGTTCATACAGCCTTTTTCTCCTCCTTTTTAACAGACACAGGGATTATTAACCAGTTAGCCCATGGTCACTTAACCACTCTTCTATTTTACAATTATAAACAATGTTGGCCGGGCGCGGTGGCTCATGCCTGTAATCCCAGCACTTTGGGAAGCCAAGGCAGGTGGATCACCTAAGGTCAGGAGTTTGAGACCAGCCTGGCCAACATGGCGAAACCCCATCTCTAAAAATACAAAAATTAGCCGGGCATGGTGGCAGATGCCTGTAATCCCAGCTACTCAGGAGGCTGAGGCAGGAGAATTGCTTGAACCTGGGAGGCGGAGGTTGCAGTGAGCCGAGATCATGCCGCTGCACTCCAGCCTGAGCAACAGTGCAAGACCCCATCTCAAACAAACAAACAAAAACAATGTTGCAGTCAATATCCCTTGTACCCCAGTTAATATCCAACATGCACCCCTTTGTGTATACATAAGACTTTATGGGATTCAATTTCTATAAGTGGAATTGCAAGTTGAAAGGAAAATGACACTTTAAAATTAGGTAAGTATTGCTAAATTATCCTCCAAAGAGGTTGTATCAATATAGAATTCTACCTATTTGCTCTATTCATTGACCAGTCCAGCATATTATTATACGTTTTCAACTTCACCTGTCCAATGGTGTAGTTTGTATATCATTTAGTATATCATTTTGTATATCAATTTGTATATCATTTTCAGAGAATTAGCATTTTTAAGCATGTTTAAAATCTATTTGCATTTCCCTTGTTTTGATAGACAGAGTCTCACTTTGTCACCCAGGCTGGAGTACAGTGGCACAATCATAGCTCACTGCAGTCTTGAACTCCTGAGTTCAAGGGATCCTCTTTCCTCAGCCTCCCAAGTAGCTGGGATTACAGGGATGCAACACCATGCCTGGCTAAGCTTTTATTTTTAGTAGAGACAAGGTCTCACTATGTTGCCCGGGCTGGTCTTGAACTCCTAGCCTCAAGCAATCCTCCTACCTTGGCATCCCAAAGTCCTGGGATTACAGGTGTGAGCCCCGACACCTGGCCTGTGTTTACTTTTTAAAATAAACTCTCTCTATATTTCAGTTTTCTTTTGGATTGTAATTCCTTTTCATACTGATTTTTAGAAGGTCTTTTTGTTGCTGTTGTTGTTGTTTTGAGACAGAGTCTTGCTCTGTTGCCCAGGCTGCAGTGCAGTGGCATGATCTTGGCTCACTGCAACCTCCGCCTCCAAGATTCAAGCGATTCTCATGCCTCAGCCTCCCAAGTAGCTGGGATTACAGGTGCGTGCCACCACACCTGGCCAATTTTTGTATTATTGGTAGAGACAGGGTTTCGCCATGTTGGCCAGGCTGGCCTCGAACTCCTGACCTCAAGTGATCTGCCAGACTCGGCCTCCCAAAGTGCTGGGATTACAAATGTGAGCCACTGCGCCTGGCCAGAAGTTCTTTATATATAAATAAATGAGCTTTTTTCTTTTAAAATAAAGATGACTTGTTAAATGTAGAATTAAATGTGACTTATTATCTATAACTGCATATGATTCTTCATATGAGAAAATCCACAAATCAGTTTTTAAAAAATCTATTTTAGAGCATGTTTCCAGATTTTTGTTTGTTTTGTTTTGTTTTGTTTTTTTGAGATGGAGTCTCACTCTGTCACCCAGGCTGGAGTGCAGTGGCATGATCTCAGCTCATTGCAACCTCCACCCTCCGGGTTCAAGTGATTCTCCTGACTCAGCCTCCCGAGTAGATGGGATTACAAGCACGTGCGCCCATACCCAGCTAATTTTTTTTGTATTTTTAGTAGAGACGGGGTTTCACCATCTTGGCCAGGCTGGTCTTGAACTCCTGACCTCATGATCCACCCATCTTGGCCTCCCAAAGTGTTGGGATTACAGGCGTGAGCCACTACGCCAGCCTCCAGATTTTTTTATTTGGAAAATACGGTCACTGAAAAGCATTTTGAAGTTATTATAAAAATATGTCATCCATTATAGCATTATATAATTTGTAGAGTAAATTCAAGTGACTTAAAACAATTTACAGTTTATAAAACTATAAAATTGAAGTGACAACATATTTTTATAATTTAAAAACTATAAAATTAATAAATATATACTCATCTCTTTAAAAAGTCCAAAATACAAGAGTATATAAATTAAAAAGTGCAAATTATCCCCCTTCCCACAAAGTGAGAACCCACCATTAACAGTTTGATGTGAAGTCCTCCTAACTTCTTTCTATACACCTAACAAATGTATATTTAAAGAGGTTTATTTTTCCCCCCAGAAAAGTGGAAGCTGCAAGCTATTCTGCAGCTTGCTTTGTTTCAGTTAAGGTTTTATCTTGGATGTCAAGAATGGTAACCTTTGCAATTCGGTTTCTTTTTTTTTTTTTTTTAATCTTTTATTTTCAGTTCAGGGGTACATGTGGTTTGTTACATAGGTAAACTCGTGTCACAGGGGTTTGGTGTCCAGATATTTCATCACCCGGTATTAAGCCCAGTACCCAAAGCTTATATTTTCTGTTCCTCTCCCTCCTCCCACCCCCCACCTTCAAGTAAACCCCAGTTTCTGATGTTCCCTTCTTTGTGCTCATGAGTTCTCATCATTTAGCTCCCATTTATAAGTGAGAACATGGTTTTCTGTCCTTGTGTTAGTTTGCTAAGGATAACAGCCCCTGTAAAAGACAGAATCTCATTCTTTTTCATGGCTGCATAGTATTCCACGGTATATACGTACCACATTTTGTTTATCCAGCCTGTCATTGATGGGCATTTAGGTTGATTCCATGTCTTTGCTATTGTGAATAGTGCTGCAGTGAACATTCGCATGCATGTGTCTTTATGATAGAATGCTTTAATTCCTCTGGGTATATACTTAGTAACGGGATTGCTGGTCCAAATGGTAGTTCTGCTTTTAACTCTTTGAGGAATTGCCACACTGCTTTCAATGTGAACCATTAGTTCAACGGTTGAACTAATTTACACTCTAAAATTCGGTTTCTTAACCTGTAAGTTGACAGTGTGTTTCCACAGGCCACAGCAGGACCTGATACTAGCTTCCTTTGGGAAAAATCGAGTTCCAACTACTGTGCTAGAGCAGATGCAGCCTTTGGAAATGTTCCAAGTAGCCCACTGTGTGCAGCTCGTTCCTCCCGTAGCTTCATTGTCTGCACTTTGGGGCTACTTTACACAGTGTTGAGGGGCTTAGACTTGAGGCAGCTGAGTAGAATCACAAGGAAAAAAGGCTGGAACTGGGGCTGTCATGCAGTCAGCCCCTAGACACTCTTATTTTGATTTTTCAAAAGATTTGGCTTCTCACCTTATTAGGATTTTTTTTTTTTAATTTTAGAGACAAAGTCTTGCTCTGTCACCCAAGTTAGAGTGCAGTGGCACAATCATAGCTCACTGTAACCGCGACTTCCTGGGCTCAGATAATCCTCTGTCTTAGCCTCCTGAGTAGCTGGGACTACAGGCATGCACCGTCACACCTGGCTAATTTTTTTTTTTTAGACAGTGTCTCACTCTGTTACCCAGGCCAGAGTGCAGTGGCGCCATCTCAGCTCACTGCAACCTCCACCTCCCGGGTTCAAGCGAATCTCCTGCCTCAGCCTCCTGAGTAGCTGGGATTACAGGTGCCCGCCACCACACCTGGCTAATTTTTGTATTTTTAGTAAAGATAGGATTTCACCATGTTAGCCAGGCTGGTCTCAAACTCCTGACCTCAGGTGATCTGCCCACCTCAGCCTTCCAAAGTGCTGGGATTACAGGCTTGAGCCACCGCGCCTGGCCCCACCTAGTTAATTTTTAAAATTTTTCGTAGAGACGAAGTTTCACTATGTTGCCCAGGCTAGTCTCAAACTCTGGCCTCAAGAGATCCTCTCACCTTGGCCTCCCAAAGTGCTGAGATTACAGGTGTGAGCTGAGGCATCAAGCTAAAATTTTTTTAAAAGATGCCTCTTGAGGCACAAATCCTTGGAATTCAGCAAAGAGAAGAAATGGGGTCAGAACGGTGGGTGCACAAGAATGGGCTCCAAGGACTCCACCCTATCTCTGGAGCAGTGGGGCCTGCCAAGTCGGCAGGATAGAGCAGTCCCTGTGGCCCCTATGAGCCAGCTGGGAGACAGGCCCATTTCCCTAGGTGGGTCTGATACTCAGCCATGTCCATGCTTCCCTGGGCGCCCCTCCTGGCAGTGCCCTACAGGTAGGGGGAGCTCTGGAGCCATGGTGGAGGGGGCGCTTCAGGTAGGGCCCAACTCAGGTGACCTCTGCTCACAAAGCCTTGTGTCCTGGCTGGACTGCAGCTACCCCGAAAAAAGGCCCCATTTTCCTCCCTACAAAGGTTCTTCTTGCTTAGCCAAGCCCCTGGGGGCCATAACTGCCTGTCAGTGGCCTCTTTGGAGTTACCCTAAAGGCACTGAGCAGGTCCTCCAGGCCCTGGCAGCCTTGCCTGAAACTGCTTCAGGAAGCTCCGGACTGAGTCAGATGTAGTGATCCCTGACCCGGGGGTCAGTCGGGTCTTCTCCAGCATCCTTCAGGGCCACCCTTGAACAACTCTAGGCTTAGGAACAGACTCAGTTCCAGGAGGGTGGCGGGGTAGCAGTTTTCTGCAGTCAAATCCATCTGTGTTCGTTCAACAAATATTTGAGGCTCTCGCATAGGCTGAGGCTGGCCCTAGCTCTGGGAATGGGCAGAACAGGACAGACAAGGTTCCTGCGTTTGTGGAGTTGGCACTCTAGTGGGGAGAAGCTGATAAGGAACACATAAAATACCATTTTTAGAGGGTGCTATGAGGAAAATAAAACACACAGTGGCCTACGGAACAATGGGGGAGGGGTGACGAGTGTGCAGCAGGTCCCTGCGAGGAACCTGAGAGCCCCTTCTCAAATGACAGGAAGGAAGGAGTCGTGCCAACCTGGGAAGAGCATTCCAGGGAACCAAAAGTGCAAAGCGCAGCACCTTGCGGCTGGGAGACGCTCTGCTTGGCAAAGCCAGCTAGGGAGTCAAGGAGCGGATGGGGCATGAGCAGAGACGAGTGCCAATTTAGGCAGGGTCTGTGGCCAGCTGGATGTACACGGGTTTTCTCCCATGCGCAATGGGTGGTGACAGGAGGGTTTAAGTTGGTGAGTGGTGTGATCTGAGTGCATGTTTCACTTTGTTTTTTTAAAAAAACTTTTTTTTGTAGAGAGGGAGGTCTTGCTATGTTGCCAAGGCTGGTCTCCAACTCGTGGCCCCGAGTGATCCTCCTACCTCAGCCTCCCAAAGCACTGGGATTACAGGCTGAGTGCATGTTTAAGGGATAACTCGGGCTACTTTGTGGAGAGAGTGGGGGGCATGGCAGCAGGGAAAGCCACAGGGAGGCCAGTCAGAGGCTGGTGCAGTGGTCCAGGTGAGAAAGCCCCGGGGCTGGAAGCAGGATGTGCATGGTGAGGTGGAGGGAAGGGAAGAAGCAGGATGTGAATGGTGAGGTGGAGGGAAGGGAAGAACTGGGGACACAGGTGTGGAATTATTGCCAACTGTCGTGTCCTCCTACAGAAGCAGGGCCAGGGGCCCCCAGACAAGGCGAGGACCAGTGGGGTCCCTGCTCTCCTGCTTGCCCTGTGAGTGCCGGCCTAGTCCCACCCTTAGACTCAGGCAGGAGGGCCCCTGTGCTGGACCCTCACAGGAGAGGGCGCCCGCTAGTCCCGCTCTGGCTGCTCCTGCCCACGGGCGAAGGAGTTTCCTGCCCTAGCAGCCCAGGGCCAGCTGCCTGGACCTGCGTGGTCCTCTTCACCAGGCCCCCAAGCCCCAGGATGTGGGAAGGAAGAAGGTGTGGCATTTTTCAAGGGGCACAGGCGGCATTTGTGCCCTGTGTTGGGAATCCACACCCCTGACTCAGGACCTTTCTGGCGGGGAATGGAATAGAGGATGGGATGGGAAGAGAATTGGTATGGCTGGGTATCCCCACACCACCATGTTCCCAAACCAGATTCTATCCGGTCTTCTAGGACATGATAAAGATGTATGTGTTAAGACAAGAAGGTAGAACATATTTTCTCTAACGGTTTCTCAGTTTGATTGGTAACTTTTCATATTTAAACAGATGCTATGGGGGCTGCCATTTGTACTCTTGTCTCGGATCTCACAGAAGCATGGGCGACCTGCCACATCCAATGCTTGCCTTCTGCAGTGCTCCCCAAATGCTAGATGCAGAGTTTGGGGACCCATCATTTACCAAAGAAGTTTTCCACCAAAATAGAATGAAGGGCTTTTCCCAATTTGCTCAACAAAATTACTAGATAGAATTTTCTGAATGTTTATTTTTTTTTTAATTATTTTCTTAGAGACAGGATCTTGCTTTATCACCCAGGATGGAGTGCAGTGGTGCCATCATAGCTCACCTCAGCCTCAAACGCCAAGGTTCAAGCAATTCTCCTGCCTCAGCCTCCCGAGTAGCTGGGACTACAGGCTCACATCACCATGCCCGCTAATTTTTTTCATTTTTTTTATAGACGGGGTCTCACTATGTTGCTCGGGCTGGTCTCAAATTCCTGGCCTCCAGACATCCTCCCACTTTGGCCTCCCAAAGTGCTGCCATTACAGGCATGAACTAGTGTGCCCAGCCCTGATTTTTAAATTTTGACTCAATTTTCTTTTTCTAGAATGTTTGGTGCCAGCTACTGCTTACCTGCTAGCAGTTGCAAGCAAATAAAATCAACAAACTGTATTAGTCCTTTCTCATACTGCTGTAAAGAACTGCCTGAGACTGGGTAATTTAAGAAAAGAGGTTTAATTGACTCACAGTTCAGCATGGCTGGGGAGGCCTCAGGAAACTTACAATCATGGCAGAAGATGAAGGGGAAGAAAGGCACCTTCTTCACAAGGCGGCAGGAAGGAGAAGTGCCGAGAGAAGAGGGAAGAGCCCCTTATGAAACCATGAGATCTCATGAGAACTCACTATCATGAGAACAACGTTGGGGGGAAACTGCCCCCATGAATCAATTACCTCTACCTGGTCTCTCCCTTGACACATGGGGATTGTGGGGAATACAGGGATTATAATTCAAGATGACATTTGGGCAGGGACACAAAGCCTAACTATATTATAAACATGAAAAATGACAAAAGAAATCACACACATGGTATAGTAGATGAATATTAAGAAAAAACTGGAGGTTGGGCACGGTGGCTCACGCCTGTAATCCCAGCACTTTGGGAGGCTGAGGCTGGTGAATCACCTGAGGTCAGGAGTTCAAGACCAGCCTGGCCAACATGGTGAAACCCCGTCTCTACTAAAAATACAAAAATTAGCCAGGCATGGTGGCACTCACCTGTAATCTCAGCTACTTGAAAGGCTGAGGCAGGAGAATTGCTTGAACCGGGGAGGCAGAGGTTGCAGTGAGCCGAGATCATGCCACTGCACTCCAGCCTGGGTGACAGAGGAAGAGTCCATCTCAAAAAAAAATAAAAAAAGACAGGACAGAGAGAGAGAGAGAGAAAACTGGAAACAGCTGATTTTTGTGAATTTGACAGTATGGACTCGTTATAGACTTGAGTACTTATGGTTGTGATTTTATGTGGTATACATACAATATAGTTACACTTCCTAATGGTTAAATGATCTCTACCTTATGAAGACAGAATTTGTTATGCCTTGGAACGTTCTGCATAGAGTACCATGCCTTCTAGGTACTTTTCCGCAGAACACACAGAGAACCTCAGCCTAATACACTGCCAGAATATTCCATAACTATGTGTTGAAATGAGTTGCTTAGGCCTGGTGTGGTGGCTCACACCTGTAATCCCAGCATTTTGGGAGGCCGAGGCAGGCAGATCACCTGAGGTCAGGAGTTTGAGACCAGCCTGGCCAACATGGTGAAACCCTGTCTCTACGAAAAATACAAAAGTTAGCCGAGCATGGTGGTGCATGCCTGTAGTCCCAGCTACTCCAGAGGCTGAGGTTGGAGAATCGCTTGAACCTGGGAGACAGAGGTTGCAGTGATCTGAGATTGCATGACTGTACTGTAGCCTGGGTGACACAGCAAGACCCCATGTCAGAAAGAAAAAAAAGAAGGAAGGAAGGAAGGAAGGAAAGAAAGAAAGAAAAGAAAGAAAGAAAGAGAGAGAGAGAGAGAAAGAAAAGAAAGAAGGGAGGGAGGGAAGGAAGGAAGGAAGGAAGGGAAAAGAAAAGAAAAAGAAAAAAAGAAATGAGTTGCTTAATATTCAAAGTTTTGGGGGAAACTAGAACCTCAAAAGTGCACTTATGGAGAGACAAGGAGAGTAGGGAAGCGTATGCCAAGCTCTTATTTACTGAGCAAGTGTGTCCTGCATGCCAGGAACTGGCCTTGGCACAACATTCTCCCTAATCCTCCCAGCAGCTCCCTACACCACCTGCCTCCTGGGGAGACAGGATAAGTAATCTCATGGGTAGAGCTGGGCGCCTGTGGATAAAAAACACTAGGCCGGACACAGTGGCTTACACCTGTAAATCCCAGCACTTTGGAAAGCCGAGGTGGGAGGATCACTTGAGCTCAGGAGTTCGAGACCAGCCTGGGCTGCGTGGTGAAACCCCATCTATACAAAAAATTAGCCAGGCATGGTGGTGCATGCCTGTAGTCCCAGCTACCCAGGAGGCCGATGTGGGAGGATCACTTGAGCCTGGGAGGCGGAGGTTGCATTGAGCTGAGATCCAACCACTGCTCTCCAGCCTGGGCAACAGAGTGAGACCCTGTCTCGAAAAAAAAAAGAAGAAAGAAAAAGAAACACTGGACTTTGGGTTGATTATGCGTTGAGTTCATATGCTTTACATGTCAAGATCTAAAGCCTAAAATGAATCAGTATAAAACCGTTTATGAATCCATTTGTAACAAAAAGTAACTAGTGTTTTTATTTTGTTTTGTTTGTCTAGTTGGAGGAAGGCCTTTGAGAGTATCTTATTGAATGATTGAGACATTATTAGCTATACCATATTAGATACTTGTACCCCTAGCCAGAGCTCAGCTGAGCCTGAAATCATAGTTCTGGACTTTTATCTTATCTGAATTGGTCCTGTTTGGAGCGACCAATCTTACACACACATTTCAGCTTCAGATAAAGTCAGAAAACTACATCAGAAGGGTTAGTTCCGTTTTTGCTCTTCAGAATTTGATTGATTTCCAAACTTACGTACTAATTCTCTCGTGGGCCTTGCATTAGGAAGGTTAAACCAAAGTAAAATAAAACATTTCTAGGGCTCTGTTTGTCTTCTCAAAATGGTTAGTGCTGTGATTGACTCCAGAATCAGGCTTCATCCTGGAGCATCCAAAACTCAGGACCACCGTTTCCCGGGGACTCACGCTCAACCCCCCACACTGGGCCTGTGTACACCCCCATCCACAGCCTCAGGAAGAAGGACCTTAAAGGTGGTCACAGAAGAATTTACAAGCTGCTCTTAGGACTGGCTTTGTCTCAGTTGCACATGAGCCAGAGCCACTTCTCCCAATCAAAGGTGATTTCTCCTTTGCTCCCACTTCTCCAGCCACAAGCCAACTGTCTATGAGACTGTCAGACATCAGCCCCCTCTCCCTTACCCTGTGGGACTCTCCCATGGAAAGTGCCTCCATCGACCCCAGGGTCTCACCCCAACTCCCCAGCTAATTTCCTGCTTTAGGGCTTGGGCAGGACACTTCTATCTAGGGCCCTAGACACCCCCTGTCCTCTGAGAACCCCGCCAGGCCTAGCCAGAGACCTACCACTTGCCCTCAAAACCATTTCCTCCTCATCCCGAGGTACACTTTTAGGCTTCCAAGGAAAAACCAGAACATGGTAGATGGATCTTCGCAACTGCTCCAAGGTCTTCCCCTCCAAAACCACAAAGCAGGCAGGTGAGTATCCTGGAATGAGTCCCCAGTGGCCTCCTGGGGGCTTGGAGAGGGGCCTCCAATTTCCTGGGCATTATATGTGTCAGGGGGTGGTAATCCCAGCCAGAAGCCTGGCATTCAGCCCCCAAGTCCTGACATCTTGTTCTAATCTACCCTGCCCGCTCATTACTGGGGCAATACAAGTCTCCATCCTTTCCCATCTGGTCAACACCCCCTCTCCGTCTTGGCCAGAGTAGATTCTCAGGAACCCAAATCCGACAACGAAGCTCCCCTGCTAAAATCTGGAGGTCAAAAGCCTGGGAGATAAGGGTTCCCCCTTCACCTGCAGTGGCCTTGGCCATCAGCCCAGCCCTGTCTGCGGATCCAGCCTTATCTAGGCCCCACCCTCCCTCACCCCACTCTCCAGCCGGCCAACCATCTCGTTCTTTGTTACCAGAACACATGCACTGGCAGGCTCTCCACCTTTGCACTTACCATTCCCTCCTCCTAGAAGAGCCTTCCTCCCTTATCCTTCCAGCAAATTCCTGCTCAACTTTCAAGGCCCAGCTCAAAGGTCTGCTCCTGCATGAAGCCCTGTCTCACCGCCGGTTCAGTCCAAGCAGGCTGCCATCATAGACCTACCATAAACATTTATTTCTCATGGTTCTGGAGGCTGGATGCCCAAGGCCAAAGCCAAGCTGCCAGCACCCTCAGGTTCTGGTGAGGGGCCTCTTCCCTGCTTGCAGACGGCCACCTCCTTTCTGTGCATGCCCATGACATTGTTCTTCTGATAAGGCCACCAATCCTATCAAATTAGGACCCTACCCATATGACATCATCTCACTTTAATGACTTCCTAAAAGCCTTATCTCCAAATACAGTCACATGGGGGTTAGGCCTTCAACATAGGAATTTGGGGCAGGGACACAGTTCAGTCCATAACACCTCCGCAGACAAATCTGATCTCTGCCTCCTCCACAGCGCCACCTTGTTCAGGGCAGGACTTCTCTTCATCACAGCACATCCACCCTTGATTCCCATTTGTGCCTCGTGTGCATTTGATGAATGAATGAAGTCCCATCCCCTACTCCTTCTGTCTCCTCCTTCCTCCCAGCAGCCTCTGTGTGACAACTTATCCGTCTCTCCCACTGTCCCAGTTCCCAGAGGCAGGAGCCACCCTCTCATGCATCCCTGGGCTCTCGGCACCCTGCACAGGGCAGGCCCGGGTGGGTGAATTCTGGTTCAATTGTAGGAGGACCTGTGGCCCCTGGGGTTGGCGAACCCCGGGCCGGGAGTCCCACTCCTTGCCATTGTCGCCCCCACACATTCATCAGCCCCCTATTGGACAAAGTCTTATTCCCATTACTGAGGTTTCTTCCAGTCCTACGGGGCAGAGTTCCCGATCTCTGGGCAGGCAACAGCAGCTGTGCAAAAAAGGCCAGACATCGCCTTCCTCCCACAACTCCACAGGCCGGGAACCGTGCATGTACAGTGGCGTTTCTTTGTTCCTAGGTAGGAAAAGCCATTAGTTTTAGCACCGCAGAAAAAAACGCAAATCGCTCTTGGTGCTTTTTGATTTCCGTCCAGGTCTCCCTCCACAGGTGAATGCTATATGAATGGGTCCTGCATTTGGCTCAGCAAGCAGCTCTCCGGCTCACATCGGGATATTTATTTAACGTATCTGGTTTTTACTCCCTCCCGTCCAAAAGCGTCAAGCTAAAAATATCTTGTTTATGAGCTCTGGACCGAAAACGAAGCAGTTGGGCTATTAATCACTGGGACTATGTTGAATAGGAACTTGATTAAAGCGCAGTGTGCGTTGCCCAGATGAAACTGCTTCTTTACTGCGATCGTCGTGGAAGCTCGGGGCTCTCCAGCGGTGTTTTTAGCTGTGCCCCCTCCGGGGCTCCTGGGCGGGTCGTGGCGCCTTGCCAGGCCTAAGGCCACTGTCGGTGAAGGGGGTCTTCCCTCACCTGTAGGCAAGCGCGCCTCTAGCCGGGACGCAGGCGGCGTCAGGCCTCAGCGCCAGTGGCGAGGGGCGGCGCGGGCAAGGACAGGAGACACTTGAGGGCTCCCAAGACTCCATCTGGGCCCAGCTGACGGTCCGTAGCCGCCACCCCGGCCCCGGTAAAGAATGCGAGGGACGCACGTGGCTGGGGGTCTCGGTGGCAAGCTCCTTCCCCCGCCGCGGTGAGAGCATTAGCTGCCGCACTCAAGGGGCCCCAGGGCCTGGCCGCCTCGGTCCCTAGGATCCCGGGGACTACAGCGCCCGGCGAACCACTGGGCAGAGTTCTCCCTGTGCGTGCTCGGACCTGGCAGCCCGGCGGCCTGGACACCCTCGCTCCCGCCGTTGGCGCCCACCTGAATGGGGAGGCGGGGGAGGAAGCGGTGGCTTCGGGCCTCGAGGGCTGCGGCCCCCGCCTCGGAATCCCGGCCCCAGAGTTAAGTTTGTCTCCTCCCTCGGTGCGCCCCTCCCCGTGCTCGCCCCGGCGTCCAGCTCCGCTAGTCTGGGGGGCCCCGCGGTCCCGCAGGAAAAAAAATCGGCGACTCCACGCCGGGTAACAGCGCCGGCCCCGCGCGCCTAGCAAGCCGCGCGCTCCGACCTGGAGAAGTAATTATAAAGAAAGTTTTCCAGCCCGGGCGGATCGACCGGCCAGGTCCTCCAGGCTCCCGGGCCGAGGCCGCCTCCGCTCCCCGCGGGGTCCTAGCGCCCTGCGCGGCGCCGCCCATGGGACCCCGGCGTCCTCCGAGAGGTACCTCTGCGCGGAATCACAGGGGTAGCCTGGAGATCAGAGCTAGGAGACGCAGAGCCACCGCGCTCAGGACCTCTCCGCGCGTCCCAAACGGCCCCCCACCGGCCCCAGCCCCGCTGCTCTGCGCTGCAGCCTCCCCGGGACGCGGGTCCGGGACAGGCCTGGTTCTGGCTTTGAAAGAGAATCCGCGCCCCAGCAGCTCAAGACCAAGACTCGCCCTCCGCCCCCCACCCCTACCCCGTGCAGCCTCGGGATACTCCTGGGCTCCCGGCCGTGGCTGGATACGGGCGCCTAGGGCAGGCAGGAGGAGGGGGCCCCCGCTACCGACCACGTGGGCGCGGGGGCGACGGCCGGGCCGGGGGCGGAGCTTGGAGCGAGCGCCGCGGCTCTGCTGGGCGCGCTGGAGGCGGTGGGCGTTGCGCCGCGGCCTGCCTGGGGAGCGCGGCGCTGTGCCGCGCTGGTTCGCCGCCCCATGCCGGCCGCGCGCTAGGACCCAGCAGGCGCCGCGCCGCCGCAGCCCGGGGACAGAGGCCGCCTCGGACTCTAGGGGGCGACGCGGCCTGCCGGGTATAAAAGCTGGGCCGGCGCGGGCCGGGCCATTCGCGACCCGGAGGTGCGCGGGCGCGGGCGAGCAGGGTCTCCGGGTGGGCGGCGGCGACGCCCCGCGCAGGCTGGAGGCCGCCGAGGCTCGCCATGCCGGGAGAACTCTAACTCCCCCATGGAGTCGGCCGACTTCTACGAGGCGGAGCCGCGGCCCCCGATGAGCAGCCACCTGCAGAGCCCCCCGCACGCGCCCAGCAGCGCCGCCTTCGGCTTTCCCCGGGGCGCGGGCCCCGCGCAGCCTCCCGCCCCACCTGCCGCCCCGGAGCCGCTGGGCGGCATCTGCGAGCACGAGACGTCCATCGACATCAGCGCCTACATCGACCCGGCCGCCTTCAACGACGAGTTCCTGGCCGACCTGTTCCAGCACAGCCGGCAGCAGGAGAAGGCCAAGGCGGCCGTGGGCCCCACGGGCGGCGGCGGCGGCGGCGACTTTGACTACCCGGGCGCGCCCGCGGGCCCCGGCGGCGCCGTCATGCCCGGGGGAGCGCACGGGCCCCCGCCCGGCTACGGCTGCGCGGCCGCCGGCTACCTGGACGGCAGGCTGGAGCCCCTGTACGAGCGCGTCGGGGCGCCGGCGCTGCGGCCGCTGGTGATCAAGCAGGAGCCCCGCGAGGAGGATGAAGCCAAGCAGCTGGCGCTGGCCGGCCTCTTCCCTTACCAGCCGCCGCCGCCGCCGCCGCCCTCGCACCCGCACCCGCACCCGCCGCCCGCGCACCTGGCCGCCCCGCACCTGCAGTTCCAGATCGCGCACTGCGGCCAGACCACCATGCACCTGCAGCCCGGTCACCCCACGCCGCCGCCCACGCCCGTGCCCAGCCCGCACCCCGCGCCCGCGCTCGGTGCCGCCGGCCTGCCGGGCCCTGGCAGCGCGCTCAAGGGGCTGGGCGCCGCGCACCCCGACCTCCGCGCGAGTGGCGGCAGCGGCGCGGGCAAGGCCAAGAAGTCGGTGGACAAGAACAGCAACGAGTACCGGGTGCGGCGCGAGCGCAACAACATCGCGGTGCGCAAGAGCCGCGACAAGGCCAAGCAGCGCAACGTGGAGACGCAGCAGAAGGTGCTGGAGCTGACCAGTGACAATGACCGCCTGCGCAAGCGGGTGGAACAGCTGAGCCGCGAACTGGACACGCTGCGGGGCATCTTCCGCCAGCTGCCAGAGAGCTCCTTGGTCAAGGCCATGGGCAACTGCGCGTGAGGCGCGCGGCTGTGGGACCGCCCTGGGCCAGCCTCCGGCGGGGACCCAGGGAGTGGTTTGGGGTCGCCGGATCTCGAGGCTTGCCCGAGCCGTGCGAGCCAGGACTAGGAGATTCCGGTGCCTCCTGAAAGCCTGGCCTGCTCCGCGTGTCCCCTCCCTTCCTCTGCGCCGGACTTGGTGCGTCTAAGATGAGGGGGCCAGGCGGTGGCTTCTCCCTGCGAGGAGGGGAGAATTCTTGGGGCTGAGCTGGGAGCCCGGCAACTCTAGTATTTAGGATAACCTTGTGCCTTGGAAATGCAAACTCACCGCTCCAATGCCTACTGAGTAGGGGGAGCAAATCGTGCCTTGTCATTTTATTTGGAGGTTTCCTGCCTCCTTCCCGAGGCTACAGCAGACCCCCATGAGAGAAGGAGGGGAGCAGGCCCGTGGCAGGAGGAGGGCTCAGGGAGCTGAGATCCCGACAAGCCCGCCAGCCCCAGCCGCTCCTCCACGCCTGTCCTTAGAAAGGGGTGGAAACATAGGGACTTGGGGCTTGGAACCTAAGGTTGTTCCCCTAGTTCTACATGAAGGTGGAGGGTCTCTAGTTCCACGCCTCTCCCACCTCCCTCCGCACACACCCCACCCCAGCCTGCTATAGGCTGGGCTTCCCCTTGGGGCGGAACTCACTGCGATGGGGGTCACCAGGTGACCAGTGGGAGCCCCCACCCCGAGTCACACCAGAAAGCTAGGTCGTGGGTCAGCTCTGAGGATGTATACCCCTGGTGGGAGAGGGAGACCTAGAGATCTGGCTGTGGGGCGGGCATGGGGGGTGAAGGGCCACTGGGACCCTCAGCCTTGTTTGTACTGTATGCCTTCAGCATTGCCTAGGAACACGAAGCACGATCAGTCCATCCCAGAGGGACCGGAGTTATGACAAGCTTTCCAAATATTTTGCTTTATCAGCCGATATCAACACTTGTATCTGGCCTCTGTGCCCCAGCAGTGCCTTGTGCAATGTGAATGTGCGCGTCTCTGCTAAACCACCATTTTATTTGGTTTTTGTTTTGTTTTGGTTTTGCTCGGATACTTGCCAAAATGAGACTCTCCGTCGGCAGCTGGGGGAAGGGTCTGAGACTCCCTTTCCTTTTGGTTTTGGGATTACTTTTGATCCTGGGGGACCAATGAGGTGAGGGGGGTTCTCCTTTGCCCTCAGCTTTCCCCAGCCCCTCCGGCCTGGGCTGCCCACAAGGCTTGTCCCCCAGAGGCCCTGGCTCCTGGTCGGGAAGGGAGGTGGCCTCCCGCCAACGCATCACTGGGGCTGGGAGCAGGGAAGGACGGCTTGGTTCTCTTCTTTTGGGGAGAACGTAGAGTCTCACTCTAGATGTTTTATGTATTATATCTATAATATAAACATATCAAAGTCAATGTCGGTGTCTTTTTAAAACCAGAAAGAAGCTACTTCCAAGGTTGTCTGTGGGCCAGGTCACATTTGTAAATAATACAGCATTTTCCCTGGCGGCAATCCTGACTTTCATGAGCTCTCCATCCATCCTGAGCCCCTCTTACCCTAAGGGGGTGACTTACTTCCCCCAGGCAAGACAAATAAATAGCAGAGGACAAGGCTCCAAATGGAGTATGTCCAGAGCCTGAAGGCAGTCTCTTGGGGTCAGGGGAGGGGGCTGAAGGGGTTACTGGGCTGAGGCCTTGGCGAGGCTTCTTATCTGCCCCGGGGAGGAGGAGAGGGAGTCCTCTGCCTGAGGGGTAGGCCTGGCTAAGCAGCCCTAGGCTCAAGGAGCCCTTTGTGCAGACTTCCTTGCAAATCACCTACAGCTGCAGCCCTGGCCACTCACACACACCGCAGCTCCAGATTCCAGCAGGACCCTCGGCCAGCAGGAAGAGGCCTCCAGTGGTAGGACCCTCCAACCCTCTCCTCTTTCCCTAGACCATGTGGCTACACCCTACCCCTGCGAGGCCCGAAGGCAGCCTGAAGAGAGAGACCCCTCCATCCAGCCCTCCACACCTGCCCAGCCCCAGCCCTCACAAGAAAGGGGGCTGAGGCAGGCCTGCAACAGGGGTCTGGTCCTGCCCCACACACTGGCTGTTCAAGAACCCACCCAGCATCCACACTCCCCACTGCATTCATCCCAGACCCAGCAGGGGACTGAGTGCTGGTGTGCCCCCAACTCCAATGAGCACCCTGTAAGGTCAGGCACTCCGGCACCCCCTTAGCAGCAGTGACAGCCAAGCAAGGGAGGGCAGCCCTTATCCCTGAACTAACAAGGCCCGGGAGAAAGAGGCCCAGGAGGCTGATGGTGCTTTTCAGATTTTACCCTCACGGAGGGTAAAAGATAAATTGCACTTTTCTTTTTTTTTTAACTCTGTACCGAGAGAATGTTCACTGAGTGGCTTACTGTGTGTACCAATGCGGGCTGGGGCATTTTCGAGAAATTACACATTCCTTTTACACTCTGGAAGCTTAGCTTTACCTGCCTGCGTGGTTAGCTGGCACCCCTTCCGGCCCCCCACTCTGTCCTGTGTCTGGCCGCCTCCTCACCCACGGCCGCCCTTGGCAGAGGAGAGGCCACGAGCCCAGTGAGGAGGCGGCGCCTGCCCCGCCACCCTGGGAACAGAGGAGGCAGAGCCCCGCCGCGTGCCCCGAGGCCTGGGGCAGGTCGCAGCTTGCTAAGCCCCAGCAAACCCTCTGAGTTCAGTGCTAATTCCAGTTTTTCTTGTTTGAGGGGGCTGATCCCTGGCTTCCCCCTTTCCCCCCAGAACAGGTCCTAGGACGGGAGGGGGTGGGGCGACCCTCCTGCCCTCACTCCTTCCCCTCCTCTCTGCTGTGCCAGCCCGCTAGGGGCTTCCTCTTTTAAAGCTGATGGCTCCCGGAAGGGATCCCTCCTACCCCGAGTCCTCCTCCTGGTCCTGAGTTCCAGGGTGGGCTTTGTTAGGGACAAGAAGGATCCAATCACATCCAGCCCCAGGAAAGGGATGAGGAGGGCGAGGCCCCCGGGGGGGGCCAAAGTAGAGGGGAGGAAGGTCTTTTGGGCGGCATGGGGTGAACCTGCCCAGCATGTACCCCGTGTCCAGCTGTAGGGGCTTCCCGGGAACAGAGTCACCCTTGGCCACCCACCGCTTCCTGCAGGGTTCCTCACAGTTCCCCTCCTGACTACAGCCTTCAGGAAGAACCATTCCAAGAGCCCAGCACTGAACACACCTCAAGTATTTATCAGATGCCTACTGTATGCCAGGGCCTGCGCCAAAGATGGGGCACTGGGCTGGGAACAAGCCGACTCTGCTCTGGCTCTTGGGGAGCTCACACCCTTGAGGCCCTAAGCTGTGGTTTAAGGTTGCCAAGTGCAATGAAGGGGATCTCAGAGTGTGAACAGGGTCCACCAGGGAGGGCTTTATGGAGGCAGCAGCTTTGATGAAATACCTGGGGAGGGTGGCCTCCTGCTGGCCCCAGTCCCAAGATGCCTGGATGCTTCTCCTTTGCCCTGATCGATCTCCCCTTGACATGTAGCACCTGACTGCAGGGACCTCGCCCCCCTTGCTGCGCCACTCCTGAGCCCTGTGTCCCGTGACAGCGCTGTTCAGGGTTAGCTGGCCTTCAAGGAAAGGGCAAGGGTAGAAGGGAGGGAGGCATCTCCTCTGCTGCCAGATGCGTCCTGATGGCTTAGTGCTGTCACGGATATTACTGTTATCTCCTGGATCTCCTGGGAATCTGTGAACGTGGGGTTTGGCCCTGACACCTGCGATGAGCCACTGGGCCTGGTGAGGAGTGTCTGCCCCTCCCAGCTCTCCCACCTGCTCCTTCCCAGGCAGGAACCTGCCAGGCCTCCTCCAGGAGCTGCTGGTCTCACAGGAGGGGAAGGGGCCACTCATGGGGAAGGACAAGGGATAGCAGAAACCCCTGACTTTGTTTAGCCAAGAGGGGCCTCCAAGGCACCCACAGGCCTTCTCCAGGCATGGGGCAGAGTCCTTGCCTAGATGGTGTTGATATTCCAGCTGTTTCTTTCCTATACTAGTGAGGACGGGAAGGCTTTTCTGTTCTTTTCTTTTTTTAGAGACAGGGTCTCACTTTGTCACCCAGGATGGTGTACAGTGGTGCAGTCACCACTCCCACAACCTCAAACTCCTGAACTCATACAATCCTCGTGCCTCAGCCTCCTACTCAGCCTTTAAGTAGCTGCTGGGATTAATTTTATTTTTCGTAGAGGTGGGGGTCTCACTGTGTTTCCCAGGCTGGTTCAGAATTGCCGGCCTCAAGTGATCTTCCCTCCTCAGCCTCCCAAAGTGCTGGGATTACAAGCGTGAGCCACCCTGCCAGGCCTCTTTTTCCTTTCTTTAGATAAAACTAACCCACTAGCACCTTTGAAAGCTTTCTTGATTCTGTGAAAGACTCTTGCTATCTCTTCTCTCTGGACAACCCCACCTCTCCCCCTCCCCCACGCCCCTCTCTGCCGATGGAGTGTTTGACGTAAGCTGAGGCCCAGGGAAGATACCGATTCACTATCAAAGCATCCTAGCCCCATCCCAGAGCAATTAAAAAGCCAGATGGAATCTCTGGGAAAACGGCATTAATAACACGAACAATCTGTGTTGGCCGGGGGAACCCAGGAGCCCCAGGCAGGGGTGGGGCTGTGAGGGGAGGGAAGCTGGGGTGCCGAAGTGGAAGCTCGCAGCGACATCTCCACCCTGTTGTGGCGGCCGGGGATGGGGCCGCCGTAAGGGTATGCTAGGTCCAGCTGCAGCTGCACTGTCCCCTCCAGCCCTTGCAAGGCCCACAGTGCACCCTGGATCCTGGTGGCTGCAGACCAAGCCAGACAAATGTGGAACCCATTACTCAGACAGCTGCAGCCCTGGCCAGCCCCGTTCTGGCACCCAAGAGCTTTGCTTCCCTTCGGTTTGTTTTTATTTATATTTTTCTAGCCTTCTGGCCCCACCCACTAGGAACAGGCCTCTCCGGGTTTGGCTGGCATAGACACCCTTTCTCTCCATTTGCTGTGCCCACATCCGCTGCCTGTGCTTGACAATAGCAGAAGACAGTGTTGGGGAACTCCAGTAGGCCTGAAGTCCAGAAACTCCCCTTAGAATGCAAAGGCTGGGTGCAGTGGTTCATACCTGTAATTCCAGCACTTTGAGAGACTGAGGTGGGAGGATTGCTTGAGCCCAGGAGTTCAAGAACAGTCTGGGCAACATAGTGAGACCCTTTGTCTCCAAAAACATTATCCAAGTGTGGTGTCACATGCTTGTAGTCTCAGCTACTCGGGAGGCTGAGGTGGGAGGATCGTTTGAGCCTAGGAGTTGGAGGCTGTAGATCACACCACTGTACTCCAGCCTGGACAACAGAGCAAGACCCTGTCTCAAAAATAAGAAAAAACAGAATGCAAAGTGGTAGACACTTTGAGCAAGACCAGCTGAGCTCTCAAAAGCCAGCATGATTTCTGGGGCAGCGGGGCACAGGGTTCACACTGCCCAGCTACCTCGAGGGGCCCAGAAGAGGCTGGACCAGGGCGACAGGCAAAGAATCCTCTACGAATTCAAAGCCTTTTCTAGGCAGAGCCAAGAAGTGAGACTCTTCTATAGCAGCCCCGTTTTTCAGACTTGTCTGCAGGCTCACCCGACTTAAAGACGTAGTTCTCCTGCAGCCATCAAGCTGGGGTGGGAAACTAGCTTGTTTAAGAAACATCCTTTGTGGTTGTCACATAGCCAGAGAGCCATTTTCTGACACTCATCCTCACTGTCCCCTCATCCTCATCCTCCACCTTTATCCTCCCTGGAAACTCTTCTCCTCAAGGTCACACCAGCCCCTAAAGCCAAATCAAATGACCACTCCTGGGGTCCTTCCTGCCTGTCTTGGCCTCCTACTGAACTTGGCCGCAGCAGATTTTCAGTGTCTGGCTATGCAGATCTTGAACATACGTGTTTGAATGCAAGGATCTCTCTCCTTCTTTACAAGACATCCTCACCCTCTCCTTTCTATCCAAGGGTCCATTGGGTTGGCCCAAGGTCCGCCAAGCAAGCCGCACCATTGTCAGAGGCAACGCAAGAGCACAGTAAATAAGGCTCCCCCGTGGTGGCCCACTGAGTTGCAGCTTCTACAGTTACTTTGTTGTTTGGTTTTGTTTGACAAAGTCTCACTCTGTTGCCCAGGCTGGAGTGCAGTGGCGCAATTTCAGCTCACTGCAACCTCTGCTTCCCAGATTCAAGTGATTCTCCTGCCTCAGCCTCCTAAGTAGCTGAGATTACAAGCATGCACCACCAAGCCTGGCTAAATTTTTTTTTTTATATTTTTAGTAGCGATGGGGTTTCACCATGTTGGCTAGGCTGGCCTCGAACTCCTGACCTCTAGTGATTCGCCTACCTTGGCCTCCAAAAGTGCTGGGATTACAGGTGTGAGCCAACACGCCTGGCTTTTTTTTTTTTTTTTTTGAGATGGGATTTCACTCTTGTCGCCCGGGCTGGAATGCAATGGTGCATTCTCAGCTCACTGCAACCTCCACCTCCCGGGTTCAAGTGATTCTCCTGCCTTGGCCTCCTGAGTAGCTGGGATTACAGGCACACACCACCACACCCAGGTACTTTTTGTATTTTTAGTAGAGACAGGGGTTTCACCATGTTGGCCAGGCTGGTCTCGAACCCCTGACTTCAGGTGATCCACCCTCCTGGGCCTCCCAGAGTGTTGGGATTACAGGCGTGAGCCACCATGACTGGCCTGTTTTGTTCTTTTGAGTCAGGGTCTCTCTCTGTTGCCCAGGCGGGAGTACAACCTCCACCTCCTGGACTCAAGAGGTCAAGTAGCTGGGACTATAGGCACATTCCACTACACCAGGCTAATTTTCAAATATTTTTGTAGAGAAGGGATTTCACTTTGTTGCCCAGGCTGGTCTGGAACTCCTGGGCTCAAGCGACCCTCTCTCTTCGGCTTCCCAAAGCACTGGGATTACAGGCATGAGCCACAGCACCCGGCCCCTGAAGTTACTTTTAACATTCAAGAATCCTAAGAAAGGTAACCCATCCGGTCCTAGATAATCTTCCCTGCCTTCATGTGATTAGTTTATCACCAGAATCAGAGGTCTGGCCAGGCCCCAGAGAGACAGTCATGCTCTGCAGGAGACTGTGCGGGGAGGAGGTAAGATTTCCAAAAGAGAGGACAGGGTAGGGGAGAAGCAGCCCTGTCTGCCCCCAAGCTGCAGGAGCCGCAGGTGAGCACGGGGGAACGAGAACGGCCACATTTCTGCTTTAAAAGCTATTTCAAGGCTTCATGTCTCTCCTCTTATCTCCACTCTAGGACGACTGGCAAGGTTGTTATTGAGGGACTACAGCCTGAGGGTGGGGAGGCTAGGGACCAAATGTGGTGGCCTAGAGCCAGGGCATGTCACACAGGGACCCGGACGGGGCTTGAGGGAGCCCTCACCGCCTGTCCCAAGCCCTCTTGGATCTGAAGATCTTTTCTTCAGCCAAATGGCAGCCCAACCTTTCACCAGAAACACAGCCTCTCTTCCCTGAGCCACCGCCGCCATTTCTTCTCTGCCTCGGCCATGGTGGCCTCGGAGACTCCCTCACCTCCCTCCAGCCAACCAGAGCACCCTCCCCAGCACCCCCCAAGAATGCCATGCCCTCCCGCAGATGCGGAAATGTGGCTGATTTACAGCGGCCTTTCCCGTGCACATGTTGGGCAATGGTCTCAGCCGGCTCAACCCCTGCTCAGAGAAAGGGGGTGGGGATGGGTCAAGGGGGCGTCAGGGCTGGGTGTCTGCTCCAAAGGGAGCCGCCGTGACCTTCAGCATCAGGTTAGGACCCGTCTGAAGTAGCCTCCTGGAGCGATTTACAATTTGCAAACACGTTTTATTTGATTCCTGAGTTTTGCTAGAGCAATTACCGTGACTAAGCATGACAGATCACTCCCAGCACGGTGTCTACTCGCTGTTAGGAAATGTGTGTTTGCTTCACTCTTTTGCCTGGTGCGGCAGTGTTTTAAAAATAGACTCATTCACTGTACTTGAAGGCAATTTGTTCCAAATTTTCCCACTAATTTGATTTTAATCTGATATTTAAAATTCATGTGGCCACATTCCCACTGATTTATAGGGAATAAGCCCTACCTGGCAGCTGTTTAATTGGCCTTAGCCCAGGAGGCCACAGGACAAAGGATTTATCCCGGAACAATCTGAAGGCACTGTGGTCTGTCATGCTGAAATATATGCCTCATTCAGCATCACAAGTGCTACTTGCCTGGAGCCAGGACCACTGGGCATGGAGCTGAAGGCTACAGAACCCTGGCTCACAGTGGGCCTTCAGTCTCGTACCGGACACGTAAGTGAAGCCCGGGCACCCTGACAGAGTGCACACTCGAGGTGTGTGCTGAGTCGGTTTCTGGAGCAAAGCAGTTTGTTCACGGGTGACAAGGAGGCGTTTCCCGTTTCTCCCATCCCGTGATGAGGATGGCCCATGGGAAGAGGGCCGTGCCATCCTGGCATCAAACCAAATCCTGGCCTTGCCTCCTGCTGACTGGGTGGCCCCGCACTGAGTCTGTCAGTTTCTCCGAGCTTCAGTTTCCTTTTATGCAAAATGTATGCAAAACAAGTAGCATGTCATGGAGTTGTGAAAGATAAACAGGGAAAGCTTATGAGACACTTGGCTCCAGCTAATGATTCCCACGTGCTGGGGCAGAAGGCAGAGTGGGAGGCTAGGGCACACCTTGGTCCCTGAAAAACGCAGTGGAAGGAGACAGCCTTCTTAAGAATTTAGGGCAAAATGCTTGTTCCAAATAACCAAACAACTGAAGTCATTTTAATGTTGCTTAGATTTCCACACCCCCTCCCCCCCACAAAGGATGCCTTTCATTTGCTTAGAAAACACTTAATGAGCTCATTCTGGGGGCAGAGCCCCCTTGCCAGTGACTTTGAAGGCTAAGCACAGTGGTCAAAGCCTGTACGACACTCAGATGAGCAGGCACAGGTGCCCCGTGTGCTTGTCGAAGTAAAATGCTCTTCGTGGGCCAGGCGCAGTGGCTCATGCCTGTAATCCCAGCGCTTTGGGAGGCCGAAGTGGGAGGATGGCTTGAAGCCAGGAGTTTGAGATAAGACTGGGCAGCATAGCCAGACCCCCATCTCTACAAGATTTGTTTTAATGTCCTTCATACAAGTGCAGAATCCCAGGTGACGACCCATGGGGAGTTCAAGAGAGAACAAGTATTCTCACTGGGGTGGCAGCCTCCCCAGGTACTGAGAGAGTCCTCGGCCCCAAGGGCCTCCCAGTTAACTTCTGTTTGGAAGGCTGTGACCTCAGCAAGTAAAGGGGTGAGGGTGGGGGTCCTGCCTTCCCCTTGCTGGTGAGAAGGGAGCCAGAGACATGTGCTGTGTGTGTCAGGGGTGGGGGACACATCCTGCTCCCTTGCCCCCTCACTTCTCAACTGTGTCATCTCAGCACTTGGCATCACAGCTGGTTTCCATTTGCCCAACCCAGCTCGGGCCCAGGAGGTCAGCGTGAGCCCTGCAGGAGAGCCACCCAGGCAGGGCTTCCAACAACCAGGGAAGCTTCTGGGGTCCTGGGGTGTCCTGGAGGAGGGGCAAGAAGGCAGGTAGGAGGAGGCCTCAGCCAAGCTTCCCTAGCGCCGGGGCCGCCAACAGGAAAAGGTTCTAGAAACCAACCCTGCTCTTCCCTGCCCTGCCAGGAATGCTACCACGAGGGTAATTCAAGTTAATAAGCAAACTCCTCAGGCAAGGAAGGCAGGCAGCTCTTGGGCCCCTTCGTCTCCCTGTTCAAGCACAGGAAGCTGTTGGATTCCACTTGCCAAGGCAAAGGAGGGCCACAATTATGAAGAGGGGCTGGGAGGCCTTAAATCATTGGCTTCTTCACCCTGCAGATCAGCTGGGCTCGGTGCAGGGCAGCAGAAAGGACAGAGGAGAGGCTGGGGTGTGGGTGACTCCCAGAGCAACCGGGGAGAGGGGCGATGTGGGGGTGCTGGTGCGGGTGCAGCCACGTGCCACCTGCATGTGATCTCAAGGCCGATGCAGGGCTGGAGGGGTCAGACCCAGGGGCTCAGGGTCCCCTCAAGTGCAATTCCCAAGTTCACCAAGGCCTGTGCTCCTTTGTTCAAGGAGCAATCTTGTCTGGGAGAGGTGGAGGCATGAGTCACAGGCCAGGCCCCTGAGCCGAGGGGAGGTGGGGACGATGGCTCCAAGCCTGAAATGTGTCAGAGGTGAGGTGAGCATCTTGAGTGAGGCAGTGATGTTGCTATATGGGGCAGCGCTGCCTGGGGGCGGTGCGTGAGCCACGCTGGAGGGACAGCAGCCTGCTCTGGGTTCCTCTGCCTCCCTGGGAAGCATCAGACTCCTCAGGGTCCCAGCCGCTCACCCAGGAGCCAGGCATCCTAGGAGATGCCCCAGCCAGGTGCCCAGTGCCATAGAGCCTAGGCCCCTCAGGGACCCTTCTCACCGGAAGCAGTGATAAGACCAGGGCTGGAACACAGGCAGGAGCGGCACCTGAGCTCCTAGACTCCCCATCCAGTGGGGTAGTTTAACCCTCTGTACCCCCAAATCCACCCAGGGGAGTGAAATGCTCCTGTTTCCCCAATGCCCTCATGATTGGCTCAATTCCATCACACCTCCCGCCACTGCCTCCACTCAACATTCTTCAACTCAATTTCCTTTAGTTTTCAATTTAAAAAATTAAATCAACTGCATGCTGTTTGGAACATCTTTGAGAATTTCAAAATCGAACGGCATGTCTGAGACATTGCAGAGCCAGATCTGGGAGACCACATGACACCCCAGGCTTTGCTCATTAGGGGCTGAGAGATCAACCACCACTTGGCCACCCCTCTCTGCTTTTGCCCTGGGACTGGTGTCCTGCCCAGCACAGGGGCCTGGAGGGACCTGCTGCTGGGGGTGGGGGAATCTGGCACATGCCTGAGGACAAGGGTGGGACCAGGGCCTCCCTGAGCTCCACCATGAAGCTGCTCACAGTGCCCAGGCCCTGACGCTGGTTACACAAGGGCTGGGCCTGCCTTCCCGCCCACTGGGGGTGTGGGACTGTGTGTGCGCCCTGGCCTCATCACACACCTGCTGTGTGACCCGGCACAGGTTTGGCAGCCTCTCTGTTTGAGCATGTCTGAGAGGCGTGCCGAGATTCCCAGAGGCAAGATGATGAATGGTGTCCCTCCAGAACAGAGCAACTGCAGGAACCTGATTCCAGGACGAGTCACCATGAGGAGGCCAGGGACCAGGCCACCTGGCCACCAAGGTGGGGAGCGTGAGTCACAAACAAGCTACCCACCTGCCAGCCAGATCACTCGCCTGTCCAAGAAAGCACAAGGCTGGGAGGTAGAGGATGGTAGGACCCAGGGTTGGGTAATACCCTGCCTGCCCCTGGAGCCCAGCTCCTAGGTCTTTGACAGCCAGGTCCCAGGTGATGCTGGTGTGCTGGGAAGCGAGGGACAAAGCTCCTTTGGACCAATTCATATCAGTCAGCTAGTGAATGAGTCTCCACCAAGCACCCTTAAGGGCCCAGGCACAGAATGGGGAGACAAAGGTCGGTGGACAGAAGAGGAACAGTGTCTAGGAGGAAGATATCAGCATCAGCACTGAATCAGGGTGGGAGAGAGGCATTCCTCACCCACCCACTCATGCCACTGGACCCCCAGTTGCCTGTGGAATGTTGTCTTGCTATCTCCTAGTGCTGGTCAGCAAGGCCCATGGGAGGGAAGAAGGAACAGGAGGACACAGCTGTGGTCATCTCAGAGTGGCCCAAATAGTTCCTAAGAAGGCAGGGGTGAACCACAGAGGCAGGAGACAGGCAAGAGTTGATTTCTCACTCCTGATCTTGTTTTCATGTGTCATTTGCTATATTTTACTTGGTATTGTACAACACTGTGGCCTTTGACCAAGAGTAGACTAGGTCCAGAATCTCCCATTAGTATGTTTTGAATTCTAGGTTGTCTGAAACATGGGAGATGGATTGATTGTCACCAAGGCACAATGACTCAGTTTTTCTTCTCACACAGTCATGTATCAGTTCCAGAAAATGTTTACCCATATTCATCCTTAAAACAATGGCTCCACTCCATTTCCTCTCTCCTCACCTTCAAGGACAATATGAAATATATTAGGTCTTATTCTTTATCTCATATCTTCTCTTTTGTATTTTCTTTTTGTCTTTATGTACTACAATTGTGATAATTTCTTCTGACATCCTTTCTAGTTTACTAATTCTCTTCTCAGCTGTGTTTAATCTGTTAAACCTGTCCATTGATGTTCTTGGTCTTGGTTATTGTAGTTTTCATTTCTAGAGATCCTACTTGATTCTTTTGCAGATCTGATATTTCACTTTTTATAGATTCCCATTTCTGCAGTTATTTTTAAGCATGTCTTATTTCTTTAAACATCATAGGCACAATTACTTTATAGTCAATAATTTGAAGTCTGTGTATCAGTTCTTCCAATTTTTACTCACAGTGTCTTGTGTGTGTGTCTGATTATCTTTGACTATGTGCTGGTCATTGTTTTGATAAATCGTTTATAAGAAAGATTTAGGACAAAGGTGCCTTCCACTGGAGATCATTTTCATTTTCTCCTGCCAAACACCAAGGAATACTGACATTCCAGGGACACCTTAATCAACTATTAAGGTTTAGTGGTCCCTATCCCATCCAGGAGATGAGAACTTAGATTGGAAGTTCATATGAGGGCTGGTTTACTTCTGGTTTACTTCTGGTTCACCTTTATCCCGAGGGTGTAGCCCTTTGAAGTTCTGCATCAACATGGGATGGGTGTCCTATTATATGCCCCACCTTGTATGAGCCCCAAAGTCTGATTTCTGTCTCTTTCATTCCATGAAGCTATCAAAACAAGATTTGCATTTTTGGGGTGCAGAATGTGTCCCAGGGAAAAAGTGGCTTCTTCTCTTGCTCACCTGTCTGGATTCCTTTTCTCCTCAATTTTGGCCTGGTGGTCCCCTTCCTTCCTTTTAATACATTTTAATTTTTTTTAATCCAGCTGTTTACAGCAAGAGGATAAGCCCAAATAATCAAGTGTGCCTGTACTGGGAACTGGAAGTCCTCCTTTCATTCATTCATCAAGTGTTGGTGGAGTGCCTCCTATGTGCCAGGCACTATGCTGTGAACACAGCAGTGAAACAGACAGACAGACCAGGATCTTGGGGAGCTCCTAGTTTCTCTGGGGAGACAGACAGTAAACAGAGAGTGACACAATTTATTAGCTAATTGCAGTTGTGACACATATTGTGAAGTAAGGAAATTCAGGGGTGGTGAGAGTGTCTGCCCAGAGTCCTCACCTGCTTTGTAGACTCAGGGAAGTCACTCTTAGGGGTGTGTTTTCTTAAGCTGAGATCTGAAGATCTGAAGTGGTATTTATAAGTAGCTGGGGTTGGAGCAAAAGAATCCCAGCAGAGGGAACAGCATATACAAAACTCAGAATTGAGAAGGAGCATGACATTCTTAGGTCCTGAAAAATATCCAGTGTGGCCACAGTGCACAGAGCAGGGAGTGGGGCGTAAGGGAGGTGGAGGACAAGAGGCGAGGTCAGAGGGTCAGCTGGGTCAGACTACACAGGCTCTCACACGCAGGGGTTCAGATTTAGTCAATATCCCAAGAGCAACAGGAGCCATACAGAACATGGAGGACAGGTTTGCTTTCTGTTTGTTTGTTGTTGTTGTTGTTGTTGTTGAGACAGGGTCTTACTCTGTTGCCCAGGCTAGAGTGCAGTGGTGTGATCATAGCTCATTGCAGCCTTGACCTTCCATGCCCAGGCTATCCTCTTGCCTCAGCCTCCCAAGTAGCTGAGACTACAGGCATGTCCAACCATACCCAGCTAACTTTTTAATTTTTTGTAGAGACGGAGTCTTGCTGTGCTTCCCAAGCTGGTCTCAAACTCCTGGGCTCAAACGATCCACTCCCCTCAGCCTCCCACAGTGCTGGGATGACTGGCCTTAGCCACCGTACCAGGCCAGGTTTGCTTATTAAGATCACTCTGCTGGTGTGTGGAGCATGGGTTGTAACCAGCAAAAGGACCTCTGTCAGCCCAGTGAGGAAGCTCTGTGGCCAGAGGTGGATGGAGCCACAGAAAAGGAGGATTTGCACCAAGACTGAGCATAGACTTGTTCCCGGTTGCCTTACCCGCCTGTGCTGGTTTTCTGCCCCCATCCCCTCTACATCCTGCCCTGGGCCCTGGAGTCTGCTCTGTGTGGGCCGCACTCAGGGCCTCCCAGGCCGTCTGGCTTCCTGTTGGGTTTGGCCAATGGGCGGCACCAGCAGGAAATCAGACGGAGGAAGGAGAGAGAGGCTGCGGTGTTTCTTCTCTGCTCTCTTCTGCGTCCATGCCCCATCTGCACCCGCAAGACTACAACCCCTGTCAGGTGGCCTGTTCTCCGCCCTCCACGAGGATCCAGTAGCATCGATTCCTCCCCTCGCCCCTTCAGCCTGATAGGTGGTGATGATGGTTGCCATGGCCAGCTTCTGGGGCCTCAGCATCCCATCCTCATTCCCTTACCCCTGCTCACACCTCCATAAACTGGCCCCCTGGTTAAATAAAGGGATCTTTATTGGAATCATCAGGGTTGAGTTTGGTTTCAGCCAGGACCCTGAGGGATCCCTGCTACTCCAGTCCTTTTGCTTTAAAGAAGGCAGAGAAGGCCGGGTGCGGTGGCTTACCTCTGCAATCCCCACACTTTGGGAGGCTGAGGTGGGCGGATCACTTGAGGCGAGGAGTTCAAGACCAGCCTGGGCAACATGGTGAAATCCTGTCTCTACTAAAAATACAAAAATTAGCTGGGCGTGGTGGTGCATGCCTGTAGTCCCAGCTACTTGGGAGGCTGAGGTTGGAGGATTGTTTCAGCCCAGGAGGCAGAGGTTGCAGTGAGCCTGGGCAACAGAGCAAGATCCTGTCTTGAAAAGAAAAAAAAATTAGAAGGCAGAGAAGCAAATCTGTCTGGGGATCCTGGAGGCCAGTCCCCAGGGCCAGTCCCTCGTGGCAGCCAAAGGGGTGGTGTCTGCATTCTATAAACAAACACCCACAGGTGTGCATGGAAAGCCAGAGCCAAATGACAAACACAGCTGGGACAATGTTACAGAGCCCCAATAGCAGCAAGGACAGAGGAAATCGGGAAAATGAGGAACGTATGTGGTGGCCTCTGTGGCTGCACAATTCCTGCATGTGTCTACAGGAATTCCAGCCATGGGGCGGGGCAGGGGGAATCTGCATTCAAATGCCGCTTCCAAACACATCTTAAAAGAGGTGCCCCAGGCCGGGTGTGGTGGCTCATGCCTGTAATCCCAGCACTTTGGGAGGCCGAGGAGGGTGGATCACCTGAGTCCTGGAGTTCAAGACCAGCCTGAACAGCATGGCGAAACCCCCTCTGTACTAAAAATACAAAAATTAGCCGGGTGTGGTGGCAGGCACTTGGAATCCCAGCTTCTTGGGGGGCTAAGGCGGGAGAATCACTTGAACTCCGGAGGCAGGGGTTGCAGTGAGCCGAGATGGCTCTATTGCACTCCAGCCTGGGCGACAAGAGTGCAAAACAAAACAAAAAAAAGAGGTGCCGCAGTGATTGAGGTCAAAGTGCATCTGATTTCTGGAGTGGACTCACTGGTTTTGAAGCTGTGCATAGAGCCGTGACTTGGCCTCTCTGCCACAGGCTTCATTTCTTCTTGCCTTTCCTTTGTCTTTCCTCCCCTTCCACCCCACTTCTGCGCTGACACTGGCTTCACTTCACTTTCCCTTTGAAGACACGTGCTGGGCACACAAGCACCTACTCGGAGGATGACAGAAGCTTGGGAGCTGTGCCCTGAAATTCAGTGCTCACTCCCTGCCTGCCTGCATAGAGTCCAGGGCAATGAGGAACAGGAAACACAGCCTATTGGTAGAGGCTGCCTGGGTGAGGATGGGTGTCAGAAAAGAGTTCTTTGGGTAGGTTCTTTGAGTAGGTGGTGTGCAGTGGAAACCGAGGTGCCAGAAAAGACTGAGCCACTCAAAGGACTTCTCCAGATAGAGAAACAGACAGTGCGAAGTTCTGATGGAGGGTCGGTGTGGCCCGTGACTCGGAGGGCAGAAAATGAGGCTGACGCCTGGGACAGAAACCAGCATCCCGGGGGGCCTTGGATCTGGGGAAGGCATGCATCCCACTTTGCCTGGAATAATTCTGGCTTGCTCCCATTGTTCCAGCCTAATTGGTAGCATTCCCTTTGACCTGCAAAAAAAATGCCCCTGCTTGTTCAACAAATGACACAGTCACTCTACTTAGAGGGCAGAGCAAAAAGTATAGCTTTTATATATTTTAGCTGCAATAGGAAGGCATTTGAGTGTTTCGAGAAAGAGAGTGACAGCATCACGCCTTTTCCTCATTCACCAAGTATTCACTGAGTGCCGAGAGCTCTCCTAAGCCGCAGACACAGCAGTGAGCCACTTTTTGCAGGAGTTCTGCCATCGGGAGCTTACATTCCAGTGTCAGGAAGGCTGACATCTGACAAAATTAACCGGTTCTCCACAGCTCAGTGCCCTGGACGTGTCAAGGTACCCATTGGAAAGACAGAAAGATGAAGGCAAAGAGAATGTTCTGCTGGTTCTTTTTCTAGGTTTAATAATTGGAAAATCATGAGCTACTTCCCATGAAGTCTTCTCCCAAACTCACCCCCGAGGACAGGCCTTTGCAGGGAGCTACCTGACTCCCATTCTCACCCACGTATCCAGCTCCTGTAGTTGGTGAGCCCAGCTGTGTGCTGGTTGCCCTGACAGGCCCCTCACCCCACGCAGGTTCTAGCTCTCAGTAACCGGCTTATGCACACAGGATCCCAGCTCGAGTGGCCTGATCAGAAAAGGGCACACGACACTGACACATCTCACCAAAAATTCTGCCTCTAGATGGAGATTCAGGAACAGAGCCGGGCACAATGAGGAAAACAATCAGGATTCATCTTCAGGCGTGGCTGGATCCAGCAGCCCAAATTATGTCATCTAGAGTCCTTTCCCATTCCATCTCCTGCTTTTGCCATCCTTTGCGCTGGCTTCAGCCACTTGTTGGGGATTCCCAGTAACTAAGGCTTCCAAACAGACACCCAACAACTTGGACTAAAGCTTCCATTTCTTTCTTTCTTTTGAGACAGGGTCTCACTCTCTCGCCCTGGCTGGAGTGCATGATGCGATCTTGGCTCAACTGCAACCTCGACCTCCTGAGTTCAAGCGATTCTCGTGCCTCAGCCTCCCGAGTAGCTGTGATTACAAGTGTGTGCCACCATGCCGGGCTAATTTTTGTATTTTTAGTAAAGATAGGGTTTCGGCATGTTGGCCAGGCTGGTTTTGAACTCCTGGCCTCAAGTGATCCGCCCAACTTGGCCTCCCAAAGTGCTGAGATTACAGGCTTGAGCCACTGCGCCCGGCCGTAGAGCTTCCATTTCTAAATAATTCCATTAGAAATTCCAGAATTGGATGCTGTTGGACCATGGGCTCATCACTGAACCAGCCACTGTATCCAGGAGCATAGAAGACGCTGATTGGCCAGTCCTGAGTCACGTCCTTACCCCACACTTCCAACACACACACACACACACACACAGTTTGGGGGCTCAGCCCCACCCACACTGCAAGGAATGAGCGTGGGGGAGGGAGGTTCTCCAAGGAAAATCCATGTGTTGGTTGGAAGGAGAGAAATGGATGCTGAGACAGGCAAAACAGTGGGTGTCCACTGTGCCTGGCCTTGGTCCCAGGAAGAAGCAGAGCCCATGGTCAGTGGGGATGGCTCAGGGAGACCCCTTTACTGCAGCTTCAAGAGAAGGGTGGAGGGTTTCTGGAATCAGCCAGTGTGGTTTGGGCCCCAGATTTCTTCCCCATTTCTGCCGGCCTCAGGCTACCAGGGGTCTCCCTTCACAGGCAGCGTGGGCTCTTGGACCCCAAGCTGTTCATGGGGCCTGTGACTCCAGCCCAGGGAAGGCAGGGTTCAGGGGATATGCATGGCAGTGGACAGCAGCCCCCAGCGAGGCAGAGGGCATGGGAGGCTCCAGGCGGAGCCCTCCCTACGGGTCCCACCCAGTCCCTGCCTTGGGTGGTGGGACCTGTACCCTGAGGCCTCTGAAGCCACCAGGTCCTGTCCTGATGGGCATCTGGAGTCCCTGACCCTAGCCCCTCTGAGGTCTCTGGTCGCTGAGGTGGGGACTCAGCGTCCTCTTCCCTGGGAAGACTCACTTCCCACAAAGCTAGGTCCGCCGCCAACCCCCAGCCCCAACATTTAGAGCTTTTATTTTGAAAAATAAAAAAATATGTTGAACATTTCAAGATGACTTTTCCCCTGAGCCACCACTGCCCCGCTGTGGTCCCAGGGAAGATGCCGTTGATAGCGGAGATTAGGGGAGGACCCCTGCGCCTCTGGCTTTAGGAAGGGTCTCCAAAGAGCCTAGTTGCCCCTTTTGCCCTTCATTCATTCACCTGCACTCAAGGATGTTCTTGGAGGTGGGAGGGCACCCACTTGCCGAGCCCTGACGGCCTGCAAATGAGTTCTCAAATCCCTCCTTTCATGCTGGTGGCTGTTCTGGGAGGTGGTCCCGCCATCAGCCTATCCATCAGACGAGGGGTTGGGGAGGGTCCCCAAGGCATACTTTACCCAGATTCTCTGGCATGGCACAGCCAGTACGAGGCCCCACCATGAAGCCACGACCTTCCCAGCCTCACTCTTGCCTAAAAGAACGGGATGTGAGGTCAGGGAGGGAGAGGGCTGATGAGGGGTCCTGGAAGGGCAGGAGCCCCCATCTCAAGAAGAGAGATCAGTGCTGAGGCCCAGCAGCAGGCAGCCCCACCAGGGACCAGGAGGAGGGCTTCCTCCTGGCGTCTCCATGCCACAAGATGTAAAATAATCCCCTCGGCTCAGAAAAACACATTTTATGGCCATCTGACTCACTTCCCACAAAGCTAGGTCCACCGCCACCCCCCAGCCCCAACATTTAGAGCTTTTGTTTTGAAAAATAAAAAAATATGTTGAAAATTTCAAGATGACTTTTGAACATAAATTGTTCCTTTCCTCACCCTCGTCCCAGGCCCCCCTCACCTAATTTCCCAAACCTTGGCTGCCAGAGCCACGGGAGGACCCAGTCCAAGTGGGTGTGGGAGGACTCTGGAGTCACCGGGCAGCACAGCCCGCAGGGCCCAGCTGGCGGATGCCTGACGGCCGCTGAGACGGGTCAGGGGCCCTCCAGGGAAGTCCAGGCTTTGGTGAACCTGATCCTTTGGGTTCCGGGTCCCACATGGACCCCTCTAGTGCCCGGCAGTCTCTTCAGGTCACTTCCAGGGATGCAGATAAAGTCTGCCTGGTGGCTCTCCAAGCACTGGGACAAGGGCGGCTGCAAGCGTGGCCTTATTCACTGAGCCCCAGACCTTGCTAGCCACTGGCCTCCCCAGCAAAGAGCAGGCCTGACCCCCATCATCCCGAGACCCCACAAGTGATGCGTGGCGGTCCTTTGATCCCCCAAATCCAGCAGGGCTTTCGATGCCCCCGCACACACCGAGACATGGCCTCCCAACTCCCTCTGACTCTTCCATTCCTTGAATTTCCCCAACAGCCCTGACAATGGCTGTCCGCATCCCCATTTCTCAGGCCCCAGGCAAGCCCAGACAGCACGTGACCCCTGTCAGCTGACAGAAGGCCGAGCTCAGATGAGCCGTCTGCCCGGGCTCCTGCTGCCTCCCCAGTAGCCCAGGGCTCAGATGGAGGGCCAGGGTGGAACGCACAGCCAGGGGGTCTCTCGTTCCTGGCACACGGTGTGGCCGCAGGGGAAGGACCCAGCGCCCACAGAGCTGGCCTCCACGCCCCACCTGCAACTGGCACCACTTGGCACCTTCAAGGCTCTCCCCACGGCACTCAGGTGGCCCGCCCCGTCATCTCTCCGCCTTCCCCCACAACAGCCTCTGGCACCTTCCAAAAGGTCTCCCGGGGAGGAGGCAGCCACCTGCAGCCAGGGTGGGGCACCCACCAGCACCAGCCTCCCTCCAGCCAGAGCCCCGACTGGGCAAGGCTCTGCCACACCTGGGCCAGGTGCCTTGGCCTGCAGGCTCAGACTCCTAGGATCCAGAATGAAACAGGTTCCATCCCTGGTTGCCATGAGCCCAACTGGGTCTGAGATCTAAGCAGGGCCTGGCACCCAGCCCCTCCACTGCCCATCCACTAGGAACTCATTCCAAGCTACCGGCTCCTTGGGGGATCTGTGAGCTGCTGAATGCTGGGAGACTGGGCTCCTGATACCGACCTCGTGCTAAGAGCTGCCCAAGCTGGGGACACAGGAGCAGAGTGTCAATCCACAGGAGGCCTCTATCCTCAAGGGGCCACCATCCCCGACAGGAAGCGCAGGCAGACCCCAGGCCTGTAGGAGCTGCCCCTGGTGACCTGGTGATCAGTGACCCTGGATCCTGGTTCTTGGGGGTCTGGACTCCCACTTCAGCACAGGAAACAGTGGTGAGAAGCAGCCCGGGGTGAGTGGGGTGACTTACAATCAAGGGCCCTGCAGGTTTGCCGGGATGGGCATGCCCCCTGCCAGGGCGGGAGTGTGGACTGGGGTCCCCCAAGCTGGCTAGGCCATGGGCATCAGGGGAAGGGCCAGAGGTAACCCGGACTTCCTTAACCACAAGAAAATGACTCAGCTAAATTGAGGAAGACTTCCGTTTCGGCAGAATATTTTTTCCACTATGGTAAGAGCTTTTCGCCCACAGGCTCCAGAGGAGCTGGGTACCCCAGAGGAGGGTTTGGAGTTTCAGTTTGAGTAGTCAAGGCTGGTTCTTAATCATCCTTTTCAAGAGACAGCTCTTGGTTTTCCAGCAGGTGGCTGGGTAATGGGAAGCCAAGCCAGGTGTGTGTGTGTGTATGTGTGTGTGTGTATGTGTATGTATGTGTGTATGTGTGTGTGTGTGTGTGTGTGTGTGTATGTGTATGTGTGTGTGTGTATGTGTATGTGTGTGTGTGTATGTGTGTGTGTATGTGTGTTGGGGGGGGCGTGCAAGTGCACATTTGTGCCTTGTGGACTCTGGGGGCCAGGAAGGCAGAGATTTAGTCCCAAGCCTTCCCCTTGTCCAGCAGTAGGCCTTGCCCTGGTCTGCAGAGATGACCTGGATCCTCCAGTCCTCACAACCCTGCCAGCCTGAGCAGGGCTGATGGCTGCATTCATTGAGGGTTCAGTGTGCGCCAAGCAGCAGGCCAGGCACTTGCCCACATTGTCTCATTTGAGTGCTCACAACCCCTGGAGGTGGCCTCCTCCCAGATATCAGTGGAAGTGCCCAGAGAGGAAGGCAGCAGGTGGACACAGCCACAGTGAACCGCACACCGAGGCAGCCGACACCGCTGGAGCCCTCTTTGTGGCTGCCCCACCTGCCCGTTCTCCAGCTTCCGGAGACGTTGCCCCAGGTTGTCTGCTGTAGCAACAGCGGCAGCACTGGGCTCAGTAAGGCCTGAGGACTTTTTCCCAGGGGCCTTGCTCAAACATCAGCCCAGGGGTTATCAGAAGCTGTGCCTTGCCCTGGACTCTGGGGTGGAAAGTCAGGCATTTTCAATGCAGCCCTGAGCCCCAGGCAGGCTGGGTGCAGGTGGGGTCTTCCAGAAGTGGGAAGCTGGAAGCCCCCCACTTCCAGCCTAATCAGTGTGGCGAGGGGAAGCCCCGGTCCCGGTGTGTGGTGGGGAGGAAGGCCGGCTGCTTCAGGCTCCTGCCTCTTCTGGTCCAGCCCAGGTGGGCTTCCTGGAGGAGGGCACTGGCAGACTCTGACCTGGACAGCAGCAGTGAATGCTCTGAGAGCATGGGAAGTGCCGGACGTGATGCCCCACACCTGTAATCCCAGCACTTTGGGAGGTCAAGGCAGGTGGATCACCAGGAATTCGAGAATCAACAGGAATTCGAGACCAGCCTGGCCAACATGGGGAACCCCCATCTCTACTAAAAATACAAAAAATTAGCTGGGTGTGGTGGCACACGCCTGTAATCCTAGCTACTTGGGAGGCTGAGGCTGGAGAATTGCTTGAACCCAGGAGGTGGAAGTTGCAGCGAGCCGAGGTCGTGCCACTGCACTCCAGCCTGGGTGACAAAGTGAGACTCTGTCTCAAAAAAAAAAAAGAGAGTGTGGGAAGTGCTGGCCCCCAGAAAGTGACTGCCTAGGCAAGGAGGGGCTGCTCCCCACCCCCAGAGACGCCCCGTGCCTGCTCCCACCCAGCATGCTCCAGAGCTGGGAAACTGCTCCTGCTTCTCAGTCCCCTGCCAGGGCAGGTTATTCCCTGGGGCCTCACACTGTGAGGGGAATGACAGGGTACAGGGTCGTCCTTCCCCCGACATGGCCGGCTGGACCTCAGCTCTGCTAGAGGCCCTTCCACATCCTGCCTCCTGCCCTGGGCTGGGGGTCAGTTTTCCCAACCTGGAGGTGAGTGGGAGTCCGAAGCTGCCCCAGGGAGTGGGTGGGGGGGGCTTGCCCTGGTCTCCAGGGATTTCAGAGGACAGAGTTGACCTGGCTGGTGTGGCTCTGTGGCCAGGGCAAGGGTTCTGCCTGGGGCCAGGACATGTGTCCTGGCTGTGTGGCCTCCCCAGGGCCCAACTCTCTGGCCAGACTCCTGTGGGGAGGAGCAGGGGCTGCAGGGGGTGGGGGAGGTGAGGCCATCAGTTCCCCCAACCCCGAGGTGCCGCAGCTCCAGGGCAAAGGGCAAGTCGGCTCTGGCCAGAGTAAGGAAGCAGGGCAGGGGACAGACAGCAGAAAGAGGAAGGCCTGGCCCAGCAGCCAAGGGGCTTAAGCCCTGAGGCCTGAACCTTGCCCCTCTCCTGGGATGCCCCCCTAGAGAGACAGAAACTGGGACCAACAGAGACAGGAGGAAGCAGAGAAAGAGTCAGAGTCATCCCAGCACTTTAGAAGGCTGAGGCAGGAGGATCCCTTGAGGCCAGGGGTTGGAGGTCAGCCTGGGCAACATAGCAAGACCCCATCTCTACAAAAAAAAGAAAAAAAGAAAGAAAAAAAGAAAAGAAAAGAAAAAGGAATGTGATGTGGCCTGAAAGTCCAAAAGCAAGGCACGGAGAGGAAGAGGAGCAGGAGGGGAAGACAGAGCTTTGGGGGAAGGGCTTTTAGCCAGCAGCAGGGAGCCAGGGTTATCTCCAGACACCTGATCCAGCTATTCCTGCTGCTGGCTGAGAGCCCTTCCCCAGGCTAGAGCCCAAGGGGCCTGGCAAGAGCCAAGCTGTGGGGTGGGGCCTTCCCAGGAGGGCCAAGGGGTTCCTCTGTCGCCATTGTTCCCTGTCCACAGAAAGCTTCTCCTTTTCCATCCGCAGAGCTCACACAAGATAGCTGTGCCTGCGTGTGCCCATATGCATCTGTGTGCGTGTCTGCGTGTGCATGTGGTATGTGCAATATGCCTGAAGCCATCTGCATCTAGGACCCTGGACTACCCAGTGTCATAAAGGCAGCCTGGGCTCCAGAACAAAGCCTCTCCCCCAGTATAGCCCCATGAGGCCAGCACTCCTTGGAGAACTGGGGAGGCCCAAATGAGGCGGATTCTCTGCTCCTGCAGAAGGCCCTGGTGATCCTTCTATCCCACAGTGGAGCAGAAGAGGCAGTCCCTTCTCCTCGGGTTGCCCCCACCCAGGTGGCCCTTGAGCTCCCAGGAACCACACAGTCCCAGGGTGGAGGAGGGCCCGACTGACCAGAGACCCCTCCCCGACTCACTGAGCTTCAGGCCTCTGCAGTGGGGAGGGACTGAAAGTGCTCCCCGAGTGGGCCACAGCATGTTTCTTGCATGCAAAGCTCAGCGTGCATGTGAACACACGCACACGTGCAAACAGGAGCATTCACCTCTGTCCCTGGCCAATCAGCTTCAGCCTGCCCACCTCAGCCGCCATTCGCCCATCATCCACAATGGCCGGCTGAGGGTTCTGGACGTGGGGATGATGGGCAAATGGCGGGTGAAGTGACAGGGAGAGAGCTTGGGTCGGCACCCTGGGCCCACATTCTCCCACCCCCTGCCACCCTTGCTCACTGCGGCCAGCCGGGTTCCCTCCCCAGCCCTGTTTGTCACGCACATTTTCTCCACAGATGTTTCGCGGTGCGTGTGTAACGGTGACAACTGTGCATTTGTAGCCTCTGTGCCTGCATGGTGTGAGTCCAGTGTGTGAATGTGTGAATCAGGGAAGAGACCCAACTCTCACTGGTTTGAGCAGAAAAGGAATCCACTGGTTCTTGCCATGGAAAAGTCCACAAGGTGCCGGTTCGGGCACAGCTGGGGCTCCGTCGTCAAAACCCGTGTCGGGTCCTCAGCTCTCCTTTCCTTTGTGCCCAGCAAGATAACCATGGGGCTCACATTCTCCTGCTTTGCTAGGGAAGAAAAAATGATTTTTTTTTCTCAGTATTTCCAGCAAAAGTCTCAGGGCAGACACCCATTGGCCAGGCCCAGGTCATATGACCCACTTCCAGAGCCCCAGGCAGGGGCTGCCCTGCCTGAAGCCCCTGGTCTGAGAGCTTGAGGGCTGGTCCTCCAAGGGAACACAAGGGGCTGCCCCAGAAGAAGGAAGTGAGTGTGGGCAGCCAGGAACTTGGAGGTCCACCCCAGTGACTCTTCGGGAAGGGGTCCTCTGGGGCGGGGTGGGGACATATGTTTTTCCTATCCTCAGTCTCACTCCAAACCAGACTGGCATCTAGAATTCTGGGATTAGAAAGCCCTGGGATTCCTGCTCTATTTTTTATTGTGCAGATGGGGAAACTGAGGCCCAGAGAGACAGGGCATGGTCTAGGGGTCACACAGCCAGTGAGACCAGAGCTGGAGCTAGAACACAGGTCTTCTGACAGCCGGTCCTGACTGTCTACACAGCATGCTCCACGCGGCCAGTCTCAACAAGCCCCAGCAGTGTGGACGCAAGGGGCTGAGGTCAGGGCTTGAGACACCCCAGTGGGCAAGCCCCAGTCCAAGAAGAAAAGCCCACCTCAAAGGCTCCAAAGAGAATGGGCTGGGGCCAGGGGCAGGAATCAGCGGTAGGCTGATCCAGGGTGGGGGTGAGAAAGGCCAGCGCCTCTAGACCGCCTGCCACTGCTCCACCTCAGCAGCAAAGGTGGGTGAGGGAGGCCAGGACCAGGAGGGCAGGAGAGGTCAGGGGGTGGAGAGGCCATGAGGGGCCCGGCAGGCTCCAGCAGGCCTGTTTACTCAGAGGCCCACGAGGTCAAGGCCCAGGCCCCAAGTTAATCATTAATGGCGGCCCGGCCAGCCCTGCTCGTGGCCGCTCAGCGTGGTGGGGGCCAGCACCCAAAGCCCAGGCACTGCCCCCTGCTGCCACCCTGATCAGGGGGACCCAGGCATGCTTCGGAGGACACCGCGTTCTCTGCAGTCCCAGGGACTCTGACATCGTCTTTCCCCACTCAGGGCAGGCCTATGCCAGGATCCCGGGGTCCCCAAGGCAAGAAAGGGGGTCTAAAGCTCTCCAAGCCAGCTCCATGTTTGCCTCCCACAGCCCGGTTTCTGGGTGTCACACCCAGCAGGGAGGGGACAGGGCAGAAGCAGCAGTGGGGACAGGGACCTTGTGCAGGAGAAGAGTCCCAGTGGGTGCAAGGGGTCAGGGGTGCCCACATCACTGGCAGGGGACAGGTTTGGTGGCAGCACGCAGGGCTGGGGTGGTGTCTACAGTGGGACAGGCACCTAGGCCTGAGTCCAGGGGTCTGGGCTAGAGGTTCTCGGGGGCCCCCTTGGGGTTCCTGCTTGGGCTGACCCAGCTCAAGGATAGCTGAGCTCCATGCCACCCAGCTGTGTCTCCATCATCCCTAGAACCAGCTGAGACCAGCGGCTCCCAACGCCCCAGGGACAGTGTCTTTCCTCTACGATAAGCGGGCACTGACAGAGGAGCAGCACCCGCATTAGCAGCTTTTAGGATGCAAATCCCTGTTTTGTCCTGGGGATTAGGCCTGAACCTCCAGCTGGAGAAGGCAGCCCCTGTGGGGCAGGGGGACAAGGACATGGTGGCTGTGCTGGCTGCCCACCCCACTCAGCCTCCCTGCCTGACCCAAGACCCAGGGCCACCCCGGGAGGAATCCAGGTGGTGGGGACAGGGAAGGTCCGGCATTTGCACAGTAAGTGGCTGCTGTCCTTGGGCCCTGGGCTCACTCAGCGTCTCTCAGGGACAGTGGCGCCTCTGGGGGACCTTGGTACAGCCCAGATGTGGACGCGGCAGATGGGTGCCGACTAAGATGCTGCATCTCTCAGGCGTACCCAGTGAGGCCAGCCCTCCCAGCCCCTGAGAGAAGCAGCGCTTCTAGAAGGCTCCTCCCAACATGGCAGAGAGCTCTTGGAGCTTGAATAGACTCTTAGCCTCAAAGAGCTTCATTTTTATTTGTTAAGGCTTTGGGGGATGGGGCGGTGCAGGGGTAAAGCTGCCCACTGTGGAAGGGAACCTGGGACAGCTAGTGCCTGGGGACATTGGGGGCCCCCATTTCTCTTGGGGTACCTCTTGTGGGGGTGCTGTCCCTGCCTCCACAGCAGTCAGAGGAGTGTCCAGCTCCAGAGCCCCCACCCCGGGCAGCCCAGATCAGGAAGCATTTAGAAAAAGCCTGAGGGCACATCCTATGGGCCACCCTAGGGGCAAAGCTTTCTGGGACCCCCACTGTAAACCCAGGCAAGGAAGGCACAAGGTCTCTCGGCCTTGGGCACCCTAGAGCACTGCACTGTGTGGACCCTCAGCGTCCACTTTAGCACGAGATTGTTCCCTTTTCAAGGCACCACTTCTGCCTGACCAGGAAATCCTGAACCAAGGCTGCCTATCCCTCCCTGAGTCAACACTTGCCGAGGAGGGAGGTGGAGCAGGAAAACAGGCTCCAGGAGTGCAGGCCAGAGAGGGCTGTGTCCACACACACACACGTGCACACACACAGTCACACACACTACAGTCACATGCGTACCCACAGACACACTCATAACCACATGCACACACGCTCACAGACATGCACACACATGTGCACAGACACATAGGTACACCTGCACCAACTGTGTGCACTCATACACATGCTTGTAGTCACACGGGTACACACACACATGCACACACAGACAGACACAGACTCACACAGACCTTCCTGCTCCCAAGAGACATCATGAAGCCCAGGCCTGTGTGAGTCACACCCCACACCCACACAGACACACGCACGCACACACACACACACACACACACAGACTCAGCCACTGCACACTCTGCTATGCTTTCCCAGTGGTCTTCACGTTATTCAGTGGCCTCCCTGGCAGACACCAGCCACACAGCGCCCAGGAAATCTGACACGCCCAGGAAATCCGAGCCTGGGACTGAGCCCTTGAACCTCACACCATCTTCTGTCTTTGGGGCCACCCGGGAAACAGGAACCTGGAGGAGGAGAGGCAGCCTCAGGCTCCCTCAGAGCCTGGCTGGGCTGGGGCTGGAGCCGGAAGGTGCCCGTGGCCCTGCTGCAGGAGAGGACACCCACCTTGAGGTTGGCCCCGGACCAGAGACAGACACTCGTTTCCCCATGGCCCCTGGGGCAGGGCTGTGTCTGGCTCCCAGTGGTCTCACCATACAAAGGGGGGGGATGAATGAACAAGGACCTGGCAAGGGAGTCCTCTGTCCCCCGGGCTGGCCTTGGGGCCCTGTAGGTCCCTGCCACCCTGCGACCCGCCTCGTCATCCCTGATCACCTCCACCACGTGTGAGCCAGGCCCAGGGGAGCCAGCCTGCCTATGGCTGTGTCTCTGGGGCAGCGGGGGCGGCAGCACAGGGACGTGCCCACACACGGCTCCCCCGCGGCTGCACGCTAAGCCAACGCCAGAGCCAGGCCAAGAGCAGCAGTCCTGGGGCCTGCCCACCGCCCACGTCCGGCCCAGCCTTCCATGCTGCTCCAGCGGGAGACTTGGCCCCCGACTCTTATCCACACGGCAGCCTCCCAGGAGCACCGGCCTCCCGCCCTGCAGGTCCTGCCCTCCACCTCTCAACAGCAGCCAGGGATCCTTGCAAAAGTCAATCAGATCGTGTTCCTGGCCCAGCCCCCAAAGCCTTTCCAGCCTCTTCTGCTTGCAGCCACCCCATGAATTCTGTGAGGCCCTCCTGGCCACCCACCTGCCACAGACCTCCGTACTCTGCACCTCCCTTGGCTGTGGCGGTTCCTTTCTGTCCCTCAAACAGCTGCCTCCTGCCCCCAGGACATCACATGGCAGCTCCTGCTGAGTCTTCCTTGGCTGGTCTTTTTCCTCATCGGGGAGGCCTTCCTGAAGCCACCCCTGGTCACTGCCCAGATGCATAGTATTGCGGGCACCTCTCGTGCTCTGAAATGGCACTGTACCTGTCAGTCATCCCTGCTGGATTGTCAGTTCCACAAGGGCAAGGACCGTGTCTGTCTCATTCGCATCCTGGAAGGGGTTTATCTGGCAGGTTGTTGGCACCAAGGACCAGTGTTTGTAGAGTGAATGAATGACCGAGAGAGGGCAATGCTGAAGAACCCAAATGCAGGTCGGAAATAGGAATGGCCACATGTCCGGCCTGCCCATCATCCATGCCCTGCCCAGATTTTTTGGAAAAAATAATCTGAAGAATAATAGTGTTTTGTGACACATGAAAATCATATGAAATTCATGTTTCGGCAATCTAGGAGGGGGATGTGGGGGCCTCCTGGCGTCCTCCTGACCCATACCACATAGGCAGGTCCAGTTGCATGGGTCAGTGCTAGGATAGGGATGTAGGGCCACAGCCTTTGCTCCTGGTGGGCTTAGCTCTGCCCTGGCTTTTGGCCCTACAAGGCGAGAAGCCCCTTGCGTTTAGTGTCCTGGATTTACAGGGACCCCGCACTCCGCCAGCTCCCGCTTCCGCACCTTTGTCTAGGACATTCCACTGCCTGGAATGTCTCCTCTGTCTGCCTGGCCATTCCCTCCCCTTCTCCAGGTGCAGCCAGACACCCCTCCCAGTCCCAAAGCCCCCTTCCCCATCACACACAGCCCTGAGGCTGTACACATCTCCTCTGCTAGCCTGTACCAGGCTGTAGGCCAGGCCACACCACATCAGTAGTGAGTGGTCGTCGGCAGCTTTCAGGCGCTCAATGGGCTTCTCTTGAGGTTCCCACCACCTTGGGCAGGTTGAGGGGGTGAAAAGATACCTGGCCAGGGGTCAAAGAGATAGGTCAGACAACAAGGGGTCAGTCGGGTCTAAAGAAGCCCACAGGACTGGGCACAGTGTCTCATGCCTGTAATCCCACCTTTCTGGGAGGCCGAGGCAGGAGGATCACATGAGCTCAGGGTGTAGTAAGCCATGATCGTGCCACTGCACTCCAGCCTCAGCAACACAGTTAGACCCCGTCTTCAAAAACAAACAAACAAACAAACAAAAAAAAAAACAGAAAAACAGAGAGGAGGCGGGGGTAACTCTGAATCCAGGAGATAAGGGCTTAGTTAACTGGTTAGTTGGTTAGATAGTAGGTGAGTTTGTTCACTCATTTGTGTCCTCCACTTGGGCTGGAGATGGAGTGACTCTGCTTCCTCCTCCGAGCAGCTGCTGGGCCCTGAGGGAGGACTGACCAGGCTGGCCCTGAACCAGGTGGGAAAACATATTTAATTCTCACCCTGCACCAGGAATCAGCCCATTACAGTCCCCAGGCCAAATACAGCCTGCCACCAGATTGGAAAACAATCTAAAGAAGATTTCATGACACATGAAAATGATATGAAATTCACGTTTCAGTGTCTATAAATAAAGTTTTATTGGAACACAGCCACACCCATTCATTTATGGCTGATTTTGCCCTGCAAAAGCAGTTGAAAAGCTATAGCAGTGACTGTCCGGTCCACAAAGCCTAAAATGTTTACCATCTGGCCCTTTGCAGAAAAGGTTTGTTGCCTGGTATCCTAGGCTCTCCAGCCACCATGCACCCAGCTGTCGCCTCTGCTCCAGCGCTGTTTCCGGTTTATGATGTGGAGTGAACAGAACCTCCCTCAGAGCATGGCGGTGAGGACTCCAGGTTTACCGTCGGCTGCTGGGCGGCATGGGTATCCCCAGGTCATGCTTTCTTAACTCCAATACACAGAAGCTGAGCACTTGTAGAGGCTGCTCTGGGCCTGGTAGAGGGCTGGCCTGATACCCAAGGTCTGCCCCCCAAGGGACACACACGGAGTTGGGGCATGGAGACCATGAAGTTGGAGGGGCACAGAGGAGAGACAGGAGCCTGACCTGGAATGCACAGATGGCTCCCAGAGGGAGTGATACTCAAACTAAGTCTTCTTTTAATTTTTAAAAGACAGAGTCTCTCTCTGTTGGCCAGGCTGGAGTGCAGTGGCTCACTGCAGCCTTGAACCCCTGGGCTCAAACAGTCCTCCCACCTCCACCTCCCTAGTAGCTAGGACTACAGGCATGCACCACCATACCCAGCTTATTTTTTAATTTTTTGTAGAGATAGGGTCTCACTATGTTGCCCAGGCCAGTCTTGAACTCCTGGGCTCCAGCAATCCTCCCAATGCAGCCTCCCAAAATTCTGGGATTACAGGCATGAACCGCCACATCTGGAAGCTAAGTCTTAAAATATAAGCAGAAATTATCCAGGAGGAAGGAGCAGGGACAAGCCTTGCAAGTGGAGAGAACAGCTTCAGCAAAGCTCAGAGGCTGAGAGTGGCAGGTCTGGACCTGGTTGGTGGGGAACTTGTAGAACCAGGTGATGGGGGGCTGTGGGCAATGAGAGCTCACCCTTCATCACCAGCCCCACCCACCACCTGGGTTTGGCCCAGGCTGGCAAGGGTGCCTGCCGAAGGCAGATATTGGCATCTGGCAGGGTGAGGTGGGGCATTGAGGGCAGAAGAGGGGGTGCCTTCAGGACCCCACCGCTGGCCAGCAGGGACACTGCAATTGGAGGAGCCAGATGGTGGGCAGGGCCTGGGGGCTCATCCCAGCAGGGCTGGGGTGCCAGGGCTGGGGCCGCCTGGTCCTGCCCCTGCCCCTGGGGCAGCCGGCAGAGTCCAGAGATGAGGCAGGCTGCCACAGGCGGGTAGCTGGCAACAGAGGCCTATTCTTCAGGATTTAAAAAGTCTCAAAAGGCGTCCAACTTTCCTTCGTTAGATGCTCCGGGATGTTTCCCCGTCAGAGGCTGCTCAAGATACCGGGCTGATAAGGGCCCGATTGAAGGAAGCTTAATTATGGCCCCGAGATGTTGGGGTAAACAGTCGGGAGTGTTTGTTTTACCGCCTCCTCTCTGTGCTAATGGGGGCACAAGCTAGGTGCCAGCTAGGGGGACCCAGTGACCCCAGGCTTTGTGGGTTCCCCTCACTGTCTCCCCATGGAGCGGGCCTTGGGGAGGGAGGCCGCTGGCCAGAGTTCGGCATCTCTGCAGTGTGGGTGCCAGGCTCCACAACCTCCTGCCCATTTGGCCACAGGGTACTCACCTGTCCGTGACAAGGATGGACATCGGGCATTAAAGGAGCTGTCCGTGTTGGTGCCTGGCATGGAGTGAACGCTGGGTGAATTCTGGACAGCAGCGGCAGCCTGGGGCTAGGGGCAGCTGGTAGCAGGAGTTTCCCTGGCGCTGTCCTGACCTTGACCCAGGCCACAACCCCCCAGAGGATGCATCTGGCTCCTCAACTCCATCCCGGGACCCCTGGATGGGCAGGGAGGTAGACCGGGGCTCGGCCTCTCAGCACCGTCCCCCATTTACCCCCACACCCCATCCCAAGGCCAGGATGTTCCTGGGGTGCCCAAGCCTGGTAAAGCACCCCTCCTGTGGGCATCACAACTCCAGGGGATCAGGGGCCACCATCCTGTGTGCCCTCCCTGGCGTGTGCCCACCTCCTACGCCCTCCCCCAACACCCACCACAGGCTCCCCCTGAGTGAGGAGTCCCAGGAGTAAGGGGAGCCCACTCTGTCACCCTGCACTCCCTCGAGGGCCCAGGGGCTCCAAAGGGCACAGCTCAGCTTTATTTAAGGGAGCAGCTCTGCTCAGGGGAAGGGGGCAGGGGGAGTGGGAGGAAAAGGATGGTGCCCCCTAGACATGCGTAGAGGCACACTCACCCAGACACACACACACACACACACACACACACACACACCCTCACCATGTACTGCCCAGGCCGGGCCAGGCCTTCTATTCCCTCGGCATCCAGGAATCTGCAGCTCTGCTCCCTGGCAGGCAGGGGTCACCGGCTCAGGGGGTCACAGGCTCAGGGCACCCCCCTACCCCGTGTGTGTGTATTTGCTCATCCACACACATAGGCCAACACGGTGCCCGTAAGTGTCTGCACCATGTGCCTGGGAGGGAGCAGGAGGAAGGGGAGACCAGGCAATCCATATTTTGGGTCCCTTGCGTGAGGCGGGAAGGGCACAAGGGGGCCGTTTAGGGTCACTCCAGCAGGACCCAGGCCCTCCGTGGCCTGGGCAGGTGCTCACATGACAGGCTCCATCGGAGGAGCTGTGGGAGTCTCTTGGGAAAGGGCCACAGTTCACCCTTTGGCAGATGTCACCGCCCCCAGAGGCTCGGAGCCCCCCTCGCTCTGTGGCTGTCCTTCAGGCTGGGGTGACCAGCCCCCCGCCAGGCCTTCAGCTGAGACCAAGAAGCCATTTTGGTCCGTGATGAGAAGAGGAAGTTCCTGCAGCCCCAAAACAGAAACAGGAAGCTGGGAGGGGGGCACAGGGATAGGGAACGGGAAGGGGACGCAGGCACCCGGCAGATGCACCCCAAATATGGGGCCTTCCTGGGGCCCACAGCAGCAGCCATGTCTGGGTGTCTCTGCCCAGTCCCAATGCTGTGGGCCTCATCTGGGCCCAGCTGTGCCCACCAGGAGGGCAGACTCCCTGGGGACCTCAGATGCCCGCCCGCTCCCTGCCTGAGTGGCTCAGTTGCCCAGGCTTATCTGGCTCTGACTGAGAGGGCTCTGTGAGTGGCTGGAACCCCTCTGTCCACCCAGATGTGCCTGGCCACGTGCCTCTCCTTGGCCCCCAAGCGTAGCCCTGTGGGATTCTCCGCAGCGCTGGCCTGACTCCTTGACTCAGCAAGTCCAGGTCACCCTCTGTCCCCACCTCTGACCGAGCCCCCTGGTCGTGAGTCTGTGCGGCCGCCTGTTGGGTTCTGCTGTTCGCCACTGAGTCCCAGCCCTGGCCGTTTCCCCAGCTGTGATGTGACAGGGTCCCAGGCCCTCACCCAAACTTGGTAACAACACTCAGGACTGCCTGCTCAGCAGAGGTGGAGCCTGGACTCTGTTCCCCGGGGCCCCCTGCCTCACACTGTGTCCTGACCAGCCTGCCCTTTGCAGACCCCTCCTGCTCTGTGAGATGAGAGATGGAGTGTCTGAGAAACGTGCATGGGTCCCAGCCCGTTGTGCCCCCAAGCGGAGGGACGACAGGATCTAGAACCACGCACCAACCTCCGGAAGTGGGGCAGCTCCCAGTTCACGCAAGGGCGAGCTAGGCTGGGGCCACGTGGAAGGCAGGACAGCAGCTCCCACTCAGGGTGGGCATTGCCTGTGGCTCCTCGCTGGGTCTGGAGGCTCCTTCAGGAAGACTCTGGGGGTGAGGGAGCGGGGGCGGGAGTCAAGGGACCAGAGAGGCACATGTCACCAATTTCAGTTCTGCCCCAGCTGGCCTGAGGCAGCTCGGGACTTCCCAGGGTGGAAGGATAGGTCCGGGGGCCAGGCTACTTGGAGGCAGGGCCAGGTCTTGAGGACCCCCTCCCCAGCCCAGCTGTCTGCCGGGGAGGCAGCTCTGGGTTCCTGGAGTGGGCTGGCTACGGAGGTGTGTGCCTCCCTGGCGGCCCTCATCTCTCCCGGAGCCCTAGAGCAGGTCTTTCTAAGACTTCCCACTCATCAGCCCCGGCCCAAGATTATCACTACAAAAGACGTCCTTGGCCCACTGTCCCCTCAAAATGAAAGCTTTAAGAACAGCTGCCCAGAGGTGTCTGAGAAAAACTCCAGGATGAGAGTGAGGGGTACCAGGCCGTCAGCTCTCCCCAGGCTGAAGGATGAGGTGGAAACCACGAAAGCCCCCAAAACAAAGCCATCTTCTCCACACCTCCAGGCTGTTCCCTAAAGAAGGAAAGCGGGGAATGGGGTGGGGAGGGCGAGTGGAGCCCCCGCCTCGGGCGGTCAGCACCGGCGTCAGCAGGGAAGCAGGCCCCTGGCCAGGGAGCGCATCTGACCGGACCGACCGTGTTCTTGGGAGATCAGTTGTGAAACTTGCATCAAACCCCCAAACCACAAAAACGGCCAGTTTTCCCAGCTCTGTTCTCATGCTTCTCAGACCAGCCGAGGAGTCTTCAGCATCTCCAGCCGAGAGAAGCCAGGCCAGCTGCCAGCGCCGGGGGAGGAGAAAACCCCAAGTGCCTGGAGACCCGAGCCCCAAGTTTGCCTGAAGCACCCTGCTCCCTTCAACGAGCCTGGGAATGTGAGGTCTGGAGAAAGGGTGAGGCCTGGGCCGGCTCCACTGCACCTGGAGCCGGGTGCAGTGGCTCACGCCTGTAATCCCAACACTTTGGGAGGCCAAGGTGGGAGGATCGCTTGAGCCCAGGAGTTCAAGCACAACGTGGGCAACATAGCAAGACCCTGTCTCTACAAAAAATACAAATACTAGCCCAGTATGGTGACACATGCCTGTAATTCCAGCTACTCAGGAGGCTGAGGTGGGAGGATCACTTGATCCCACTAGTCTGAGGCCAGCTTGGGCAACATAGTGAGACCCTATCTCTATAAAAAATTAGCCAGGCATAATGGTGCTCACCTGTGGTCCCAGCTACTCAGAAAGCTGAGGCAGGAGAATCACTGAGTCTGCTAGTTTGAGACCAGCTTGGGCAACATAGTGAGACCCCATCTCTATAAAAAGTTAGCCAGGCATGGTGGTGCATGCCCGTAGTCCCAGCTACACAGGAGGCTGGGGCGGGAGGATCACTGGAGCCCAGGAGTTTGAGGCTGCAGTGAGCTGTGTTCGTGCCACTGCACTCCAGCCTGGGCAACAAAGCAAGACCCTATAATTAATAAATAAATAAATAAATAAATAAATAAATAAATAAATGGAAAAAGAAAACTGGAAATCAGAATAGAAGGACCCAGAAGCTGCCAGGGCCACCTCAGAAAGAATTCTGGAACACTGTTGCCTTGGGAAGATAACATCTGGCTGATGGAAGGTCAGAGGCAGGTTACCAGGGAAAGACTCCTGTTTGAAAAGAAGGTCACCGAGGCATCCCTCGTGTCTTCCCACTGCATTTGGTGCACAGCACATGACTCTGGTTCTCTCTCATTCAGGGCCTGGTTATAGCAGAAAGTCTGGCTCTCACTGAGCAAGGACCCAGATGGGGACACTCAGAGAGGTGGGAAAGAATCTCCCCCACCCCGCCAAGGAGGGATGCAGCTGTGCTGTAAGTGATGGTTAAAGCCATCTTTAAGAGAGGCAGGGCGCCATGGCTCACTCTTCTAATACCAGTGCTTTAAGAGGCTGAGGCAGGAGAATTGCTTAAGGCCAGGACTTTGAGACTAGCCTGGGCAACACAGCCATCTCTACAAAAAATACAGAAATTGGCTGGGCATGGTGGTGCCCACCTGTAGTCTCAGCTACTCAGGAGGCTGAGGTGGGAGGATCACTTGAGCCCGGCAGTTTGCAGCTGCGGTGAGCTATGATCGCACCCCAGCACTCCAGCCTGGGAGACAGAGTGAGACACTGTCTCTAAAAAGAAAGAGGGAAGAGAGAAGATGCCCGTAGCTGCTTTAGGTGACAAACGGCCTTGAAGCCGTGAAGGCCCACTCCCTTCCACAGGGAATGCAGCCCCATCTCCGCAAGCCAGTCTCTGAGGCCACCCCTTCTTGCTTCCTCCGCCAGATACCCTGCCCAGCCCCCTCCCCCAAAATGAAGCCAGGTGGGGACCCTCTGTGCTGCTGGCCTCCAGGCCCTGCCCTGCTGCCCCTGCCTTCAGCCCCTACCACCCACACCACCCTGAAACCCTTCCTCTCCCTGGCCACTGTACCTCTCCCAGACCGGCGGTTTGCCTCCAGCTGGAGCCTCCTGGAGGCTGGGAGAGAACCCCTCGCCTGGGTTAACTTTAGTGGTGATTCTAGAAGCAGGACGCTGCTGAGGAAAAGGCCAAACTGTAGCTTTGTCCGCTCCACCCCAAGCCTTTGCCTGAGCTGGAACTTTCCTCTAACAAGCCCTGTAAGAGGAGCTTCACACCATGCTCCCTGTGTGAACCATGGTACCTGTGAGTATTGGCAATGATATTATGCCAATGTGCTATTATGTGCATTTAGCATAAAAGCCACTTGTAAGTAGTCACGTGGCAAGACCACGGCTGGGGCCCAGAGAATCCTGCTGGGGGCCCATAACATGGGATTGGCCCCCTGGAGCTAAGGCCAGGGCTGCAGTGCAGGAGGCCCACACCCGCAGGGGATCCTGCCCGAGGGGCAGGGCTGGATGAGAGGCAGTGAGCCCAGAGCATAGACAGAAGACAGTGGGCGTGTGTGTGTCTTGGTCACTGCGTGCGTCTCTAGGTAACTTTGGTTTGCACGTTTGTGAGGTTGAGCGTCTGTCAATGTGAGTTTCCGTGCATGGCTGGTGACTGCATTTGTGTGTCTGTGCATGGGCCTGGGTACATCCGTGTCTCTCGGTGTGTTTATGGATCTGTTCATTCAATCACTGCCTGGTGCGGCCAGGCCCTAGACAGACTGGAGGGCTCGGTCCCTGCCCCATCAGGCCCACAGTCTGGCAGGAGGTGAGCAGGAAGTAGGAATTACACCCATAATCCCTAGGCAGGATGGTGACAGGGGGAGCTCACGCCTCGAGGGTGGAAGCCCCGAGACAAGGGACCTGCTGCAGCTTGGCACTCGGGGACCCTGGATGCTTTCATGAAGGACAGGAAAGCCGAGTGCCATAGGAGGCATGGGAGTTGTCATGGGGAGGAGAGTTTTCCAGGCAGAGGGGAGAGCATTTGCAAAAGCCGGGGCACTGAGGAGGGGTCGAGGCAGAACTGCAGGTGCTAGGAAGCCAAGGGGTGTGGGAGGTGAGGGCAGGAAGGACAGGAGCTAGACACGCAAGCCTGGAGGCCACCATGATAATGGTGGCTGCTTCCTAGAACCGTGGGAAGGTGAAGTTCGGAAAGCAGCCCGATCATGTGGTCATTTAATAATACGACCATTCTGGGCCGGGCACGGTGGCTCACGCCTGTAATCCCAGCACTTTGGGAGGCCAAGGCGGGCAGATCACGAGGTCAGGAGATCGAGACCATCCCGGCTAACACAGTGAAACCCCATCTCCACTAAAAATACAAAAAATTAGCCGGGGGTGGTGGCGGGCACCTGTAGTCCCAGCTACTCGGGAGGCTGAGGCAGGAGAATGGCGTGAACCTGGGAGGCGGAGCTTGCAGTGAGCTGACACTGCACCACTGCACTCCAGCCTGGGCGACAGAGCAAGACTCCATCTCAAAAAAATAAAATAAAATAAAATAATAATAATAATATGGCCACTCTGTTGGCTAAGAGCCTGGATGAGGCCAGAGCTGCCATCCCATGAAGAGAGATGGTGGCTGGGGACGTGGGGCGGCAGGGGAAGACGTGGACAGGTGCGGGCATGCAGAGGCAATGGAAGGGTGACAGGCAAGGCCTGGCGACGGCTCAGGTGTCAAGGGCCAGGAGGTGTACATGCTGTGTGTGCACACGTGTGCACGTGAGCCTGTACAAACGCCTGCCAGGAGCTCAGGCCAGGCCCTCTCTCCTCTCCCTCTCCCCTCTCCAATCTCTTGCCCGTGTCCCCCACAGCCTCGCCGCGGACATGACAGTGACGGTAAGAAGGACTCAGTGTTGCAACTGCATTTCCTCTCGAACCCAGGGCCGCCAGAGATTAGCTGAGAGCCCCGTGTGCACTGGGCGATAACACCCCCACCACTCCCCCCGCTTCCTAATCTCTGATTCATTTCCAACTGATAACAGCATGAGGGCCCATGGGCGACGAAGAAACACCCCAGTGGGTCCTACCAAGGCCACTGTCAAGCCACGTGCAGGGACTCCGGGGAGCAGAGACAGGGAGGGCGAAGACCAGGGGTGATTGCAGAGGCAGAGACAGAGAGAGGAAGAAAGAGAATGAGAAGAGAGAGAGAAAATGAAAATGGGGAGAGAATGAGAGAGGGGGAGAAAGAGAGGGAGGGGAGGGCAGCGGGAATGGTCGACGGGTGCAAAAATATGGTTAGGTAGAATGACTAAGATCCAGGATTGATGCATGCAGGCCTTAATACCCAGGTGATGGGTTGATCTGTGCAGCAAACCACCATGGCACGCGTTGACCTATGTAACAAATCTGCACGTCCTGCACATGTATCCCAGAACTTAAAATAATTTTTTTAAAAAAAAGATTCAGTATTTAATAGCACAACAGGGTGATGACAGTCACCAAGAATTTACTGTACATTTAAAAATAATTAAAAGAGCATGATGAGAATGTTTGTAACACAGAGAAAAGATAAATGCTTGAGGGACGGAGACCCCATTAACCCTGATGGATCATGACACATTGCATGCCTGTATTAAAGTATGTCATGTACCCCGTAGATATATGCACCTGCTATGGACCCATACAAATAAAATAAAAAGAAAGAGGAAAGGAAAGAGAATGAAAATGAGAGACAGACAGAGAGAGAGTGAGGATAAGGGGGAGATGGAGACAGGCGGAGAGAGACAGAGAGACACAAACCCCCCAGGTCAGGGCAGGGTGACGAGGAAGAGAGAGGAAACAAGGACAGTGGTGGAGGGACAGACTGACAAATGTGTGCAGATACAGAGAGGGGCTGGGGGGTCCTGGGGGCTAGAAGGACTTACTAAAGTGATAGAGAAACAGAAAAACAGGCCAGGCACAGTGGCTCATGCCTGTAATCCCAGCACTTTGGGAGGCTGAGGCAGGCAGATTACTTGAGGTCAGGAGTTCAAGACCAGCCTGGTCAACATGGCAAAACCCCATCTCTACTAAAAATACAAAATTAGCCAGGCGTGGTGGCGCACACCTGTAATCCCAGCTACTCGGGAGGCTGAGGCAGGAGAATCGCTTGAGCCCAAGAGGTGGAGGTTGCAGTGAGCCAAGATCGTGCCACTGCACTCCAGCCTGGGCAACAGAGTGAGATTTTGTCTCAAAATAAGAAACAGAAAAACAGAGAGAAGGGACTGAGTGAGAGCAAGAAAGGGAAGAGGTGACCCAAGGTCAGGAGACAGAGGGAGTGAAAAGGAGAGAGCAAGACGGTGAGTGGTGGGGTGCGAGGCTGGATGGGCCCTCCCTGGCCCTGCCCATACTGCCTAGACACCATGGGTTAGGGCAGGACAATGATTTTACTGGCTCGACCCCTGCCAGGTACAGGCCTCAGCTGGGGCAGGGTGGCAGGGACAGCACACACCCCTGACCAGTCCAGAGAGCCCCAACCCTCAGGTGGGGCAGGCAGGGCTGTGGGCTGCACAGAGCTGAGCGGGGCGGATGGAGCCATGCTCCTTGTCCATGGACTCGGCCAGAGCCAAGGAGACAGAGCAACCCATCGGGTCTATGTGGATCCTGACGGGGTCTGGCAGGGCTGGACAGTCAAGGTTCGGGGGTCTGGGCTCAACCCCAGGGCTGTGATGGCGTGGCAGCCATCTGTGCTTTCCCAGAGCAGGCAGGAAGTGCCTGCAGGGAGCTGGAACCGCAGTGCTGGTGCTCAGGGCTGGGACAGGAGGGAGCCGGTTTCCCTCCACTCCCCTCCCCAACCGAGCACTCCCCTGGGTTCACAGTCTGGGTCATGTGGTGATGCTGAGAGTTTAGTGGAAGAGGAAATGGGAGCTCCAGGAACTACAGAGGCCCGGCCACCTCCCTTGCTCCTAAGCCCCTGCACCAGATCCCCCCTAAGTATAGAAGAGGGGTACAGACAGCTGCCCACCAGAGGGGCGCCAGGGCCTGGGAAGGATCTCACAGGCTCCTGGGCTCAGGCCTTCCTTTGGGGATGAAGAGGGTTCCCAGAGCAGCCAAGCCAGGGGCTCCGGGCTTAGCAGAGGGGAAGGGGCAGGGGGTGCCCCCTCCACCGACCCCAGTGCTCAGAGCTGGTGGGAGAAGGGGGCCCTATGCAGAGGGAACTTGACGAGCAGGTGCCAGAGAAGCAGAGGCTGAGGAGCAAATCACGAAGCCCAGGGGGACTTCACTCTGAGTGCAGAGAGGAGCCCAGGGGCACTCCCAAGCAGGGGAGCTTCAGTGCTGTTGGTGTTCTAGTATGTTCCTCCATCCCCCCCAGGCCTTCAGCCCAATGCATGAAGGCTGGCAGCACATGGGGCCCAGCCAGGGACCCCAGCTCCTTGCCCCTCCAAGCTAGGGCAGTCACCCCTCTGATTTGCCGTGCCCGCCCTGATGCCCTGCCTGCCGCGACCACAGGAAGCACTGCCCCAGCTCAGCACTTCCCTTTTCTGAAATCTGCCCCCAGCAGCCCGGTGGCCAGGGAAGACAGACTTCCCGCTGCCCCCCCGGGCTCTTCCCACCGGTCACAAGTGGTTTGTTCCTGAGCTTCCCTGGGCAGAGGTGACCTTCTTGCCTCAACCACAGATCAGTTATTTATCAGAACAGGAAAGATGGCACCAGAGATATGTCCTCACCGCCCCCAGGAGGGCCTGGCCTGCTCCAACGACCACACGCCCGTTCCCCACATCATACGGGGCCTGCTCACCACATCACACAGGCGTGCGTGTGGCTGGCGCGTGTGTGCAGGGCTGCACCAGGGAGGGGCCGGGTGGGAGGCCTCGTGGGCAGATCGGGTGGGATGTGGGATGCACCCTGGCTCGTGGGCTCAGATGAGGCTCCCTGTGCCAGCCGGGAGCAGTCAGGATATCTGGCGTCCTCCAGATCTGATGAAAGACATCCTTCCTCCAGTCCCAGCCTCAGCTCCAAGCTTCCCCACAGGGAATACCCTGGGATAGGGCCTTAGCCAGCTTCTCTATCCCTCTACCCAGAGCGGACAGAGGGCTCACCCCCTCGGGATTCAGGACTCACTGTGGGTGTTTGGGGTTGGATACTTCTGTGTTGTTAGGGCCATTCCGTGCATTATAAGATATTTAGCTGCATCTCTGGCCTATATCCACTAGACACCAGGAACAATTTTCCCATCACCACCACCAATTGCAATGATCAAAAATGTCTCCAGGGCACGGTGGTTCATGCTTGTAATCTTAGCACTTTGGGAGGCAGAGACGGGAGGATCTCTTGAGCCCAGGAGTTCGAGACCAGCCTGGGCAACATAGCAAGACCCCTCTCTCTTCAAAAAATATAAGTATTAGCCAGGTATGGCGGGGCACACCTGGAGTTCCAGCTACTCAAGAGGCTGAGGCAGGAGGATCGCTTAAGCCCAGGAGGTTCAGGCTGCAGTGAGCTAGGATCATACCACTGCACTCCAGCGTGGGTGACATAGTGAGACCCCTTCTCTTAAAAGAAATGTCTGCAGACATGTCAAATGTCTCCTGAGAGTACAAGACTATCCTAGGTCAAGAATCAGTGATCCAGGTGCACCAAAAGACCCTGGCTTCCATGACTAAAAAGTTCTAGGTCTCAGTTGGCCTGCGTCACAATTTTTTTTTTTGCTAGAAAGCTATGGACTAAGTTGACTAATGAGTCAGAGCCTGGAGTTCTTGGGAGGTGGAGGCTGTGCCCGTCTGCAGGATCTGTGCTGTAGGGCCTGCTCTGGGGCTCTGAGCACAACTGCCTTGCAGAGCCTGGAGCCGGAAAGAGCACCCTTGTGACCGGAAGGGAGATGGTGAAACTGGGAGGTTTTATTCAAGAGCAGATCCAGGAGCTGTATCATGGAACGTAAGTGAGGCACCTTGGAGCCACAAGGCCCAGGGTTGGGGGCTTAGGCTAGAAAGAACGGGAAAAACTTCAGAATCAGGGCAGAACACAGGGCCAGGATATGAGTCCTGGACTCCCCGAGGTGGCGAGCTGGAACCGACCCCCTTCAATAAACTGCAGGGCTGGAAGGGCTGCTCTGTACAAAAGGGATGTGTAAAGCTGATCCGAAAAAAGTAGTAGCAAGGCCAACGTAGTGGCTCATGCCTGTAATCCCAGCACTCTGGGAGGCTGAGGCAGGTGGATCATTTGAGGTCAGGAGTTCAAGACCAGCCTGGGCAACATGGCAAAACCCCATCTCTACAAAAAATACAAAAATTAGCTGGGAGTGGTGGCACATACCTGTAGTCCCAGCTACTCAGGAGACAGAGGTGGAAGGATCTTGCTTGAGCTTGGGAGGTGGAGGTTGCCATGAGCCAAGATCACATCACTGCACTCCAGCCTGGACAACAGAGCAACACTCAATCTCAAAAAAAAATAATAAAAAATTAAAAAAAAGAAGTGCTAGTGAAGCTTTCTATCCTCCTGAGGCAATGGCAGGAAAAAGTTAAGTGTGGATTCAAATGTACACAGTCCAATAGTTCTAAAACTCCAAATCCAGAAATTAACATAAAAATGTATATACAGCCATGGCTGGGTGTAGTAGCTCACACCCATAATCCCAGCACTTTAGGAGGCCGTGGTAGGCAGATCATGAGGTCAGGAGTTCAAGGCCAGCCTGGTCAACGTGGTGAAACCCTGTCTCTACTAAAAATACAAAAATTAGCCGTGCGTGGTGGCACACACCTGTGGTCCCAGCTACTTGGGAGGCTGAGGCAGAAGAATCGCTTGAACACGGGAGGTGGAGGTTGCAGTGAGCAGAGATGGCACCACTGCACTCCACCCTGGGGGACAGAGCGAGACTCCATCTCAAAAAAAAAGAAAAATGTATATACAGCCATGAAAGAAACTTACTTCCAAGCTACTTTGCATGGACACTTTCACAGCCCAGACACAGATCCACAGGAAAATTAACCCCGATGAAGATGAGCTCACAATAAAAAGTAATCATGAATGACGCAAAAAAGCAAGCAACTATGTCAGTGGGAGATCTTAGATCTAGAGATATTAGAACAATTTGTAAAAGACTACATAATAATAAGTATACTTACATAATAAGTATACTTACATAATAATAAGTATACTTAAAATAATTAAGATAGAAAAGAGAGTGGAAGACATAATAAAAATATTATTTTAAAATAACAAGTAGATTTCAAAAGAAATCAAAGAGTCCTTCAAAAAATACTCATTGCAGTATAATATAGAAGCTCAGCGAATATAGCAAATTAGTTGCAGCTCAAAGGGGAATAAGAAAAATATAAAGCATATCTGAGGAAATTTCATGACATGCAGCACACAGATATGAAAACAAGGAATATATGAGAGTCTAAGATTCTTGGAGATATGAATGAGAAGGGCCAAGAAGGGCTAACACACATATAATAGGAATTGCAGAAGGTGAAAACTGGAAAACCTCAAAACCTAATTAATAGTTGAGAAATTTCCAGAACTAGGGAATGAAGTCCTCACATTGAAGATGCACACTGAGTCCTAAGAAGGATAAATTAAGAACAAACACACCACAGTAAAACTAAAGACCACTGACAATTAGCCAGGCGTGGTGGCGCACACCTGTTGTCCCAGCTACTTTGGAGGCTGAGGTGGGAGGATCTCTTGAGCCCAGGAGGTGGAGGCTGCAGTGAGCTATGATTGTGCCACTGCACTCCAGCCTGGGTGACAGAGCAAGACCTTGTCAATACATAAATAAGCAAACAAATAAATAAATAAGTAATTTTTAAAAAGCATTAAAGACAAAAATACTACCTTGAAAGTACCAGGAGGAAATGCATACTACAAAGGAATGCATACTACAAAGGAATTTGCCTCACAATAGACATGTCAGCTCAGCAACTGGTCAGAAGACTAGTGGGTAACACCTTCTAGGTGCAAAGGAAAAATTTCCACCAAGAATCCTATGTAGCCAGGCACTGTGGCTCACGCCTATAATCCCAGCACTTTGAAAGGCCAAGGCAGGTGGATCACCTGAGGTCAGGAGTTCCAGACCAGCCTGACCAACATGGTGAAACCTTGTCTCTACTAAAAATACAAAAATTAGCTGGGCGTGGTGGTAGACGCCTGTAATCCCAGTTACTGGGGAGGCTGAGGCAGGAGAATCTCTTGAACCTGGGGGATGGAGGTTGCAGTGAGCCAAGATCACACCGTTGCACTCCAGCCTGGGCGACAGAGCGAGACTTCGTCTCAAAAAAAAAAAAAAAAAAAAAAAGAATCCTTTGCGATGCTTGCAGATGCTTTCTTTTGGAAAAAACCAAAAAGAATACTATCTGTACCTAAACTACACAGTTTATACAGAAATAAAGAATTGAGGCTGGGCAAGGTGGCTCATGCCTATAATCCCAGCAAGTTGGAAAGCTGAGATGGGAGGATAACTTGAGGTCAGGAGTTCGAGACCAACCTGGGCAACATAGGGAGACCCTGCCTCTACAAAAACATGTTTAAAAAAAAAAAAAAAGAATTGGGATACAAAGACATGTGCTTGAAGCAGAGTGTGCAGTGAGAAGACTGGGGTCTTTACAAAAAGTCATGGGTGGTGAGACAGATGTCAAGGTGTGTTCATCTGGGCTTTTGGAGGATGGCTTCGCTTTGGATGGACACTTCAGATAGGAAAGTGCTGAAGGCCAAGGTCAGACTCTGAGCTACGTTCCTGAGAAGAATGAGATAAAGTAGCAAGAGAGTCCCAGCCAGCCAGCCCTGTGTCTGCTCCCGGCAAGGTGGTGAGAGTGTGTCAGAGGCTGCGAGGGACCCCTTTAGCCTTGGACCCGCTCTGGCTTGACACAGCCACGCTGTCCCTGCATCTCTGCCTGGGCCGTCGCCTGCCCTCAGGGCTTCTTTCCAGGGCTTCCCCGGCCTCCTCACCCACTGCAACTTCTCTCCTCTATGCCAGCTCAGATTGTTTTCCTCTGGGCCTCTATATTCCCTTCCCCTCTGAAACACCCACCCCTGGCTCAGTGGAAACTCGTCAGTGCTTTCCACCCAAGCCTCCCATGGCTCACTTTCCCTGGGGAGAGTGCCAGAAAGGGTGGATTTCTCAGTCCTCAGAGGCTGTTAACAGGCTTGGCTGCATCCAGTCAGGGCAGGCTGCAATGGGTCCTGAGAGCTGGCGTGCCTCCCACTGCCCCAGGACCACCCTCCATGCCTCACACAGAGGGTCAGAAGGCCCTGTGGGTCGGCCTGGGGCACAGCGGGGAATGAGTGAGCCATCTGCTACGGTCGTGTCAAGCTGCCATCAGTGCCTGTATTCCCCCGGCCCGTCCTCCCAGGAAAAGTCACAGGCCTCCATCTATTGGTCCGTGGCAGCAGGAACCCTCCACACACTTCAAGATCCAGGGCATCCTCCGTTGACCGGAGCTAGACAGAACCCAACCCCACTCAGATCCGGGGCAAAATTCAGGTCATCTGCATGGTGGGGGTGGCTGCATCTGAGAACCACATCATCTGGTCCCTGTCTGTTCCTGAAATACACCAAACCCATTCCCGCCACAGGGCCTTGGCACTGGTGGCTCCCTCTGCCTGGTACACTCTTCCCCTTCTAGACTCTTGGTCAGCTCCTTCTTGTCCTTTACATCTTCGCTGAAGTATCACCCCACCCCACCCCCACCAGGGATCCTTTTCCTGACCTCCTTACCTACAGTCTTCACCCTTACAGTCACTCACTCACTCATCACGCTGATTTATGTCTCTTGTGGCCTTTATTAAAAGCTAAACTGGCCAGATGTAGAGGCTCATGCTTATAATTGCAGTGCTTTGGGAGGCCAGGGTGGGAGAATCACTTGAGGCCAGGAGTTCAAAACCAGCCTAGGCAACACAGCAAGACACTGTCTCTAAAAAAAAAAAGTAAAATGAAATGGTAGCTGGATATAGGGTGCACACCTGTAGTCCCAGCTACTTGGGAGGCTGAGGCAGGAGGCTCGTTTGAGCCCAGGAGGTTGAGGCTGCAGTGAACTGTGATTGTAGCACTGCACTCCAGCCTGGGTGACAAAGTGAGACCCTGTAACCAAAAAAAGCTGCAATAGATACCAGAGCTAACGCCAGCCTCCGGTGCCCCTGATGCCAAGCCCTGCCCCACTCTGGTGACCCCTCCCCACAGAGCTCCCTGGCCTCATTTTCCCGCTTCTCCCTGCACCAGACCTTGGATGGCTGGGCCTCACTCTCCTCACACTTTGATCCTGGGCTCAGATAGACCCAAGTTCAAGTCTCAATACCACTCGTTCCTGGCCATGGACCCTGGGCAGGTCACCTCTTCTCCCTGGGCCTTGCCTTCCTCTTCTGCAACACAGGCTTGCCTTGCAGAGGTCCTGGGAAGATGAGCTGGAATAACGAACTCACGCTTTCAGGACGTGCTGGCTTCTAGCAGTTGCCCCAGCAGGGCTGAGGGCTGGGGCTGCAGTGGACAGACCTGCGACCTCGGGCAGTCAAGGTCTTCTCCAGCCCAGCAAGCTGTGTTTGAGGGTGGGGACATTCAGCAGAGTCTGGGGGCAATGACAGGGATGGAAACCCAGAGCCTGGCCCCCATGCCTCTGCCCTTTCCCTCTTAGGGCCTCAGTTTCCCCATCTGTGAAATGGAGCACTCAACACCTGTTTGGCGTGGTGGCTGCATCCTGCGGTGTCTGGGGAGGTGTGAGCAGTCAGCATAAAGGGGCTGCTATCTACATCCCCTTATGGGGTTAGAGAAGGAGTCCCCTGTGCTGGGGAGCTGGGAGCCACAGCCCCAAGCTAGGAATGGGGAGGACTCCAGGCCCTGGTCTGGCCTTGTCCTCACACCAAGGACTGTGGGTACTGACTGGGCTGAGCCTTGGTGCCCTGTCTTCAGCATTGCGACTGCAGAAGAAGGGGCTGGGCTGAGCTGCACGTGACCTGCAGAATTTGGCTCGGCCCAACCCTGAGCCCAGCCTCTCTCTACCAGCACAGACTAACTGTTTTGGGGCCTGGCCACTCCCTCACACCAACGGCTCCTGCTGCTCCCCACGGCCCCCACCCCGCTGCCTGTGGGAGCTTGGGCTCCTGAGTCTCCCTTTACCAGGCTCGCTGCGCAGATCCTCCACAGTGGGGGTCTGCAGGGTTCTCGTGGGGGCCGAGGTCAGGGAACAGAGGTGGAGACCTTGTGCAAGGGAGAGTGGGGCTCTGGAGTCAGACACACGTGCTTCTGGCTGTAGATGTATCCAGGTGAGAAGGCCGCGTGGGGAGAGGGGACAGGGCCACAGGCTGCATGGCACCCTTGGCTAGAAGTGCCTCTCACGGAGGGTGCCCAGCCCCGGCCTGATTCCTCTTCCCACATGGGGAAGCTGGCTCTCCTGGACCCCTCTCCCAGCCACCGCTGCTGGCCAGGGAGGAGTGAGAACACAAAGATAGCATTGGGCTAGACTGCAATAGTAGCCATGACAGTAGCTAGCACAGACGGAGCACCTGCTATCTACCCAACACTGTTCCAGGCCCCTTGCATACGAACCGATGTCACTGCTGTATGGTGTGTGCACAAACACGATCCCCATTAGGTGCAGACAATGAAAGGGGGACACAGGCGGGCTCTCAGGGCTGCTGGGACCAGACGAGCTGGGAATCAAAGTCAGGTCATCGGCCTCCAGGGCCAGCCCCCTACCCACCCCACAGGGAGGCGCAGCGGCCAGGGAGTGCCTGAAGAGGGATGGCGGGCTTCAGAGCTGCGGGGAGGGACTCCTGCCAGCCTGGGCTTCAGTGAGCCCCCAGTTCTCAGTGGATGAACAGGACTAGACAGGAGATCTACAATCTTCCAGTCTTCCAGGGAGTGTGCTATGCGCTGGTGGGATGGCCGCCCCTCACCCAGATGTTTGGGGCACCCTAGAGAGACAGGACAGCCATGGGACCTGCAGGCTAGGGAGGGGTGGGTGGGGCTGACTCTGTTGATGTCTCGGGGGTAGGACAGAGGGAGGAATATCCAGGACCGCTTGGCTGAGGCAGGGGCCAGGAACGGAGGGGGGTGGTGACAGAAGTCGGCAGCATGGAGGTGGCAAAAACCCCGAGTGTCAGGCCTTATCCTGGGTTCTTGGGAGCCAAGAAGGGCTCTGGAGCCAGGCAAGTGCAGGTCAAAGCTCTGTGCCCCACACGAAGGGTAGGCAGAGGCGGTGGGTAGCTTGGCAGTCAGCCTGGGGGCAGCAGGGACCCTGGAGAGCCAGCCTGGCCCGTTCCCAGCAGGTGTCTGCACCGTGGTCCTTGGGGTCCACCCCAGGGCAGGGTGGGGGGGTCCCGCTGGAAAAACCTGTGATGTTTCCCAGAGACTGGGCACCGGGTTCCCGGAAGCCGCTGCTGGGTGACTAAGGCCCTTCCCAGAGGCAGCCGCCCCCACAGCCAAGAAGAATGGCTGGCACCCACCAGGCACTGGGGGCCACTTCCCATTTTCAACCCATCCTGGCCATGAGTGTGACTCCTGCCCAGACAGCCCAGCCCACTGTCCTCTAGAAGGATCAGAGCCAAGGGTTGGGGACTGTGGCCTGCAGCTGACCAGAAGGAGGGCCAGGGTTCAAAAGGAACCAACTATGGGCACTGTGCCCTCACCCTCAATACCTGCCAAGGCTGCATCCTCCCCTAGACCCTGTGCTGGGCAGGGGAAGCCTCTCAGGAATCTGGGCGCCTTTGCTGTCTTTATCCAGGTCATTACTCTAAAGACCTAGTGGCCACTACCACTGCCAATGCCAACCTTCTTCTGCCAGTAAAGCCCAGTAGGCAATGATTGGCACTGGCAGTTGTGAGTCTGAATGGGCAGTGATGCCCAGTCAGGAGTGCTGGCCACTAGGCCAGGTGTGGTGGCTCATGCCTGTAATCCCACTGCCTTGGGAGGCCGAGGTGGGAGGATCACTGGAGGCCAGGAGTTCGAGACCAACCTGGGCAACATAGCAAGACCCCATCTCTACAAAAAATAAAAAATTAGCTGGGGACATGGTGGCACGTGCCTGTAACCCCAGCTACTGGGGAGGCACTTGAGCCCAGGAGTTTGAGTCTGCAGTGAGCTGTGGTGGCACCACTGCTCTCCAGGCTGTGACAGAGTGAGACTCCCATCTCTAAAAAGTAATAATAATAATTAACAAAGAGTTGGCCAGGTGCGGTGGCTCACGCCTGTAATCCCAGCACTTTGGGAGGCCGAGGTAGGTAGATCACCTGAGGTCAGGAGTTCAAGACCAGCCTGGCCAACATGGCGAAACTCCGTCTCTACTAAAATACAAAACTTAGCTGGGCATGGTGGCAGGCGCCTGTAGTCCCAAGCTACTCAGGAGGCTGAGGCAGGAGAATTGCTTGAACCTGGGAGGGGAGGTTGCAGTGAGCCGAGATCGTGCCACTGCACTCCAGCCTGGGTGACAGAGCGAGACTCTGTCTAAAATAATAATAATAATTAAAAAAGAGTGATGGTGAATGACAGTGGTGACCTTGGTGAGCAGGGACGCCCCTAGGCAGCGACTGCCCTGCTCTGCCCAGGAGGGCAGGGCATCCACCCTAAAAATGCCTCAGGAGATGGAGCCCAGCACCTGCGCATTTGCAAGCCTGTTCCTGCCGTTCTGGGCCACCTCCCGGGAGGGAGGACAGCACTGGGGCTTCAGAACCCCACTGCCTAATCTCTGCAGCCTCAGGGAAGAGCCCCACCGGACTAGGGAGAAGCGGCTCCTTCCAGGACCGTGCCCCACCCCCTCCAATCCCATCACAAGTAGCCCAGGAGTATTCATATCTTCACGTCTTCATGGCGCCTTGGGCACTTTGCAGAGGAAGAATCCGGCTGGAGTGGTGGAATGTCACACGGAGGCAGCAGGTCAGAGGTCCCCGGCGCCCTGATGGCCAAGATGGGGCTTCTGCCCTGACCAGCTCAGAGTCAGAGAACTGGGTCTGGCCTGGACGAAGAGCCTGGGGAAGGCGTCTCCATGGCCTGGAGCAGATGGTGGGTCTTGGCCCAGGCCAGGGCAGCCCCGATGGGCCAGGCCCCACACGGTGTGGGGGCCCCTTCATCTGAACTCCCTCATTCCAATCCAGGACATCAGTGAGGTGGGGCCCGCAGGCCACCCTAGGCCAGCGTGAGGGGAATATGGAGAGTCAAAGACGAGGGCCCCCTTCGTGCCCACCCAGACCCCAGAGGGTGCAGAGGGGGACTTGGCTCTAGAGGGGGCAGGAGGTTCCTCAGGGCAGCCCCAAGGAGGTGACAAGCCCCATGCTGGAGGCTTCAGGGGGCCGGCATCCAGCTCCCCGTCCATGAAGCCACCGCAGCCCTGCCCCCCGGGAATCCCCTGGAAGTGCTCGTTTGCCCTGCACATCTCCTAGGGCAAAGGGAGGGGCACCCAGCCCAGGAAGCCTGCCTGGAGCTCCAGCCTTGGCCAGCGGGGGCTGACGGGGCTGAGGGGTGGGGGAGGGGACGCATGGCTGAGGACCCTTGCAGGGTGGCTGACTGCGAGTCTATGTGGGTTTGTGCAGCCAACGAGGAGGCATGGTCCGTGAGTATAGGTGGACAGGGTCAGGGTGGCGTGTGTGTCTGCCTGTGTGTGTCTGTGTGTGTGGTGTGTGTTTGCTTGGTGTGTCTATTGAGTGTGGTGTGTGTGTTTATCTCTGTCTGTGAGTGTGGTGTGTGTGTCTGTATCTGTGTGTGTGGTGTGAGTGTGGTGTCTGTGTGTGGGGTGTGGGTGTGTGGTGTGTATCAGTCTCTGTGTGTGGCCTGTGTCTATCTGTGTCTGTGTGGTGTCTGTGTGAGGTGTGTGTCTATGAGTGTAGTGTGTGTTTATATGTGTGTGTTGTGTGTATGTGTGGTGTGTTTGTGTGTTTGGTGTCTGTATGCTGTGTGTGTGTCTGATGTGTATCTGTGTGTCTGTGTGTGTCTATGTCTATGTGTATCTGTCTACATCTGTCTGTGTGTGCCTCTGTGTGTGGTATGTGTGGTGTGTGTATCTGTGTCTGTGTGTGTGGTGTGTGTGTCTGCGTCTGTGTATGGTATGTATGTGGTGTGTATCTGTGTATCTGTGTGTGTGGTGTGTGATGTATGCATGTGTGTCTGTGTCTGTGTATGGTATGTATGTGGTGTGTATCTGTGTATCTGTGTGTGTGGTGTGTGATGTATGCATGTGTGTCTATGTGTATCTGTCTATGCATGTCTGTGTGTGCCTCTGTGTGTGTGGTGTGTGTGTCTATGTCTGTGTGTGTCTATGTCTGTGTGTGTTGTGTGTCTGTGTGTGGTATGTATGTGGTGTGTATCTGTGTGTGTGTGGTGTGTGTTATGTATCTGTGTGTCTGTGTGATATGTGTGTGAGGTACATATCTGTGTGTCTATGTCTGGTGTGTGTGTGGTGTGTATTTGTGTGGTTTGTGTGGTGTTTGGTGTGTGTGTTGTGCATCTGTGTGTCTGTGTGATATATGTGTGAGGTGTGTATCTGTGTCTCTGTGTGTGGTGTGTGCGTGTGGTGTGTATCTATGTGTGTGTGTGTGGTGTATGTGTGAGGTGTGTATCTGTGTGTCTGTGTGTGGTGTGTGCATGTGGTGTGTATCTGTGTGTGTGTGAGATGTGTGTGTGAGGTGTGTATCTGTGTGTCTGTGTGTGGTGTGTGCGTGTGGTGTGTATCTATGTGTGTGTGTGGTGTGTGTGTGAGGTGTGTATCTGTGTGTCTGTGTGTGGTGTGTGCATGTGGTGTGTATCTGTGTGTGTGTGTGATGTGTGTGTGAGGTGTGTATCTGTGTGTCTGTGTGTGGTGTGTATCTGTGTGTATCTGTGCGTGTCTGTGTGTGCCTGTGTGTTGGAGCATGGGTCTTCAGGAGCCCCCATCTGGGGCGGGGGTGTGGTGTGTTGTGCACAGCCCAGACCCCCTAGGACAGAGCCCAGACCCCCCAGGGCACAGCGAGGGGGACTAGGAAGTCCTCTAGGGCTCGTGGGACTAGAAGGAGGCTGAGACCCCCGGGTGGCACCGGGCCCCAGCCCTCGTGGGTGCCGGGCAGCGCGGGCACACGTCAGGACCCAGCTCCACGCCCTCTGCTCCTCACCTCCTCCTTCCCTCCAGATGTTGCCCAACAGCTGCGGGCTGGCCGCCCGGGGCGCACTTCCCCTCTCTGGCCAGCCAGGCAGGGGTCCTGGGCACCGGGTCGGAGGAGCTGGGTGCAGACCCGCAGCCTCCTGGGCACCCGCACAGTGCACTCTTCCGGCAGGATTTTCCTGGCAGCGGCTGGAATGTCCAGCCCCAGCTCCCAATGCGGTTCCATCTCCTGGGTCACCTCTGTGAGTCACCTCCCCTCTCCGAGGCTCAGTTCCCCGTCAGTGGCATGGTTGTCACACAGGCCCGGGTGGGGTCATCAAGTGCAAGGCTGAGCCCAAGGTAGGCAGAGAGGCTCCTTGGGCGCCCCCCGCCTGCTGCTTCTCCCACCTCCTCCTCTGCACCAGGCCCCCCGTGGCTGCTGGCTTTTCCCACCTGACTGGCCCAGGTCTCAAGTGGAGAAGAAACCAAGGCTCCCAGAAAGCCCAGAGGACTGCTTAGGGGAGAAGGGACGGCCAAGGTCATACCCGAGGCCAGTGTGAAATGTAGCCTTAGAATGACGTGTTGCTCTGTAGGGGCCTCCTGGACAATCCCCACCCCTGACACACACCCAGTGACCTCAGGGCCGGCTGCCCACACCTCCACCTGGCCTGGACTCGTCCAAACAGTCCCCTACCTGGGTTGGTCCCTCCTGGCTCCTGAGAAGGCCCCCGTAAGCAGAGAGGCGGGGCCCGAGGGGCTCTGCAGTGCGTCAGCACTCTGCCCTGACCCAGCATACCCAGAGGTCAAGGTCGAGTCTGATGCAGTCAGGAGAAGCGAGGACCCTGGAGTCAGGCGCACTGGAGCACACATGCGTGGCTCTGCCTCTGACTACCTTCTCTCAGCCTCAGTTTCCAGCATAGTCTCCACTCCAAGCACCCCTCACCTGCCTGTCCCATTTTAGTGGGGGGCCCTGACCATCCTCCCTCCTCTCCCTCTCCTTCCTCCTCCTGCTCCTCTTCTTCCCCTCCTCCTGGGACAGGGAAGTGTCTCACTGCTGGAGTCTCTGAGCCACTGCCCCTTGTCCTACCGCAGACCCAGTTGGTGCCAGCACAGGACTGCTGGAACCCATGGCCTTCAGAATGCCCCATGGGGGAGTGGAGGTGGAGGCATCTCTTCCTAGGAGCAGGAGCAAGGGAAGGCGGGCCAGGAAAGGGCCACATGGTGAGCTGACCTGGACACCAGAGGGGCAGGTCCTGTTGTCCTGGCCGGATTTCCTGAAGGCAGGGTCCCTGGTCAGTGGTGTCTGCCAGGGAGCGCAGGACTCCCGAGGCTGTATCCCAGGGTGGTTCGGGATGTGGGGCTCCCAACAGCACCACTGGGGTCCACCACGGTTTCTGCGAGACAGTGGGCTAGACCCTTATCTGGGGCAGGATGGGTGGGCAGGACAGGGACCCTCCCAGCTGAGCTGCAAGGAACAGGGCTCAGGAAGCAATCTGTACAGGCCCCTTTGCATTCTCAGGTCAGGGCTGCAAGGCTGCTGGGTCCCAGATCGATCCGGAGGGCCCAGAGCAGAAAGGGGTGGGCACCTTTGTGGGCCTTGGAGAGAGGATGGGAAGCCATCCTCTTCGCTGCTGGCTCTTCACTCATGGCTGGAGCTCCCAGGGCCCCTGGGCTCCAGAAGGAATCCCCGAATCCTTCATCACAGCCTGCTTGGCATAGGTGGCACATCCCCCACTGCATCCATCCCCCCCCCAACAACACCAACCACTGTGGCCCTGAGTGTGGAGTGAAGGGAAGAGGCCGGGCTGGTGGGGACTGATGGCCTCACCCTCTCCCTGCCCCTAACAGCCCAGGCCAGAGCCAGGGTGTCAGCCCCTCACCCACCCCAGAGACTAGAGCAAGGGTTGGTGGAAAGACCAACAGGTTCAGGGGTCACTGTGTGTGGCCAGGTCAGAGGTCAAAGATTTGCTGACAGCAGTCTTGGAGGTATTGATCTGGTGGGGGAGGGGGCAGAACTGTGTCCCCTGCCAGGGACTGTGGGCATGGGCTGGTGGTTAGCAAGCTGGATTCAGCAGAACCCACCACAGCTGGCCTCCTGGGCTGAGGGGATGGGGGTGTCAGCTGAGGACCAGTTGTCATGCTGAAAATGAGCTCAGGGCCAGCCCCGGGCTGACACTCCAGGATGGCCAGGGGACAACAGGGATCAGGAGGCCTCTGAGGCTCTCACAGGGTCGAGATGACTGAGGAATGAGGGGTTCAGAAACCCCAGCCTGCCAGCAGGGACAGAAGCCAGGAGGGAGCATCTTCAAAAGGGCAGGAGGCTATGGCTGGGCTGGCTTCCTGTGGGGGGGGGTGCCGACTGCAGCAAGCCTGGAAGGCCTCTCCCAGGCTGACCTGCTTCAGGGATGACCCCGGGTCCCTTCAATGCCTGACAGTGACCACAGCACCCACCTCGGCCCTCTGCCCAGTTTGCTTCTATGGGATACAGGAACCATCCCAGTGCCCCCCACCCAGAAAGATGCAGCCAGGGAGTCCAGCAAAGGCGCCATCCCCTGCCTCTGCCCAGAGCAGCTCCTGGGGGTGGTAGGACATTCCTGCTGCCCCTTCCTCCTCCCATACACATATGCCAACCAGTCCAGACAGGGGAGAAGCCTGGCCCAGAAGGGAGGAGCTGCCAGGACTGGGGAGGCAGGGAAGAGGCCCCTCCCCCAGCTGATCTCACCCCAAACACATTGGATGCAAAGGCGTTTCTCCATTCCTGGAGCCTGCCTGGGGAGGCAGAGTGGGGAGTGTTTGTCTGTGTGAGTGTGTGCACATATGTGATTTGTGCACACATCCCTGTGCATTTGCACGTGTGTGCATTCATGCGCTTGTTAGTGCATGTGCTTGCATGTGCATGTTATTTGTGTGTGTGTTCCTTTGTGCATGGAGTACATGTGTGAACATGTGTTCATGCACATGTGTATTTGTGTGTGCCTGTGGACACGTGTGTGCACGTTTGCACATACTCACATGTGTTTGGCCCCAGGTCTGAGGCTGGGCTGGCCCCCTTCCAGGTGCTGACTGGAGAGACACTGCAGCTGTCCCTTGGAATGGCTTGGCCAGGACTTAGCCAGAAACTCTTACCAGTCCCCATGGTCCACACCCTGGCAGCTGTCCTGAAACTGAAGGCTTCTGATCAGCCCTAGCCAGCTGGCGGCGTGGCCAGAGGGCAGCTCTGTCCACTGGGGGGGCATGTAGTGGCGCCTGGCTCAGAGCAGACTCAAGCTTGAAGTCACTGGCACTGAGGCACAGACACAGGCACATGGGCCCACTTGGGCCTGGAGCCCTCCTTGATTACACCAGGGCCTGGCAGAGGCTTCCTCCTAGAAGTGACCCCTACTGGGGACATCAGGTACTGCAGACTGGCTCTACTAGCCATTGTCATAAAAATAGGCCTCAGAATGTGGTTCCTCCCTGCAATGAGGATATCTTGAGTTTAATCTGTGGTTTTCAAATTATGCTCCAAGAAATCCCTGGGGTTCCTTCAGGTCCCTTCAAGGGCTCCCAAAATTTGAGGCTCCCCACCTCTCACCTTAAAAAGAGCATTGAGCTTTTCGAATACATTTCTCTAAAAATGTTTTTCAATATCTAGGCTAGATTTTGACCTTTCAGCTCTAGGAGTCGCTTTATAAGTATGTCTCAATCAGATCTTTTTTTAGAATGATTAATTGGGCTCTAATGCATTACTGACCCCATCTTCTCCTAAAAGGCACACAAAATTAATTTAGGGAAACTGGATAAGCCAAAAGCAAGAGGAGGCTGGTCCTGGTGGCTTACACCTGTAATCCCAGCACTTTGGGAGGCTGAGGCAGGAGGATAGCTTGAGCCCAGGAGTTCGAGGCTGCAGCCAGCTGTGATCATGCCACTGCCCTCTAGCCTGGGTGACAGAGTGAGAACTTTTCTCAAAAATAAGTAAAAAGCAAGTAGAGATCCGCTTTAAATACCTCTTGAGAATCAGAAGAGGCAATTCAGAGAGACAGGGTCCATCTCAGAGCTGCGCAGCCTTGGGCTGGAGTAGATTTCATGCCCTCTAGTGAAGGGGCAGGTATGTGAGAGGCTCCCAGGGGAGGCCCTGCCTTGCCACTAGAAACTTGGCACGAGGGGACCCTGATAGCAGGACATCTTCACTCAGTAGTCCACTGACACCTCCCCCAGGGGAGGCAGGACAGTTGAGGCCTGTCTCTCCCCAAGGCATCACCTCTTCCCTGCGATGCAGTTTCCTTCATCCTCCTACATGTCCCCAGTGCCTCCATGTAACATGTGTGGCACAGCACATTGCCCACGTTTCACGCCTTGCAGTGTTTGCCTGAGGTGACTGAATGTGATTTGCTGCAGGTAAAACGCAGTTCCCAGGACCATCAAGCAGGAGCAGATGTGCTGTGGTCAGTGGCTCGGCCGTCTTGAGGCACACGACACCTTGCTTAGGCCTTGGCCTCTGCTGGAGATGGGTGGATGCTAAGGCCCAAATCCTGGTCCTACTGTGGCCAGATGAGGTCAGGAAGGATGGGGGAGCCTTGTCCTATTCAATCCCATTCATTCATTCAAGTATTTGTTGCTGTGTTTGCGGGCACTGTGCTAGGTGGTGTGGATGCCTTGGTAAACAAAACAGACCATTCAGCTTGCAGCCTAGTGTGGGTAGTGGGAGAGATGGGCCATAAAAATAAACAAGTAAAAGATCTAGAAGTTCACATGGTGGTCAGGGGAGAAGCAGGGCAAAGAGGATAGAAAATACCAAGGTGGTTGGCCGGGCGCAGTGACTCACACCTGTAATCCCAGCACTATTGGAGGCCAAGGTGGGAGGATCCTTTGAGGCCAGGAGTCCGAGTCCAGCCTGGGCAACATAGTGAGACCCTGTCTCTACAAAAAAGAAAAAAAAATCTTAAGAAATGTTAGTCAGCCATGGTGGTGCTCACCTGTGATCCTAGCTACTCAGGAGGCTGAGGCGGGAAGATTGCTTGAGCCCAGGAGTTTGAGACTGCAGTGAGCTCTGATGGCACCACTGCACTCCAGCCTGGATGAGAGAGTGAGACTTTCTCTAAAAAATAAAAAAGAAAGAAAGAGAGAAAGACAGAAAGAGAGAAACAGAGAAAAGAAAGAAAGAGAAGGAGGGAAGGAAGGAAGGAGAGAGAAAGAAAGAAAGAAAAGAAAGAGAGGAAAGAAAGAAAGAAAGAAAGAAAGAAAGAAAGAAAGAAAGAAAGAAAGAAAGAAAGAAAGAAAGAAAGAAAGAAAGAGAAAGAAAGAGAGAGAAAGAAAGAGGGAGGGAGGAAAAAAGAAAAGAAAAGGAAAGGAAAGAAAGTGCTGAGGTGGGGAATGTGCTTTTCAATGGAACGGGCAGAGAAAGCTTCCTGGGAAGGTGGCATTTGGCAGAGTCCTGCAGTGGGGTGAAGGGGTGAGGAGCTCTGAGGGTTTTGGGGAAAGGGCATTCCAGGCAGAGGTGCCACCAGCACAAAAGCCCTGGGGCAGGAGCGTCCCTACTTAAGGAGTAGTGTGGTGGTGCCAGCTGGGTGACAGGGAGAGTTGATGAGGTGAACGAGCTTCTGGGGCTGCGTGTAGGGTCACTGCTGTGGCAAGGTCTTTGGTTTTACTCTGGGGTGTGCAGATACTGCAAAGAGCTGAGCAGCAGAGGGGTGCTGGGACAGGACCTCTGCCGCCCTTCCCTCTGCCCTACCTCAGCCAACCTTGCCCCCCAGCCAAGAAGACCCTGTCTAGGAGCCTGGCAGCTGGGACAGACCAGCCATGCCCTGCCTTGGGGACCGCTCAGCCAGTGAGGAAAGGGCCCCTCCATGATTTTTTTTTTTAAGCAGGGTCTCACTCTGTCACTAGCGTGCAGTGGTATGATCACAGCTCACTGCAGCCTCAAACTCCTGGGCTCAAGCGATCCTCCCACCTCAGCCTCCTGAGTAACTGGGACTACAGGCACACACCACCATGCCTGGCTAAGTATTTGGGGGGGTTTTCTTGTTTTTCTTTCCACCTGTTGAGACAGGGTCGTGCTACGTTGCCCAGGCTGGACTCAAGAAATCCTCCCACACTGGCTTCCCCAGGTGCTGGGATTACAGGCGAGAGCTACCTTACCCAGCCTCTCTTGGGATTGTATCTGCTCCTCAGCCTACAGGGATGTGAGGGTTGGATCCCGTTTGACCCCCTGAGCCATGGCATCTTCTCCTCACCAGCCAGGACCAGCCTCGGCTAGGACAGCCTCATGTGCCAGCCAAAAGGCTCCACTGTGGCAGGGATGGTCCCTGAGGGCCTGGGGAGAAGGCAACACGGTCCAAGACCCTCTGTTTCCTCCCACCTCCCACCTGCATCACCGCCCCAGTCCACACAGGTCCTGGTGTTTCACTGACAGGTTTGGCTCGTTCCTGCCTTGGGGCCTTAGCACGGACTGTTCCAGCTGCCCTAATGCCTTTCCCTGGGGTGCTCACCTCACTGATGCTCTTCCTCACTTTCTCACAAGTCCCTCCCTGGGGGTGCTCCCCTCCCCCAAGCCCCACCAAAGCTGCCACCTCACCCACGGCCCTTCCAGTTCCTCCATGATGTTTTCCTGTGTGTCACTGTCTCCATTACAAATTCTCTGGTTTAGGCCAGGCACAGTGGCTCACACCTGTAATCCCAGCACTTTGGGAGGCCAAGGCGGGCGATCACCTGAGGTCTGGAGTTCGAGACCATCCTGGCCAGTATGGTGAAACCCTGTACAAAAAATATAAGTGTTAGCCGGGCACGGTGGCTCATGCCTGTATTGGGAGGCTGAGGCAGATGGATCACTTGAGGTCAGAGTTTGAGACCAGCCTGACCAACATGGTGAAACCCTGTCTCTACTAAAACTACAAAAATTAGCAGGTCATGGTGGCACATGCCTGTAGTCCCAGCTACTCAAGAGGCTGAGGCAGGAGAATCACTTGAACCCAGGAGGCGGAGGTTGCAGTGAGCCCAGATAGTGCCACCGCACTCCAGCCTGGGCAACAGAGCAAGACTCTGTCTCATAAATAAATGAATAAAAACAAATTTTCTGGTTTCTATATTTGGCGGCTGACATCCCATCACACGTGAGCTCCGCCGGGCAGGGCCCTCCCAGCACACAGTAGGTCCTTGCTGTGCTTTGGATGAGTGGATGCACAGCAGGAGGGTGGGGACCAGCTCTGAAAGGCTGCAAAAGGCCCCCAGTGGTCTGGGCAGGGCTTTGGGACCCTAATTTGCTGAGCTGGACCTAAGGGGGATGGGGGGTGGTTGTGAACGAGGACCCTTCCCTCCTCCATCCTGAGGCCGGCAAGCACGGCAGGCATAGGTCCAAGCTGCTCCCTTGGAGGGGCTGGCACGAGGGGGCCCCTGCCGCAGGCACCCGGGCATCAGAGGGGCTGGGTGGGCTGGGAGGGATGCTGCATCCCCACCTGTCACTGGCTCCGTCCTCAGTCTGGGTCTGTATGGGCAGGAGGTGGGGACGGGGTGCTTCCATAGAGCATATGGCCTCCTGCACAGGGCAACGCCGTGCCACCAGCTCCCCACTGCGAGTGGACCCTCAGACACCGTGACAGACCAGGGATTCCCCCCAGCTGCGGGAGTGGGCATACCTGGGAGGTAAGGGGCTCCGACCCCTCCCCGGGGGCGGTGGGGGGGACCTGCTTCTGTCCCATGGGCTCCGGGTGACACCTAGTGGCCAGGATTTCCTCTTGCACTGTGGGCCCCCAAGCCCCCAAACTCCTTGGCCTGGGACATCCCAGAAAGGAAGGGCACCCCTGCCCTAGGTCTCCACCCACAGACTGGTTCTCACGGTCCCCCGCCCCCGTGCCGGCTCTCCGGGCCTCACCCACAGGCGCACTCACACCCGCTGTGACACTCATCCCTCCCTCCCTCCCACGCACACGGCCACAGAGCCGTGTGGGCCTATGGGAAGGGGTGTCCTGGGGCCCTCTGGGCAGAGGGTCTTCTCCAGTGCCCTACCGGACCACATGCACCCCCCAACCACCCCTCACCCCCAGGAGTGCCTGCCCAGGAGCACCCCCCGTGATCAGCTAGTCCCCCCGGGGAGGGAGGCCTAGAGGAGGAGCCTTGGACTTTCCACCCACCTCCTCCCAGCCAGGCCTCACGGTTGCTGCTGTGAAAGCCAACCTGGGACAGAGCCAGGAGCCCCAGGTGAACACCCAGCCAGAACCCAGTGGGGAAGGAGGTCACCAACCCAGCCAGAAGCCCAGGAGGGACCAGCCCCAAGGCGACGTCTGCCCCAACCAGGGCCCGTCTCCTGGTGGCCCTCGAGGACATGGGCATGGGAGAGGGCCCAGGAGCCAGGCCAGGCCCAGGAGTGGGCATGTGAGCATCAGCCAAGAGCGGCCTCCCTTCCGGGCCAGGGCCAGGCCGCCTGCATCACACAGGGGAGCCCGAAGAACGGGGGGAAAGGCCTGTAGGCGGGGCTGCCCAGAACCCTGCCAACCAAGGCACGGGGGCACACGTGGCCAGCAGCACCGGGCAGCACCAGGCATCTGAGACCCCAGACCCAGCCTGCCTAAAGGGGCTGCCTTCAGGTGACACCACTGGCTTTTTCCTTCCAGAGCCACCAAGAGAGGAAGGAGAAGGTGACTTGCCCCATTTCCCAGTTGTAGGCACTGGGACTTGGCAGGAACTGACAGAAACAGAAGATGTGGGCACTTTGCTTCCCAGGCTTGCGCGGGGAAGCTGGCAGGGCCTCGGGGTCTCTACCTCCTGTGCCTTCCCAGGACCCAGGCGTCCCTCACTGCCATGCACTCAGCCCTGCCAGCTGGGAGGTGGCCTCATCCACTAGAGAGCCCCCTCCCCTGCAGCCTTCACCTGACCTCTAGTCCCCGCTTATGCAACGGAGGTGTCACAGAAGCCGGGCACCCACAGGGCAGGCTGGGGTCTCAGCCAGGGTTGGGCTAGGGGCCTAGTGGGCTGAGGACCTGCCCGGGGGGCCAGCTGCAGCCTCTGTGTGCTCTTCCCCACAGCACTCACCTGTGTGCATGGTATGGACCTTGGCTAGAGATGGGCAGGCATGGGCAGGATGAAGAGTGAGTGGGCACCCCAGTGTGCCTGCAGCTGCTGCCCAGGCTGTGCTCAAAGCCCGGAGGCTTAGGGGCTGGAAGTTCATACTCCACAAGTGGTGTGTGCCAGGGAGCTGGCCTGGAGGCCTGGGCCCCTAAAAGGGTTCTATGGGTGGAGTTAGAGGGTCCTTGCATCCCCAGTGCCCTCCCTCAGCCCCAGTGCCCATCGGGATTGGCGCAGTTCTTCCCTGGTGGGCACTTTCAGATGGAGAAACTCCTATGTCCACCTGAAGGGACTCCCATTCCTGTAGAAGGGGCAGAAGCCTTGGGCAGGCAGATGAGATTCCAGGTGGCTCACAGATGGGTCTCCTCCAGCGCTGGGACCCTGTCCACCCCGCCTCCACTGCTCCTCCCTCTGGTCTGCCCCACTTTAGATGGGGGAGGGGCATTGGAATCTTCAGTGAATGAACACAGAATTGAAGGGCCAATTGAATTGAATTGAAGTTCACACTCGTAATCCCAACACTTTGGGAGGCTGAGGCGGGACAGTTGCTTGAGGCCAGAAGTTCAAGACCAGCCTGGGCAACATGGTGAGACCCTGTCTCTACAAAAAAACTTTTTTTCTTTTTAATTAGCTAGGCACGGTGGTTCACACCTGTAACCCCAGCTACTCAGGATGCTGAGCCGGAAGATTGCTAGAGCCCAGAGGTTTGAGGCTGCAGTGAGCTATGACTGCACCACTGCACTCCAGCCTGGGTGACAGAGTAAGTAAGACCTTGTCTCTTTAAAAAAAAAAAAAAAAAATTGAACTGAGTGTCACAGCCTCAACTTTGCCACCAATATTTATAGTGCCTTTTAGGAGCCAGACTCTGGGCCAGGACTGGGATGCTACAAAGAGGAATGACTCTGGCTGGGTTAAGGGATGGTATGGGGGAGCAGGAGGCAGGGAAGGAGGAACACAATGAGTGGATGCTGCCTCCCATGGGCTAAAGAAGCCGGGGAGGGAGTGCTGGCCCCAGCCTATCAAGGGAGGGACATTTCCGGAGGGCTCCCTGGAGGAGGAGGATACCTGGGCTAAGAAGGTTCCACCAACCCAAGCACTCCCCTGGAATTCCAGGGTAACTGCAGAGGAAAAGCACTGAGGACATTCCAAGCAGCTGGAACAGGGAAGGTGGAATTAAGGGAGGCAGAAAGGCCCAGCACACCGGGGCCGCTGGGAGCCACGGCAGGGACACGTCCCATGTCCCCACAGGGCCAGTAAGGATGCAGCTGTTACAGAGTAGCCAGGCCTGGGAGAAATGAGGACCGCAGATCTTGCAGTGTGTGCTGGGAAGGGAAGGAGCTTCTTGGCATCACTGCCCCCACACCCACCCAGATTAGAGAATCAGGGAGGTCAGAGGCCCACAACAGTGGTTTTGCTTCTCCCCTGGGGTAGTTTAGAAGTGTGAGGGGGTTCACTGGCTGCAGTAATGGGGTGCTGTAGTCATGGGGTGGCAGGGACCTGCTGTGTGAGGGGCATCCCGCCTGGTGGCAAGTTGCCCCGCACCCCACACAAGAGAGGAGGGAGTTCTGTGTGGGCAGGAGGTGGGGATGGGGCGCCAACTGGGAACAATTTTGCCCCTCAGGGGACATTTCTCAGTGTCTGGAGCCACTTCTGATTGTCATGACCTAGGGGTACTGCTGGCATTTAGAGGGTAGAGGCCAGGGCTGCTGCCGAGCATACCCCACTGCACAGCAGTTATTCTGCTCAACATATCCACAGCGCGGGGCATGAGGAACTCTGATGTAGGATTGCTAATAAACCCTATCGGTAATGACCCTATCGGGAATGACTACTTCTGTTCGGCGTCTTTTCCAGATGCACAATTTCTAGGGATGCAATGAGCATGAAAGCTGAGGGGAGATGGAGCTTTGTTTTGTTTGGAAATTTACCAAGAAGCATTTGCCATTTTGGAGAAACACATCCCCAAGATCACAGGGTGGCCCCAGCAGGCACCTGAGCCCTGAGGGTAACCCTGCTCCCGTCTGTGTCTGCAGCAGTGACAGCCTCTGCCATTCTGTGCAACCCACATCTGAGTCCACTGTAGGTCACACCCAGGCCTCTTTCCAGTTGAATATACATAATGAAATTATAAATTACTTTCCTTTTATTTCTTCCTTATTTTATTTATTTATTGTTTTTAGAGACAGGGTCTTGCTCTGTCACCCCAGCTGGAGTGCAGTGGCGCAGTCGTGGCTCACCGCAGCCTTGAACTCCTGGCCTCGTGTGATCCTCCTCAGCCTCCCAAAGTGCTGGGACTACAGCATGAGCCACTGTGCCTGGCCTATTTCTTCCTTATTTTAAAGCTACGACATTAGATGGATTTTGAAAGTCTGGCTGGGATTCTATGATCTATGAATTTTACTTTGGGGTGGTAAGGAGATACAATAAGATTCTTTACAGCAGGAGAAGGAGTCTGGTTAGATGAACCAGGTTTAGATGCTCACGGGGGGCAGGGGATAGGGAGGACCACCCCAGGGTTCTTGTCTGCAGAAGGAGGATGTCCCATGGCTAAGGGAAGGGAGGTGAGACCTGGGAGTGAAGGAAGATCAATGTCTGGACCCTCAGCTTGAGCGAGGCCGGGTGCAAAGGTCTGAGGCCAGGAGGAACATCTGGGTGTGGGCAGCAAGGAGTGAAGATGGCAGGCCCATAAAGTGTCAAGAGTGAGGGAGGCCAGGCACAGTGGCTCATGCCTATAATCCCAGCACTTTGGGAGGCCGAGGCGGGGAGGATCATTTGAGGTCAGTAGTTCGAGACCAGCCTGGCCAACATGGTGAAACCCCATCTGTACTAAAAATACAAAAATTAGCCAGGCGTGGTTCTGCATGCCTGTAATCCCAGCTACTCAGGAGGCTGAGGCAGGAGAATCGCTTGAACCCGGGAGGCGGAGGTTGCAGTGAGCCAAAATCCCACCACTGCACTCCCGCCTGGGCAAGACAGTGAGACTCTATCTCAAAAAAAAAAACCAAAAAGTGAGGAGATGGGAGCGCTGGAGGGAGCCCCAGGGCACTGCAGGGGCAGGTGGAGGACGAGGGGCTGTGGAAGGGACTGAGAGCAACCAGGTAGTTTGGTCCAGGGAGGCTCAAGAGAGGTTTCAGTGGTCCTGGGGCATGGGGTTAGCACAGCAGCGCCCACATCGGGTCTCACCTATGGGGGTAGCCTACTTTTGAGATCAAAGGCAGCTCTGGGCAGAAGCCACCGGGCCCCGCTCAGTTCACGAGGCTGGCCACACCCAGCCATTGGCAGGTCTGGGTCTCTGCCCATCAAATCAACGGGGCTGGGATGAGTGCCTCAGGCCAGGAGGGGGCCAGGAAGCCCCAGGACCACGTGGCCAAGCCTCCCAGGATCACGGTTACCAGACCCCCAGGATTCAGGGTCTGGTTACTCCAGCTCCCCGCTTACCAGATGTGAGGCCTTGGGCCGATGATTCCCTCTCTCTGTGCCGGGTTTTTCCTTCTTTGAAAAGGGGAGATAACATAGGGCTGGCCCCACTCCCCTCTCCCCCAGACAATGTCCCATTTCCATCCCATGGTCAGGCCAGGCTAGTGCGCCCCTTCTGGCAGGGCCCAGCCCCAGCTAGGTTGATTGGGGTCCCAACCCATGGTCAGGGCAGAGCCGGCTGGTCAGCCTGGAGAGTCCTCATCCACAGTTCTCCATCCCTGTGACATGTCGCTGTGAAAGTGCTTCCACAGACATCCGTCTGCAGGGCCTGAGTGGTGGCGCTGGGTAGCCCACTGGTGACTCACATAAGCACAGGACTGGGGGCCAGTTTTGAACCCTCCTCCAGCAGATAGCTCAGTCCCCTGCAAGTGGCTGGTACCCTGCTCTCAGAGAGGCACTCTGCAGGGAGGGTCACCCAGGCCCGAGCTGGGGTGGAGGTCTTCTGACCCTGAGACTGCTTTGCCTTAGACCAAGGGGGCCTAATCTTCTGGCTTCCCTGGACCACATTGGAAGAAGAATTGTCTTGGGCCACACATAAAATACACTAACACTAACGATAGCTAATGAGCAAAAAAAAAAACAAAACCAAAAATGTTGTTTTTCTTTTGAGATGGAGTCTCCCTCTGTCGTCAGGGCTACAGTGCAGTGGTACAATCTCAGCTCACTGCAACCTCCGCCTTTGGCTGTTAGACTTTTTTCTGGGGTCCCTCACCGACCTTCCACGCACAGTCCCCCAGCCACCGGCAGAGCTGAGGATGCCGCCACCCAGGGGCCACATCCAGCTGGGCCTCCACCCACAGGGTCCCGTGAACCCATGCGTTCTCGGATCCGAACAGCCCCGGTGGTGTGCAAAGTCTTGTTTTTACGTTACAAGCATTCATTTGTTAGAAGTAAACACGTAGATTGCCCCAATTTTTTGTACCCGGTTTTGACGTGTCTTGGAGCCTGTGGGGGGAGCCCGCCGCAGCGCGCAGCCCCACGGTGCCCGCTCCCCTCCAGCAGTGGCCGCCCGCGCCTTTCCCAGGCTCAAGGCCTCCCTGCCCACCAGGCAGGTGGGGAGGCTGAGCCCACGGGGCCTGCGGAGCCCCGACCCACCGGCCAAGATGGGCCTGGCAGGGCGGCTCCACCGAGCTGTGAGAAAGGCCAGGCCCATCAGATAAGCGCCGGTCCCTCCCGCAGCCACCGCCACCACATGGGCTCTATCGCCTCCCCGTGCCTCCCAGCCCTGCCCCGAGGCAGGTGCGCTGCACGAAATGAATCTCACTGCAAGATCTCTCTGGTTTCACTATGAATGTCCTGACCCAGGCCAGCACCCACAGTCCCTGGGGCCTCCCCTGCATCTCTTCTCTCGGGCTACAGCAGAAAAGAGCCTGAGCCGCTCTCAGGAAGGACTTCCCTGGCTCCCAGCTGACTCTAGTGGTCCCCGGAGAAGCCCAGGAATCCTAGCCTGTTCTCCCCAGCCCTCTAATACAAGATCCAGCAGAGGCCCGGACTCTGACATCGGGAGAGTCAGGCCACTAGGTCCAGCTCAGGCACCTGGTCTCAAGGACCAACGCGGAGGCTGCCCTCTGGTGGCACGTTTTGGAATGGCGGGTGTCCTTAAATGGAAGGATATGGGTAAAGGTCCCACGGAGAGGGTACCCTGGTCCCGGAGGCTGGCCCCACAGGATGCAGGGCTGGGAACCCCTGGAAGGAGAGGAGATCCCGGTTCCAGATCAGAAGTCCAAGCCCTACCTTCTCGTGTTCCCTACTGGGCTGCACAGGGCCGTGAATGCAGTGGCTTCAGGGGAGGACATGGGATAATAGGAAGATACAAGAAACCTGGCCTCCCTGACAGGTCACCCCCTCCTCCATGCCCCTTTTAGGACCCCAGGACCTGGGGAGCAAGAAAGGCGAGTTCAGGCAAACTGCCCGTCCAACAGCTGTGGGCAGCGAGGGATCACATGCTGCCCTTTTCCTCTCCACCTCACAGGGAAAAACTGAGACGCTCCATGTCCAGTCTGTAAGTCAATGGCAGAGCCGGGACCAGAACCTGCATCTCGCAGCTCGTGAGGCAGACACTTGGAACCTCCATGGAGAACCTGTGATGTGCTGGGGGCAAGGCCAGGTCTCTGCCTTTGAGCCTGGGGAGGTGGCAATGTGGACACAGAATGGGCACGTCTTCCATTCTGGGGACCAGGAGGCTTCCTGGCCAAGGTGATGCCTGGCCTGACTCATGAGGGACAAGCATGAAGGTGTGACAAGGTACGGCCAAGGAGGCAGCAGGAGCAGGCAAGGTGTGACAAGTTACGGCCAAGGAGGCAGCAGGAGCAGGCAAGGTGTGACCAATGCCTGCTGTATTTGGGCACACAGAGTCGGAGTTATTGGCTTGAAAGAGAGTGACCATCCATCCAGTTTGCTGGGACGTCCTGGTTTATATCTGTCAGTTGTACTCTGCTGTGATTATAAATAGTGCCTCCTTTCACTTGCAAACCTGTCTCAGTTTGGACCATGAATTAAATGATCTCCCTCCTGACACCTGCCTGTGGGGTCATTCACAGCCTGTGGCTGCGCTGAAAGAAGAGGATCCGAGACAGGGAGGGTTCCATTTGTACCTCGGAGCAGCAGCCCTGGGTTGGGGAGGAGCTGTTTCAGCCCCCAGGACAGGGTGGGGGTGCAGTGCACGGGGGAGTGGGGAGGTGGTGAAAGGCCCAGGTGGGGTGGTCGGAGCTCTGGGCGTGGCAACTGGGATCCCGACCCCACTCACAGGAGGGATGGGTTGGGGCTGGGTGGGATGTCACAGCCTGAAAATTACAGGGAACAACACCCTGTGGTCATTCTAGAAGCCCCACCAGCTATGCAGGCCAGGCCAACCTTAGACCTGGGCAAGGGGGTCTCTGCTGTGGACCCCGTGCCCTGGAGAGCCAGGACGTCACCAGCAGCAAATGCAAAGAATTTTTTTTTTAATTTCAGTCTCGTAAGAGTGTTTTAAAGGTTGATAACTGAACAACAGTGAGTTGTCGGAGAGGACAGATGCGAAAAAAAGACCCCACAGGCCCAAAGATGTGGGGCTGAGTGTTGAGTGCGTGTGTGGATGAGTGTGTGAGTGGTTGTGTGTGATTGCAAATGTGTGGTGGTGTGAGAGGTTCTGTATGGTTGTGTGTAGTTGTGAATGTGCGGTTGTGTGTGTGGTTGTGTGTATGAGTGTGTGAGAGTGTGTGAGTATGCAGTTGTGTGTGTGGTTGTGAGTGTGTAGTTGTGTGTGGTTGTGTGTATGTCACTGTGTGAGAGTGAATATGAGTGGCCGTGTAGGTGGTTCTGTGTGGTTGAGTGCATATGGTTGTGTGTGTGGTTGAGTGTGTGGTTGTGAGCATGAGTGTTTAGGAGTGTGTGGGGTTGTATGTGGTTGTATGTAGTGTGTGGTTGTGTGCATGTGTGTGACAGTGAGTGTATATGTGGTCATGCATCTGGGTATGTGAGTGAATGTGGTTGTGCAGGTGTGTGAGTGTGTGGTTGTGTGTGTGGTTGTATGTAATTGTGTGCATGTGAGTGTGTGAGACTGTGTCTGTGATTATGTATGTGTGGTTGTGCATGTCAGCGTGTGAGAGTGTGTGAGGTATGAGTGTGTGGGTGTGTGCATGTCAGTGAGAATGTGTGGTTGTGCATGTGTGTGTGGTTGTGTACGTGTGAGTGTGTGAGAGTATGCGGTTGCACGTGTGTGTGATAGTGTGTGGTTGTGTGCATGTGAGAGCGAGTGTGTGGTTGTTCGTGTAAGACAGTGTGTGAGATATGAGTGTGTGGTTGGGTGCATGTGAGTGTGTGAGAGTGTGTATGTGGTCATGCATGTGGGTGTGTAAGTGTATGGCTGTGCATGTGTGTGAGTGTGTGGTTGTGTGTGGTTGTACGTAGTTGTGTGTGGTTGTGTGTGTGTGTGTCTGGGCAGCCTGGTGTCCTGGTACCTGTCTGCGCTCCTTCCCTGTCCTGCTCCTTGGTGAGATTTTGGGGAGGAGATTAGAATGCCCTGGAAATGCCAGGTTGGAAAAGCGAGGTGGCGAAAGGGTGCCCAGGCCAGCCCCCAGTCAGGAGCGTGCTCACACCCAGGGTTCTCGGGCACTGTCTTAGCTCCCACCCCAGTGGATGACGGCCATGAGAACCAGGGGAGACCACGCCCCAGGGGCGGGCTGCAGGGCCGGGTGTGAATGAGGGCTGCATCGTGGGTGCAGTTTCATCTCTAACTTGGAAATATGTAGGCCTCCCGGGTGAGGGGCTTGCATGTGTGTTTGCGCCCTTGGCCCACCAGTGCAAGGGTTGAACATGGTTGTTGTTGGGGAGGTCCAGGGAGGGTGCAGAGAGGAGGCAGGAAATGCAGGGCAAGGCCAGAGAAGGTGGGGAGAGAGAAGGAGGCAAGCACGACAGAAACAATGTCCAGGGCTGAGAATCCATGAGACAGAAGCAGAAAGGAGGCCATAAACTAGCAGGTGCTTGCAGCTTGGAGAGGGAGTGGTTTGGGGTCAGGATGGTAGAAACCAAGGAAAGACTGGGGCTGCCTGAGGAGATACCTGGGCTGGACGTGGGAGTGTCAAAGAGAATGGAAGTGGCGTAGGAGTGCTGAGTGAGTTTAACACCCACGAGGGAGTCAGAGCAGGCCGCAGACCCCCTCCCAGCATGCAGATCCTGACCCTCCCAGGACCCTGCCCAGGCCATGTGTAATGTCCCATGTTTGTCAGAGTGTAACCTACACACACAAACATGCACCAATCATCTAGTGTTCCCCTTAATGAATTTTCATAAACTGAACATACTCGTGAAACCAGCACCCCGATCAATAAGTCAGACATGATCTGCACTCCAGGGCCCCTCCTCAGTTCCTATCCCCAAATTGCTGCCCAGTTCCTACCCCCAAGAAGGTAAGGATAAACCTCTATCTTGACTTCTAACATCAGCATTCATTTTGCCTATTCTAGAACTATAAATGCAATCATCCCAGAACTGGATCTCTTGAGCCCAAGAATTCAAGACCAGCCTGGGCAACAGAGCCAGACCCTGTCTCTACAAAAAAATTTTAAAAATTAGTCAGGCGTGGGGGTGCATGCCTGTAGCTGTAGCTGCTCAGGAGGCTGAGATGGGAGGATCACTTGAGCCCAGATGTTGGAGGCTGCAGTGAACTACGATGGTGCCATTGCACTCCAGCCTGGGCGACAGAGTCTCCGTCTCTTAAAAAAAATTAATGGAATCATCCCAAAATGTAATCTTGTGTCCAGCTTCTGTTGCTCAACATTGTTTATGAGATTCACCATGTTGCAACATAGTAGTAATTTGTTCATTTCCTTTGTAGCACAGAACTCCGGAATTTACATGTACTCTAAACATGTTCATCCATTCTACTGTTAATGGCTATCTGGGTTGTTTCCAGTTTGGGGCTACTAGGAAGACTGCTATGAATGATATCGTAAATGCCTTTTAGTACATTTATATATTTATTTCTGTTGGAGACATACCTAGGGGTGTATCTTAGTTCGTCCTCTCCAGAAAGCAGTGCCTGGGGCAAAAGCTTAGAAGGTACTTCTGTTTCGTTTTGTGTTTTTAGAGATAGGATCTGGCTCTGTCATCCAGGCTGGACTACAGTGGTACCATCATAGCTCATCACTGCAGCCTCAAACTTCTGGGCTCAAAGGATCCTCCTACCTCAGCCTCCTGAGCAGCTGGGACTACAAGCATGCACTACCACGCCCAGCTAATTTTTAAATTCTTTGCAGAGATGGGGTCTCACTATGTTCCCCAGGCTGGTCTCAAACTCCTGGCCTCAAACGATTCTCCCCCATCAACCTCCCAAGGTACTGGGATTACAGGCATGAGCCAGGGTGCCTGGCCTTAGGTAGAACTTAACTGGGGGATGCAATTGCAGGGAAGCAAGAGTAAGGGGGAAAGGAAGTGAACAGGGATGGCATGAGAGCCAATATGAGGGTGAGTTTCAGAGTTGGCCACCACTTGGTGCCAAAGGCAGCTGATGCTGAATCTTGTAGTAACATCTTCCAAGAGGTTTTTATAAGGAATATGATTCATAAGGGTCCATCTGGGATGAGGTAGAGGGAAGAATTTATCCACTGACTCCCATCTGCCATTTATCCATCTGCCATTGTCCAAGTGAGATAGGAGAACAGGGAAAATGAGGCAGGAAAGTAGCAAAGGGAATTGAAAGTTGGATAAAGGGCAGAATAAGTAAAAGCAGAGAGCAGAAGAAGCAAGGTGAAGGGGCAGGTGAGCAAGAAGCCAGACAAAAAGCAGAGGTTCAGCAGCCAAAACAAAAGTAAGATAAAAAAGTGAGCAGGGCCGGGTGCCGTGGCTCATGCCTGTAATCCCAGCACTTTGGGAGGCTGAAGCGGGAGGATTACCTGAGGTCAGGGGTTCAAGACCAGCCTGGCCAACATGGTGAAACCCACTGTCTACTAAAAATACAAAAATTAGCCGGGCGTGGTGGTGGGCGCCTCTAATTACCAGCTACTCAGGAGGCTGAGGCAGGAAAATTGCTTGAACCGGGAGGCAGAGGTTGCAGTGAGCCACCGAGATTGCGCTACCGCACTCCAGCCTGGATGACAAGAGTGAGACTCCGTCTCAAAAAAAAAAAAAAAAGCGAGCAGTATCCCATGGCCGGCAGGATCCTGACCAAACCAGTAAGGGGCTGCGCTTCAGAGATGGGCATGTGCATTGGAGAGAAAAGGTATCCTTAACATAACCCCGTTATGATAATCAGCTACTTAAGGTTCATGCATATGAGCTGCATATCATGTATGTACTTAGGATTATGGGATGGAGGCAAGGTGCAAGCGCACGGGGGCCAAAGTAACTAAGCAACACACCTGTCAATCAAAAAGATAGACACTGGCTAGAGATTAGGCAGCCTTGGGAAGAGGGGGAAAAAAACAACATATAGAAAGACCCAAAGTACACCAAACTAATGCCGATCTCATCTCACAAAGATCAGTCCACTCTTCCTCTCCAAGAGTGGAATACTGCACTTAATACACTTTTTGCTATCTGTATATGTCTCTTCCAATTCTTTGTTCAAGTCGCCCAGATCCTGGAACTGTGTGGCACCATTCAGTAACACAAGGATAGGCCCGAGTGTGCTAACTCTCCTGCATTTCTGATTGCAAGTTTGTGGGTGCCAGATTGGTCCCTTATTATCTCATTCCTCAGGGGCATCAGAGAATCCCTGAGGGTGATGGGGGGTGCTGGCAGGTTGTACCTGCACCTGAAGTGGGAGGAAAGGTGGCAAAGCCTTGACACCAAGGTGAGGCTAGGGGCTGGGGAGGTGGCGTGATATCCAAGAGGCATCTAATACAGAGTGGAGATGCTGGATTTGGAGGTACTGCCAAATGGTTTTCCAAACTGGTGGTACCAACTCCACATCCTTGCCAACATTGGGTGTGTAATTTTCACCATTTTGGTGGCTACTCAGTGGTATCTTATTCTCGTTTTAATTTGCATTTCCCTGATGGCCCATGAGGTTTGAGTGCCTGTTCAGGAGTTTAACAGTCATTGGACATCCTCTTTTGGGAAGCACCTATTTAAAGTCCTTTGTTTTTTTTTTTTTTTTTTTTTTTTTTGAGATGGAGTCTCGCTCTGTTGCCCAGGCTAGAGTGCAGTGGCATGATCTCAGCTCACTTCAACCTCCGCCTCGCAGGTTCAAGCGATTCTCCTGCCTCGGCCTCCTGACTAGCTGGGACCACAGGCACTCACCACCACCCCCGGCCAATCTCTGCATTTTTAGTAGAGACAGGGTTTCACCATGTTGGCCAGGCTGGTCTCGAACTCCTGACCTCAAGTGATTCACCTGCCTTGCCCTTCCCAAGTGCTGGGGTTACAGGCATGAACCACCATGCCCGGCCTATTTTAAAACTTTTTCCTATTGATTTGATACATATTTTTCAATACAACTCATATGCTTATATTTTTAGATAGAAGTCCTTTATCGGCCATATGTATGGAAATAACTTCTCTCATATGTGGCTTACTCTTTCCTCTTTAATCATGTCTTTTGACTGACAGAAGTTTCTAATCTTAATGTAGTCCAATCTGTCACTTTCTTACTGTGTTTCTTATGTCTGTTTAAGAAAATGTATCTATTCTCTCCCCTGAGTTTTCTTCTAGCAGCTTTGATGTTTCACCTTTCACACGTACATTTCACATGTACATCACCTGGGACTGGTTTTAGGGTATAATGGAAGGGTGACATTAAAAGGGTTTTGGTTTTTTTCTTCAATATATAGATCCACCACCACTTATTGAAAAGCCCGTCCTTTCTCCACTGTTCTGCAATATCAACTTTGTCATAATAAACCAGGATGGGTCTGTTTCTGGATTTCTGTTTTCTTCCACCAGTAGATTTGTTTATCTTTGCATCAATGCCACACTGTCTTCCTTACTGTAGTATAAGTCCTCCAGATTTGTTCTTCTTCACATACTCTTTAGAATCAGCTTGTTGAGTTTCATCCCTCCAAAAAAGCCTTGTAATCAACAACAAAGTTGTCTGGTGCTTTGATCAAAATTACATTGGATGTATTTATCAATTCTATAAATCAATGTGGAGACCAACATTTTAAATTCCAATCCATGAACATGGTATATCCCTCCATTAGCTTATGTCTTTAACAATTTCTCTCAGAAATGTTTTGTAGTTTCTTGCATAAAAATTGTACACATCATTCACTAGAATTATTTTTAGGTATTTGATTTTATGCTATTATTAATTTCATTTTCTAATTATTTCTAGTATATAGAATACAATTAGTTTCTGTATATTAAACTTCTGTCTAGCGACTTTGCTAAATGAACTTATCTTCCTTAAATTAACCTGTAATTTTTTTTCTACATACTGAATCACATCATATGTGAATGGCAGCTTTATCTTTCCCTTTACTATCTTCATACCTTTTTACTTATTTTTCTTGTCTTATTGCTCTGGCTAGGACCTCCAGTACACTATTGTATAGAATATTGACAAGTGCCAACATCCCTTCTCATTTTCAATCTCAGTAGAAAAGCATTCACACTTTCACCACTAAACATGATGTCAGCTGTAGGGTTTTTGTTTGTTTCTTGGTTTCTTGGAGATTTGTTTTTAGGTAGATACTTTTATCAGATTAAGGAGGTTCTCTTCTGTTTCTATTTGCTAAGAGTTGTTTGTTTACATCACGGATGACTGTTTTTTGCATCTGTTGAGGTTTTCCTTTTTTCTCTCTATTAATGTGGAGAATCATGCTGATTGGTTTTTGGATGGTAAACCAATCCTACTAACCTTTTGTTCCCATTGAAATTTGCAGGTTCTAGTTCAATTCCACGAAAAGGACCTCCTGAGCTATGGGGCCTGGCTGACAACATACAAACTCCATCCTGTGCAAAGCCCTAGGCCGACCTTTCCCCCACAAACGCATACTCCACATTCCAGGTCCCAGAGAGACACCCTCGAAAACCACAGGCTTCAGAGCTGCGAGGCTTGCGCCAGCCCCTGCCCCTTGGCAAGCTGCCCCTGATTGCACCAGCCCTGGCTAGACCCTCTCCCAGCAGACCCTAGAATTGCGAGGGCAACTGGGGGGCTGGGGAGAGTCAAACCAGAAGGTCGAGGCCTCTGGCCCCTAACACCCGCGACAATCAGGGGTCTCCGGAGCCAGGGCTGCCCCTACCCTGCGCGAGGCTCCTTTAAGAGAGTCGGCCTCTGAATGGTCTCTGGGGCTGGAGGTGGAGGGCGCCAAGAATGCCGGTCTCCGACGACAGAAGCGAGAGGGATGCAGCTTCGCCGGGTGGCCTCCCCCTCGGCGTCCCACCAGCACGTCCACCCTGGATCCTCCCGCTCCTACTCCTACCCCAAGTCCCCGCCCCCAACTTCGAAGCTCCTGTGTGCCTGCAAACGCCGGCCCCGCCCCGCTCCCACCTCCAGGCCCTGCCGCTGCCAGGGACCCGCCCCTGCCAGGGACCCGCCCCCGCCCCGTCCCACCCCGGTCCACCCTGCAGCCGTCGGACCCCTGGCAGGGCCCCAGCAAACCCGGAGGCCGCCACTGGGGGGAAGGACGGGGCGCCCGGCGAGGCCTCATCCACATGCAGGGGACGGCGCGTCGCGGCGGCCGCCAGGAAGAAACAAAGGCTGTTCCGCCGCCGGCCGCACAGTGCCAGGCTCGCCCCGCCCGCCGCCCCGGTGGCCCCGACGCGGCCCCCCTGGATCTTTTCCGCCGGCCTCGGCTGCACAGTCCGGACGGCTTCCGGGAGGAGGCAGCCTCCCTCGGATCCCCGCACTCCCGACCCTCTCCCGCGACCACAGCCTCCTTCTCCGTGTCTCCCGGGCATTCCAGGTCGCCTGGCCTTCTTGAGCCGGGCTGGATCGCGCGGGACCTGCACCAGAGACCCGAGTTCTAGTCCGCTGAGCCCTCACTCTGACCTGGGACGAGGAGCCTGTAGTGAAGATCTCAGGCCAGAGGTGGCCCAGAGCCTGGTAGGGTGGGCGAGCCGTGTCCAGGACTCGTCACAGGTCTTGGGTCCCCGTGATGAGGATGAGAGCCCCCGGGATCTTCACCTCGACCCTCAGGCCTTTGATCCAGGGTGCATAGGACACCCAGACCCCTCAGAGGAGTTCCAGACCTCAACCCCCACCCCTCCTGAGGTTGTCCGCCTGGGAGCCTCAGGAGGCACGAGAAAGGGTTTGGTCTCAGCCCTGCACTTGCTCGGCGATCGCTACTGATCTCTGGGCTTCAACTTCCACCTGTAGAATGGACTCACCCTGGGAGCTGTCTCCTACACACACACACACACACACACACACACACACACACACACACACATCGTGCAGGCATAGAGTACTAAAGGGAGCACACACTGCATCCCCACACGCGGCCAGCTGTTATTCTTGCCGTCCCCCTCGGCCTCCCTGAGAGCAGGGATTGTCTTGTCTCGGAGCTCTGCTCCCCAACCCGGCCCCAAGAATGGATGTAACTCAGGCAACTGGAGGGTCCCTTCCTTCGCCCAACTGGGAAGTCCTTCCTAGATCTGCCCCAAGTCCTCTCCTTCCTTCCCAGGCCGGGACTGGGGGAGGGGGCGTTCCCTTTAAGGGAGGTGGGGGAGGGGGCTGTGGGCCGGCCCTCCTTCCGCCCCTCCCGGGCCCCCGCCGCCCGGGGCCCCCAGTCCCGGGCCCGGAGCCAGCGCATGCGCCCGCCTGTGGGCGCTGTCCCGGCTGCGAGGGCCGTGAGCTCACGGACCGACGGACCGACGGGCGGCCGGCCGGACAGACGGGGCAGCGCAGGGAGCGGGGACGCGGCGGGACAGCGACATGGCCGGCCACACGCAGCAGCCGAGCGGGCGCGGGAACCCCAGGCCTGCGCCCTCGCCCTCCCCAGTCCCAGGGACCGTCCCCGGCGCCTCGGAGCGGGTGGCGCTCAAGAAGGAGATCGGGCTGCTGAGCGCCTGCACCATCATCATCGGTGAGCGGGACCCAGGCGGGCGGGCGCCGGGCGGAGGCCGAATGAGGGGCGCAGCCGCTCCGAACGAGGGGCGTCCCCTCTCCGGGCGCTCGGACGGGTCTGCCTGGGGAACCTGCAGTCTGGCCTCAGAGAGCGCTATGACCGCGGGGAGGTCAGGGGCTGCTGGCCCAGGGTGCCAAAGCTCCGTGTTCCCACCTCCCGGCCGCCTGCACCTGGGGGAGTTTTGGGTCCCCTCCACCGCTGGACTCTTCCTCCTGACTCGATTTTGCTGCGGGGCTTTTGCAAGGCAGTTACCCTCAGTTTCCTCATCTGTGAAATGGCCATGACTGCAGTCCTGCGATTAGCGCAGGAACTTGACCAGTGTAGGGGCTGGTCAGGCTGCGGCAGGCTGAGCTCCCCAAGTTCTGTACTGTGGGTCAGTCTGAGTACCTACTGTGTGCAGGGTCCAGGTGCCACGCAGTGCAGTGACTTTATTCTTGGAAAGCAGGAGGGCCTATGAGCAGAGTGAGCAAGCGCAGCCTGCGCAGAAGGGACGGAGGTTCAGAGCAGGCAATGACTGCAGGGTTTGGCAGCAGGACCCAGGAGAGGGGGCGGGTTAGCCAGCAATTGGGGGCAGCAGTGGGCAGACCCAGCCTGCAGAAGGCCAGCTGCTCCCTGAGCTGGGATCCTGGTGGGCACTGGACACTCGCCTGGTCTGGAGGCCCTGGACTCCAAAGTCCCCACCTGAGAATGGGTCCATGTCCTGCCCCCACATAGGGGTTTCTGGGCAGGCAGAGAGCTCAGAGGTCATGGGAATGGCAGTGGTATTTTTCCACTCTCTGTCCCAAGTCATGGATACTGACTTGTTTCTTTGTCTACACAGAGTGCCTCTGAGCCCCTCCAGGGAGGGACAGGAGAAGTGGTTTGGGGGGTGAGTGACTGGGGCCTCGACTGTTCTCACCTTACCGCCAGCCAGTCTTCCCGGTCCCCTGCCAGTGAGAGCCACTTGTGTCTTCACTGCCTTCCCACCCTCAGACCCCTGGAGATGGAGAAAGTTTGGGGGCTCAGTAGGGCAGACCCAGGGTCTTCACCTCGTCCTCTCCCACCCCCACATTAGCAGCTCTTCACATCCAGAGTTGCCCCTGAACACAGCCCCTGGCCAGGTCACTCCGCCATCTCACCCCCTCCCCTTAGAATGCTGTCTCCCAGAGCCTGGTCCTGACCTGGCCCTGGGAGCTTCTTGGCCTAGGATGCCCCTGCCTGATGGACGGTCTGCTGGAAGGAAGGGCTGGTTCCAGGGATTTGGCCAGGGTGCTGGTTAGAGCTTTTTCTTGGCCCACACCCTCTCCAGGAACTGTCCTCCAGGGAAGGGGAAGCTCACACCATGAGTGGGTCATAGGATTGAGACCATGCCTAGAACCAGCTACAGTGCCAGGCAGGTGCAGAAAGACACAGCTCTGCCTGGGCTCCTCAGCTAAGCCCAGCATCCTTGACCTGTCTTCCTACTCTATCCCCTCCCCACATCCCATCCTCCCCAGGCCACAGGGAGGCTGCCTGGCTCCTTTCTCCCCAGAAAGGGGCCCTGGTGGTGGTGGTGGTGGTGGTGGTGGTGGTGGTGGTGGTGGTGGTGATGGTAGAGGTGGTGGTGGTGGGAGTGGAGAAGGCCAACTCCACTATCACCCTCCTTTTCCAGGACAGACTCTGTAAGTTTCCCATGCAGCCCAGGTCTGCCCTGACAGCTCCCCTACCCTTCAGTTCCTTCCTGCTGTGCCAGGTCCACTACCTTGGCCTCCAAACCTTGAACACTGAGCCAGGGTGAAGGGCCACTTAGCTAACCAAGGATGCTGGATTCAGCTACAGAACCCAAGCCCGGGGCACTCAGTGGTGGTCTTGGGGAGCCTTGATCTTGGCCTGGCCCGGGGAGCCTTTGAGGATTACAGCAGGCAGGAGGCTGGACGAGGCAGGAAAAAACAAGGAGATCAACCTCAACCAGAAGGTGATAGGAGGTGGGGACTGGGCAGGTGAGGACTGAGCTGGGGTCTGCACTGCCTTCCCCACCTGATGTACTAAGGGTCTCCCCTCCCCAGCCCACCCCACCTTTCTGCCCCAGGTGGGCTCACTCTCTCTCCACCAATACCCTGGGGAGCCTGGTCAGAATCAAAAATGTCTGCAAAGTGTCATATTTTAGCTCTAAAAGTCAAGAACTTGACGTCCTGCTTCCTTTCCTTTCCTTTCTTTTTCTTTCTTTTTTTTTTTTTTTTTTTCTGAGACAGAGTCTGGCTGTGTCCCCTAGGCTGGAGTGCAGTGGCACAATCTCAGCTCATTGCAACCTCCACCTCCGGGGTTCAAGTAATTCTCCTGCGTCAGCCTCCCAAGTAGCTAGGATTACAGGCACACACCACCATGTCCAGCTAATTTTTGTATTTTCAGTAGAGACAGAGTTTCACCATGTTGGCCAGGCTGGTCTCGAACTCCTAACCTCAAGTGATCTGCCTGCCTTGGCCTCCCAAAGTGCTGGGATTACAGGTGTGAGCCACCCTGCCCAGCCAACGTCCTGCTTCATAATCTACCTTGGTTTGTTATTGTTATTGAACATGTTATTTCCAAAACTTCCACAGCGACCCTCCTAGGAGATCCTGTCACTCTCTCCCTCGTGTATACCCTCTGCTCCAGCTCAGACTGGGAATTGAGGCTTTTGAGAATGGGAAGACCTGGAAGGGTGGGCTATGGGCTGGCGTGAGACTCATGTATAGTGTGTTTAGGGCAGTGCCCGCCGGCCACTGCAAGCACAGATGGAAGGGAATCGGCCAGGCTGGAGGAAATAGAACTGGCTGGGGCAGGGGCTCTGCAGGACATCATCACATCCAATATCTGTTCAGAAAAACACCTCTTACTGCCTTATGAAAACATGTTCTTCCTTTATCTCATTTGAATCTCATGCCCACCTTGCAAGGTAGGAATTTTTATACCCATTTTACAGAGTGGAAACTAAGGTTGGAAGTGAAATGATACTGCTCCAAGGGGTAGGCTCAGGATTTGGAACCAGATTTGGGCTCTGTTCCCAGTCCAGTGCCTATTTTATTTTATTTTATTTTATTTTATTTTATTTATTTTATTTTATTTTATTTATTTTATTTTATTTTATTTTATATTTTATTTTATATTTTATTTTATTAAAACAAACTCTTGCTCCATAGCACAAACTATAGTGCAGTGGCATGATCATAGCTCACTGCAGCCTCGACCTCCCAGGCTCAAGCAATCCTCCCACCTCAGCCTTCCAAACACCTGGAACCACAGGTGCCCGCCACCACACCTGGCTAATTTTTGTATTTTTTGTAGAGACTGGGTTTTGCCATGTTGCCCAGGCTGATCTCAAATTCCTAGGCTCAAGTGATCCTCCCACCTCAGCCTCCCAGAGTGTTAGGGTTACAGGCGGGAGCCATCATGCCCGGTCCCAGTGCCCTTTATACTGTTCTGATGCTGGGCAAATTGGGGCCAGAGTCAGAGCCCTGACGGGGGAGGGTTGGGGACCAAGCTGGGAGCTTGTCCAACTAGGCTTCACTGAGCTCCTGCTCCACTATGGGTGGACAAACAGACAGACGGCCAGGGAAGTCTGCCTCCCCATCGGCGGCTGGACTCACAGGGCCTCTCATACTGACCCAGGAACCTCGGCCAGCTCCCTTGCCGGATCCACAACCCAAGGAACACACCCAGATCCTCCAAAGTGGGAGTCCCCCCTGGGTCTGCTGACCAGGCCCTTCCTCTGCTCTCTCTTTGACTTGAGAGTCCGGCTCCTGCAGGGGTTTGTGGGCCAGATGTGTGTTCAGTGACTCAGGAGTTGACATCATGAACCTCAACTCCTCAGGAACCAATCCCTGCTCACCCAGCCTCAGCCAGGACCCTCCCTGGTCTCCAGGGCTGCAGGTGGCTGGGCTTCCCAGAGGGGTGGACCTCTGCAGAACCCCAGCCCCTCCTCACCGGGGCCCTGAGGAGCCATACAACTGTGCAGGGGCTTAGCTGTTCCCCACTACAGTTCCATTTACAGGTGAGGAAACTGAGGCAACCTGCCCTGGGGTCAGATGCCCTCGGTGTGCTCCAGGACCCCAAGGGAAGCCCCAACTATAATTTCGGGGACCTGTCAGTCCTGGGCACACTCATCCATTTATTCAACCACTACATACTGAACGGTGTCAGGCACTGGCTTACATGCCAGAGACACCATGGGGGGGTCAAGACAGACAAAATCCATCTTCTGGTGTGGGAGTCCCGCAACAAGATGAACAAGCTGAATGTGTGTATTGTTAAGTGCTAAGACCAGACAGTCCAGCCAGGAAGGAGGATGGAGAGAGCCAGGGTCGGGGATTGCAGCTTGGAAATGAGCTGAGATCTGGGGTGGGGTTCAGTGTGAGCAAGGCATTGCAAGCTATGTTAAGGGCATTGCCTTTTGCTCTCTGTGAAGCAGGAGCCCTGGGCTTTGAGCAGAGGGATGATGGGATGGGGCTTACAGGGCCCACTATGGAGAAGAGGCAGTGGGGGAAGAAGTGGGAGGAGGAAGGCCGGTCAGGAGGCTACCTGGGTCTCCCCGGGCAAGAGACCACGGTGGCTCAGGGCAGGGCGGTGGCCATGGTGGTGTCAGAGGAGGTTCCATTCCGGATGAGTTTGGAAGATGAGAGCCGAAGGATTTGTGATGGAATAGAGGTCCTGGGGGAGAAAGAGAGGAACCATGGGTGACTCAAGGTTGTGGCCCAAGCAATTGGGAGGACGTTTTGCCATTTATTCATCAGGGAAGATCGAGAGGAGCATTCTGGGGGCAAGGAGGTAAAAGTCGGGAATTCCGTTTTGAACACGGAAAGTCTGTGATGTCCGCGGCTGAGTGGTTCGTTGCATATACAGATTTCATTTAGCAGAGCAGTCTATGCTAGGGATATAAATTTAGGAGTTGCCAGCAGAAGTCAAGGTAATAGATGAGGTCTATCTATCTATCAAGAAAGCATAGAAAGAAAAGAGAAGAAGCCCCAGGACTGAGCCCTGGGCACCCAGTGTCTGGAAGTCAAGCAAGATAAGGGATTCTGAAAAGGAGAAGCCGGTAAGGCCGAGGGGAGGCCAGGAGGCCGAGTGAGGAGGAAGCAATCCACTTGCCACATGTTGCTGATGCGTCAATAACGTGGCCTAGGGCTCGACTGTTGCGTTTGGCAACGTGGAACTCACCGGTGACCATGAGAAGCCTCAGCCAGGAGACAGGGCCCTGGGCGAGGTTTGCTTGGCTGGGCTGGCTGAGCCGAACGAGCCGGAGAGGGCCGCACACTTCCGCTCATCTCCTGTCTCCAAAGGAAAGTGGGTTAGGCTGGAGTCGGGTGCCGGCCAAGTGGCAGTTCCAGGCACATCCTGGATGTCCCCACTCACCTCCTTGGGGTGCTGCCCAGACCTCAGTAGTCACAGTCAGCATCCCGGAGAGGTACCTGACACAGGCTTACCGTGAGGATGTGAGGACACCCGTGCGCTTGAGGCGAGTAGGCTTCACCCAGGCCGCAGCCGATCACCCCGGGGTGTTGGGGTCCCGGGTGGCTCAGGTCTCAGAGGAAAGATGGGGCTGCCTAGGGGGTCTCCAAGGCAGATGGCAGTGCGTAGGGAGATCCAAAAGCACTTCCCATGGCCTCTGATGTGCCAGACGGGATCAAGAGAATGCCTGCATCAAATAAAAGCATCCCTTCCCAGCCATCATCCAGGTACCGTGGCCGTGGGGCGATGTCCAGATTGCAGGGGCCAGGGTGGCTGGTCAGGAAGAGCTTCCTGGAGGTGGTGCTGCTTCAGGGAGACCAGTGAGCTGGGCAGAGGCCTGCCACAGTGAGGGACATGTTCCCTGAGCAGACTGTTTCCTTGGCCCAGCACAGATATGCAGGGTGCATCCCCTCTGCTGAAGTCACGGTTGGACTAGCCCTCTGCTGCCCCCTAGCCCAGTGGCCCCACCTGGCAGATGGGGAAACTGGGGCTCGGAAGGGCAGCACTGGCCTGAGTCACACAGTCGGGTCCAGAATGTGCTTCAAGGCATGAGGACTGGTGCCAGTGTCCTGGCCTGACAGGCCCTCCCTGCCCCCTCCCCAAATCAGACTGCACATTCCCCACACACCACAGGAGGTGGCTCACTCTGCGACTCGACCTCCGTGGGCCGCCCCTGTGACCTCAGTGGTCTGCCGCTGCCTCCAGAAATAGGTCAGCATGCACCGCAGCGGCCACGGGGAACAATGGCCCTTTCTTCGTTCCTCCAAGAAGCTGAGTAAGCCCCATCAGGCCAAACATCTTAATGTGATAAAAGCTACCCAGCGAAGGCTCAGGGAAGAGGGGCGGGTGGTGGAGACTCTGGGAAGGCCGACTTGGGGGGCAGTCACTTCCTCGCCTACCTGCCCGGAGCTCTGGCCCACGGAGGACCTGCAGGGACCACTGAGCTGTCATCCCACCGGGTGGACAGGAACGTGGAGGCCTCAGAACCTACATCTCTCTGGTCAGCCATGGGTCAGACACCCAACAGGGGCTCAGCGGTATCTCCAGGCCCATCCCGTGCCCCCTCATCCTGTTCCACTCTGAGTTCCTGCCCCTCTAAACCAGGTTCCCCCAACGGCTGGGCTTCTTCATTGCTGCTCCCCGAATCAGGTAGATCTGCTTGGCTGAAATACAGAGTCTGGGAAGGGAGACCCTCCGACCTTCCCACACCACTGGGAGGAACCCAGGGCAGCCCCCTTCCAGCTCCACTAATCTGGCCAGGTGTGGTGGCTCATGCCTGTAATCCCAGCACTTTGGGAGGCTGAGGTGGGTGGATCACTTGAGGTCAGGAGTTCGAGACCAGCCTGGCCAACATGGTGAAACCCCATCTCTACTAAAAAAAAAAAAAAAAGAAAGAAAGAAAGAAAGAAATCCACCGGTCCCTCCCATACCCCTCCTATAATCATTAGAGCATTGGAGGCCCCCATCCCTGTCCACAGCCCCCTCCCTCCTCCGTGCCCAAGCCCGCAGCCCCGGCTGCTCCATGCAGTGCCCCACCCATCCTTCATGGTGCCGGGAGCAGCCAGTGTGCGGAGTGCGTGATGCGATTTTCTGCCACCTTCAAACATGATCCTGAGGGAGATGCTGCGAGTGGTCTAGGCCCAGAGGGAGAAACCCCTGAGGACCTCAGAGACACTGGCTAACGCCTGTGGTCCTTTGAGCCACAAGGGAGAAAGTCCTGAACTGTGGCCTGAGGCCACGTGTTCCAAACAATAGTGGCCTCTCCACCCCTGGCAAGCCCAGTATCTGAGTCTTCAGCCACTGGGCACAAGGCTAGTGATACAGCCCTGGAAGATAGGGTGCCAGATGTGGCTTACCCCGGAGCTCCACCCAGGAGGCCCCACCAAGCAGAAGCATGGTGGGCTCTCTGCAGGGTGGGTGGCTCAGGGCCTGGGATGCTCCCAGCGTGAACATGCTCAGCTCCTTCCAAGGCCACCCAGCCCCCGCTGGCTTCCAACCTCCCTGGCTTTCGGCAAATCCCAGTCCGCCAGGTCCTGAGAACAGAGGCCCTGCTGCCGGATGGAGGGAACTCAAAGGCTCTTTAGAAACCTTACAGCCCACCCAGGCCTGGGCCCCTCTGCTAGATGAGAGAGGCGCTTCTCTCTCTCCCCCGAGAAGTAGACTAAGGGTACAGCTTACCTCTGGGGGCTGGGGCACAGGAATTAGTTCGTCCTTATCTGGATGTATTTAGGGCTCCTGGGATGTGACTGGAAAACTGAGTGGGGCGTCGTAGCTGTCCAGACTGGAAATCTGTGTCGGCTGGGGGTGGGGGCAGTGGGGGAGCACCGTGGACAAGGAGTGAATACAAATTGGCAGCTACAACCGTGTCCTTATCCAGCCCCCTGCGGGCCCGGCAGGTGGAGGAGGCGGGCTCCCGCTCTGAGGGAGATGGACCCGTCCTCTCAGGACCCGGTCTGGTGTGGCCATTGCATAGAGAACGATGTTGGTCCTACCAGGACCTACAGGTTCTACCAGGGCTGTTTGTTCATATGGTCTGAGGTTCTGGGTTTATTTCTTCTTGGACAGGCCCTAGTGCAGATCTCTGGTGAAGTTACCGGATTCATGTGCACAGATGGTGAGACCCATATAACCCAGAACATTGTCCCTCTTTGCGGAGCTCAGGGCTCAGCAGGCACTCAGAGTCTTGCTCATCCTGGGAACCTACTCTACAGACCATAGTTGGCCCCCCTGAATGTTTCCCATCATGTCAGAAAGCAGAGGGGCTGGGCACAGTGGCTCTCGCCTGTAATCCCAGCACTTCGGGAGGCCGAAGTGGGTGGTCAATTGAGCCCAGGAGTTCGAGACCAGCCTCAGCAACATAGTGGGACCCCTCAACTCTACAATTTTTTTTTGATTAGCCGGGTGTGGTGGCACTCACCTGTAATCCTAGCACTTTGGGAATCCAAGCAGGGAGGGTCACTTGAGCCCAGGAGTTGGAGACCAGCCTAGGCAATATAGTGAGAACCTGTCTCTACAAAAAGTAAAAAAAAAAAAAACCTGGGTGTGGTAATACACCTGGAGTCCCAGCTACTAGGGAGACTGACGTGGGAGAATCTCTTGAGCCCAGGAGTCCCAGGCTGCAGTAAGCTATGATCGCACCACTGCACTCCAGCCAGGGTGGCAGAGCGAGACCCTGTCTAAATGAAAGAAAGAAGCTGGGCACAGTGACTCATGCCTGTAATCCCAGCACTTTGGGAGGCCGAGGCGGGTGGATCACTTGCAGTCAGGAGTTCGAGACCAGCCTGATCCACAGGGTGAAACCCCATCTCTACTAAAAAAGTACAAAAAATATTAGCCAGGCGTGGTGGCTCATGCCTGTAATTCTAACTACTTGGAAGGCTGAGGCAGGAGAATTGCTTGAATCCAGGAAGCGGAGGGAAGGAAAGGGAAGGGAAGGGGAAAAGAGAAAGGAAAGGAAAGGAGAAAGGAAAGGAAAGGAAATTGAAGTAGGAAGAGAAGCCCAAACCTGATGTGGTCAAGGAGGGCTTCATGGAGGAGATGCTATTTCCTGAGCCACTCCATGAGTCTGGACTTTGGCCGGTGGGAAAGTGGCAGGAGAGTGGTTGAAGTCCTGTGTTAGGGGCCAGCTCTGGCCAGTGGGCTGGATGGAGGCAGGACAAGTGGCTGCATGCTGATATGCCTGGGGCTCTGAGGTAGACGGGAGGGCTGAGCATGGGCCTTGTGGGGTGCCTGAGGAGCCACCGTCTGCCGTCGCTCAGGTGGTTCAGCCTCCTCACTTTGCTGGCCCCGCCTCACGGGGGCAATGGAGGGCTGAGAAAGTCAAACAGGGCCTGTCTCTGGCAGAGGGGCCTGGCCAGCTGAACGAGGTGCCATTTCCTATGTGAGGGACTGAGGAAGGGGCAGATGATGAGCCCAGAATGGCACTTGCTGGGCTTGGGGGCCAGTGGCATTCAACACCTCCAGCCCACCTCCTGCCTCCTCCTCCTCCGGGAAGCACCCCGGGCTGTCTTCCTCCTGGCAGCAGGCAGATCCCCACACAGAAGGCCGGGCTGCGAAGGGGACCCCAGGCCTGATGCCTCCCCATCTCTCCCCCTGCAGGGAACATCATCGGCTCGGGCATCTTCATCTCGCCCAAGGGGGTCCTGGAGCACTCAGGCTCCGTGGGTCTGGCCCTGTTCGTCTGGGTCCTGGGTGGGGGCGTGACGGCTCTGGGCTCCCTCTGCTATGCAGAGCTGGGAGTCGCCATCCCCAAGTCTGGCGGGGACTACGCCTACGTCACAGAGATCTTCGGGGGCCTGGCTGGGTGAGTGTGGGGCACCAGCGGGCAGGGGGACACCCTCTTGGGAATGGGATGGCCAAATGAGCCCTGGCATCAGTTTCCACTCCTGCTTCCGGCTTCCTAGGGAGGTCGTGGGGGTGGATGGAGAGAAGGTGTGGGGGGTGGATGGAGAGAAGGTGTGGGGGCTGGATGGAGAGAAGGTGTGGGGGTGCTGGACAGCCTTCTGAGGACAGGGCAGGTGGAACTGAGGCCCACTCCACCCCACTGATGTGTGCTGGGCACTCCTGCAGGCCCCTGGGCCTCTCTGGATCTCCTTTTAAATAGAGGTCCCTCTGAACCCCACCCCCTGCCTTGTACTTAAGGAGGGGGGATTCTTACTGTCTGAAAACCCTAGGTAATGTGAGTGCCCAGGCGAGGAGGGGCCTCAATTTTGGTAAACCCATATGTTGCATGAGGAGCAAGGAAGGAAGTGTGATATTCTTACCATATACCCTGCATAAGGTCCTTTTTTTTTTTTTTTTTTTTGAGACAGAGTCTCGCTCTGTTGCCCAGGCTGGAGTGCAATGGCGTGATCTCAGCTCACTGCAACCTCTGCCTCCCAGGTTCAAGTGATTCTCCTGCCTCAGACTCCCGAGTAGCTGGGATTATAGGCGCCCGCCACCACGCCTGGCTAATTTTTTTGTATTTTTAGTAGAGACGGGGTTTCACCATGTTGGCCAGGCTGGTCTTGAACTCCTGACCTCAGGTGATCCACCCGCCTCAGCCTCCCAAGTGCTAGGATTACAGGAGTGAGGCACTGCACCCAGCCAGAGGTCTCCTTTCCTTAGCACCCTGCTATCCTTCCTTCGTTCACCAGGGAATATTTGCTGAGCACCTACCGTGAGCCTGGGGGTGGGGAGGCAGTGATAGAAAGGTCTGTCCCTGTACTCAAGCTGCTCACAGAACAGAGAGGAAGCAGCCCCTTAAATGGGATTAAGGCCTGGATGAGCCTTGCTTTGAGAGTGTGTACAAGAGGCAGCAGCTACACAGCAAAGAGAACGGTGTGCGCCATCTAGGGAGGACTCCCAGGAAAGCAATGCTTGCCCTAAGGCTGGGAGGAAGAAGATTTTCCCCACCGGGCCTAGCTGACCAGTGAGGAAAGCATCCCAGGATGGGGGAAGTGTGAACAGAGGGTGTGGTGGCCCAGGTGAGCGCAGGGAGTCTGCTGTAGCTAGAGGTGAGGTCAGGTTGGGTTTACGGCAGGTGCCGGGGCTTGGAGAGCATCAGGGGATTGAAGCTGTTGTATTTGTCCAGCTGCGTTGTGCCAAGAGCTGCAAAGGTACAGGCAGATTCTAAAATCGTTTAGGAGCCTGATTCGAGAGGATAGGGCAGCCAGCATAGCAGAGGGAGAGGTGGGTGCAGCGGAGGTGGCACCCACTTCCCTACTGAGAGGCTCCTAGATGGTCTGGGGCTCAGAGGAAAAGTCTGGGCTGAAATTTACAAAGTTTGGTTCTGAGGGATATGGGCCGGGGACCCTTAACTGGGCAGCCTTGGATGGGGAGACGTGCCAGGGCTTGCACGCTGCTGTGGGTGCATCTGTGGCAGTCTCCTCTGGGGAGAGGGTCCTCAAAGGGGCTGGGACCCAAGAAAGCAGAATAATCATGCTTCGGGCCTGGAGAGGACGTTCGGGAGGGAGAAGAGGGCCAGGACCTCATCCCTGGGCACGGAACATGCGGGGATGGGCAGAGGGGATGCCTGGCAGGGGAGGAGGGCCATGGAGCTAGGATGTCCCAGAAGCCCAGCAGGGATGGTTGTGCAGAGCAAGGGGCAGGTGATCCAGAGATGGCTGATGTCCCCGATGAGGCAGTCCTCTCCCTGGAGGGCTGGCCAGGGGCTAGGACCACCCCCAAGGGCAGACCCACCCCTGGGTGCAGGAAAGCCCCTGAGAACAGGTCAGACTCACAGTCTGGGTGCCCTGCAGAGGCAAGATTTAGGTAGAAGGGGCATCCATCACTCTCCACCCCCAGCTAGGGCTCTTGGTAAGGTCTAGTCTCTGCACCCCATAGGTCTCCCTCAGGGGGAACACAGCTCAGAGTCACCCATCTTCAGCCACAGTACTCTGCGAGAGCCAGGGCTGAAGCCGAGAGGTCTGGGGACAGGGACCCTGGCTCAGGAGACAGCCTCCGTCCAATGGGGGGCCTAGTTGTTATTAGAAAAGCATTTGGTGACTGGGCGCAGTGGCTCACGCCTGTAATCCCAACACTTTGGGAGGCCGAGGCGGGTGGATCACGAGGTCAGGAGATCAAGACCATCCTGGCTAACACGGTGAAACTCCGTCTCTACTAAAAATACAAAAAATTTGCCAGGCATGGTGGCAGGCGCCTGTAGTCCCAGCTACTTGGGAGACTGAGGCAGAAGAATGGCATGAACCCGAGAGGTGGAGGTTGCAGTGAGCCGAGATCATGCCACTGCACTCCAGCCTGGGTGACAGAGCAAGACTCCGTCTCAAAAAAAAAAAAAGAAAAAAGAAAAGAAAAGCGTTTGGTGCCTATGTTGTTCCCAGCGCCTGCCCCACAGCAGCCTTGTCAATGTTTAAGTACGGGTAACACCTTCTCTGTTAAAACAGTCTATCAATGCAGCCGCAAGACCTCAACAAGGTCAACCCTGCCTCCCTGGACCGGTGCTGGCCTCTGGCAGCCTCGCCAGCCCCCGGGCGCCAGGCCCAGGGCAGCCCTGCTGCACACATCAGGGCCAGGTTGGCCGGGAAGGGCTCTGGGCAGCTTGAGCCACTCCCGCCCCTGCTCCTTCCAGCTTTCTGCTGCTCTGGAGCGCCGTCCTCATCATGTACCCCACCAGCCTTGCTGTCATCTCCATGACCTTCTCCAACTACGTGCTGCAGCCCGTGTTCCCCAACTGCATCCCCCCCACCACAGCCTCCCGGGTGCTGTCCATGGCCTGCCTGAGTAAGCATCCCCTTTGGCCCACTGTCCCCAGATCAGCCACCTGCCCGGGCTCCATCCTGCCCTGAGCAGGAGGACAGAGGGGTGAAATTTCCCTTCAGAAAATTCCAGCTGCTATAGGGGATGCCATTCTCGGGCCGCCTGGGCTGGACTTGGCCATGGTCCACTGTGAAAGGTCCCGGCCTCGGCGCCCACCCCCGCCTTCCCTCCGCAGTGCTCCTGACATGGGTGAACAGCTCCAGTGTGCGCTGGGCCACGCGCATCCAGGACATGTTCACAGGCGGGAAGCTGCTGGCCTTGTCCCTCATCATCGGCGTGGGCCTTCTCCAGATCTTCCAAGGTAGGGCCGAGTCGGGGTAAGGGCCGGGCTGGGGAGATGGTGCTGACCCCCGACTTCTGGGCCTCCAGGACACTTCGAGGAGCTGAGGCCCAGCAATGCCTTTGCTTTCTGGATGACGCCCTCCGTGGGACACCTGGCCCTGGCCTTCCTCCAGGGCTCCTTCGCCTTCAGTGGCTGGAACTTCCTCAACTATGTCACCGAGGAGATGGTTGACGCCCGAAAGTGAGTGGGGCCCCCAACTGGGCCCTGGGAAGCAGCCAGGCCCTCTGGTGGGACAGGCAGCCTCTCCGCCCAGCCCCACTGCCACCCAAGGCTCGGGCTGGTCCTCGGTGGCCCACGCCTGTTGCCCTGCAAAAATGGCCCTGGGAAGAAAGCCGGGGGGCTTGCATTCTAGCCTGGCCCTGTTCTCTCTGGCTATGGACACGTCACAGCCCCTTGCAGGGCCTCAGAAAGGCTGAATATCATCATCCTGCTGTAAATAGATCCAGAGATTTGCATTTGGCCTAAAATTATGCATATACACACAATATGGTCCCTACAAATGAAGCCAATGACTGCGTCTGATGCTCGGCCAGGGATCTCGACAGTAAACCTTTGCAGCTGAGCGAGCTGGGACTGGAAAGTTCCAGGAAGACTCTGGGTCTGTGGACTGGGCTCTGGGGCCATTTTGGGGAATTTTCCAGGCTGATTTTGGCTGTATGCGATTTTATCTTTCTGCACAGACATCAGACCCTGTCCTCAGGATGTGATGGGGCCCCTCCCCCATCTCCCATCCTACCAGCCTGTGTCCAGGTGGGGGTGGGGCAGGGCAGACAACAGGGTCCCTGTGTCTCGGGCAGCAATGCTGCCCCCTTTCCTGCCCCAACATCCCCAGCAGACACAAGAGATGGAGACTATGAGCTGCTCTCGTGGCTGGGTCTCGGGGGTCCTGCACCCTCAGGAGCTGACGCTGACGCACTCCACTGCCTGTCACCAGGAACCTACCTCGCGCCATCTTCATCTCCATCCCACTGGTGACCTTCGTGTACACGTTCACCAACATTGCCTACTTCACGGCCATGTCCCCCCAGGAGCTGCTCTCCTCCAATGCGGTGGCTGTGGTGAGTGGGCCCCTGCTCGGTCCCTGGCTCCTGCCCAGGCCCCTGCCCCGGCCTTACACATGGCCTCTCTACTGTGCCCACCCAGACCTTCGGGGAGAAGCTGCTGGGCTACTTTTCTTGGGTCATGCCTGTCTCCGTGGCTCTGTCAACCTTCGGAGGGATCAATGGTTACCTGTTCACCTACTCCAGGTGACTGCACTGGGGAGACGTGGGCATGGGGAGGGAAGGCTGGGGTGCAGGTGTGCACCAGTCATGCCGTGGGCCAGAGGAAGGGACACCTGCCGGGGGAGGGGTCTGCCTGAAGCTGGGATGATGATCCCACACGGTAACAAGTGTCTGATCACAACTGGGAGGCAAAGAAAGCAAGAGGCAGGCAGGCTGGATGAGGGGGAGAACTGTCCAGTGGGGCTGCTGGGCCCGGAGCAGGAGGTCAGAGGCGACAGCTTAAGAGGGACATCAGGTCCAAAGCTGAGACCCAGGATGTGGCCAGTGCCCATATCTGTCCCCAACGCTAGGCTGTGCTTCTCTGGAGCCCGCGAGGGGCACCTGCCCAGCCTGCTGGCCATGATCCACGTCAGACACTGCACCCCCATCCCCGCCCTCCTCGTCTGTGTAAGTTGGGGGACCTGGGCCAGGCAGGGCGTGGAGGCAGGGCTACCCGGCAATGCAGGACCTTCCGGGTAATGGCAGGGGTGAGCCATTCCAGGGTGGGGGTTGGGGGTGGGGCCAGGGCTCATCCTGCAGGGGCGTCAGGAGGCAGGCTAGGGGCCAGCCGTCAGCCCCAGGTCCTCTCCCAGTGCGGGGCCACAGCCGTCATCATGCTCGTGGGCGACACGTACACGCTCATCAACTATGTGTCCTTCATCAACTACCTCTGCTACGGCGTCACCATCCTGGGCCTGCTGCTGCTGCGCTGGAGGCGGCCTGCACTCCACAGGCCCATCAAGGTGAGGCCCTGGGACAGCTGGCCCTGTGCCGGGTGCTGCCAGAGCCACCCCTGCATCCACAGTGGGCACCAGGGGCAGGTGGGATGGGAGGTGCCAGCTTTTGTGGAGTGTTGGGCCCTGCTCAGGGCTCTCTGTGCACTGAGGCAGCCATTCCTCATAGCAGCCCCATGAGGACAGAGCTTTGAATGCTCCCAGTGTACAGATGGCGAAAATGAGGCTCAGGACTGGGCACAGGGGCTCATGCCTATTCCAGCACTTTGGGAGGCCGAGGTGGGAGGATTGCTGGAGCCCAGGAGTTTGAGACCAGCCTGGGCAACATAACGAGACTTCCTCTCTGCAAAAAGTTAAAAATAAAAGGGTTAGCCTGGTGTGGTGGTGCGCACCTGTGGTCCCAGCTACTTGAGAGGCTGAAATGGGAGGATCGCTTGAGCCCGGGAGGTTGAGGCTGCAGTGAGCGGTGCTAGGGCCACCGTACTCCAACCTGGGTGACAGAGGGAGACCCTGTCTCAAAAAAAAAAAAAAATTAAAGAAAATGAGACTCAGGAACTGTTCAAGGTCACAAAGGCTGCCAGGATTTCATGAGCCCACACAAAAACAGAAGACCATAGCCTGAGCTAAAAGCAAAGCCCCCCATGTGTGTATAAATCCTTAAGTGGAGAAGTGCTCAGTGCCTGAAATGTGAAACACCAAAAAATCACTGACCTCCAGCCAAGTGCAAGCCTCAAGTCCACACGCAACCGCTGTGTGGAGCTCGGTGCCGCTGAGACTTTGAAAAATCCTCAGCAAAACTGGCCAACGGCCTGACCCATGAATTGGCCTCCAACACACTGGGCTGTCGCCAAGAGGGGGTGTAGTGGGTGCAATTGCCCTTCAGGCCTCAGCTCCCAGGGAAGGGAGGAAAATTCCCCAGACCCCCAGGGGTCGGGGGTACAGACAGCTGGAGGCCCTGCACCATCGGTGTTTCTGCTCCCCCTTCCCCAGGTGAACCTTCTCATCCCCGTGGCGTACTTGGTCTTCTGGGCCTTCCTGCTGGTCTTCAGCTTCATCTCAGAGCCTATGGTCTGTGGGGTCGGCGTCATCATCATCCTTACGGGGGTGCCCATTTTCTTTCTGGGAGTGTTCTGGAGAAGCAAACCAAAGTGTGTGCACAGACTCACAGGTGAGCCGGGCAGCTGCAGGTCACCCAGCACAGGGGGCCGGGGCCTGGAGACCAGACCTCCCTCTTAGAGGCTCACCCCAGAGCAGGGTGTCCTAGCAGCTGAGGTGGGAACACAGGGCCCAGCCGCCACCAAATGTCTCTTCCCAAGATGTACCCAAAGTTTCCAGAACCACGGGTACCGACGGAGCAACTCCCTGAAGACCCCTGCCCAAGGGGAGGTGTCCGGAGCTGGGGGTCACCCCTATCCCGAGAGGTCAGGCCCCAAGGTCCATCTGTCTGTCCTCAGAGTCCATGACACACTGGGGCCAGGAGCTGTGTTTCGTGGTCTACCCCCAGGACGCCCCCGAAGAGGAGGAGAATGGCCCCTGCCCACCCTCCCTGCTGCCTGCCACAGACAAGCCCTCGAAGCCACAATGAGATTTTTGTAGAGACTGAAGCAGTTGTTTCTGTTTACATGTTGTTTATTGAGGAGGTGTTTTGGCAAAAAAGTTTTGTTTTGTTTTTTTCTGGAAAAAAAAGAAAAAAGATACGACTCTCAGAAGCCTGTTTAAGGAAGCCCTAAAATGTGGACTGGGTTTCCTGTCTTAGCACTGCCCTGCTAGCTCTTCCTGAAAAGGCCTATAAATAAACAGGGCTGGCTGTTCGCTCGTGCTATGGGGAGTCCCTGATGGGCACAGATGGGAGTGGCTGGGGCGTACCTCGGTGGGTGCACACATGTTGCTGGCCAGGAAGATGCCGTGGCAGGCCCTGGAGGAGGCTCTTGACATTAGGGGGCTTTGCTGCTTGACACAGGCGCTCCCTACCATGGCACCCAGAGTCCCCCTGCCCTAAAGGGATGTCGAGGATGGGGTAGCAGCTCAGTCCGCCCCTACCCCAGGCCCCTCGATGCCAGTCTGAGCTCGGCCACCCAGGAGAGCTCAGGGGCTCCAGGCTGGGATTGTCTTTCTTCCCGTAAATCACCACAGAGTGAAGGTCAGGACTTCAGAGCCCACAGTCTCACCCTGGCTTACAGGTGGGGAAACCGAGGCCCTGAGATAGGATGGAACAGACGTGGCCACTGCTGTTGGTGCCTCGGCCTCTCTGTCCCCAGAAAGCACAGAGCAGCATGTCCTGGGGGCTTTGAGGCCTGCAGGGAACTCCAGGGGCTTCATGTACAGCAGGCACACACCCCAGCCCTTCCACGGTGCCCAGGAGATTGGACCTTCAGGGAGGGCAAAGGGCGCCTGCCTGGCCAGGGGCATGAGGGTTTGGCAGGAGCCACCCAACCCAGGTCCTCCAGAGGCCTTGCTGGACAGGAAGAGGGTGAGGCGTGAGCAAAATAGTCACCACGGATGAGACCCAGCGTCCCCATGGCCCGGCCCCATCCTCATGACAACTCCCAGCTCTAGGGGCAGCTGTTGCCACTGCAGGGCAGATGAAGCAAAAAGGCTCTGGTCCCCTGCTTCTCTGGAAATGGGTTCCCAGAATGGAGTGGGGGGAGAGAAGTGAGACCCCAGGGTGCTTGTGTACAATGGGACCCTGCAGACGGGCTCACCACTCCACTCTTCTCCCCCCCGCCGTTCAGTCCCACAGCTCCCGCCCACCAGTGCAGCCAGCTGGCTTAGGGGCCAGCCCCTCCGCTGGGGTCCCCGGAGGGCCTCTCCATAAGAAAGGACGCAGAGGCAGGGTAGAAATGACTGTGTATTCCCTGGTTACAAAGCGGGGCTGTGGCGGTCACCAGCGAGCCCAGCGGTCAACAGACCAACAGGGCCTCATCATCGCTGGCCTCCAGCATTGGGGAGCAGGGGGGCGGGGGGTTCCTGCAGACCCCCAGTGGCTCTGGCGAGTGGGGGCCCAGGGTGCTGCTGGCAGTGGAGACCTGGGGGTGCGGGTCCTGGGCTGAGCAGGGCTCCCGAGGTGCATCTGCAGGAGCTGGGCCGTCTACCAGTGGCTCCCTGCAGACCTTTCTGTCCTTGTCCACGGGCCTGCACTCTGGGTCTCGCAGGCCCGAGGGCAAGGGTGGCCCTGAAGGTCCCACCTCCGGTGCACGGCCGGGGGCACTGGGGGGCCTGTCTCCGGCCGCCCTGGTGCTGCCTGTGTCCATGAGCGGTGCTGGGGGGTCGGGGGCAGCCCCTGGAGCAGGCTGGAGGAAGCCATCGCCCAGCACGGTCTGTGAGGGGCGTGCTGCGGTCAGCAGTGGGATCTGGCCTCGGGGCGCCCGCGGCCGGTGAAAGAGCCGGTTCCAGAGGCGGCCGAGGCGGCGGCGGGAGGGCCCCCGGCGGGAGGCGTGCCGACGCATCTGTCTCCGCATGGCTGTGCGAAGATTCTGCAGCACAGAGGCCTGTGGGGTGGAGCAGGGTAGGGGCGGGGGGATGCGGCTGAGGGGGCAGACAGGCTGCTCAGGGGCAGGAGACAGCACACCCCCAAGGGACCTGAGACCCGAGAGACCACCTTGTCCACCCCCCCCACCTGGCCATGGGCCCTCAGGTCACCCTGCGCAGGCCTTGCCTCCTGCTCCTGTGACCCCTGGACCAGCCTCCTCCGCACACTGTCCCAAGTGGCCCCGGAGGGGCCTCACGCCCTCCGGGGGCTCACCTGGGACGCACTGTAGACAGGAAAGTCCTCCACGGGTGGAATGAGGCCCTGGGCGATGAGCTGACCATAGGATGGGGGTGCCTCCCGCCGCACGAACTCAGCCTCCAGGCGCGTCATCTGGGTCTCGAAGGCCCTAGAAGCAGTGGGCGGAGGGCGACATGACTGGGCTGCCCGGGACCTGCAGCAGGAACAACAACAGGATTCCAGGACGACCCTCCACCCAGACACCCCAAGATATAGGGACCCCAGTGTGCACCAGGGCAGCCTCCATGTAGCTAGTCCAGGCCCCCGTTTGCAAACCCACAGCTACGGGGACAGCAAGCCTGGGTGATGAAGAAGCCCGGTCCCCTGGCTGCGGGCACAGCGCCCACCTGTATTCCTGCGTGCGCAGTGAGTAGAGCTTGAAGGCGCAGCCCAGCGCGATGACCAGCAGCAGGCCACACACCAGGCTGCCAATGAGCGCCGCCGTGATGACCTTGCGGGGCACGGCGGCCAGGCACCCATGCTCATCGCTGCCGTCCTGGCAGTCTTCCTGGCCGTCACAGCGCCACGTCTCGAAGATGCACAGGTTGGTACCGCAGTGGAAGGTGCCGGGCTGGCAGGAGAAGCAGTTCTTCTCGTCGGCGCCGTCGGGACAGCTTTTCTGGTTGTTGCAGCGGTCGGCAGGCGTGTAGCACAGACCACTGCCACCCTCGCAGGGGTACTGGTCGGGCGGGCAGGCAGGGCAGCCCTGCTCGTCTCGGCCGCTGGCACAATGCCACCAGCCATCACAGCGCTGTGGCTCTGAGAAGCAGCCCTGGTCGCCCAGGCTGCCCCCGTCACTGTCACTACTGCTCCCGCACGGCTGCTCCCAGGGGAGGCAATAGCCCTTCACCTGGTAGGTGGCATTGAAGCCGTGGCCGGCGCTGCGGGCGCGCGCGTGGTAGGCCACAGTGAGGCGGCCCTGGGCGGCCTCCAGGCTCACGGGCCGGTGGTTGCTGCGGTAGGACAGCGTCTGCAGCAGGCGGTCCCCGCGCTCGCCCAGGCCCTCGTATACCTGCACGTAGTCGTCATAGCCCAGCCGCAGTTCCAGCTGCAGCAGCACCCGCCGGGAGTCCTGTGTGTCCACCAGCCACGTGCAGTGAAGGTCTGAGGGCCCGCGAGCGGCGCCGAACAGGTCTGGGGAGGCAAAGGAGCCGTAGAAGCTGCCCAGCCGCCGGCCGCACGCCAGGTCGGGGCAGCCCGCCTCATCCGAGCCGTCGCCGCAGTCCTGCAAGCCGTCACAGCGCCGCTCCACAGGCAGGCAGCGCGTGGAGCGCGCCCCGCTGCATGGGAAGGTCCCCCCGGGGCACAGGCTGCCTGGAGGCTCGGAGGCGGGCGCCGAGCAGTTGCCCTCATCAGAGCCGTCTCCACACTCGTCCACCGTGTTGCACTGCCACGGGCCGGGCAGGCACTTGCCGTTGTCACAGCGGAACTCATCTGCCTGGCAGGATGCCTGGCCCAGCTTCCCTGTGGGGTGGAGACGTAGCAGGGGACAGTCAGGAGACAGAAGAGCCTCCCTTCGGCCAGGGGGCCTGGGGCCAAAAGCGGGCAGGTGGTTCCCCATCACTGTGGCAGCAGAGACCCCTCCAACACCAGGGTGGGCTCTGTCCCTGACCTGAGCCTGGGGTTAGGGGTGAGTTCCCAGGACTAGCCAAGACTGGGAAGTGGGGCCAGTGACCTTGAGAGGTCCAAGGCATCCGCATGCCCAGTCCTGCCACTGTCCTGAGATTGACAGGGCGGTCAGGGGACATCCCACAGGGAGCCGGGGCCCTGTGGAGGGTGCCGCCCCTGTGGGCCGGGAGCCTGTGGGCATGCACGGTGTGCTCCGTGGTGTCCTGCCTGCCCTGCAGCCTCCATCACCTCGGATGTAAGACAGACGGAAGCCCTGGGCCTGGCCGGAGCTGGAGGCGTCTGAGTGGAAGAAAATCCAGACATGGTCGCGGGCAGAGATGAAGGCAGGTGGGATGGCGGAGCCACAGAGGCGGAAGGCCTCCTGGCGGGGTGGGGCTGCTGGGCCCAGCAGGAGCCAGTCCAGGGAGCACTGGTGGGACTCCTCCACGTCAAAGTTGCGGAAGCTGCGGGGGGGCGGAGAGGACCCAGACATGAGGCAGTAGGTGGGATCTCCATGGCCGAGGACCAGCAGGGAGTGGTCAGGCTGGAGCCACGGCCAGGACAGCCAGCCCTGTCCCGGCCGGCTGCCCCCACTCCTCATGTTCCAGACTGCCTGGTTCCTCCACTCCCAGCCACTCTGTCCCCACACTGTCCCCATCCAGGTGTGCACGGGAGGCTCCATGAAGAATTGCGACATCCACGCAGGTCATTTCCAGCTCTGCTGCGGCTCCCCTTCCCTCCATCAGTGCACACAGTACCCCCAGCCCGAAGCCGAAGTGGAGCAGGAAGTCAAGAGCCCCCTGCCCCGACACCCTCCCCAAAAGGGCAGTGGCCCAAGGGCCCAGAACCCTCCACCTCGGGACCACTGGGATGGGCCCAGCACAAAGTCCCAGGCATGGGAAGTGAGGGTGAGACTGCCCACGGGGCTGGCTAAGGCTGCAGCAGGTTGACAGCTTGTCATCTCCGGAGATACACTGGCCCTGAACCACCTGGCCCTTGGGGAAACTGAGGCACAGAGACTAGGATAGACCCTGCCCATGCCCATCACATCCTCACGCATTGCAGCTATGGAGTAAGTCAGGGGTTGCGCTTTTTGGGCTCTGGCATTTAGGAAAACTATGGCAGATGGAACCTATAGTGACTCCCCAGCCAAATGTCCCTGTGACCACCCCTGGCCAGGACCACCGCTCACTGCCTGGCCCCCTTTCCCTCTGCATGTCCCTGCAGCTCAAGCACCCGGGCTTTGCCTGATTCACTCCCCTCCCCAAGGCCCCCTCCAGAAACCATGCTCTGGGCTCAGTGCCAGCCTGGCCCCCAGCCACCCCTGCAGGACAGAGAGGACACCTCTGCCACCTCAGAGACATCAGACCATGCCCACCAGTCCCAGGCTGTGTTCCCAGTGGCCTGTGTGCTGGCCCTGCCTTCCTGGCAGAGCTGAGTGACTGAGACCCCCCACACCCCATGAACGAGGCTCAAACCAGGAAGAGGTCCAGCTTGGGCACCTCGCCACAGAGGCCCGTGGAGACCCAGAGCACTGGACACACTTGCGTGCATGCATTCACATGTGCACATACATGCTTACGGTTCACACATGGTTACACCTGTTATCTTACATGCATGCGCACATACACGCTCTCTGCACCTTTGCAGGCATGGCTCGTGCACATACATGTGCTCACACATGCAGTCTCTCACATGTGTCCTTTATGTCTTCTCCGACATGGGCTTTTCCATGTACACAAGCACACATGTGTTCACATACATGCACACACACACATATGCACACACACCTACTTACATGTGTTCACATGCATGCACACACCACATACCTGCTCAAATACCTACACACGCCTACCTCACACACACACATCTGCATGCACACACACCTACTCACAAATGCTCACACACATGCACACACCCATACACCTGTTCACACGAGTGCTCACACACGCCTCACTCATATGCTCACACACATGCACATGATCCCACACCTGCTCACACACATGTACACCCTCAGGCGTGTGCCCTCCACACCTGCTCACACACACACATTCTCACCCACCCCATGCACGTGGGCCCACATTGATTCCTTCCGACACCCCCGGGTGCCCCTACCTGATGGTAATCATGTCACCACGGTCGCCCTGGATGTACCAGCTGCAGTTGGTGCCTGGCGGGTAGTTGAGGGGCCAGGCCGGGCTGTAGATGACCCCACGCCGCTCCGTGTGCTGCTCCAGCTTCCCACTGCAGGCCGCTGTCGGGAGAGGAGGCCGAGAAAGGCCGGCCCATCTTTGGTTGGGATGCGGGTTGCAGTGGGGGGAAGGGGGCTTCAGCACAGGCCTCCCCCATGGTGGGATCGAGTCCAGCCAAGGGTGGCCATGGCCAAGGGCAAGGCCACAACTTGTGACTTCATGGAGGTGGTGTGTACGGGAGGCCAAGGAGGGCCCCCTAGACTTGAGGCAGCTGTAGCCCCCAACCCTATGCAGTGGACTACAGCCTAGGTCCTGTCCCCCGCATCTCTGGCAGAGCTGGGAGAAAACCCACCAACAACCCGTCCTGCCAGCCGGCACCTCCAAGGTGTAGCCTCGTGGCCTCGGGTCAGTGGAGAATCCCACACCCCTAGGCCTGCCCAGCCGGCATAGCCCATCCTGCGATGGCCCCCTGCCTGCCTTCCCTGAGGCTTTGCTCACTCAACAAGTATTTACTGAGCACCTACTACATGCCAAGCATGCATGGTAGGCACACTGAGTAAGGTGGGAATAAGGCCTGCTCTATGGAACTCATAGGCTGGGGGTGGGAGCAGACGAACTTTACGCAGAACCCCTCAGTGGAATGAAGATACTACAACAGGCCTGAAGAGAGGTGGCAAAGTCCAGCTGTGGCTGGAAACGCCACCTGGATCTGATCACACCTTGTGCAGAATTTGAGTTTTATCCTGAGTACAAGTGCAAAGCCGCCAAAGGTAGATCTCGGAACCAGGTGAGGAAACAGGCTCAGAGAGGGTCAGCGACTTGCCTGGGGCCACACAGTTAGGGAGGGGCAGAGTCAGGAATCACTGTAGGCCTCTGGGGGCCTCAGCTTCTTGCTGCAGCACTGAGCCAGCATGCACTCATGGAGTGCCAACTGTATACCGCTCAGGTTGAGCAAAGCATCACGCCCGCCAGCTCAAAGGAGGAGCCCTCCATGCCCAGCCCCATGGGCCTCGCTTTAATCCATCCATTCTCCATGCTCTCTGCTTCTAAACCATCCAGGGCAGTGTGGTGAGCCTGCCCTGCCCCGCTGTGCCCTGACCCTCCCAGGACCAGGCGGCTGGCCCCTGCACTTGACCACACCTCCCACCCCACAGCACCCTGACCCTTCCCCACGCTGGTCCATCTGATTCTCACAACAGCCTGAGATGAAGGCAGGGCCCATTTTGCAGATGGAAAAACTGAGGTGAGGGACGACCCCTTTCCCGAGCCCAGTGACACTCTCTCCTCACTCTCCCATGGCTGGCCCCTGGCACCGTGACCTTGCAAGCCAAGTTCTCTCTGGTTCTCAGCAAGACTCTCTGGCACCCAGCTGCAGGAAAGGAAGGAGAGCCCTCTGGCTGCCTCCCATGCTCTTAGGACAAAACCACAATTCACTACAGCAGCGCCAGCCCCCTCCCTGCCCCACACTCTGCCTCATCCCTCCCATAACCCCTAGCCCCCCGGACCTCTCCGATCTCTCACATTGGAGGGGACTTTGCCCTGGAGGCCCTGGTGGTCCCTAGTGGGTGCTATCCCCACCTTCTTATCCCATTCACGGACTCCTCAGCTTCCACCCCTAGCTCCAAGGTCCCTTCCCAGGGAAGCCCTCCGGGATAGCCCCCACAGAGCTCCAACCCTCCATCCCTCCCCCCAGCCTCGGCCACAGAGCATTTCCCTTTTGTTGTTGGGACTGATGGATGAACATCACACAGGCAGGTAGGGCCGTGCCATGTCCCAGGGCCCTGCACAGTGCCTAATGCATGGCAGGTGCTCCAGAGATGTGGGTCCCTGAGTGGACGGGTCCATCTGAGGACCTGCTGGGCAGCTGGAGCCATGAGCTGAGAGCTGAAGCCCCTTCCCCTGGGGGCCTACTAGGACCATGAAGGCCCAGGTGAGTCGGGACTGTGACAAATAGGGAGCCAGTAACCCCCACGGACAGCTCGTGAGAGCATCAAGGATAAGAACAGAACTCTTGGTCCTAAAGCAAGGCTGGCCACCACTGCGTCACCATCAGACCCTTGACAGTCCCAGGTCAGTGAGGTGCAAGCCAGCACCTCTCCACCTGGAACTCATGCATGGCCCTGGGAGGCAGCCCCCACAATGAGCCTCTGATCCTGCCCCAGAAATAGGGCACTGTACACCCTGCTCCCAGCCAGGAAGGGCAGGAGATAAACTATCAGAAAGGAGTCTCAGGGTGCAGCCACCCAAACATGCAAAGTGGCCCCGGCCCCAGCCTGGTTCCCTTTGCCGGGTGAGGCTACTGGCCATGAGGACCTCACAGAGCCCTGAGGTCCTGAACTGGGATTCCTTGGGAGGTGTAGGGTGAAGAAATCCAAAAGAGACCGGGTGCAGTGGCTCACACCTGCAGTCTCAGCACTTTGGGAGGCCAAGGCGGGGGGATAATTTGAGGTCAGGAGTTTGAGATCAGCCTGACCAACATGGCAAAACCCTGTCTCTACTAAAAGTATAAAATTAGCCAGGCGTGGTACTGGGCGTCTGTGATCCCAGCTACTCAGGAGGCCGAGGCAGGAGAATCGCTTGAACCCAGGAGGCGGATGTTGTGGTGAACCAAGATCACACCACTGCACTCCAGCCTGGGTGACACAGCAAGACTTTTTCTCCAAAAAAAATTAAAAAAAAGAAGGAAATCCAAAAGAAGAGATCTTTCCCATTGGAGGGGGCCGAACAGGAGGTTCCACAGAAGGGAAGGCCCAGTGAGGCTGAAGTGGTATGGTCCCCCACATTGCATCTCTAAAGCGCATGCTAAGCTGAAGTGTCAGCCTCTGAGTCAGCGTGGCTGGGAACCTCCCATGTTCACCTTTTTGCTGAGGGGTAAAAACCTGTGAGGTCCCCTGTCCTGGAGGACAAGGCCAGGGGCAGGGCAAGGCGCTGTCCATTCCTACTCAGCCCCAGAGGCCTCCCCTAGGGGACAGACATAGACCTGCCCCTCTCCTTGGGGCCCTTGGGGGCCAGGTGTCTCACCCACGCTTTCTGGGAAAAGCCAGGTGTCACCTGCCACCTTTCTCTCTTCCCACTCACTTCAGCCAGAACCCTTCTCCCTCATAGACCTATGTCTGACCCCTTCATCAGGGGTTGGGAGGCCACCAGCCACATCAGGAGCAGAGGAAGGGACAACTGCCAGCTGCCCTGCCTCTCAGCAAAACCCTGACAACGGGTGCCTCCAAACAGCCTCACCCCTGGGGGCCCCCCGGAAATTTCCACATCAGGGAAACTTGGTTAAACTGTTTGCTCTTCTCCAAAGCGGGTTGGCAGAGACCATGGTGGGTGCAGCAGCAGCCCAGCCTCATGCAGAGGGGATGGGAGGCAGGAGGGAGGCTGGGCTCTGTGCAGGGAGCTGCAAGTTCTAGGCAGGGACTCCTTTTTTTTTTTTTTTTTCTGAGACAAGATCTTGCTCTGTCTCCCAGGCTGGAGTGCAGTGGTGCGATCACAGCTCACTGCAGCCTTAACTTCCAGGCTCAAGTGATCCTCCCACCTCAGCCTCCCAAAGTGCTGAGACTACAGGTGTGCCCCACCATGCCCAGCCTAGGCAAGAACCCTGCTTGACCTGAGGCAGACGTGCATGTGGTAGGGCACAGGGTCAGGGGTTGCCAATGAGGAGGGGGATCTCCAGGAATGCTCCATGGAGGTGAGGTTCATGACAGGCTGTGTAGCAGCGGGCAGGCAGTGAGGGCAGATGGGAGGACTGCATGATTTGCGGGATAATGGGGAAGAGGGAGGGGTTCGGAGGTGTTGGGGGCTGTCAAGAGGTCTGTCTGAGCTTCAGCTGGAGGTGACCTGACTTCTCTCAGGCAGAAGATGGCCTGGGCCCTCGGAGCCATGGTGGCCCACACAAGTAGGGAAGGAATGACCAGGTACTTTCGGGCCAGTGTCCTTTCCTGGTCCAAAGAGTCATCAAATATTCCTGAGAGGACACTGCAAGGCCTGAGAAAGCACAATTTGCAGATCCAATTTCCAAAGTTGATCAATACCCCCGCCAACCTGCCTGGTGTAATCCGACGACGGGGAGCTGGGAGTCCCACCCCAGACGTGCCGGGGAAGCTGCCAGCTGCCTGCAAACTGCATGAAGCCCCTGCCCAGGCCCTCCCCGTTGGAGCCACAGTAGCTTCAGGGCTGAGCCCAGAGGCTGGGGGGATGCAGGAGGTGTTCTGACCAGTCAGGGCCCAACATACCTGGGCTTAGGATGGGGTTTGCTGAGGGGTAAAAACCTGTGAGGTCCCCAGGTAGCCCTGCTAGACCCTCTGGAGCAACTGAGCCTAGTTAGGGTGGAGAAGGGGCTGGGGGAATGTTTCCCAATCCAGGGTCCCACACAGCAGGAATCCCAGGGAAAGCTCTGGAAATGCAGAGTCATGGAGCTGTGGTGGGAGGTGGGTACCTTGGGCCACCTGCAGGTGGTCAGTAATGCTGGAGGTGTCAGAAGTGGACTCTAGGACAGCTAGGGTCCCAGATCACCACCCATGGCCTTGCGCGCTGGGCGTGCAGCTCCCATCACAGAGGGCACCAGGGGTGAACAGCAGCCGTTGGAGTTTGGCAACGTGGACCCTGCTGGGGCCTGAGGTCTTGACAGCTAAGGACAACCAAACGCAAGGACCTGGACAGTGTCCTCCTCGCCCAAGCTCCATGACTGGCCCTAGTCCCCAGGGAAGCACTTTTCTGAAAGTGGAGTATATACACATTTGGGGTGACACACCCACCAGCAGGAGGGTGTCCTGGGGCTCACATTCATAAGCTGTGACACCCTCATTCCCCCTTCCCCTGACTCTACCATGGCCACAGACATCTGACCCAGGCTGGGCCAGTCAGCCTTTTCCTGGAAATTGGGATGGGAGACTGGGCCTCCATCAGTTGTGTGGACCAGGACAGCAGACAGGGCTGGGGCTAGGTCAGCGCTGAGCAAGGCCCGGCCTTGAGCCAGCCCGAAGCATCAGAGGAGGCCGGGCTCCTGAGAGCACAGCTCAGGGCAGAGAGAGAGGGAAAGAGGCCCAAGCCTGCCAGAGGAGCCAGTGAGCACAGCTTCTGTGCACCCTGGGCCTCCCCTTTGACCACAGCAGGGGTCCCGCTGCCTGACAGCTCCGGGTCCTTTCTCCAGCAAGCCGGGCCCTGCACAGAACTAGAAACCCAGGCACCTCCTGCCCCACCGAGCAGAGCAGCAGGCAACGAACAAGTCAGAGGCCCCCATTGTTCTCCCGGGCTGCACCTTGACCTCAGGTTTTGGTTTTGGTTTTACAGACAGGGTCTCGCTCTGTCACCCAGGCTGGAGCACGGTGGAGCCGTCATAGCCCACTACAATCTCAAACTCCTGGGCTCAAGCAATCATCCTGCCTCAGTCTCCCGAGTAGCTAAGACTACAGGCACATGCCACCGTGCCCAGCTAATTTTCAGATTTTTTTTGTAGAGATGGAGTTTCACTATGTTGCTCAGGCTGGTCTCAAACTCCAGGGCTCAAGCATTCTCTTGCCTCAGCCTCCCAAATGCTGGGATCACAGGCGTGAGCCACAGCACCTGGATGTCGAGACTTTCCCACGGAAGCTGTGATGCAGCTTCTAACTTACACCTTTCTTCCACCCCTGCTCCTGCTTGTCCAAATCTAGTAATTCCCAGGTGGCCCTGCATGGCGTGGCATGTCCCCTCCTTTCAAGAAAATTAATAAAGCCTTCTTTCCCTGGCATGGGCCTCTCTGTGTCACCCCTCAGTCATACTCCTATAAATTAAATCCTAGGAAGCTCATGGCCTGCAATGAGGCACAAGATGTCAATTCCACGGGACCCTCGGCAGCTTGCCGGTGGTATAAAGCCACCACGTGCCAGGCACCACACTAAGAGCTTGCCTCACTGGCTCATGGAATACTAAGAGACAGGTTTTGAGTAGACCTTGTTATTTCACCCACTTTACAGATGAGGAAACTGAGGCTCAGACAAGTTGAAGCCTGTCCAAAGCCAAACAGCTCCTTTGTGATGTAGAAAAGATGCACACAGGAACTCGGGGTAGTGCCAGGACCCTGAAGGCCTGTCTTCAGGGACCACTCACCCAAAAGGGACTGAAGGAGTGGAGGAAGGAGAGAAAGTGCTTACTTACCTAAGGCAGGAACCGCACTGCTGAGTCTCCCGGTGAGAAAGATGTTCACTGTGGGAGATACAAAGAAAGGGTCAGGGGTCCCACATACCTGCTGGGGACCAGCAGCAGCCCATGAGGGACACCACAGCTAAACCCAAGGCTGGCCCGCTGGTCCCCTTCCTCTTACAGGGCAAGGCCCAGAGCGCAGCCCAAGACTGCCCATCAAGAGGGTCCCTACCACCTCACCCCCACCTCCCTGCCTCCATGTTCTGTTATCCAGGCTGGAGTGCATAGCTCACTGCAGCTTCAAACTCCCGAGCTCAAGCAATCCTCCCACCTGAGCCTCCCAAGTAGCTGGAACTACAGGTGTGCACCACTATGCCTGGTTATTTTTTTATTTTTTATTTTTGTAGAGATGAGGTCTCACTGTGTTGCTCAGGCTGGTCTTAAACTCCTGGCCTCCAGCAATTCTCTTGCCTTGGTCTCCCAAAGTGCTGGGATTACAGGCACCTGCCACCGCACCCTGGCCTGCTCCTACAACTTTGAAGGGCTTCCCCCTACCAAGGGGCTTTGCTCGCCCAGCAGCAGCAGAGGCAGGAGGGGAGGCAGTTCTGATAATCCCCATTTACAGGGCACGCAGCTAGTGACGGAACCATCCTCTTCCCCCGTGCCAAGCTGACTTTGAGGAGGAAAGCAGAACTCCCCAGCCACCCCTCAAGCACCCACCTCCGTGGGGTTTGGCCCTTACTTTCACCTTCTGCTCTGGCCCGGGGGGTTACGGGCCCAGAGTCGGGGGGTGGGGGGAAACCCAACTTCCCGGGGTTCAGGATGTGTGTCAGATCCCGCCTGGCCAGGAAGCAGGAACCGCTGCCCCCACCCAGGACACCCAGGCCCCCTGGACAGAGCCAGGCCAAAGCTCCTAAGCATGGAGCGCCTGTCCCCCTGCTCTGCTCACCAGGGATGCCAGCACCCAGCAGCTCAGAGCCCAGCACACATGACCCCGCACTGAGGTTGGGGTGGGCGCGCTGGGGTTACACCCTCAATGCTCCCCAATGGCACATTCCCACTGAGCCAGGCTCACACAGCTGGGGCAAGGGCCTGCCAGAGCCTCGGAGCTCCCTGAGGCCTGGGGGTGATTACTTTGTCATTTCAGTGGCTTCAGCAAACCTGTCAGGTTACAGAGCCCTCACTGGTGACATCACAGGGTGTCCCCTAATGACCCCCAGTTCTTATAATGGCCTCCCTCCTTCATCACAGTAAATAAAGGAGCCATGTGGGTTGGGGATTTAACTCCTCCTCTCGCCTACACAGAGCGCTGGAAAGCTGGACAGAAAAACTCCCGGACAGGGCGGGAGCCCCTCCCACCCCATGCCTGGCCTTGACCGGTCCCTGGCCCAACCCAAGCACCCTCCTAAACTGAACAGGCCTGCCTGGGGGCTGAGAGACACAAAGGGAAAACAGGAGTCCCCTGGAAGCCGCCTCCACACTGGCACCCTCCTCCAGCCCTGCCCCGCACCCCGAGTCCCCATCTGCGGCTTACACCAGCCCCCACCCCAACTCCGGGCCGGAAACAGTTTCTTCTTCAGGGGACAGCCGGCCTGGCCTTTGTCCCCAGCTCCCGGGGCCCCCTCGTCTCCAGGCTCAGCGCGGGCGGGCCGGGTTGAAGGCTGCCGCCTGCACGAAGGGCCTCCTGCCAGCGCTCAGCCCGGGCTCCGGGCGCTACTCCGAGCGGGGCGGGAGCCGGGGCTGCGCCACCAGAGTCGCCCTCCCAGGCCCGGGGCCAGGCGGGCAAGCGGTGCTGGCCCCTCTCTGGGTCTCCGCGCGGGAGCCACCGCGGTGGGGGGCTCGGGATGCCGCGGCCGGAGAGGAGGTCGGTCAGGGCGCGGCGCGGACTGCCATGCGGGGGACCCGGACCTGCCCGGCCCGCGCGGCCCACTCACCCAGACAGACGACGGCCAGCTGCGCCCGGGCGCCCGGCGCGCCCTCCAGCCCCGCGGCCGCGCGCTTCTCCATGCCGGGCCCGGCCGCCCGCGGGCGCCGCCTCCTGCCCCGCGGCTCCGGCTCCGGTTCCGGCTGCGGCTCCGGCTCTGGCTCTGGCTGCGGCTCGGGCTCGGGCTCGGGCTAGGGCTCGGGCTCCGGCTGGCGTGGCTGCTGCGGCCCGGGTGCAGGCGGCGGCTCCCGAGGCGTCTTTGTGCGGTGGCGGTGCAGGCCCGTAGGGCGCGCGCGGCCACATCGGCCGCGGCGTCACGGGCCCTGCGGGGGCTCAGCGGCGGCCGCCAGGGAAGACCCCCGCCCGCCGCTGCCCCCGCGCCCCGGGAGCCCCGCCGCGGCCGGCCTGGGCCCGGGGACCCCCGGCGCGCCCATGCCCCGCGGCGCGCAGCCCGCCCGGCCCCGGCGTCCCCGGGCCGCCCCGCGCTGCGCCCAGCCCGCCCGGCCGGGTGCCGCCGGTAGAGCGTCCGTGGGTCTGTCAGTCCTCCCGCCCGGCCCCTCGCCCGCGCCCGGAGCCTGGAGGCCGCGCTGCGCCAGCCACGTGACGCGCCCGCCGAGCCGCAGTGGCGCTGGCTGGGCGGGCGGAGGCGGCTGGGGCGGGCCGGGGGCGCACGCCCCGCCTCGGGGTGCTGGACAGCTCTGCGCACCAGCCCCGCCCCGCCCGCGCCCCCCGCCGCGCTCCCCGCGCTCCAGCCCAGTGCTCCAGGCAGCCGGTGCTCGCCTGGCCTCCTCCCGGGCCCACGAATTGATCCCTCCTGGAGCCGGCTGTGCTGAGGAGGACCGGGGAGCGAGGACTGGGAAAAGGTGGGAGAGAGAGGACGGCTTAGGGACCTCATAGGGGTGGCACAAGGCTAAGGCCTGTCTTCTTCGCAAGGTGTCCCTGTTCCTGCCCCTCCGCTTCTTTCATTTGCCACAGTCCAAGTGCCCTGTCACGTCTCTAAGAGGAACCCCCTGTGCCAAGCAAGACCTGTCAGGGGACATTGGTGAACACACCAGAGGCCTCTGGAGATCTCCCAGGGCCCCCTGAGCCCACCCTGTTACCCACTATCCTCGTGAGGCTGGGGACTTGGGAGGAGGCCTGCTTCTTAGGCTGGGGGTGCCCTCTGGAGAGCTGCCCACCAAGAGGTTGAGTCCAATGAGGCAAGAACCAGGAGAGACAGGGGGAAGGTTTGAGAAGGCCATTTAGGGCCAAGACGGATGTGAAATCAGAGGTCCCCAAAGGCTCCATGGCACAGCGGGCCCACCAACCTGAGCTGAGGCTCCCAACCCTTTTCTAACACCCCCAGACCCTCATTTGATATTCTCCGTTTATGGAGAGAAGGTTGAGAGAAACTGATGGTCCGTTAGTGAAAGCGTAGACAGTCACTCACTCACTCGCACTGTGCAGGTTGATTGGATTTTAATAAAAAATGGGGGGAAGAAAAATCCTTTTAGTTTTTCTGGGTTTTCTTATTCTCTCTCTTCTAATTCCTTTGGTGATTTTTCCAAAGCAGACTTCTTAGGAAATGTATTAAAGGACGTAAAAATCAAATAACAAGATACATTACAGATTGATGGCATAGAGCACTAGCCTATGTGTAATTTGGTTTCAGAATTTCCTCAGACTGCTGACTGCGGATGAGCAGGCATTTATTTACGCATGGCAAAAATGCTCAACAGAGGCAGGGGCAATGGTAGGGTGGATCTGCGGTTTGTTCGTTTGTTGTTGTTGTTGTTGTTGTTGCTGCTGCTGCTGCTGCTTCTTAGTTTTTTTAGAGACAGTCTCACTTTTTCACCCAGGCTAGAGTGCAGAGCTGCAACCATAGCTCACTGTACCCTCAAACTCCTGGGCTCAAGCAATCCTCCCACCTCAGCCTCCCAAGTAGGTGGGATGACAGGTGTGCACCACCATGTCAGGCTAATTTTTTCATTTTTTTGTAGAGACAAGGTCTTGCTCTGTTGCCCAGGCTGGAGTGCAGTGGTGTGATCACGGCTCACTGCAACCTCAAACTCCTGGACTCAAGGGATCCTCTTGCCTCAGCCTCCCAAAGTGCTGGAGTTACAGACAGGACCCACCACACCTGGCCAAAATATGCGGTTTTGTTGAAGATGCTGCCTGCTTCAATGCATGTTTTGCACGTTATGTAAGGAATCTAGGGTCCAGACCAATGACCAATATGGGAATCATGTTGGAGCCTGAAGCAAAAGAAAAATGTGAGCCCCTAGACACACTTATCAAAATATCCTCCCATATTTTGAACCAAGTGGAAAGGCTAAGAAAAGCTCTACAATCACATGACTATATCTAAATCTCCATGCTCCCCAATCTATGCACATCCCATTGTGAACCCTCATAAACCCATAAGGCAAGAAACGGCCAAGGTACCCAGGAACCTTGGGCTGATTGGAAACAACTGTCCCCATTGCACACACACAAAAAATTTGCATTAAAGTTGATTTATCTTCATTATTGAGTTTTTTGGCACTTCCTTCAATTCTGTGCCCAAGGTGAGTGCCTCACTGCCCTATCCTACTCCCGGCCCATATTGAGACCCCGGCCCATAACTGACACCCCATTTCCCGTTTGTCTCATGATGGTCTAGTGCCCCCTAGAGGTTGCTGTGCCAGGCAAGACCCTTGCTGGGGGTCCCCAATGCAGCTCTGGCCCAGTCCTCTCCCCCACCGCCCTCTCACCACATCTGGAAAGGTTCCTGGTATTCCTGTCTCTGCTTCAACACTCTTCCACGCTAGCTGCAATCGCCTGGGTCTCTCCACCTCTGAAACCTTTTCGTAAACCTCCCTCATTGACTCAAGCTATATCCAGAACGTGTCTATTCATCACAACCCAAAAGCTTCTAACCATTGGAGAATTCAGTACTGGGAAGGAGATGGTGGGCATGGACCCAGAATATGGGAACTGACTGGCTGGGGCAGGTGAGGGAGCAGTGGTGGGGCAGAGGGCTCAGACATGAGAGCAGGGGCTTCCTGGCAAGAAGCTGGCCTTCCCAGTTAGGAGGAAGCAAAGCTGCTGTCACAGTCACTGTGGGCCAGTGACGCCTTCAGGAATCTGCTGCAGGAGTGAGGAGCCACAGGACATGCAGAGAGGAGACGGAAGGGACACAGAGGCATCCCATGTAAGTCCCCACTCCATCCCATACGAGAGGGCCACCACCATTGCCCACTCATCAGCCACATACCCCGAGCCCTCGTGGGACACAGAAGAAACCAATGACACAGGAGAGTCCCACATCCTCCCCCAACATTCACCCACAGGCAGATGCAAACTCAAGCGCTCTCTTATCCAGTTGCTTACCAGACACTAATGAAGAGGACTCTGTGTTGAATGGTCAGTGTCTTTCCTGATTTCAAATAACTAGAACCAGCCAGGCACAGTGGCTTACACTTGTAATCCCAGCACTTTGGGAGGCCGAGGTGGGCAGATCACTTGAGGCCAGGATTCGAGACCAGCCTGGGCAACACAGCAAGACCCTGGCTCTACAAAAAAAAAAATTTTAATGTGCTGGGTGTGGTGGTATGCATCTGTAGTCTGAGCTACTCAGGAAGCTGAGGTGGGAGGATTGCTTGAGCCCAGGAGTTTGAGGCTGCGATGAGCCATGATCGCACACTGCACTCCAGCCTGGGCAACAGAGTGAGATTCTGTCTCAAAAACAACAACAACAAAAATCCTACAATCTATTTGAAGGTCAAAGGCCAAAAGTGGCTTTGGCAAATAAAACTGAAAAAAATTGTTTTATGATCACCTTTATGCCCAAGTTTATCACAGGTGACTTCCAAGAGGGCAAACCTCTCATTATTCTAGCTGAGCCATAGACCAGACACCCCTCACCCCCACATCTGCCCCTTCTCTACTGTGCCCTACTCAGTTCATGGCCACGTCCATTACTGAGTTGATCATTTTTACTCCAATCTCCCTACATCCAATCCATCACTACAACCTGCTGGTCCCCATGATGTATCTCAAATCTACCCACCTTTCTCCATCACCGTGACCACCTCCCTGGTCCCAGCCACCATCTCCTGTCTCCTGGACCTCCACAGAGGCCTCCCTCCATGTGGTCCCTTGCCTCTCAATTCATTGCTCACGTTTTTAACATGCAAATTGGTTCATCCCCACTGCTGAAAATGCTCCAGAACAGACTTCAAAGTTTTTAGCTCAAGCTGCATGATCCTGTGAACAGCCCTGCCTGCCACCTTCTCCAAGCCCCACTCATCACCAGCTTGCTCTGGCCTCAGAATGTTTCCGCTCCCCCCAGAGCTAATTTCTATCCTTCTGCCTGTTCCATCAGGCGAATAGTCAAGCCAGAGAGCGTTTGGAGGGAAGTTCTTGATCCTGCCAGCAGCCGCTCCAGCACATGGACATACTGATGGACCCCCAGGTCTCCAGGGCCCCCTTGGAGAGAACTGCAAGCACCTGGGGCCAGCAGTGAAAGAGGAAGGTCTGTCTGCCCAGTCTCTCCTTGGGCAGAAACTGTCCTGAAATGCTTTGCGCAGTGGTGTGATCATGGTTTGTTGTAGCCTTGATCCCTCCCGGAACCCTAGCAGAGGTGCCTCACAGGATGATGTCTTCTAAATGGCTATTTTGCTCTCGTATACATTTTTTTATTATTGTTTGTTTGTTTGAGACAGAGTCTCATTCTGTCACCCAGGCTGGAGTGCAATGGCGTGATCTTGGCTCACTGCAACTTCTGCCTCCTGGGTTCAAATGATTCTCCTGCCTCAGCCTGCTGAGTAGCTGGGATTACAGGCATGCACCACCATGCCCAGCTAATTTTTGTATTTTTAGTAGAGACGAGGTTTCACCATGTTGACCAGGCTGGTCTTGAACTCCTGACCTCAAATGATCCACCCGCCTTGGCCTCCCAATGTGCTGGGATTACAGGAGTGAGCCACCGCACCCGGCCATCGTATACATTAAAATCCATGTTTCTCCAATGACATTTGAAAAGCTCAGCCATTTGGGTAGAAATTAACATGAGGGCCTGTGACTGTGGGATTTCTGAACAGAAGTTAATGTCCAACTTTGGAGTAAGATGGTGAAAGGACAAGAAAGAAAAGAAGAGAAAAAATGGAGCTTTTGAGAAAGGGTGTTGATATGGTTTGGCTGTGTTCCCATCCAAATCTCATCTTGAACTGTAACTCCCACAATTCCCAAGTGTTGTGGGAGGGACCTGGTGGGAGGTAATTGGATGATGCGGGTGGGTCTTTCCCATGCTGTTCTTGTGATAGTGAATGAATCTGATGAGATGTGATGGTCTTATAAAGAGGAGTTCCCCTGCACAAGTCCTCTCTTGCCTGCTGACATGTAGGAAGTCTCTTTGCTTTTCCTTCATCTTCCACCATGACTGTGAGGACTCCCCAGCCGTATGCAACTGTGAGTCCATTAAACCTCTTTCCTTTATAAATTACCCAGTCTCGGGTATGTCTTTAACAGCAGTGTGAAAACGGACTAATACAGGTGCTAAGGTTTATTTGAATTAAAAATATCAAAATCACAGAGAGATACCACTTTGCCTCCATTAGGATGGCTACGGTGGGGGGCAGGGGTGGAATACACAGAAAACAACACATGTTGGCAAGGATGTGGAGAAATTGACATTTTTGTGCATTGCTGGTGGGAGTGTAAAATGGTGCGGCTACTGTGGAAACCAGTATACGGGTTCCTTAAAAAATTAAAAATGGAATTACCATGTAATCCAGCCATTCCACTTCAGGGTATATACCCAGAAGAATTGAAAGCAGGGACTCAGACAGATCCTTGTACACCCATGTTCATTGCGTCATCATTCACAATGACCACAAGGTGGGAGTAACCAAGTGTTCCTTGATGGATGATGAATGAATAAGCAAAATGTGGTCCATCCATACAGTGGAATATTATTCCGTTTTTTGTTTCTTTGTTTTTTTGGGTTTCTTTTTTTAGACAGAATCTCCCTCTGTCGCCCAGGCTGGAGTGCAGTTGTGCAATCTCAGCTCACTGCAACCTCCACCTCCCAGGTTCAAGCGATTCTCCTGCCTCAGCCTCCTGAGTAGCTGGGATTACCGGCACGGGCCACCACACCTGGCTAATTTTTGTATTTTTAGTAGAGACAGTGTTTCGCCACATTGGCCAGGCTGTTCTCAAACTCCTGTCCTCAGGTGATCCACCTGCCTCGGCCTCCCAAAGTGCTGGGATTACAGGTGTGAGCCACCTATTCAGTCTTAACAGAAGGAAATTCTGACACATACTATGACATGGATGAAACTTGAGGACATTATGCTAAGAGAAATAAGCCAGTCACAAAAGGACAAATATTGTCTGATTCCGCTTACAGGGGCATCTTGCATAGTCAAATTCATACGGACAATAAACAGAATGATGGTTGCCAGGGGCTGAGAGGAGGGGCAAATAGAGAGTTATTTAATGGGTAAGGAGTTTCAGTTTGGGAAAATTAAAAGTTCTTGAGATGGATATGTGGATGGTTGTACAACAATGTGAATGTATTTAATGCCACTAAACTGTACAGCTACAAAGGGTTAAAATAGTAAATTCCATGTGTCTTTTACCATAAAAAACAAACAAACAAACAAAACAAAATCAAACAAAAATACAAGGCCAGAAGAAGTGGCTCGTGCCTGTAATCCTAGCACTTTGGGAGGCCAAGGTGGGCAGACCACTTCAGGCCAGGAGTTCGAGACCAGCCTGGTCATCATGGCGAAACCCCATCTCTACTAAAAATACAAAAATTAGCTGGGTCTGGAGGCACAGGCCTGTAATCCCAGCTACTCAGGAGGCTAAGGCAGGAGAATCACTTGAACCTGGGAGGCAGAGGTTGCAGTGAGCCGAGATCGTGCCACTGCATTCCAGCCTGGCAACAGAGCAAGACTCTCTCTCTCAAAAAAAAAAAAAATGATAATAATAATAATAAAAATAAATTTAAGGCCAGGCGCGGTGGCTCACGCCTGTAATCCCAGCACTTTGGGAGGCCCAAGCGGGCGGATCACAAGGTCTGGAGTTTGAGACCATCCTGACCAACATGGTGAAACCCCATCTCTACTAAAACTACATAAAATGAGCCAGGCCTGGTGGCGCGCGCCTGTAGTCCCAGCTACGCGGGAGGCTGAGGCAGGAGAATCACTTGAACCCGGGAGGTGGAGGTTACAGTGAGTCCAGATCGCGCCACTGCACTCCAGCCTGGCGACAGAGCAAGACTCCGTCTCAATAAATAAATAAATAAATAAATAATAAAAATAAAAATAAATTTAAAATACTACAAATAAACTGGCAACATATATGGTAGCAATCACAGCATTTCCTCCTGAGTTCAGTGGGGTGGGACAGCTGGCCGGGGTTGCTGCTTTGACTTCAGTGCAGCTTCCTAGCATTTCTGCAATCCCGGGGCAGTGGCGGGGGGGCAGGGGGCAGGAGGGCTGGTAGAGTTTGGTCAGTCCAGGTGGGAACTGCAAAGCTCAGAGCTGAATGCCTGCTCGCCTGTGGGAGTGCCCAGACACACCCAGCCACAGTGCACCCATCCAGCCTGCTGTGTCTGCAGGCACGTCCAGGGCAGTCGGCACGGTGTGTCCAAGTGCATCCAGCCATAGACACTCTCCAAGCTGCAGCCAGTTCCTAGAACCTTAATAGACCAGCGGCAGTAAAATCATTTCACCTTCAATATTGTGCAGTAATTTTAAAATTATAGGCCTGAAACGGTGATAGTAAGTATGTCATAAAAGCACCATTCCAAAAAAAAAGTGTTTTATTGCAATGAAAATGTTAGCAGCAGGTCGCCCCTTGGTTTACATAACCTTCTCTGCAGGAACTTCCAGTGCTGAGTGCAGTTCCCATTTTCAACCAAAAAGCTCCCTCGGTCTTGCTGAAGCACTCAGAAGTACCCTCAAGCAATAATCATTTGTGTATTGATTTGGGGGAAGAGTCAGTCCAATCTCGTCCACCTCACTAAATTATTAATGAAGCCAAGCACATCAGAAACCCCAAGATGGGCTAACAGGTAAGGTTTGTTATTTAACCCTGTTGGTGCCTGATATGGTTTGGATATTTGTCGCTTTCAAACCTCATATCGAAATGTGGCCCTCCAGTGTTGGAGGTGGGGCCTCGTGGGAGGTGTCTGGGTCTTGGGGTGGATTCCTCACGAATGCCTTGGTGCCCCCCACACAGTAATGAATGAGTGAGAGCTGATTGCTTAAAACAGCCTGGCACTTCCTCCCACTTCCTTCCTCTCTTGCCACATGGCACTGGCTCCCCCTTTGCCTTCCGCCTTCATTGGATTTTTTTTTTTTTTTTTTTTGAGACCCAGTCTCACTCTGTCGCTCAGGCTGGAGGGCAGTGGTGCAATCTTGGCTCACTGCAACCTCCACCTCCCAGGTTCAAGCAATTCTCCCGCCTCAGCCTCCAAAGTAGCTGAAACTACAGGCACCTGCCACCACGCCCAGCTAATTTTTGTATTTTTTAGTAGAGATGAGGTTTCGCTATGTTAGCCAGGCTGGTCTCGAACTCCTGGCCTCAAGTGATCTGCTTGCCTCGGCCTCCCAAAGTGTTGGGATTACAGACATGAGCCACCATGTCTGGCCTTGATTGGAAGCCTCCTGAGGCCCTTGCCAGAAGCAGATGCTAGTGCCAAGCTTCTTGTACAGTCTGCAGAACTGTGAGCCAAATAAACCTATTTTCTTTATAAATGACCCAGCCTCAGGCATTCCTTTACAGCAACACAAAACAGGTTACTACAGAGCCACAGGAATAAAGGTGACACCCTGAGACAGCCTGAGTCTCGAGGCCTAAGTACAGATTGTGGGAATGCAAGGCTGGAGGGGTGGATGAAGAAAGCCATGGACAAGCCCCTCCGTCCCAAGGAGTGGCCCCTCCTTAATCATAGCAGGTGAGAGGAGCAGACCAAGCTCACTTTCAGCCAAGCTCAAAGCAGCTGGCAGAGGGGCTCCAGGTGTCTGGTAGCAAGACCACCAGCCCTGAGAGAGAGAGAGAGAGAAAGACACACACACACACACACACACACACACACACACACACACACACACACACACCCTGGAATTCCCTGGGGGATGCAATAGGAAGCAGGCAGTGCTACCCACTTGCTGGAGCTCCGTGGGCCCCTCCACCACCACAGACAGCCCATCTTTATTATGAACTTAATCACTGTATTTAAATCCATTCATTTTTATATTATTTAAGAACAGTGTTATGTTGGCCCAAACCAAATGAAACAACATTACAAAGGGGGAAAGGGCTGGGCATGGTGGCTCACGCCTGTAGTCCCAGCACTTTAGAGGGCCAAGGCAGGAGGATCACTTCAGCTCAGGAGTTTGAGACCAGCCTGGGCAACTTAGTGAGACCCCCATCTCTATAAAAAAAAAAAAATAGCCAGGCACAGTGGTGCATGTCTGTAGTCCCAGCTACTCAGGAGGCTGAGGTAGGAGGATAGCTTGAGCCCAGGAGTTCAATGCTGTAGTGAGCCATGATTGCACCACTGCAGTCCAGCCTGAGGGACAGAGTAAGACCCTGTCTCTAAAAGTGGGGAGGGAGAGGATTATTATGAAACATGAATTAAATTTTTTAAAAAGAAAATAAAGTAGGCTGGGCACGGTGGCTCACACCTGTAATCCCAGCACTTTGGGAGGTCAGGGTGGGCAGGTCACTTGAGGTCAGGAGTTCGAGATCAGCCTGGCCAACATGGTGAAATCCCATCTCTACTAAAAATACAAAAATTAGCCTAGCATGGTGGTGCACGCCTGTAGTCCCAGCTACTCAGGAGGCTGAGGCAGGAGAATCGCCTGAATCTGCAAGGCAGAGGTTGTAGTGAGCCGAGGGATCACACCACTGCACTCTAGCCTGAGTGACAGAGCGAGACTCCGTCACACACACACAAAAAGGAATTCAATTTCCCACAAATGAAGTGCGGCGATGTTTATGGAATTCACTGGTGTTGCCATGTTCCCCACCAATCTGAAGCAGCTGGCTTGATAGAACAGTGGAATGGCTTTTTTCTTTTTTCTTTTTTTTTTTTTTTTTTTTGCACTCTGTCGCCCAGGCTGGAGTGCAATGGTGCGATCTCAGCTCACTGCAACCTCTGTCTCCTGGGATCAAGCGATTCTCATGCCTCAGCCTCCCGAGGAGCGCACGCCACCACGCCTTGCTAATTTTTGTATTTTTAGTAGAGACGGGGTTTCACCATGTTGGTCAGGCTGGTCTCGAACTCCTGACCTCGTGATCCGCCTGCCTCGGCCTCCCAAAGTGCTGAGTATACTGGCGTGAGCCACTGCGCCCGGCCTGGAATGGCCTTTTGAAGACGCAGTTACAGCATCAGCTCAGAGGCGATACCTTGCAGGGTTGGAGCAAGGTTGTTCAGAAGGCGGCATAAGCTCCGAATTAGCGTCCGATAGATGGCGCTGCTGCTTCTAGCCAGGATTCGAGGGTCCAGGAATCAAGGAATGGAAAAGGAATGGCACCGTTCACTATTACCCTTAGTGAGCCACTAGGTAATTTTGTTTCCTGTTCCTCCCATCTCATGGTCTGCTGGCCTAGAGGTCTTAGCTCCTAAGGAAGGAATGATTCCGCCAGGAGTCACAGCACTGATTCCACCGAACTGGAAGTTGAGACTGACTCCTGGCCACTCTGAGCTCCCCATGCCTCTGAATCAATGAGCAAAGAAGGGAGGGACTGGGCTGGCTGGGGTGATGGACCCTGCCTGCCAAGGGGAAATTGGAACACCACTCACGCTGGAAGTGAGTAAGACTATTTGGAACTCCGGAGATCCCTTAGAGGGATCTCGGTGTACGTATTCCAAATTTCTCTCCCCATCTATGGCTTCCTTTTTTTTTTTTTTTTTTTTTTTTTGAGACAGAGTCTTGCTCTGTCGCCCAGGCTGGAGTGCAGCGGCACAATCTCGACTCACTGCAACCTCTGCCTCCTGGGTTCAAGTGTTTCTCCTGCCTCAGCCTCCCGAGTAGCTGGGATTACAGGCACCCACCACCATGCCCGGCTAATTTTTGTATTTTGGGTAGAGACGGGGTTTCACCATGTTGGCCAGGCTGGTCTCAAACTCCTGACCTCAAGTGCTCTGCCTGCCTCGGCCTCCCAGAGTGCTGGGATTACAGGCATGAGCCACCACACCTGGCCCTATGGTTTACATTTTTACTTTCTCTTTTAAAAAATGTAGGCTGGGTGTGGTGGCTCACACCTGTAATCCCAGCACTCTGGGAAGTCAAGGCCGGCGGATCAGTTGAGCTCAGGAGTTCAAGACCAGCCTGGCCAACATCGTGAAACCCCATCTCTACTAAAAATACAAAAAAATTAGCCGGGTGTGGTGGTGGGCGCCTGTAATCCCAGCTACTGGGGCGGCTGACGCAGGAGAATCACTTGAACCTGGGAGGCAGAGATTGCAGATCGTGCCACTGCACTCCAGCCTGGGCGACAGAGTGAGACTTCATCTAAAAAAAAAAAAAAAGAGCTTTGGGATTCACTGAAAGAGGGAAATCAGAGGTGCGCACTCCAGCATCAGAGGAATCTGATCAGCCTGGCCGTCTCCAGGGCTTGATTCTCCTAGGTGTGGATTTACTGAACATCACCTGCTGGGCAGCCATCCCAGATGTCCACCCCGAAGCCTGCAGTCACCCTTAGCTGTGTGCCTGTGGGACTGAGCCAGAGAAGCTCTGCTGAGGAATTCAAGAGCAGACAGGCTCCTGGAGCATCAGCTGGCCTCCAACCCATCCTTAAAGCAAGGCTCCCAACCTGCTTATGCAATTCAATCCCAGATACGCACACGTGCCCCAGGTGATCTGCCATACACAGCATAGTAAGCCCAGCCAGTGTCCAGTTTGGCATCATTTTATTTTTTTAAATAACTGATCACAACTGCTTCTTAGGAGCCACTCTAAATTCAGAAGAAGGTGTTACATTATCTCAGAGGCACAGATCAGTGAAGAACAAAACAATGCTGAAAGTCAGTCCACACTAATTCCAACACCACCCTTCTCTCCCCGCCTGCCTGAATTTGCCTATCCTAGGCATTCTTTTCAGGGGCGGACGTGCGGCAGGGAGAGACCGCTTCTGGTAGAAACCAAAAGCACGCTCCTGTTCAGCCCCCAGAACATGTAGTAAATTGTCTTACACTTCATAGACATCCCATGTTTGCTAAAGTTCGATTAAATTTTAATTAGTTTTTTGTATTAAAGTATAATCTAATTGACTGTAGGAAATAAAATGTGGTGCGAAATGATGTTTCTGTTTCCACACCAGTCAACCTTTTAAATTAAATGATAGAATCTTGTAAATATAGTTTGTACAAATACATTCACCATTACATTTTGATTTATAAAACTCACCCATCACTGGCCAGGCGCAGTGGCTGATGACTGCAATCCCAGTGCTTTGGGAGGCCCAAGCGGGAGGATCACTTGAGCCCAGGAGTTTAAGACCAGCCTGAACAACATAGCAGTACCCTGTCTCTACAAAAAAATTAGAAATTACCCTGGCATGGTGGCTCATGCCTGTAGTCTCCACTACTCGGAAGGCTAAGGCAGGAGGATGGCTTGAGCCCTGGAGTTAGAGGCCGCAGTGAGCCGTGATTGAATCACCACACTCCAGACTGGACGACAAAGTGAGTGAAACCCTGTCTTTAAAAAAGCAAAAAATTGGCCTGTCGCTGTGGCTCACACCTGTAATCCCAGCACTTTGGGAGGCTGAGGCGGGCAGAGCACTTGAGGTCAGGAGTTTGAGACCAGCCTGGCCAACATGGTGAAACCCTGTCTCTACTAAAAATACAAAAATTAGCCAGGCAGTAGTGGCACATGCCCATAGTCCAAGCTACTTGGGAGGCTGAGGCAGGAGAATTGCTTGAACCCGGGAGGCAGAGGTTGCAGTAAGCTGAGATTGTGCCACTGCACTCCAGCCTGGGCAATAGAGCAAAACTCCATTTCAAAAAGAAAAGGAAAGATCACCATCATTGAACAGAGGTGGGTGAGGGAAATGGATGAGTGATTCTGCCTCCTGCAGCTGAGAACTCAGCATACTGGAGACCACACTCTCAGCCTTCCCCGGCAGTGAGGAGGCCCTGCTCCTCCGGAGAGGCTGTAGGAGGGTTCTTCCCCAAGGCTGAGGCCACCTCTCAGTCATTAAAGCTGAAACCCTCTCCTGGAAGCAGCTGATGGTATGTGCGTATCTCTGCCCTCCTAGCGCAGATGAAACCTCTCTTTCCCTGTCTGGAGCCCTTCAGGCCACAGTTGCATGGGAGGTAGAAACAGAGGGAAATGGGACAGTCCACCGCCCAACAAATGCAGGCTCTGCCCTACTGGAAGAGCACAGGCCATGTGCAAGAAATAGTTAAATCCACGTGGAGCTGGTGGGGACAGGCTGGGAAGACGAACCAGACTGCTGTCAACATGACTTTTATTATTTTAAGTTTTTTTTAGAGAGAGGAAGTCTTGCTATGTTGACTAGGCCAGTCTTGAACTCTTTTTATTCATTTATTTTATTTTTTATTTTATTTTATTTTGAGTTAGAGTCTCGCTCTTTCACCCAGGCTGGAGTGCAGTGGCGCAATCTCAGTTCACTGCAACCTCCACCTCCCAGGTTCAGGCGATTCTTGTGCCTCGGACTCCCAAGTAGCCGGGACTACAGGTGTGCACCATCATGCCTGGCTACTTTTGTATTTCTAGTAGAGACAGGGTTTTGCCATGTTGGCCAGGCTGGTCTTGAACTCCTGAGCTCAAGTGATCCACCCGCCTTGGCCTCCCAAACTGCTGGGATGACTGGTATGAGCCGCTGTGCCCGGCCTTTAATATTTTTATTTAGATTAGATTGACTTTTGTGCTGTGAAATGCATAGATCTTAAGCATACAATTTAATGAGTTTTGATAAACACACACCCAAACTCCTACAAAATAAAGAGCATTTCCATCAACCCCTCGAAGGTCTTTTTGTACCCATTTTCAAGAAATCAATCTCTGCCACCTATGCAACCATTGCTCTGCTGTCACTATAGATTAATTTGCATTTCCTAGAGCTTTATGTAAGTGAAATCATAAATGATGTACTGTTTCACTGTACACGACGTGAGATTCCACCCACGTCTGTGTAAGTGTCAGCATCCCATCCCTTTCTCTTGCTGTGTAGTGGTCCATTGCCTGGATAACCCACAGTTTATTCATCTCCTGTGGACACCTGGGCTGTTCCTAGTTTTTTACTATTGTATTGAGAGCATCTGTGGCATTTTCTTATGGACGTTGTTTTCATTTATTTTGGATAAATACTGAAGGCTGGGATTGTTCATAACCCAGCTTTTCAGATTCTGATAGAATGCGGTAATTTTCACTGCTTTGCTATACCCCTTGGGCCCTTCCTCTGCTAAAAATTATTTTGTCACTTATATGTGTTGTAGATATCTTTTTCTTGTTTGTAAGTTGTCCTTTTTTTCCCTTTAAGATCAAAGTTATCATTCACCATCCCAATTTGCACAATTCAGAATCTGCCCAAAAATCAAACAAGCAATCAGCAGTAATAAGACAGTCAAGACAGTCAGGCAAGAGGGCTGCTTTAAGGAGCCACATTTAAACATCAAAGGCATTCCTATTTAGCAGGAGCATGCAATTTTTAAAAAATGGAATTATCCCATTCACAGTATCTAGAAATAACCCCAGCAAGAAATATATGGGACCCAGGCTGGGCACAGTGTCTCTTGCATGTAATCCCAGCATTTTGGGAGGCCGAGGCAGGCAGATCTCTTGATGCGAGGAGTCGGAGACCAACCTGGGCAACATGGTGAAACCCTGCCTCTACTAAAAATACAAAAATTAGCCAGGCGTGGTAGCACACGCCTGTAATCCCAGCTACCTGGGTGGCTGAGGCAGGAGAATTGCTTGAACCTGGGAGGTGGAGGTTGCAGTGAGTCAAGATCGCACCACTGCACTCCAGTCTGGGCAATAAGAGTGAAACTGCTTCTCAAAAAAAAAAAAAATCTACTTATAATGGTATCAAAAAAAGAAAATACTTAGAAATGTGCTTAACAAAAGAGGTGTAAAACTTATGCTCTGAAAACTAAAAACCTTGTTGAAAGAAATTAAAGAAGACCTAAATAAATTGAAAGCCATTCCATGTTCATGGATTAGAAAACTTAACATTATTAAGATAACAATATCCCCCCAAATGATTTATTTCTATCAAATGCAATTTCTATCAAAATCCCAACTGGATTGTTTGCAGAAATTTACAGGCTGATTCTAAAACTCATGGAAATTCAACAGACCCAGAATAGCCAGAACAATCTTGAAAATAACAACTTTGAAGTCCTCATACGTCCCAATTTGAAAATTTAGTACACAGCTATAGTTATCAAGAGTGTGGCACAGGCATAAAGCTAGACATGTAGATTAAGGTACTAGAATTAGAAAACCACAAATAAGCCCTCATATTTATGGTCAATTGATTTTCCACAAGGGTGCCAAGACCTTTGGGAACAGAATAGTCTTTTCAACAAATGGCGTTTGGATGAATGAAAATCCACATGCAAAAGAATGAAGCTGGACCCCTCCTTCACATCATATACAAAATTGACTCAAAGTAGATCCAAAACTTAAATGTAAGAGCAAAAGCTATAAAACCCTTATAAGAAAACATTAGTGTAAATCTTTATGACCTTGAACTTGGCAATGGAGTCTTGAATATGACATCAAAAGCATAAGCAAAAAGGAAAAGTAGATACATTAGACTTGATCAATATTGAAACGTTTGCACTTCTAATGACAGTATTAAGAAAGCAAAGAAGGCCGGGCACGGTGGTTCACACCTGTAATCCCAGCACTTTGGGAGGCCAAGGCAGGCGGATCAAGAGGTCAAGAGATCGAGACCATCCTGGCCAACATGGTGAAACCCCGTCTCTACCAAAAATACAAAAATTAGTTGGGCGTGGTGGCACGCGCCTGTAGTCCCAGCTACTTGGGAGGCTGAGGCAGGAGAATCGCTTGAACCCGGGAGGTGGAGGTTGCCGTGGGCAGAGATCACACCACTGCACTCCATCCTGGTGACACAGTGAGACTCTGTCTCAAAAAAAAAAAAATGCGGTGGCTCACACCTGTAATCCCCACACTTTGGGAGGCTGAGGTGGGCGGGGCGGATCACCTGAGGTCAGGAATTCGAGACCAGCCTGGCCAACATGATGAAACCTCGTCTCTACTAAAAATGCAAAAATTAGCCGGGCGTGGTGATGTGCACCTGTAATCCCAGCTACTCGGGAGGCTGAGACAGGAGAATCGCTTGAACCGGGGAGGCGGAGGTTGCAGTGAGCAGAGATCACACCACTGCACTCCAGCCTGGGCGACAAAGACTCCATCTCAGTAAATAAATAAATAAATAAATAAATAAATAGCAAAGAGAAAAGGAAACGGAGAAAAGATTTCAAACCCTGTATCCAATGAGGGACTTTTTAATTTTTATTTTTTCTTCGAGATGGAATCTCGCTCTGTCGCCCAGGCTGGATTGCAGTGGCGTAAGTATGAGCCAGAAATAAACCAGCTCCACAATGACGCAAGCCCAGTTTCCAATAAATTCATCCCTAATTGGATCCAGGTGAACGCTCCTATCAGCACTGCAAAACGTCAAAGTCTCCTTACAAGCTTTCCTAGGCAATGTCAGTCAAAAACAACCAAGATACAAAAGCGCGAGAATTGACTAGAAAACGACAGAAATAAACAAACAAACAAAAACAATAAACCCAGATCCATAGAAGAGGCAGGAAGAGGAACTGCTTCTGGGGCAGGTGAATTTGACTACACAGCCTATGCCATGACTGCAATTTCTGCACTGGGACTGTCCTGTCGGGTTTGACATGTGAATCCCTGGAGAATGTTTGTAAAAACTCCAATGCCTCACCCCACCCTACCCCACCACCCCCAAAGCCTCGAATGCACTTGCTCAGGAATAGGTTCCCACATACAAATGTGGGTAGAACCCCAGCGCTGAGCAACCAACCCCAGCCCAGGCAGCTGGCTTCAGCCCACACCCGGCCGTCTGCAGCTGGGGCAGAGTCCCCTGCCTGGCCTGGAGTTTCCACGCAGTCATCGGACTGAGGATCACGCTAACCGGACTCAGTCCCGCATCCCTCCACACGGGGTCCCCTTGGCCTCGCCGCCGGTCCAGGTCTTGCATTTGTGAAAAGGCTGCACCCACTGCGCGGCTGCAGGGAGACGGGCAATCTTCAGGCCTTTGCGAGGCTCAGCTAAGCCCGGCGAACGTCGAGGATCGGCACCCGCGTGGGCTCCCCCAAGTGGCAGCTTGGAGCCAGGAAGACTAGCGCGAGGAACCCACGCCACAGAAGGCGGCGTGGGAGAGCGCGTCCACCGCCCGCCCTGAGGAAGCAGCCTCGGGGCGAACACCGGCTCCTCGCTGGACTCGCACAGCTGCTTCCCAGCCCGCCGCTCGCCTCCCACGGCCAGCCAGCACCATGGCAACCGCGGTCGCCTGGGTCCCCGCGCCGCCTACGCCCCACAGAGCCTGAGACCCGAGAAGGTGGAGTCCGAAGCCCGCCTGCACCCGCCCCCGTGGCCGAGGCCACGCCCCGTTGGGGGGCCCGTCTACCTAGGCCTCTCGGGATCCCGCTCACACCCTCATAGTATCGGGCAGCCGGGTACAGAGCACAAAAGTGCAGGAGCAAAAATGGAAAGAGCTTGGACGCTCGGTTGAGGCACCGCTGGGATTCGAACCCAGGATCTCCTGTTTACTAGACAGGCGCTTTAACCAACTAAGCCACGGCGCCACCCGTACAGGTACTTTCCTAAACTATTCTTCATTACTATTTACCATATGGGCCGCGCGCATGCGCACACATTCGGCCTGTTGTGGCGCACGCGTAGTGTAGCTTCCGATTCACACAGGCAGCTGAGACTGAGACCGGAAGCTTGGGCTGCACGGAGCGGGCGGAGCCTGGGAAGGCCAGACTTCCTGGTCACGGTAATGTCTCTTCCAACGTGGAGCCAGGACGCTCCGCCTTTGGGGAACGCTGGTGCAGGGCTTGGGACTCAGGGCAGTGCGGTCGAGCCCCTACCCACTCCGGAGAACCCCCGGCCCCGCCAGCGCGGCCGGGCTGCTGGCTCCCCTGGCGTCCGGTCGAGGCGCACACCCGCCTCGGTCCGACTGTGACCCCGGTGAGCTTCGGACCATTCTGCCCCGCGACCTCAGCCTGAGAAGACCCGGGGCCCTGCCAGCTCCCGGGACTATAACTTCAGTTGAGTCGCTACTTCCGCGGATCCTGAGCTGGGGGAAAGTCGAGGGGTCCGGAAGGCTCAGGAGGGATCGTGGACTTCAGGGTTCCCAGGCTGCTGGCGTGGAGCACCAACACCTTACATGGAGGGGTTTCTGCTGCCAGAGCAGGCAAGGCCCTCCCCTCCCTAGTTTCTCACTGACCCCTTCTGGGTGTCCTCACGCAACTACACCAGCCACTGGTCTCCGCACTTTCCAGAGGGCCTGTGGGCAACTACGAAGCCGAACACTGCCAACCCATCCACCCAGCATCCCTGCAGCATGCACAGAAAGGTTCACCCAGCATGGTGTGCAATAGGAAACTAAGCTCCTATCTCAGCCTATTTCTGGATTGATGCACGCTGTGCAAAATGCCGTGGCAGCAGGAAGAGGGCTGCACATAAGCAAGGGGTTCTGGAAATTAAGACGTCTAGAGGAGAAAGCGTGAGACATCCCGTGATGGCAATGCCACCGCCACCCCCTTGCCTAACCAAACCGTCCTCTGCTCCGGGCAAGTGGCCATCTGGGAGCATTAGCCAGGGAGGCACTCATTGTGTCTTGCCATCACGTCCACAGAGGGGGCCCCACACCTTGTCATACTCATTTGACAAACTCTCCAGAACTGCTGGTGCCAGCCCCCACAGGTCACCTTACAGGGCAACTCCAGACTCCACAATGTGAGTCTAATATGTGTTCCAAGAATCAAACAGGATGAGCACCAAGACATAAAGCTTAGAAATAGCAAGACTGCTTTTCAGATGCACATGCACGCTTGTTTTCCAAAGGAATTAGATTTATTCTGCATGAAAACGGAAAGTGTTCACTCCCCAAGCTGAGAGCTGAGGAGGTGGCACTGTGCTGAGTCCAGCCAGGGCTTGGGTCCTGCCCCAGTCTGACAGGCCTGCTGAGCCTGGGAGGGGCCCAAGAGAAAGCCCCTGCAAAGCCCCGAAACCTACATGCTAGGTAGCCTGTGCTGGAGTCACTCAAAGGGGCCTGTGGCTGTCAGTCATCCTTGCTTCCCCTTGGCGGCGGTGAGTTCTCCCTTTCCGATGATGATGATGACGATGAAGTATCTGCTGGCAAGCCCCTTGTATCTATCCGGCAGAACACGCATTGGGTGAACATTTCAGAAGAGGTGTCACTCTTGAAGATGGAGAAAGGCCTGTCACATCTTTCGCACTGACATGGGATATTTTAAAAGAGCAGAAAGGAGGTGCTGGTCAGAGGTGATCCAGGCATGCCATTAGAATTCTCCCAGCTACCTTGAGCTGGGGCAAGGCAAGGGTTCCCCTCTCTGGAATCTCTTTTTGGTTTGTTTGTTTGTTTTTGTTTTTGTTTTTGAGACAGAGTCTCACTTTGTTGCCCAGGCTGGAGTGCAGTGGCACCATCTAGGCTTACTGCAACCTCCGCCTCCCAGGTTCAAGCAATTCTCCTGCCTCAGCCACCCGAGTAGCTGGGATTACAGGCGTGCACCACCACATCCTGCTAATTTTTGTATTTTTAGTAGAGATGGGGTTTCTCCATGTTGGCCAGGCTGGTCTTGAACTCCTGGCCTCAAGTGATCCACCCACCTTGGCAGCCCAGAGTGCTGGGATTACAGGCGTGAGCCACTGGGCGCAGCCCCTCTCTGGAATCTCTAACCCCACAAAGGCGGAAATTGCAGAGAGAATGAGCACAGGCTGCTTCCCCACCAATGGCTAAGCAGGTCCTGCCAGCTCATGTCTCCTGCCAGCTCATGTCTCCTGCCAGCTCATGTCTCCTGCCATGGGGGTCCTGAGGACATGCGTGGCAAGCCCCTTGACAGTTGGGAGGATGGGGGTGAGTGTCCCGCCCCATCCATTGTTCTGTGCCGAGTAAAATTGTGGGACTAAGAGGATGACTCCCTGACATCCTGAGAACACCCAACTTTTACAGAACCATGAGACGCAAGTAGGCAAGATTTCTGAACAAAGCAGGGGTGTGAAGCAGATTGATGCAGGTGCTAGGTGCCCTCCTGCGTCCCTGAGCCTGTTTCTGGCCAAAGCTCACAGAGTACACTGAAAACAAATGGCACAGCTCACCCATCACGTCTGCTTCCCACTAACAAGCAAGAGTGCCATGGGATGAGGTCTCCTAGGCCATGGGCAGAGGCCCCTCAGGGGTTCCCACCATGCATGGTCCCCTGGAGAAGAGCCTGCAAGGTGGCCGCGCCCCTGCCCTGGCTCTCCCAGCCCCTGGGCTTTGCTGTTCTGCCCACTCCAGGACACTGAGGCCTGCTGGAGAGGGGGGTAAACCCTACCTGGGGCAGGCCTCGGGGAAGCCTGGCCTCAGGCTTCTCATGTTGATTGATTCAGAGCAAGTCAAATGCAGCAGGCTCATCCTTGCTTCAGCTTCAGGTAGGCCTCTTTCTTTTCCTTTTTTGCAAGAAATAGATTAGATCCCAGTTTGGGTGCGGATAGCTTGCGCCTGTAGTCCCAGCACTTTGGGAGGCTGAGGCGGGCGGATCACTTGAGCTCAGGAGTTCGAGACCAACCTGGCCAACATGGTGAAACCCCGTCTCTAATAAAAACACAAAACAATTAGCCAGCGTAGTGGTGGGCGCCTGTAGTCCCAGCTACTCGGGAGGCTGAGGCAGGAGAATCGCTTGAACCCGGGAGGCGGAGGTTGCAGTGAGACGAGATCGCGCCACTGCACTCCAGCCTGGGCGACAGAGCGAGACTCCATCTCAAAAAAGAAATAAAAAGAAAAAAGGAAATTTGATCCTTTACCTACCTTATCCTACATTCCTACATCCCACGGTCCAACCCCAGAACAACAGGGCTCACAGAGGAGGAGGCTCCCAGGCCTTGCCCTAGGTGGCCAGTGAAAAACAAGGGCCATCACTGCTCTGTAGCAAGTCAGCTTTCACAGTTTAAGGGCCAAACAGGGACAAGGTCCATGTGAGTCCCACCCCTCACACAACTGCCTTGCAGTGCGGCTCCCAAATTAGCCATTCCCAGAAGCAGTGGCTCCCAGCCGAACCTTCTGAGAGGAGGCCAAGTCTAGGCAGCTCCAGGATTCCCAGGGAAGGACTTAAAGGGGCCCAGCCTGCACTCCAAGGCAGCAGCCAGGTGTGTGCACAGAGAGGCTCCAGCGGAGAGTTGCCTCCACTGCCCAGGGACAGCCTCTGTGGCCAGCCCCAGCTGTGCCTGGTGAAGCAGAAAATATGCTGGCCTGACCACCAAGCTCTTGCACTAGAGAAGCGCAGGCACCTAAGCCTTTTGCATGGGAAGTGGGGCACTGGGGACCTGCCCAGGGTAGGAGGCTGACGCAGTGCCCAGCTGTGTACCCGGCCATTCCTCCACTGACCAGTGCTCCTGCAGGTCTCATCCCCTCCAAGCCCCCTCACTCCACCCCTCCGATGCACCAGGCTGGCTCCTGCCTCTCAGGCTCTCTCTGCATTGGCTGTTCTCTATGCTGGGAAGTTCTTTCTTCTCTTTTTTTTTTTTTTTTTTTTTTTTTTTTGAGACAGAGTCTCGCTCTGTCACCCAGGCTAGAGTGCAGTGGCGCAATCTCAACTCACTGCAACTTCCATCTCCCAGGTTCAAGGGATTCTCCTGCCTTAGCCTCTCGAGTAGCTGGTAGTACAGGTGTGCACCACCAAGCCTGGCTAATTTTTTTGTATTTGTAGTAGAGACAGGACTTAACCATGTTGGCCAGGCTGGTCTCGAACTCCTGACCTCAGGTGATCCGCCTGCTTCAGCCTCCCAAAATGTTGGGATTACAGGCGTGAAACACCGCATCCAGCTGGAAGTTCTTTCCTCTAAATATCTGCATGGCTCACCCCCTCACCACCTTCAAGTCGACACAGCTGTCAGTCCTCAATGAGACCTATCCTGACCACCCTTTAAAATCTTGCAACCTCCAGCACTCCTACTCCTGTTTGCTATGTATTTTTCTGTCAATTACTTATCACCATGAGACTTACTACACATTTTTCTTGTGTCTTTCCTCTTTGTTTCCTCTCTTAGAATTTAAGCTCCCCTGGGGCAAAAATGTCAGTCTGTTTGTTCACGATTGCATCTCCAGGTGCCCAAAGTTCATTCAAATGATAAATTAATTTATAGAGGGAACTAACGAAAGCCTTCACTGGGCTTAATTTTACCCAATACCAACCTGTTTCAACTTTAAGCCCACGGCCTTTTTGTACTTGATTACCAAAGGAATTTCATCAATTTCTTCAATATTCCACAGTCTCATGGTCCTATCCTAAAACAAATAGCAAACCAGCGGTCACAAAACAGGCTGTGGTACATCCATACAAAGGAATGTCATTCAACAATCAAAAGACATGGGCTGTCAAGGCACAAAAAGACAGAGGAACCTTCAATGCACATTGTTATGCCATAGAAGCCAACCTGAAGAGGCTACAGAGTATAATTCCAACCATATGACATTCTGGAAAAGGCAAAACTGAAGAATATAAATAGATGAGTCATTGCCCAGGATTATAGGGAAGAGGAGGAGGGATGAATAGTAAAACTATTCTGTATGGCCAGGCGCGGTGGCTCATGCCTGTAATCCGACCACTTTGAGAGGCCAAGGTGGGTGAGGTCAGGAGTTCAAGACCAGCCTGACCAATATGGTGAAACCCCGTCTCTACTAAAAATACAAAAATAGCTGGGCACAGTGGCGTGCACCTGTAGTCCCAGCTACTTGGGAGGCTGAGGCAGGAGAATCACTTGAACCCAGGAGGCGGAGGTTGCAGTGAGCCAAGATCGCACCACTGCACTCAAGCCTGTGCGACAGAGTGAGACTCTGTCTCAAAACAAACAAACAAACAAAACTATATGACACTGTATTGGTGGATATATGATATGCATTTGGCAAAAATATACAGTAACACAAAGCATGAAACTATAAAACCATGGACCTTAGTTAATAATAGTTCCTGAAAGGAATGCAGTCCTGTTGATACCTAGATTTTAGCCCAGTGAGAGCTTATCAGACTTCTATCTTACAGTACTGTAAGATATTAAATTTATGTTGTTTAATGTTTAAACAGTACAGTCTGGTAACTTATTATAGCAGCAATAAAAAAATGGATACATTGAGTATGTTACATTTCTTGATTCAGCAGTTGCAACTAAATATCCTGTGGGAGAACAAAGGGGTCATTTTTGTAACAGATGTGTTGACTTCATGCTGCCTAAAGCTGTCAGATCTTACCAATAAGCATACTTCCTACAGTATAGCAAGTGGTTTGTCAAATCATGACAACAAAAAACATCCTCCCAGCTCTTAGATACTTTAATTCAAAAGTTAGTTTCAAGCTGGGCATGGTGGCTCACACCAGTAATCCCAGCACTTTGAGAGGCCAAGGCAGGCGGATCACCTGAGGTCAGGAGTTTGAGACCAGCCTGGCCAACATGGCGAAACTCTGTCTCTACTAAAAATACAAAAATTAGCCAGGCCTGGTGCTGCATGCCTGTAATCCCAGCTACTCAGGAGGCTGAGGCAGGAGAATCACTTAAACTTGGGAGGCAGAGTTTGCAATAAGCCGAGATCGCACCATTGCACTCCAGCCTGGGTGACAGAGCGAGACTCTGTCTCAAAAAAATAATAATAATAATATTTTTTATTTAGCTGGGTGTGGTGATACACACCTATAGTGTGTTTGGGGCCACTTTTCACCTTCCTCGAAATGTACAGAAGCACTTAATGAGATTTTTTCTTTCTTTTTTTCTCTTTTTTTAAGACAGGGTCTTACTCTGTCACCCAGGCCCGAGTGCAGTGGCATGCCCTCAGCTCACTACAACCTCCGCTTCGCAGGCTCCAGTGATTCTCCTGCCTTGGCCCCCCGAATAGCTGGGACTACAGGCATGCGCCACCATACCCCACTAATATTTTGTATTTTTAGTAGAGATGGGGTTTGGGCACGTTGCCCAGGCTGGTCTCAAACTCCTGAGCTCAGGCAATGTGCCCATCTCAGCCTCCCAAATTGCTGGCATTACAGGCATGAGCCACCGTGCCCAGCCAAGATTTTCAATTAGAGAAATGGAAAGAGATATCTTCCTTAAACATGTGCCTACAAGATGGCTATTATCATTTCTGACCATAGAAAAGATGTCAAAATGGGCCGGGCACAGTGGCTCATGCCTGTAATCCTAGCACATTGGGAGGCCAACGCGGTCGAATCACTTAAGGCCAGGAGTTTGAGACCAGCCTGGGCAACATGGGAAAACCCCGCCTCCGCTAAAAATACAAAAAATTAGCCAGGCATGATCGCGGGCACCTTGTAATCCCAGCTACTCGGGAGGCTAAGGCGGGAGGATCGCCTAAGCCCGGGAGGTTCAGGCTGCAGTGAGCTGAGATCATGCCACTGCACTCCAGCCTGGGCGATACAGCAAGACCCTGTCTCTTTAAAACATAAATAAATGGGCTGGGCGCAGTGGCTCACGCCTGTAATCCCAGCACTTTGGGAGGCCAAGGTGGGTGGATCACCTGAGGTCGAGAGTTCAAGACCAGCCTGACCAACATGGAGAAACCCCGTCTGTACTAAAAATACAAAATTAGCCAGGCGTGGTGGTGCATGCCTGTAATCCCAGCTACTCGGGAGGCTGAGGCAGGAAAATCACTTGAACCCGGGAGGCGGAGGTTGCGGTGAGCCAAGATTGTGCAATTGCACTCCAGCCTGGGCAACAAGAGAGAAACTCCATCTCAAAAATAAAATAAAATAAAATAAATAAATAATGCACATTTTAGATAGATATAGCCTATACCGTGAATTTATAGTGCAAAGGACTTCATTGACAAATACCTGGTCTTTCAAAGCAAGCTTATAGATTTAGTACATTGAACACTTTTGGAGTGCTGGGAAATAAAGCCTACAAATCAAAAAACCTGTTGTTGCCAGTAAGTAAAATCTTTTTTTTTTTTTTTTTTTTTTTGAGACTGGGTCTCACTCTGTCACCATCAGTCAGGCACAAGGGTTCCAGTTGCTCCACATCCTTTGCCAACATTCATTATTTTCTGAGTTCTTTTATTATAGACCCCCTAATAGATGTGAAGTGATACCTCACTGTGCTTTTGATTTGCATTTCCCTAATGACTAATGATGTTGAGCATCTTGCCATATGCTTCTTGGCCATTTGTATATCTTCTTTGGAGAAATGCCTATTCGAGTCTTTTGCCCATCCTTGAAATGGGTTGTTTGTTTTTTGTTGTTGAGTTTTCGAAGTTCTTTATGTATTCTGCATATTAATCCCTTATCAGATACATGATGTGCAACTATTTTCTCCCATTCTCTAAGTTGTCTTTTTGCTTTCTTGACAGTATCCTTTGATGCACAAAAGTTCTTAATTTCAACGAAGTTTAGTTTGTCTGTTTTTGCTCTCATTGCCTATACTTTTGTTGTCATATCCATGAAATCACTGCCAAAGTCAGTATCATGAAGATTTTCTCCACTGTTTTCTTCTAAGGGTTTTATAGTTTAGCTCTCAAGTTAAGGTGTTTGATCCTGAGTTAATTTTTCTATACAGTATTAGGTAAGGGTGCAATTTCATTCTTTTGCATGTAAATTTCCAATTTTCCTAGCACCATTTGTTGAAAAGACTGCCCTTTCTCCATTGAATGGTCTCGGCACCCTCGTCAAAAATCCCTTATTTCTGGGCTTTCTATTCTAAGCCATTTGTCTATATGTCTGTCCCTATGCCAGAACTACACTGTTTTAATTACTGTAGACTTGTAGTAACTTCAAAGTCAGAAAGTGTGAGTCCTCCAATTTTCTTCTTCTCCTTCTCCCTCTTATTCTTCTCCTTCCCCTTCTCCTTCTTCAAGATTCTTTTGGCTATTCGGGGCCCCTTGCAATTTCATATGAAAATGCTGTTGGAATTTTGATAAGGATTATGCAGAATCTGTAGATTACTTTGAGTAGTACTGACATCTTAATGATGAGTCTTCCTATCCATGAATATAGGATGTCTTTCCATTCATTCAAGTCTTCTTTAATTTCTTTCAGCAATACTTTATAGTATTAATTGTGCCAGTCTTTCACCACCTTTGTTAGATTTATTCCTAAGTATTGTTTTATATGCCATTGTAAATGGAATTGCTCTTCCTTTTCAGAGTGTTCATTGCTGGTGTATAGAAACACAACTGCTTTTTTGTGTGTTGATTTTGTACCCTGAAACTTTGTTGAATTCATTTATTAGCTTTAGTAGCTTTCTTGTTAATTCTTTGGGATTTTCTATATTTACGATCATGCCACCTATGAATAGAAATAATTTTGGGGCCGGGCACGGTGGCTCATGCCTGTAATCCCAGCACTTTGGGAGGCCGAGGCGGGTGGATCACGGGGTCAGGAGTTCAAGACCACCCTTGCCAACATGGTGAAACCCCATCTCTAGTAAAAATGCAAAAATTAGCCGAGCATGGTGGCACATGCCTGTAATCCCAGCTACTCGGGAGGCTGAAGCAGGAGAATTGCTTGAACCCAGAAGATGGAGGTTGCAGTGAGCCAAGATCATGCCACTGCACGCCAGCCTGGGTGACAGAGCAAGACTCCATCTCAAAAAAAAAAAAAGAAAGAAATCATTTTGGCTGGGCATGGTGGCTCACACCTGTAATCCCAGCACTTTGAGAGGCCAAGGTGGGCAGATCACTTGAAGTCAGGAGTTCAAGGCCAGCCTGGACAACATGGTGAAATCCCGTTTCTACCGGGAGAATTGCTTGAACCCAGGAGATGGAGGTTGCAGTGAGTCGAGATTGTGCCACTGCACTCTAGCCTGGGTGACAGAATGAGACCCTAGAAAGAAAGAAAGAGAGAAAGAGAGAGGAGAGAGGAGAGGAGAGAGGAGGAGAGGAGAGAAGAGAAAAGAGGAGGGAAGGCAGGAAGGAAGGATTGAAGGAAGGAAGAAAGAAAGGACAGAAGGAAGGAAGGAAGAGAAGGAAGGAAGGAAGGTTGGGAGGGAGGGAAGGAAAGGAAGAGAATTTTACCTCTTCCTTTTCAATTTGGATGCCTTTTATTTCTTTTTCTTGTCTGATAGCTCCGGCTAGCACTTCCAGTACAATATTGAATAGTAGCAATGAAAGTAGGCATCCTTGTCCTGATCCTGATCTTAGGGAAGAAAAATTTTAGTCTTTTACCACTGAGAATCATGTTAGCTGCAGATTTTTTCTAAACACTCTTTATCATGTTGCGGAATTATCCCTTTATTCCTAGCTTTCTGGGTTTTTTTATTATTATAATGAAAGGGTTTTGAATTTTTTCAAATGCCTTTTCTGTGTCAGTTGAAATGATTGTATAGGGTTTTTTTTCCCTTTGTTCTATTAATGTAATATATTACATTGATTTTATGTTGAGCCACCCTGTATCCCTGGGATAAATCCCACTTGGTCATGGTAAATAATCCTTTTAATGTACTGTTGGATTTTATTTGCCAATATTATGTTGAGCATATTTGCATCTATATTAATATGAGATATTGGTCTGTAATTTTCTTTTATTGTCATGTTTGTTCTTGGCTTTGGTATCCAACTTGTGCTGGCCTCATAGAATGAAGTCACTGCTTTACATTAAATATAAGTAATATGTATTTAATCAATCCTATTTTATTTGTGTTCTCTTTTTTAAACAGTCTTACCTCTATATATCTTAAGAATATATAATATAACCTACAAAATTTATTATTTATTTATTGGAGACAGGGTCTAGCTCTGTCACCCAGGATAGAATGTAGTGGCATGATTGTGGCTCACTGCAGCCTCTGCCTCCCATGCTCAAACCATCCTCCCATCTCAGCCTCCTGAGTGAGTAGCTGGAACTACAGGTGTGCGCCACCACTCCTAGCTATTTTTTGTATTTCTGGTAGAGACAGGGTTTCACCATGTTGCCCAAGCTGGTCCCAAACCCCTGGGCTCAAGCAGACCTCCCACCTCTGCCTCCCAAAGTGCTAGGATTACAGGCATGAGCCACTGCGCCTAGCCAAAAGTTTAAATATTCAATAATTTTTTTTTAAAGAGACAGGGTCTCACTCTGTCGCCCAGGCTGGAGTATAATGGCATGATCACAGCCCGCTGCAGCCTCAACCTCCTAAGCTCAAGCATTCCTCCCATCTCAGCCTCCCAAGTAGCTGGGCCTGGAGTAACTGAGAATATAGGCTCATATCACTATGCTTGGCTAATTTTTTATAGAGACAGGGTTTTGCCACGTTGCCTAGGCTGGTCTCAAACTCCTGAGCTCAAGCTATCTGCCTGCCTTGGCCTCCCAAAGTGCTGGGATTACAGACGTGAGTGGCCACCACACCCAGCTTTTTTTTTTTTTTTTTTTTTTTGAGACCACAACCAGTCTCACTGTTTGGCCCAGGCTGGAGTGCAGTGATGCCATCATGACTCACTGCAGCCTCGACCTCCCAGGCTCAAGCCATCCTCCCACCTCAGCCTCCCAAGTAGCTGGACCTGGAGTGGCTGGGACTACAGCCACACACCACCACACTCGGTTAATTTTTTAAAGTTTTTCTGTAGAGATAGCGTCTCACTATGTTGCCAAGGCTGGTCTCCAACTCCTGGACTTAAGCGATCCTCCCACCTTAACCTCCCAAAGTGCTGGGATTACAGGCATGAGCCACCATGCCCAGCCAAGATTTTTTTTAAAGTAACACTAAAGTACTGTATCAAAGAATAGAAAGAAACATAATTTTTTTTTTTTTTTTTTTGAGACAGAGTTTCGCTCTTGTCACCCAGGCTGGAGGGCCATGGCTTGATCTCGTGATCTCGGCTCACTGCAACCTCTGCCTCCCGGGTTCAAGCAATTCTCCTGCCTCAGCCTCCCGAGTAGCTGGGATTACAGGCACCTGCCACCACGCCCGGCTAAGTTTTGTATTTTTAGTAAAGACGGGGCTTCACCACGTTGGCCAGGCTGGTCTCGGACTCCTGACCTCAGGTGATCCACCCGCCTCGGCCTCCCAAAGTGCTGGGATTACAGGCGTGAGCCACTTCACCTGGCCAATATTTTTATATTTTTCTCAAACATATTTGTTTAATTTGCCCTACTGTTAATTACTACTAATTGTCGCTGTTCACTAGTCCTGTTGTTTTGCTTAAATAATAATATTCATGGAACAAAAAAGTAAAAAATATAAAATAATGTATAATTTCAAGTAAACCTTTACTTCTTATTTTTATATTAAAGTAGTAACATATAGGCATATAATCTTTTGCTATATATTGTATTATTATGGGTTTGTTGTTTTTTTTTTCTGATATGTTTGTATTCCAAGTTGGCTCTCTGAAAAGTTGATCATGCTAGGCAGCGCCTCTCCCACAGTCTCCTGGATTTAGAAACCTCTAGCCTAGAACATGACATGCTCAAATAAAGGGGTCCCCGACCCCCCAGTCTGTGGCCTGTTAGGAAATGGGCCACACAGCAGGAGGTGAGCAGGGGTGAAGCTTCATCTGTATATATAGCTGCTCCCTGTCACTAGCTTTACCACCTGAGCTCCACCTCCTGTCAGATCAGTGGCCACATTAGATTCTCACAGGAGCACGAAGGCTATTGTGAACTGTGCATGCAAGGGATCTAGGCTGTGTGCTCCTTATGAGAATCTAATGCCTGATGATCTGTCACTGTCTCCCATCACCCCCAGATGGGACCATCTAGTTGCAGGAAAACAAGCTCAGGGCTCCCACTGATTCTACATAATGGTGGGTTGTATAATTATTTCATAATATATTACAATGTAATAATAATAAAGTGCACAATAAATGTAATGCTCTTGCACCATCCCAAAACCATCCCCCGCCCCCCAACCATGGAATAATTGTCTTCCACGAAACTGGTCCCTGGTGCCAAAAAGGTTGGGGACTGCTGCTCTAATATGGGTGGAGGGCGGAGTAGGTCCCCACTTCTCCGGGGTTCACACCTGCAGGACAGCTGTTGGGATATCCTGGGCTGGCTGCTATGTGCCAGTGGAATGGGAATCTCAAGATGCAGTGCTGCAGGAAAGGGAGACCCCCCCGGACCTTGGGCAGTGTCAAAGGCTTATCCATGAGTTGATGCTTTCCCTTCAAGTCCCCCATTGGCTCCATTGCTCACTGATCCAGCCAGACTCTTTTTCCAACAAAGTTCAAATGTCAACGGTACAGACACAGAAATACCTGGAAACTCCAAACTCATCGCGTTTGCGCATAGAAGGACATGCTGTCCACATTCCCAGGCAGCTCCGTGAACACGATGGCCCGGTCAGGTACAGCTCACCGAACCCACCCAGGAATTTTATACTTGGCAATAACTCTTCCACTATCACCAATCCTGGCGAACGTGATCGATATTGTAAGCTTGACCACTTTTACCTTGGAAGCAGACAGGATCCATTTCTTGTTGTTGCTAATGGCAACATCCATCACCCAGTCATTATGGCCCTGAAGAAATATCAAATTTTAATGAAAACGTGGAGAAAATAATTTTGAAAGAACAACAAAAACAAGCTGGGTGTAGTGGCTCACACCTGTAACCTGCCTTTTGGGAAGCCGAGTCGGGAGGGTCACCTGAGCCCAGGAGGTGGAAGCTGCAGTGAGCCATGATTGCACCACTGCACTTCAGCCTGGGCAACAGAGTGAGGTCCCATATCTAAAAAAACAACAAAAAGTCAAGAACCCAGTGTTGCTTACATTTAAGAGTAGCTGGCTGAGTGCAGTGGCTCATGCCTGTAATCTCAGTACTCTGGGAGGTTGAGGTGGACAGATTGCTTGAGTCTAGGAGTTTGAGACCAGCCCGGGCAACATAGTGAAACCCCATCTCTACTAAAAATACAAAATATTAGCCGAGCATGGTGGCATGCGCCTGTAATCCCAACTACTCAGGAGGCTAAGGTGGGAGAGTCACCGGAGCCCGGGGAGGTTGAGGCTGCAGTGAGTCATGATCATGCACTCCAGCCTGGGCAACAGAGTGAGACTGTCTCAAAAAAAAAAAAAAAAGGAAAGAGCAGAGCAGCTCATTGTACTTCCTCGGTTTCATCAACAACATTTAGGGTGGAATACAAAGTGTAAAGACATGTGATATATGTACATTCTATTTTTTTTGTTGTTGTTGTTTTTTGGGGTTTGTTTGTTTGTTTGTTTTGAGACAGAGTTTTGCTCTTGTCGCCCAGGCTGGAGTGCAATGGTGCAATCTCCACTCACTGCAACCTTCACCTCCTGGGTTCAAGCAATTATCCAGCCTCAGCCTGCCAAGTAGCTGGGATTACAGGTGCCCATCACCATGCCCAGCTAATTTTTTTTTTTTTTGAGACGGAGTCTCGCTCTGTCACCCAGGCTGGAGTGCAGTGGTGTGATCTCGGCTCACTGCAAGCTCCGCCTCCCAAGTTCACGCCATTCTCCTGCCTCAGCCTCCCGAGTAGCTGGGACTACAGGCGCCCGCCACCACACCCGGCTAATTTTTTGTATTTTTAGTAGAGACGGGGTTTCACTGTGTTAGCCAGGATGGTCTCGATCTTCTGACTTCGTGATCTGCCTGCCTCGGCCTCCCAAAGTGCTGGGATTACAGGCGTGAGCCACCACACCCCACCTAATGTTTGTATTTTTAATAGAGATGGAGTTTCACCATGTTGGCCAGGCTGGTCTCGAACTCCTGACCTCAAGTGATCCACCTGCCTCAGCCTCACAAAGTGCTGGGATTACAGGCATGAGCCACTGCGCCCTACCCATTCTATATTTATTTATTTAGTTATTTTTATTTGACACAGGGTCTTACTCTGTCCCCCAGGCTGGAGTGTAGCAGCTCAATCATAGCTCACTGCAGCCTCAACCTCCTGGGCTCAAGTGATTCTCCTGCCTCAGCCTCCCGAGTAGCTGGGACTACAAATGTGTGTGCCACTGTGTATGGTTTTTTAAAATAGTACTCGGGTGTTTAGCAAGATTGGGGGAGAAATATTATATTCCCAGCTGGTCTCAGGTTTTCATTTGCATTCTTTGTTCTAGGAAATACCCCTCAGAGGCCCTGTAAGTGAGGGGGCTTTTCGCTTCCAATAACTGCAAACTCGATCCACTGTGGCTTAAGCAGAGAAGGAGTGGGGTGTTTTCTTTGGGTACATAGGAGCTCAGAGCAGGCCGGGCGCGGTGCTCCATGCCTGTAATGCCAGCACTTTGGGAGGCCGAGGCGGATAGATCACGAGGTCAGGAGATCGAGACCAGCCTGGCTAACATGGTGAAACACCATCTCTACTAAAAAATAAAAATTTAAAAAAAAAAAATTAGCCGGGCATGGTGGTGGGCACCTGTAGTCCCAGCTACTCAGGAGGCTGAGGTAGGAGAATGGTGTGAACCCAGGAGGCGGAACTTGCAGTGAGCCAAGATCATGCCACTGCACTCTAGCCTGGGCGACAGAGCGAGACTCCCGTCTCAAAAAAAAACAAACAAAAAAAACAGCTCAGAGCAGATAGCTGCCATTGCTGCCTCAGACACTGAATGATGTCTGGGCTTTATGCCAGCATCTCTGTCCTTCTTTGGCCTTCCCCGTATGGAAAGAGGCAGAAAGTGAGGCCATAGTGTGGTTAGAGAAAAAGGAATCAGAGGGAAGGTTAAACCGCTTAGTGTAATTAAAGGACAGGAATTTGAGGATGGGAGCACAGAGAAAGAGGAGAGAAGAGGAGAGAGAATAGAACAACCGGCTCTGTCACCCAGGCTGGAGTCCAGTGGTGCAATCTCAGCTCACTGCAGCCTCTGCCTCCCAGGCTCTAGAGATTCTTATGCCTCAGCCTCCCAAGTAGCTGGGACTACAGGTGGGCATGACCACACCTGGCTAATTTTTGTATTTTTAGTAGAGATGGTGTTTCACTATGTTGGCCAGGCTGGTCTCGAACTCCTGACCTCCAATGATCCTCCAGCCTCAGCCTCCCAAAGTGCTGGGATTACAGGCATGAGCCACTGTGCCTAGATGACAGAGGGACTTTAAGCACAGAGAGGTTTAACATTCCATTTTAATCCGTTTATTTGCTGTGAGGAAACTCGCTTTGTCTCCCCAAGTCCTAGGAGAAGACAGCTCAGATAGACCAGCCCCAGGGACCTGAATATGGGCTGCTCAAGGACACATGTCTACTTTGTGTCCCTGGGAACAGAAAGACCAAGAATCAGGGATGCACGCATTCACAGCCAAAGGTGACAGTGAGATCGTGAAACCAGGGAGTATGCAGAAATCCTGGGGTGTGGGGCCCCTTGGGGGAACAGGGGCACAGCATGAGGCAATTGTGGGTTCTTGCTGTGTTGGATAACACATCCCCGTATCATAGAGCCACTCTGAGTTGGGGCTCCTCTCATCCTCTCACTTGTAGCCCAGAGCATTCAGTTGACATCCCCATTTTGGAACCCCAAGCTTTCTGTGCATGCCTCACTAGGGCATGCGTCTCTCTTCAAGGTAATTTCTGTTTTTTGTTTTGTTTTGTTTTGTTAGAGACAGAATCTCAGTCTATCGCCCAGGCTGGAGTGCAGTGGCACAATCTTGGCCCAGTGCAACCTCCGCCTCCCGGGTTCAAGCGATCCTCCCACCTCAGCCTCCCAAGTAGCTGGGACTACAGGTTTGCACCACCACACCCGGCTGATTTTTGTATTTTTAGTAGAGACGGGGGTTTCACCATGTTGGCCAGGCTGGTCTCAAACTCCTGACCTCAGGTGATCCGCCCACCTCAGCCTCCCAAAGTACTGGGATTACAGGAGTGAGCCACAGTGCCCAGGCCTGCACAGTAACTTCTGCTGTTCTTAGACACTCCCACCTCAGGGTTTTTGCATCAGCTGTTCCATCTGCCTGGACTGCCCTTCTTCTTCAAGATCCCCACTTATGTAGTCCTTTCTGTTCTCAGCTCAAACACCTCCTTCTCCAGGAAGCTCTGCCCATGCAATGTGGATGGGTCCCCCGCCTCTGTCCCCATCATGTCACCCTGTTGTGGTTTCTCCATTTCACTCCTCACAGTCGGTGGTGTGTTTGCTGGCTTCCTGTCTGTCCTTCATCAGCCCACAGAGGCATCAAGGCCTGTGTCACTCACAGCTGTGTCCCCAGCAACCAGCATTGAGCACAGGAAGGACTCGGGAGGGAAGTTCAGATCCTCAATCTCATGCTGGCCACATGTACCTTCAAAGAGAGCTTCCGGTAGCCTTCTGCTACATCCCAAATAGCCACAGTCCTATCAAACCCTCCAGAAATGAGAAAAGAGCCTGCAACAGAAAATGAAAGGGTGGAGATGGGGGTCAACTTTCCAAGCCAAGTGAGCCCAAAGCCAGCTGAAGATGCCTTGGCGAGGCACCACCTCATCTCACTCTGACAACACTGAAACCCCTTCCTGGAGTGGCTCCACGACCCCAAGCCAATTACAGCTGATTCTTATCATTTACAGTAGTCATGTTCTATGACAGGGGTCCCCAGTCCCTGGGCCACAGACTGGTACCAATCCATGGCCTGTTGGGAACCAGGCCACCCAGCAGACAGTGAGTGGTAGGCAAGCAAGCCAAAGCTTCATCTGTATTTACAGCCACTCCCCATCGCTCGTATTACCACCTGAGCTCGGCCTCCTGTCAGATCAGCTGCAGCATTCGATTCTCACGGGAGCATGAACCCTATTGTGAACTGCGGATGCGAGGGATTAGGTTGTGCACTCTTTATGAGAATCTAATGCCTGATGATCTGTCACTGTCTCCCATCACCCCCAGATGGGACCATCTAGTTGCAGGAAAACAAGCTCAGGGCTCCCACTGATTCTACATGATGCTGACTTGTATAATTATTTCACTATATATTACAATGTAATAATAATAAAAATAAAGGGCACAATAAATGTAATACACTTGGGTCATCCCGAAACCATCCTCCACAGCTCCCATTTGTGGAAAAGTTGTCTTCCATGAAACCTGTCCCTGGCGCCAGAAAGGTTGGGGGCCTCTGCAGTTTTTGCAGACACTGAATTAGTGAATACTGAACCATCGCTCCTAGGGGAAATACAGGGTCAGTTTCCTGCGAGCTCTGGTCACATTCTCATCAGTTGATCAGTACGTAACTTTGTTTTATGTGTGTTTCTGTTTAAAGACACCTTATTGCATATATACTGTTGATTTGTTTACATTGAACTCACAACCAACAGCTGTAACTCATGCCTGAATGGATGCATGCATTTTCCCCATCATAGCACTCTCGCGCTTAGGAACGGCAAACAGCACTTCGGCACTGTGGTTAGGGATCATTTTATTTGTTATTTATTTATTTATTTATTTATTTATTTATTTATTTATTTATTTATTTTTAGAGATAAGGTCTTGCTCTGTCACCCAGGCTAGAGTGCAGTGATGCAATCAGCTCACAGCAGCTTCAAACTCCTGGTCTCAAGCAATCCTCCCACTTCAGTTACCAAGTAGCTGGGACTACAAGCAGGTGCCAGCACACCTGGCTAAATTTTTTTTTTTTGTTTTGGTAGAGATGGGGTCTCACTATGTTGCCCAGGCTGATCTCAAACTCCTGGGTTCAAGCAATACTCCCGCCTCAGCACCCCCCCAGCACTGAAATTAAAGCTGTGAGCCACCACACACGGCCAAGGGAGCCATTTTACACAGCAAAATCACTAACAAAAAGCAAAAGAAAGCCCAGGTGTGGTGGCTCACGTCTGTAATCCCAGCACTTTGGGAGGCTGAGGCAGGCAGATCACATGAGGACAGGAGTTCAAGACCAGCCTGGACAACATGGCGAAACCCCATCTCTACCAAAAATACAAAAATTAGCCAGGCATGGTAGTGCGCACCTGTAATCCAAGCTACTTGGAAGGCTGAAGCAGGAGAATCGCTTGAACCCAGGAGGCAGAGGTTGCAGTGAGCCAAGATCGCGCAACTGCGCTCCAGCCTGGGCAACAGAGGGAGCAAAACAAACAAACAACAACAAAAAAAAATGGTGGCACTAAATAGACCACAAAAAGGACATTTTACCACGTGGGAGGTGAAACAAGAAGGCAGAGTGTTGCCTTGTCCAACCTCAGCTGGGAGGTGACTTAGATTTTTTGCTGCTCTTCACATCTGTGAGTGACCTTGAAAGTGCCATGAATGTTGACTTTAGGTTTACAAATAAATATCAGCAAGTAGGTGACTTCACAAATACAGAATCAGGAATAATAATGATTAACTGCATGTGATTCTTTTTTTTTTCTTTCTTTTTTTCTTTTTTTGAGACAGAGTCTCACTCCGTCACCCAGGCTAGAGTGTAGGAGCGCAGTGGCACAATTTTGGCTCAACTGCATGTGATTCTGAACCCCATAAAGCCAAGGACAGAAGCTGGCAGGGTGCCTCACAGTGGGACTTAGACAAGGGGTGCTGCTGAAGAGGGAAAGTTGCCCAGAAGCACCCTAGTGCTTCTCAAGCCAGGCCCCAGTGGCATGTGTGCCAGCTGAGGCCCCCAGACACACAGAGCAAGCCCCACTTCTCACCAGGATAGGGGAGCATATGTTTGGCTCCTGAGTGTCAAGAGCACCCACTTCCCTCCCTGGAGCTGGCTAGCCGCGGTGGCTTCCTGTCACTGCCCCCATTCACCTCTATGTCCCTTTATCTGGCAACAGCTCCCAATTTCCTGTGGGGAAACACTCCTTGCCTACTCTTAGTCCCTCTGCATCAGGGGGTTCTGACCCCAACCCTAGCTCTGCAGGTGGGCAAGTCACCCAGACCTGGCCAATCAGAGGCTTTCGTTGCCCCCTAAGTGATTCATTAAGAGATGGACATGTGTCCCAAGCTGAGCCAATGGGAGTCTTCCCTGGGACTTGTTCTGGCACCATCAGACAGAAGGTCTCTTTCTCCAGGACTGCCAGGGGCCAGAACTAGGCTGAGCTGGACCACTAAAGGTCCTCTTTACCTCTTTAATTTTATATATATATATATATATATATATATATATATATATATATATATATATACATACATACACACACACACATACATACATATATACATACACACACACATATATACACATACATATATATATACACATATATATACATATATACACATATATACATATATATACACATATATACATATATATATACACATATATATACATATATATATATATACACATATATATACATATATATATATATTGAGACAGAGTCTCGCTCTGTCACCCAGGCTGGAGTGCAGTGGTGCAATCTTGGCTCACTGCAGCCTCCGCCTCCCGGGTTCAAGCGATTCTCCTGCCTGAGGCTCCCGAATAGCTGGAATTACAGGCATCCACCACCACACCTGGCTAATTTTTGTATTTTTTAGTAGAGATGGGGTTTCACCATGTTGGCCAGGCTGATCTTGAACTCCTGACCTCAGGTGATCCGCCCACCTCAGCCTCCCAAAGTGCTGGGATTACAGGCATGAGCCATTGTGCCTGGCCTTTTTTTTTTTCTTTTTAGACACAGGGTCTCACTCTGTTGCCCAGGCTGGAGTGCAGTAGCACAATCATAGCTCACTGCAGCCTCAAACTCCTGGGCTCAAGTGATCCTCCCACCTCAGCCTCTTGAAGAGCTGAGACTACAGGTGTGCACCACCACACCCAGCTAATTTTTTAATTTTTTTGTAGAGACAGGGTCTTGCTGTGTTGCCCAGGCTGGTCTTGAACTCCTGGCTTCAAGCAGTCCTCCCACCTTGGCCTCCCAAAGCATTGGGATTACAGGCATAAGGCACCTCATCCGGCCATCTTTGCCTCCTTGGGGGTAAAGGCTGATACAGAGGGAAGCTAGGTTGAAAGACAGAGTGGAAGGGTTGGGTTCCCAACAGCATTGACTCTCTTGTCCCATCCATGCCTGAAGTCAGACGTGCTCTTGGACTTTTCCATTACAGGATTAATCAATTTCTTTGGTTGCATACGCCACATTGAGCTGAGTTTCTACCACTGTAAACTGGTACCTGTGGTCTTCCCTCTTGGGTTTTTTGTTCTCGTGGGGAAGAATCCGCCCTCCCTGTCAGCATCATTGGAAATTGCCTCTCTGTCCATTTGAACGGAACATGGAGAACTCTGCCCAGCACTCCCACAGGAATGGAGGCCTTCTGCATGTTAATTACTCACTGTCTCTGGCAAAGTGACAGGAACTGACAGAACCTTCATGGCCCTGCATCAGAGTCACACAGGCTCCACAGTTTCGAAACTCCCCTGTGTGGACGTTCCATATTTTTAAGTTTTTATCCCAGGAGCTTGTACACAGGAAATGGCCACTGAAGGTAAAACAGCAGTTTGAGATTGCATTGGAATGTGCCCTGAAACACAGATGGTGGGGTGCACACATTAGCGCTTTGCTCCTGGAGGACCTGAAGACATACCTAAAGCCGGGGGTATTTTCTCCTGTGAGCTCATGGTCGGGCTGCACATGCTAGCACTTCGCCCCAAGAGGACCTGAAGACATACCTAAGTGGGGGTCAGCATCTCCTGTGAGCTCATGTTCATCATGCCTTTGATCACTGCCTACCATGGTCCAGATGTGAATTGCTCAGACTGTCACGCTGTTCCAGCATTTCTCGACTGCACCAATTTTTAGAAAAATAATAATAGAGACAGTGTTTCGCTATGTTACCCAGGCTGCTCTCAAACTCCTAGGCTCTAGTGGTCCACCTGCCTTGGCCTCCCAAAGTAGTGCTGGGATTACAGGCGTGAGCCACGGCACTGGGCCAACCACACCAAGGTGGACATTTTGAGCTGGGTCACTCAGAGTTGTGGGGGCCGTCCTGTGTTCTGTAGGAGGTGGAGCAGCATCCCTGGCCTCTCCTGGCTAGATGCCAGGAACCCCCACACCCAGTTGTGACAACAAAACATGAGTCCAGACATTGTCAAATGTCCACTGGGGCACAAATTGCCCTCATTTGGGAAGATTCTGCAGTATTCCCTTGGCGCTGGAGGGAAAAGCAGCTGGTGTCAGGAGTGATTGATTGACAGACAGCCTTTGGGGCTTGGTGCTGGGTGGCGCTTACACAGAGGCTCTCTCCTGCTCCCCATCTTTCCCCCAACAATGTCAGGCGTGGTCTCCCCCTGTTCCACCCCTCTCTTACTTACTCCTCTGCTTCTCCACCCCAACTATTCACTCTCCCTTTTTCTCACTCCTATCCTCATTTGTCTTCAGTGCTATTCAAGTATATTTCAGTGTTGTATATTTAATTAATAAAATTGTGGGTTATTTGGCTGGGTGCAGTGGCTCATGCCTATAATCCCAGCACTTTGGGAGGCCTAGGTGGAAGGATTGCTTGAGCCCAGGATTTTGACACCAGCCTGGGCAACATAGCAAGACCCCATCTCTACAAAAAATATAAAAATTAGCTGGGCATGGTGGCACATGCCTGTAGTCCCAGCTACTCTGGAGGCTGAGGCAGGAGAATCACTTGAACCCAGGAGGTGGAGGTTGCAGTGAGCCAAGATTGTGCCATTGCACTCCAGCCTGGGCAACAGTGCAAGACTCTATCTCAGAAAAAAAATGAAGTTATTCATTCCAATTTTTAAGCATCTTCTTTTTCAGAAAAATAATAATAATAAAAAGCCTGTCTGTATTTTGCCACTTTTTGTTTGTAACCCTCAATGTCTTTCTCCTGTGATTCTCACCTCCTCTTGTAAGCAGAGTTTTCTCTGAGTAGCCTGGATCATAAAATCAATCATTTGACCTGAAGAAAAGGTTGAGCAAAACAATTTTCTAGAGCTCAGATCAGAGTTTTGGAACCCATTTTGGTTCTTTGAAAGGCACAAACTGAGCAACGCCAAAGGAGAAGAAATGTCAACTTCGCAGGGCCATCCGGGATAAACCTCACCAATTCCCAGTGCCTGGTGAGCTAAGAACCATGCTGGCATATCATGGAGGTTTGACTGCAAGCTCTCCCAGCAGCCAGACACTGTCATTGAGGTTTAAACCAGAGGTATACCCAGAGGATTATAAATCATTCTTCTATAAATACACATGCACACGTATGTTTATTGCAGCATTATTCACAATAGCAAAGACTTCGTGTCAACCCAAATGCCCATCAATGATAGACCGGATAAAGAAAATGTGGTACATATACACCATGGAATACTATGCAGCCATGAGAAAGAATGAGATCATGTCCTTTGCAGGGACATCATCCTCAGCAAACTAACACAGGAACAGAAGACCAAACACCACACGTTCTCATTCATAAGTGGGAGTTGAACAGTGAGAACACATAGACACAGGGAGGGGAACATCACACACTGAGGCCTGTCAGGGGGTGGGAGGCAAGTGGAGGGAGAGCATTAGGGCAAATACCTAACACATGCGGGGCTTAAAACCTAGATGACGTGTTGATAGATGCAGCAAACCACCGTGGCACATGTGTACCTATGTAACAAACCTGCACATTCTGCACATGTGTCCTGGAACTTAAAGTAAAAAAAAAGACATAGCAATTTCTAAATAAATAAATACATAAATAAATAAATAAATAAACCAGAGGTATCTCTATGGACTCTCATTTCACATAAATCCCACTTCTCGTAGAAGGCCATTTCACCTGTACAGAAGTTTGGGGAAAATGGCTATGCTGCACGTACAGTTCTGGACAAGATGGAGTCAACTTTAAAAGTAATTTTTTTAAATGGCTGAAATTTTACCAAATTTGGCAAAATATATAAACCTACAGATTCAAGAATCTGAGTAAAACCCAACAGGATAAATCCAAAGAAATCTACACCCAGACACATAATTACACTTCAGAAAACTAAGGACAACAAAAATATCTTCAGAGCAGCAAGAGAGAAATGACTTTTTACCTATAGGAGAAAAACAATATGAATGACAGTGTAAATGAAAACCACAGTGTGGCCAGGCACTGTGGCTCATGCCTGTAATCCCAGCACTTTGGGAGGCCGAGGTGGGTGGATCACAAGGTCAGGAGTTTGAGACCAGCCTGGCCAATGTGGTGAAACCCTGTCTCTACTAAAAATACAAAAATTAGTTGGGCATGGTGGCGGGCGCCTGTAGTCCCACCTACTCGGGAGGCTGAGGCAGGAGAATTGCTTGAACCCGGGAGGCGGAGGTTGCAGCGAGCCGAGATTGCACCCTGCAAATGATATAGCTGATCTTGCTAGAGGATTTAAAAAATTCATAATGTCGGTCGGGCTATATCATTTTCAGTTCTCAGTGCAAAATTAATAAGCAAGATCCCCACTCCTGAAAAAGCTAAGCACAGTATTACCATATGATCCAACAATTCCACTCCTGGGTATACAGAGTAAAGAATTAAAAACAGGCCAGGTGCAGTGGCTCACACCTGTCATCCCAGAACTTTGGGAGGCCAAAGTGAGAGGATCACTTGAGCTCAGAAGTTCAGGACTAGCTTGGGAGACATAATGAGACCCCGTTTCTGCAAAAAAAAAAAAAAAACAAACTTAAAAATTAGCCAGGCATGGTGGTGTGCACCTGTAGTCTCAGCTACTCAGGAAGTTGAGGCAAGAGGATCACTTGAGCCTAGGAATCCGAGGCTCCAGTGAGCTATGATCACGTCACTGCACTCCAGCCTGGGCAACAGAGCAAGACTCTGTCTCGAAATCAAATAAAATAAAAAGAATTGAAAGCAGGAACTCAAAGTTACATGTACATGTGTTCATAGCAGCATTATTCCCAATAACTAAAAGGTAGAAACAGCCTAAGAGGTCATCAACAGATGAACAGATAAACAAAATGTGGTATGTACACCTATAATGCAGTACTATTCAGTCATCAAAAGGAATGAAGTTCTTAATCCCAGCACTGTGGGAGGCCGAGGTGGGTGGATGACAAGGTCAGGAGTTTGAGACCAGCCTGGCCAACATGATGAAACCCCGTCTCTACTAATAATACAGAAATTAGCCAGGTGTGGTGGTGGGCGCCTGTAATCCCAGCTACTCAGGAGGCTGAAGCAGGAGAATCACTTGAACCCAGGAGGCAGAGGTTGCAGTGAGCCAAGATGGCACCACTGCACTCCAGCCTGGGGGACATAGCGAGACTAAGTCTCAAAGGAAAAAAAAGGAATGAAGTTCTGATGTTCTGATGCAGGCTACAACACAGATGAACCTTGAGGACATTATTTTAAGTGAAATAACCTAATCACAAGAGGACAAATAATGTATGACTCTACTTATATGAAATATCTAGAATAGGCAGATTCATAGAGACAGAAAGTAGAATAAACATTACCCAGGGCTGGGGGCATGGGGAATGGGGAGTTATTGCTTAACGGGTAAGAGCTTCTGTCTGAGATGATGAAATCATTTTGGAAATAAATAGTGGTGATGGTTGCACAACACTGTGAATGTAATGAATGGCAGAGAATTGCACACTTAAAAATGGTTAAAATATCATGTTTTATGTTGTGTGCGTGTATATATATATATATATATTTTGAGACAGAGTCTCACTCTGTCACCTAGGCTGGAGTGCAGTGGCACAATCTTGGCTCACTGCAACCTCCACCTCCCGGATTCAAGCTATTCTCCTTCCTCAGCCTCCTGAATAGCTGGGATTACAGGTGCCCGCCACCACGCCCAGCTAAGTTTTGTATTTTTACTAGAGGTGGGGTTTCACTATGTTGACCAGGCTGGTCTCGAACTCCTGACCTCAGGTGATCCGCCCCACTCGGCCTCCCAAAGTGCTGGGATTACAGGCATGAGCCACCGAGCCCAGCCCCAAAATTTTTTTAAATGATAATGTAATATCTCCAAAACGACTGAATTCACTTTATTTATTTATTTTTTTTAGACAGGGTCTTACTTCATTGTCCAGGCTGGGGTGCAGTGGTGCAATCATAGCTCACAGCAGCCTCAAACTCCTAGGCTCAAGCAATCCTCCAGCCTCAGCCTCCTGAGTAGCTGGGACTACAGGTGTGTGACACCACACCCAGCTAATTTTTAAATTTTTTGTAGAGATGGGGTCTTGTGACATTGCCCAGGCTGGTGTTGAACTCCTGGCCTGAAGTGATCCTCCCACTTTGGCCTCCCAAAGCTCTGGGATTATAGCCATGAGCCACACGCCCAGCCAGACCTTCCCATTTTACAGGAGATGCTGGAACTTCACCTTTTGTGGACTTCTCTGCACAATGATTTCCACTAGTGGCTCACATTGAAACAAATGCATCTGAGGCCCAGCCCAGCCCACAGGCCACAGCTGATGGCTCCCTCCTGCCTGCCTGTCCCCAGCCTCCTCAGAGCACCTATGACCAAGCTACAGACGTGTCCACATGGATGCTGGCTTATGTGGAATTCAGGAAGTCATGAATGGGGACGCCCCACCCAAACTCCCTTCTGGCCTCCTGGGGTCCAACTCACTTAGTGATGGTGAGCAGCGTGGCCTGGGATGTAACATCCCAGATCTTGATGCACCTGTCCAATGAGACAGAAGCCACCCTCTGGCTGTCGGGGTCAAAGCAGCATGACGTGATGGACCTTGTGTGATGATCTGCAGAACACGGAGGAAAGGGACTTGAGACCACGCCTTCCACCTGCTGGGCTGGAGGACTCCCACGACTTCCCCAGCCAGTGACGATTACAAAACACAATTCCAGTTTTCATCAGGAGCTACACACCTGCACAAACATTCCTGAGTGACTACTATGTCCCAGGCTTTGAACCGGGAGCACAGCAGGTTCCCTGCCCCCGCAGAGCTGCCAGTCTGATGGAGGAGACACCCCGGACCAGGCAACGACCTGCCACATGCCACAGATCATGAGATGAGTGCACGGGCCACCAAGGCCCAGACAACATAAGCCTGGCCACCCTGAGGGGTCCAGGAAGGGCCCGAAAAGCCAGCAAGGGAAGCAGAAATGGAAGAGCACTCCAGGAAGAAGGAACAGTGCTTGCAAAGGCCTGGGCCGGATCATGGAGCAGTGTGGGGCAAAGCTGGAGTCTGAAGCATGGTGGGGTCAGAGTGTCAAGTGGGCTCTTAGGGGCTATTAGGGAAGCTGTGGGGCAGTGCACATGGCATAGTGCCACATCGATAAAAAGAAACACAAAGCACATATGAGAAGCAGTGTTGTGTGTGCAAACACTTGTACGCACAGGCATACACACAGGGTTCAGGAAGACTGCCCAGCAATGTATGGTTCATAACAGGTGCCTCTGGGGAGGAGACAGGACAGACACAGCAGCCTTTTGCTTTTTTATTTACATAATGAATGATTTTTTTATTTTTGAGACAGGGCCTCATTCTGTCACCTGGGCTGGAGCGCAGAGGCGCGATTTCGGCTCACTGCAACCTCCACCTCCTGGGTTCCAGCAATTCTGCCTCAGCCTCCCGAGTAGCTGGGATTACAGGTGCCCGCCACCACGCCCGGCTAATTTTTGTATTTTTAGTAGAGACAGGGTTTCACCATGTTGGCCAGGCTGGTCTTGAACTTTTGAGCTCAGGTGATCCACCAGCCTCGGCCTCCCAAAGTGCTGGGATTACAGGCATGAGCCACCACGCCCAGCCCATAATGAATGTCTTTACAATGATTACACATTTTTTTAACTTTAATTTTAAGATAATTGTAAACTCCCATGGAGGTGTAAGGAATAACAGAGAAATCACCCATGTCCTTCACCCAGCAGCCCCCATGGGAACATGTGGTATCATCATCACACAGTGTCCCAACCAGGAAACTGTCATACAACAATTACTAAGTCCTATATTTTAAAAATAGGCTGGGCACAGTGGCTCATGCCCGTAATCCCAGCACTTTGGGAGACCAAGGCGGGCAGATCACCTGAGGTCAGGAGCTCGAGACCAGCCTGCCCAACATGGTGAAACCCCATCTCTACTAAAAATACAAAAATTAGCTGGGCGTGGTGGTGGGTGCCTGTAATCCCAGCTACTCAGAAGGCTGAGGCAAGGAGAATTGCTTGAACCCAGGAAGTGGAGGTTGAGGTGACCCGAGATCGCACCACTACACTCCAGCCTAGGAGACAGAGCAAGACTCCATCTCAAAAAAGAAAAAAAAAAAAGATACAGGTAGGCCGGGTGAGGGGGCTTCTCCTATAATCCCTCACTTTGGGAGGCTGAGGCAGGAGGATCCCTCGAGGCCAGGAGTTTGACATCAGCCTGGGCAACATAGCAAGACTCTGTTAATGTTAACTCTGTTAATGTTAATGTTAAGAAGCCTGAGCCTCCCCTCAATAAAAGATTAGGCTGTCAATGACCACATGAGGTTGGAGCCGAACATTGTGTCCTTTGTTAAAAGCACAAGACTGAATGAATGGAAAAGCATTAACTGAAGAGGATCAGTTTTGGTGTGTTTTTTTGTTTGTTTGTTTGTTTTTTGTTTGTTTGTTTGTTTTTTTGAGATGGAGTCTCACTCTGTCTGCCAGGCTGGAGTCCAGTGGCTCAATCTCAGCTCAATACAATCTCCACCTCCGGGTTCAAGTGATTCTCCCGTTTCAGCCTCTCAAGCAGCTGGGACTACAGGTGCATGCCATCACACCTGGCTAATTTTTGTATTGTTTTTGGTAGTGACAGGGTTTCACCCTGTTGCCCAGGCTGGTCTCAAACTCCTGGGCTCAAGCAACCTCCCAAAGTGCTGGGATTACAGATGCAATCCCAGCCACCGCACCTAGCCTAGTGTCCCAGCTTTAATGACGTGCTTCATACCATTACAGTTTCACCAAATAAAGCAATGGAAGGTCACCGTCAGTCAGTGACAAGTGGCTATTCCTATGGCAGACTGAAGATACAGGGAGCCCGCACACCCTCACCTTTGATGACGGAAACGGTGGTGATGTTCTCGGCGTCCATTATGCAGATTCCATGATCCACGTCGAAGCCTGAGACCACGTATTTACCATCAGGAGAAAACTTACAGGAGACGATGAAGGTATCATACCTGACCTTCCACTGAAATGAGCCAGCAATCAAAAGGTTGTTTTAAGCCAGGTGTGGTGTGTTACACCTGTAAACCCAGTGCTTTGGGAGGCCAAGGCTGGAGGATCGCTTGAGACCAGGAGCCTGAGACTAGCCTGGGAAACATGCAAGATCTCCATCTCTACAAAAGTAAAACATGAGCCAGGTGTGGCGGTGCTCGCCTGTAGTCCCAGCTACTTATGAGGCTGTGGCGGGAGGATCATCTGAGCCCAGGAGTTTGAGGCTGCAGTGAGCTACGATGGCGCCACTGTGTTCCAGCCTGGGTGACAGAGCTTGCAAGACCCTGTCTCTAAAAATCATCATCATCGTCATCATAAAATAAAAACTTGGCTTATCTTGTCTTTCTAAAAATGTTTACAATGAATACAAACTGACCTTTGCACTAACAAGAAAGGTTGTTTTTTAAGGAAAGGAAGGAGGAAGGGACAGAAAAGGCCTGCAGGAGCTGAGAGGGAGGGACGGCAGGGGTGAGGCAGGAGACCCCGAGGAGGCCCCTGAGCAGAGCTGAGGGTGCCTGGAAGGGGTGCAGGGCCGAGTGGGAGTCTTGAGCCTGTGGGATGGACGGAGAGTGACCCCCTCCAAGATATAAAGAGAACAGACTGGTAAGGGCCAGAACCCTGGTTCTTGGGGGCACATGGCCTTTGTCCCATGGCCTCAGCCCCACTTCCTGTCTAATCAAATCCAAACATCTTACCGGGGAGCCTGGAATACCAGCCCCCACACCCCACCCCCAATTCTGGCTTCTTTCTGTGTATCCAAACCCATCCCATCTTTCAAGCAGAAGCCTTGGTTCCATCCGCCTCCTCCAGGAGTCTTCCTCCCCCAGTGCCCACCCTCTCACCCTCCAGACTTTTTGCAAGCAATGGCTGTTGTGGGTGCAGTTCACATCTGTACTTCCATCCCCAGGAACATGCCTCCTTCCTAGAAGAATGGAGTTTTATCACCTCCCCCTACCCAGGGTCCAACCCAAAGCTGCCTGAGGCTTGGTCAAGCCCCTGGGCTGCAACCAACGCCCCCACTGGACAGGCATACGTACCAGCAGCTTGCCTGTCTCCAGGTCCCAGGCCCTCACTGTCTTATCATAGGATGCGGCAATGACTCTGGAAATAAGATGACGATGACGAACACTGGTTCTTTTTTTTGAGACAGGGTGTCTTTCTGTTGCCCCAGCTGGAGTGCAGTGGTGCAATACCGGCTCACTGCAACCTCCACCTCCCAGGTTCAAACGACCCTCCTGCCACAGCCTCCTGAGTAGCTGAGATTACAGGCGCCCGCCACCACGCCCAGCTAATTTTTGTATTTTTAGTAGAAACGGGGTTTTGCCATGTTGGCCAGGCTGGTCTCAAACTCCTGACCTCAAGTGATCCACCTGCCTCGGCCTCCCAAAGTGCTAGTATTATAGGCGTGAACCACCGCGCCTGGCCAAACATTGATTCTTAACAACAGAGACAGTTAGGTCTGTGGTCCTTTCCATCCTCCCCCGCCCCCCGCCTTTCCTTTTCTTTTTTGAGACAGGATGTCACTCTGTCATCCACGCTGCAGTCCAGTGGTGCAATCCTAGCTCACTGCCACCTTGAGCTTCTGGGCTCAAGTGATCCTCCTACCTCAGCCTCCTGAGTAGCTGGGACTATGGGCACTCATCATCATGCCTGGCTATTTTTTTCTCTCTCTCTTTTTTTTTTTTTCCTTAGAGACAGAGCCCAGGCTGGTCTCTCCTGGCCTCAAGCGATCCTCCCACCTCAGCCTCCCAGAGTACTGGAATTACAAGAATAAGCCACCACGCCTGGCCTGCCTATGACTTCTATGAAGACTTTTTTTCATTTTTCTAATTTAGGACCAAGATTATAATTAACACAATCATCTTTAAAAGACTGCTCCATCACCCACCCTAGGGACCATTCGGTTCTCACTGAAACTAGAGAGAACCAGCCAAGCACGGTGGCTCATGCCTGTAATCCCAACACTTTGGGAGGCTGAGGCGGGCAGAACACCTGAGGTCAGGAGTTCAAGACCAGCCTGGCCAACATGGTGAAACCTCATCTCTACTAAAAATACAAAAATTAGCCAGGCATGGTGGTGCACACCTGCAATCCCAGCTACTCAGGAGGCTGAGGCATGAAAATCTCTTGAACCAGGAGGCGGAGGTTACAGTGAGCCAAGATTGCGCCACTGCGCTCCAGCGTGGGCAGGAGAGGCTCCATCAAAAAAAAGGAAAGAAGGAAGGAAGGGAGGAAGGGAGGAAGGAAGGGGAAGGAAGGAAGGAAGGAAGGAAGGAAGGAAAGAAGGAAGGAAGGAAGGAAGGAAGGAAGGAAATAGGACCTAACACACAAGGAACCACAGCACAATCATCCCCAGTACTCTTCAGCCACCCACACATGCTCCTTTATATCAAGGGCTTTCAAAGTAGCATTTCTTCTGTTTTCCTCTTCTTCTTTTTTATTTTTTCTTTTAAGACGGAGTTTCACTCGTCGCCCAGGCTGGAGTGCAATGGCGTGACCTCAGCTCACCACAACCTCCACCTCCCGAGTTCAAGCAATTCTCCTGCCTAAGCCTCCGAGTAGCTGGGATTACAGGCATGTGCCACTACGCCCGACTAATTTTGTATTTTTAGTAGAGACCGGGGTTTCTCCATGTTGGTCAGGCTAGCCTTGTTCAAGGCTACCCGACCTCAGGTGATCCGCCCGCCTCAGCCTCCCAGCTGTTTTCCTCTCCTAAAGGGATCTCTACACCCGCAAGGATCAATCGTTTTCCTCTCTGCTCCCATGTCTGTCTTTTCACAGGGATATAGTTTAAGAGACTACTTATTTTGTTCTGAAATGTTTTCTTGTACAAAAAAACATAAATGTATCCTTGTCTTCTTACATGGCACGTTTCTGTGGCAAAGTTTGTCCTCTATATAAGATAAATTCCCATGTGGGCATGGTGGCTCACACCTGTAATCCCAGCACTTTGGGAGGCCGAGGTGGGTGGATCACCTGAGGTCAAGAGTTCGAGAACAGCCTGGCCAACATGGTGAAACCCCTCTCTACTAAAAATAAAAAAATTAGCCAGCTGTGGTGGTGTGCACCTGTAGTCCCAGGTACTCAGGAGGCTGAGGCAGGAGAATCACTCGAACCCAGGAGGTGGAGGTTGCAATGAGCCGAGATCGCACCACTATACTCCAGCCTGGGCAACAGAGCAGGACTCTGTCTCAAAAAAGAAAAAAAAAAAGATAAATTCCCATGAAACTTACATTTTCATACCAGTACACTACAGCGTGGGTGACAAAGCAAGACCCTATCTCAAAAACAAAACAGGCCAGGTACAGTGGCTCATGCCTGTAATTCCAGCACTTTGGGATGCCAAGGCAGGATTGTTTGAGCCTAGGAGTTTGAGACCAGCCTGGGCAACATGGCAAAACCCCATCTGTACAAAAATACAAAAATTAGCCAGGTGTGGTGGTGCACACTTGTAATCCCAGCTACTCAGGAGGCTGAGGCAAGAGGATCACTGAGCCCAGGAGTCCATGGCTTCAGTGAGCCATGTTTGCACCACTGCACTCCAGCCTGGGCAACAGAGCAGAATCCTGTCTAAATAAAAAATAAAAATTCACAAAGCCCAGGTGTGGTGGCTCATGCCTGTAATGTCAACACTTTGGGAGGCCAATGCAGGAGGAGAATCGCTTGAGACCACAGGTTCGAGACCAGCTTAGGCCACATGGTGAGACCCCATATCTATTACTTAAAACAAAAACAAAAATGTCACAGGCATACCTATTTATGGCATGCCTGCTCACCCTCCCTCTTCCCAGTGTAAGACGAGGGAAAGGTCACCTGCTGCTGTCGCCGGTGATGCTGCACTCTACAACAGGAGCTTTGGGCCTGTGCTCAAAATCGCGAACCACAGAACCGTCCACCGGATCCTCAAATCAACGGGAGAGAGAGGAGAAGAGAGTGGTCACTGCCGTGTTTGCTGAAGTCGTAAATCGAGGTCAACATTAGCCCTTAGCTTATCTCTGGTAGCAAAATCTGAGAACTCCAAGGTCCTGGGACTCTCACTCAGCTCCGAAAGAGGAAAGGACTTTGCAACATGTCCGTCCCCTGAGCGGGAAGGACACCCTTGCCATTCCTGGCATCCATGGGAAATTACCCCGCAATTCCAGACACCAGGTGGAAACTGGCCATGCTGGGGGCAGAGCTGCAAACAGATTGTGTTTTCCTTTCCTACTGGCCAAAAAGTCTTTGCAGAATCTAGCAATATCTTCCAGGCCGGGCGCGGTGGCTCACGACTGTAATCCCAGCACTTTGGGAGGCCGAGGTGGGTGGATCACCTGAGGTCAGGAGTTCAAGACCAGCCTGGCCAACATGGTGAAACCTCGTCTCTACTAAAAATATGAAAATTAGCTGGGTGTGGTGGCGCGCGCCTGTAGTCCCAGCTATTCATGAGGCTGAGGCAGGAGAATCGCTTGAACCCGGAAGTCGGAGGTTTCAGTGAGCTAAGATTGCGCCACTTCATTCCAGCCTGGGCGACAGAGCGAGACACCGTCTCAAAAAGAAAAGAAAATGATCGTCTTGGGTTGTGGGATCCAGGCCCCTGCACGCACTCTGGGCGGGCCGGGGCCAACTGAGGGCAGCGCCAGAATGATCAGTGTCCGTGGGGCTGCGCAGTTTTAGACTCGACAGTGACACCAAGTGGCCAAGAGCAGGAACAGCGGCTGTGCAGAGATCGGCCCACTCCCTCCACACTGGGCATTTAGAAGCACGACCCCATCCCTGTGGACCCAGACAATTTAAAGGGGAAATACTGGTTAGACTTCAAATGAACGAGGGAAAGGGGGTCTAATAAACAGTTGGAAAATAAAGGAGATGTGACAATATTTGGCGTCTACGTTTATGGTGAGTACATATCAGTATTTTGGTACAGTCCCAGTTTCATAAATGTATGTGGATGTTCGTGGAGAAGAAAAAAATACCTATGACAACATTTTCACAGCCGTTAACTTTGGGGTCATGGAAAGATGAGTTTTTTTCTTTCTTGTGTTTTCATGTGTTTCCTGTAATAAAATCATATTACCTTTGTAATAATATGAGAAAAACTACCAAACTTTTTTTTTTTTTTTTTGAGAGAGGGTCTTGCTCTATCACCCAGGCTGGAGTGCAGTGGCAAGAACACGGCTCACTGCACCCCTTGGCCTCCTGGGCCAAAGCCATCCTCCCATCTCAGCCTCCCAAGTCGCTGGGACCATAGGCACACGCCACCACGCCTGGCTAATTTTTTTGTTTTTGGTAGAAACAAGGTCTCACTATATTACCCAGGCTGGTCTCAAACTCCTTGGCTCAAGCGATCCTCCTGCCTCAACCTCCAAAAGTGCTGGGATTACAGGCGTGACTCACTGTGACCAGCCTTTTTTTTTTTTTTTTTTTTTTTTGACACTGGATCTCACTCTGTTGTTACCCAGGCTTGAGTGCAGTGGTGCAATTATGGCTCACTGCAGGCACCACCTCCTGGGCTCCAGCAATCCTCCCATCTCAACTTCCCGAGTAGCTGGGACTACAGAAGTGCACAACCATGCCTGGCTAATTTTTTATTTTTTATTTTATAGAGATGAGGGTCTTGCTACATTGCCCAGGCTGGTCTCAAACTCTTGGCCTCAAGCAACCCTCTCACCTCGGCCTCCCAAAGCACTGGGATTACAGACGTGGGCCATTGCACTCAGCTTTCAGGGAGACTTAAACCCTTTCTTAATCCTCTGGGGTGACTGAGAGACCCCAGGGGCAAGGGAGCCTCTCCCCTTGTCATTGCCCAGGGGATGGGATGGTAACTTGCCACCTGTGCAGTCCACCTTGCATCTTCCAATTCTCCCACGTTATTCCCGCCCCCCGGCCTTTTTTTTTTTTTTTTTTTTTTTTTTTTTGTATTTTTAGTAGAGACAGGGTTTCACCATATTGGCCAGCCTGGTCTCGAACTACTGACCTCGTGATCCACCCACCTGGGCCTCCCAAATTGCTGGGATTACAGGTGTGAGCCACTACGCCCGGCCCTTCTTTCCCCTTTTGAGTCGGCAGAAGGGCCCCCCGGGACTGCTGTCTGTGTTGGCCAAAGGGCTCTTGTCTCCATGAAGGGAAAGATGCCTGTTTTCACCTTGGTTGTTGTCCCAAGATTAGAGACCCTAATCTTGGAGAGGCCCTCGGTCCCCACAACAGCCTTCTTGCTCTCATTCCCTGCCTGTTCCATGCCCCATCCACAATGCAGGCACTGTCACCTCTGCCACCTCATATGCCCTCCTTCCCATGAGCCGTCCTTCTCCATGTCCCAGGAAGTGCATCCAAGTGTTCCCCACCCGCACCACAGACTGCTTCCAGCCCTCCTCCCTCCACCACTTTCTCCAGGCAGCCCCTCATCCCTGTGCTCCCTCCCTCTGCCCTCCTAGTGCCTTCGCCCCTTGTCCCATAAATCGCCACCTCTCCTCTGAGCCCCTGCCTTAGCTGGTCCCATTGGCTGCCACTCCAGAGACCTGTCTCCTCCCCTGGCTCTCTTCTTCCATCTTCGTCCCCCCCTGCTGGCTCCTTGAGACCCTCAGCTGTGGCTCCCACCATGCGCTCCATGTCCCTCCGTAGAGGGTGAACCCATAACCCTACACAGTCATCTCCTCTTGTCACAGTATCTTGGCCAAAATCTCCCCTGGCCTCCCCTCTCTGCCTCACCCACTGACCCCGTTTCCAGTCCCTGCCCCCAGCAACACCTCAAATCCAAATACCTTTTAAATCTTTTAAAAGCCCCTTTTCCTCTAGGTGCAGTGGCTCATGCCTGTAATCCCAGCACTTTGGGAGGCCAAGGCGGACAGATCACCTGAGGTCAGGAGTTTGAGACCAGCCTGGCCAACATGATGAAACCCCATCTCTACTAAAAATACAAAAATTAGCCGGGCGTGGTGGCAGGTGCCTGTAATCCCAGCTACTTGGGAGGCTGAGGCAGGAGAATCGCTTGAACTCAGGAGGCAGAGGTTGCAGTGAGCCGAGACCACGCCACTGCACTCCAGCCTGAGCAACAAGAGCAAAACGCCATCTCAAAAAAACAAACAAACAAAAAACCCTTTTCCCCTCATTGGAGATTATTGTGAATAACTTGGAAAGTCCATAAATGTACAGAGAAGCTGGGAAAAATATTCTTCATCCTATGCCCAATCTCCCTCTAATATATTGCCACCTTTTTTCTGGTCATTTAAAAATAAGTTTGGGGCTGGGTTTTGGTGGCTCATGCTGTATCCCAGTGTTTTGGGAGGCCAAGGAGGAAGGACGGCTTGAGGCCAGGAGCTCAAGACCAGCCCGGGCAACACAGGGAGATCCCATCTCTACAAAAAATGATAATATTAGCTGGGCATGGCAGCCTGTTCCTGCAGTCCCAGATACTCAGGAGGCTGAGGTGGGAGGATCACTTGAGCCCAGGAGGTTGAGGCTGCAGTGAGCCATAACTGCACCACTGCACTTCAGCCTGGGCAACAGAGTGAGATCCTGTGTCAAAAAAGAAAAAAAAAAAAACATGCTCCCACACCTGTAATCCCAGCACTTTTGGAGGCTGAGGCAGGAGAGTCGCTTGAGCCAAGGAGTTTGAGACCAGCCTGGGCAATGTAGTGAGACCCTGTCTCTACGAAAAACAAAAAAATTAGCCAGGCATGGTGGTGTGTGCCTGTGGTCCCAGCGACTTGGGAGGCTGAGATGGGAGGATGCCTTTAGCCCAGGAGGTAAAAGGTGCAGTGAGCTGTGTTCTTGCCACTGCACTCCAGCCTGGGTGATAGAGCAAGACCCTGTCTCAAAAAAAAAAAAAAAAAAATGTAAGTTTGGTAGTTTTTCTCATATTATTACAAAGGTAATATGATTTTATTACAGAAAACACAAGAAAGAAAAACATTCATCCTTCCATGACCCCAGAGTTAACAGCTGTGAATATGTTGGCATATGTCTTTTCTTTTTTTTTTTGAGACGGAGTCTCCCACCGTCGCCCAGGCTGGAGTGCAGTGGTGCGATCTCGGCTCACTGCAACCTCCGCCTCCCAGGTTCAAGCAATTCTCCTGTCTCAGCCTCCTGAGTAGCTGGGACTACAGGCACCTGCCACCACACCCAGCTAATTTTTGTATTTTTAGTAGAGACGGGGTTTCACCACATTGGTCAGGCTGGTCTTGAACTCCTGATCTCAGGTGATTTGCTCGCCTCGGCCTCCCAAAGTGCTGGGATTACAGGCATGAGCCACTGCGCCCAGCCGACGTGTCTTTTTTTCTTGTCCACACATGTCCGCATACATCTATGAAACTGGGACTTTGGTGGCCCATGCCTGAAGTTCCAGCACTTTGGGAAGCTGAGGCGGGAGGATTGCTTGAGGCCAAGAGTTTGAGACTAGCCTGGGCAATGTAGCAAGACCCTCATCTCTACAATATAAAATATAAAAAATTAGCTAGGTGTGGTGGTGCACTCCTGCAGTCCCAGCTACTCGGGGTGTTGAGATGGGGGGATTGCTTGAGTCCAGGAGGTTGAGGCTGCAGTGAGCCGTAATTGCACCACTGCACTCCAGCCTGGGTGACAGAGAAAGACTCTGTCTCTAAAACAAAACAAAGAAAAAATTCCTCTAGTGTTATCCTGTGGGCTGTGGGGGTGAGGCTCCCAGAGAAACCAGCAGTTTTTCTAACAAGATCTTGAGGCTCTGGGCTCTGTGGGCCAGGTGTCCATAAGGACAGCTACGGAGGGCGGGAGTGGAGGTGAGTTGAGCCCCGGGGCAGCCCCTTCACACAACTGGTCCTGTGCAGCATGGGCAGACCCAGGGAGGCCCAGGAGGTCATGCAACCCCCCAGGGTCACACAGCTGGTAAGTCCTAAACGTGGGGTCCACCACAAACCCTCCTGCCCAGTTGTCATGCCCTTGGCACAGATTATATCTTGTGGCTGTGTGTGTGTGTGTGTGTATGCATATTTTCTCCCATTTCCATTTCACAAAAGAGCAAGTATGAAGTTATAGGCCAATGGTCTTAAATTCATTAAAAACAAACAAACAAACAAAAACAGACAATAGTGGGGATTGACTGATAATGTCTCAAAAAAATCCTCTGTTCCAAACCCTTAAATCCTTTTGCCTGTACCATCCTAAGAACCACTCAACTGATGTCTTTATTTCCGATCTTCATGCGAGTATCTGTCCCCCTAGCAGGAAATACCAGAGAAAACATTCCCTTGAGGTCGTCTGTAGGGTGAGGGGCTATCCTCTTCCCCGTTACCCAAACCAGAACCCAGGAACCAGCCTCAACTCCCTCCACTCCTGTCCCTGAAGCCAGATGCTGCAAAACTCACAACTGACCGTCCTCTCCCATGAGTCCCAGCCCCAGCCACACAGCCTTCTGCAGCCTGGCCTCATGGCCACTGCCTTCCCCCAGCCCTGCTCCTCCCCAGCCCTCCTGAGTGATCTGCACTGCCTGGGCCTGCTGGCCATGCCCTGCAGTCCCCAGAAGGGCTCCAGGAGCCACCTCTGCAACCTCATGTGAACCTCACAGCCCCATCCCCGGTGCCCCTGCCTGCTGCACCTTGGGGTGCTGATCTGCACCCAGGCCTGCCTCTTCCAACCACCCCTCATGAACAGGTCCCAGGCCTGGACACCTTTCTGTCCTCTGTGACCACACAGACCTGGCCATCCAGTCTCTGTGGATGGAGCTCAGTTTTCCAGATGAGAAGGAGACCCAGAGAGATGACATCCTAGGCCCCAAACACAGCCAGGACTTCCGTTCTCTGACAGGTGTGTGGGGTGGCCGGGCACAGTGGCTCACACCTATAATCCCAACAATTTGGGAGGCCGAAGCAGGTAGATCACTTGAGGCCAGGAGTTTGATACCATCCTGGCCAACACAGTGAAACCCTGTCTCTACTAAAAATAAAAAATTAGCTGGGCATGGTGGCGTGCCTCTGTAGTCCCAGCTACTAGGGAGGCTGAGGCAGGAGAATCACTTGAACCCAGAGGCGGAAGTTGTAGTGAGCCGAGATCGTGGCACTATACTCCAGCCTGGGCGACAGAGCAAGACTCTGTCTCAAAAAAAAAAAAAAGAAAAGAAAAGAAAAGAAAGGAAAAAAAAAAAAGGTGTGGGGGCCAGGCACGGTGGCTCACACCTATCATCCCTGCACTTTGGTAGGCTGAGGCAGGTGGATCATCTGAAGTCAGGAGTTCGAGACCAGCCTGGCTAACGTGGTGAAACTCTGTCTCTACTAAAAAAATAAAATTAGCCAGGAGTAGTGGCACACACCTGTAGTCCTAGCTACTCAGGAGGCTGAGGCAGGACAATCACTTGAACCCGGGAGGCAGAGGTTGCAGTGAACTGAGATCACGCCATTGCACTCCATCTGGGCAACACTTGTTCTCAAAAACAAACAAACAAACAAAAGGGCCAGTCGCTGTGGCTCATGCCTATATTCCCAGCACTTCGGGAGGCCGAGGTGGGTGGATCACCTGAGGTCAGGAGTTCAAGACCAGCCTGACCAACATGGTGAAACCCCATCTCTACTAAAAAACACAAAAAAACAAAAAACAAAATTAGCTGGGTGTGGTGGCACATGCCTGAAATCCCAGCTACTTGGGAGGCTGAGGCAGCAGAATGGCTTGAACTCAGGAGGCGGAGGTTGCAGTGAGCCGAGATCACGCCATTGCACTCCAGCCTGGGTAACAAGAGCGAAACTCCGTCTCAAAAAAAAAAAAAAATGTGTGGCACTCTCAGTCCAGAGGTCTCCATCCCATTCCCACTGTTTCCAGGCCTGCAAGCTGGCAGCAGCCACCCTAACTTCGTCTAGGCTGGGCTCTCACCCTCTCCTCCTTCTGGCACTTTGCTCAGAAGACCTGCAAACCAGGACCCACAAGTGCCTGTGAGTTCAGTGCTGGGGAACTCGACACAGGAGGTGCCTAAGCTTAGGAAAGGTTTTCGCTCCAGGAGTACCTAACAGCCGGCCACCTACCCACAGCTTCACAGTGCAGTCATAGGAGCCACTGAGGAGCTTTGTGTCATCCACACAGAAGTGGCAGGTGCTCACAGCGTGCTCGTGCCCACTCAGAATTTTAAATGGGATCTGAAAAAAGGAGAGACCAGATGAGCTAAACATGTTGCAGGACACAAAATCAATGTACAACAGTTAATTATATTTCTAAACACTTGCAATAAACCACCCGGAAAAAAATGAATTTAAAAAATTCTGGCCAGGGGGGTGGTTCACGTCTGTAATCCCAGCACTTTGGGAGGCCGAGGCAGGCAGATCACCTGAGGTCAGGAGTTCAAGACCAGCCTGGCCAACATGGCAAAACTCCATCTCTACTAAAAATACAAAACTTGGCTGGGCATGGTGGCGCATGCCTATAATCCCAGCTACTCGGAGGCTGAGGCAGGAGAATCACTTGAATACAGGAGGCGGAGGTTGCAGTGAGCCAAGATTGCACCACTGCACTCCAGCCTGGGTGACAGAGTGAGATTCCATCTGAAAAAAAAAAAAAAAATTCTGGCTGGGCACGGTGGCTCATCCCTGTAATCCCAGCATTCTGGGAGGCTGGGGCAGGAGGACTGCTTGAGCCTAGGAGTTCAAGACCAGTCTGGGCAACATAGTGAGACTGTCTGTACAAAATTGGAAAAAAAAAAAAAAGAAGAAGAAAGAAAATGAGCCAGGCATGGTGGCTCACACTTGTAGTCCCAGCCACTCAGGAGGCTGAGGCGGGAGGACTACTTGAGCCCAGAAGGTTAACGTTACAGTGAGCTATGATTGCAGCACTGCACTCCAGCCTGGGTGACAGAGCAAGACCCTGCCTTTAAATAATAAAAATTAAAATTTTAAATGGGCAAAGGATTTGAATAGATATATCTCCAAAGAAGATATGCAAGGGCGGGATGTGGTGGCTCACAATTATAATCTCAGCACTTTGGGAGGCTGAAGCAGGCGGATCACTTGAGGCCAGGAGATTAAGACCAGCCTGGCCAACATGGCAAAACCCCATCTCTACTAAAAAATAAAAAATAAAAATAAATAAATTAGCCAGCCATCGTGGTGTGCTCCTGTAATCCCAACTACTCAGGAGGCTGAGTCATGAGAATTGCTTGAACCCAGGAGGCGGAGGTTACAATGAGCTATGATCATGTCACTGCACTCCAGCCTGGGTGACAGAGTGAGAACTGTCTCAAAAAGAAAAAATAAAAATAGTTGATAGCACATGAAAAGATTCTCAGCATGACTCACCACATCAGGAAAGTGCAAATGAAAACCATAGTGTGGCCGGGCGCGGTGGCTCATGCCTGTAATCCCAGCACTTTGGGAGACCGAGGCAGGCGGATCACCTGAGGTCAGGAATTCAAGACCAGCCTGGCCAACATGGCAAAACCCCATCTCTACTAAAAATACAAAAATTAGGCCAGGCACGGTGGCTCATGCCTATAATCCCAGCACTTTGGGAGGCTGAGGTAGGTGGATCACCTGAGGTTGGGAGTTTGAGACCAGCCTGACCAACATGGAGAAACCCCGTCTCTACTAAAAATACAAAATTAGCCAGGCATGGTGGCGCATGCCTGTAATCCCAGCTACTCATGAGGCTGAGGCAGGAGAATCGCTTGAACCCGGGAGGCGGAGGTTGCAGTGAGCCGAGGTCGTGCCATTGCACTCCAGCCTGGGCAACAAGAGCAAAACTCCATCTCAAAAAAAAAAAAAAAATTAGCCGAGTGTGGTGTTGGGCACCTCTAATCCCAGCTACTTGGGAGGCTAAGGCAGGAGAATCGCTTGAACCTGGGAGGTAGAGGCTGCAGTGAGCTGAGATCATGCCACTGCACTCCAGCCTGGGTGACAGAGCAAGACTTCGTCTTAAAAAATAAAAGAAAAGAAAGAAAGAAAGAAAGAAAAGAAAACCAAAGTGTGATACTGTGTCATATTTGTTAGGATGGCTATCATCAAAGTCCCATAACAAGTGTTGGCAAGGATGCCAATAGTTGGAAACCTCCTACATTGCTGGTAGGAACGTAAAGTAGTGCAGCCACTTTGAAAAACGGGCGGTTCGGCCAGGCGCAGTGGCTCACGCCTGTAATCCCAGCACTTTGGGAGGCCAAGGTGGGTGGATCACCTGAGGCCAGGAGTTCAAGACCAGCCTGGCCAACATGGTGAAACCCCGTCTCTACTAAAAGTACAAAAATTAGCCGGGCATGGTGGCACATGCCTGTAAGCCCAGCTACTGGGAGACTGAGACTGGAGAATCGCTTGAACCTGGGAGGCAGAGGCTGCAGTGAGCCAAGATCACGCCACTGCACTCCAGCCTGGGCAACAGAGCGAGACTCCATCTCAAAGAAAGAGAAAATGTGTCATGGCCATGCAACAGAATATTACTTGGTAATGAAAAGGGAAGGGAGCACTGCTACAGGCTACAACATGGATGAACCTTGAGGACGTTAGCTAAGGAAATGAAGCCAGTCACAAGAGACCACGTATGGCTTGATTCTATCGCTATAAAAGGTCTAGAATAGACAAATCTATGGACAGAAAGCAGAATTGCCTGGTGTCGGCAGGATGGGTATTGGGGAACTGGGGAGTACAGTACTCTGAATACCCTAGAAACCACTACAGCTTCTATGGTTAAATTATATGGTACGTGAATTATATCTCAGTAAAACTGGGGGGAAAAAAAGAGGACAGAGCAGGGAAGCCTGAAGATGTCACCCCCCCCACCCACCCACCCCAGCTCGCGCATGGCGACACGTCCCAGGTTGAGCTGCGGAAGTGTGGGGGTGGGGGAAATGTTGGAGGCAAGACCAGGGGTGTGGCCTGGAAGGCAGTGTCAGGGTGCTGGGCTGAGTTGGCAGGAGGACAGGGGTGAGGGGATGCGACGGTTCAGGGCGGCGGTGGCCTTCCGGTTGCAGGTGATGCGGGGCGGGGGGGGGGGTGTCGGGGACGTGCAGGTGGAGATGCAGGGGATGAGATGATACCCCGCCTCTAGGGGGCTCGGGGACACGAGGACACTGGAACGCGGGCTCCGTTGCCAGGGAGCGTGGAGAGCTGGGACCGGGCTTTTCTCCGGGGGAGTTCGCTAACCCCGTCGGGCCAGGCCGGGGCCGCGCGTGCAGGGTTGGCTCCCTACCCCAGGAGCGGCCCCAGTCCCCGGGACATGACCTGCGCGGCCCTCCCGCACCGCCCCCGCCTCTGGCGACCCCAGCCCCTGCCGCCCCTGCAGGGTTTGGGTTATCTCTCTCATTAGGAAAACCCAACTATCATTAAAAATTGAAATTAAATTGGCTGGGTGCAGTGGCTCACGCATGCAATTCCAGTGCTTTGGGAGGCCCAGGAGTGAGGATTGCTTGAGGCCAGGAGTTTAAGACCAGCCTGGGCAACATGGCGAGACTCCCCCTCTCTACAAAAAAAATCAAAATTAAAATTAATAATTTAAAAAATATATAATTTAATTTAAAAAATAGGAAAACAAAAAACCTAGAACTCCATCATGGAAAAACATTAGCAAGAGGGGGGAACCATTCCGCTACCCCCACCACAGGCTTTTCTGGGGCTCTCGTTTCAGGTTTTTTTCTGCACACAGTCCCTTGGGATCCACTAGGTAAAGGGGTCCCAGGGGCTGCAGAGAGAAGTCCCCAACACATGAGTACATTTCAGAGGTGCTGACAAAGCTCATGCAGAGGACAGAGCAAAAACAAAACGGTTCTTCTATGCGTAGCGTTCATTCACATATTCCACAAATAAACCTCAAGAGCCTCCTCCCCCATGGGGCCTGGACCTGATGCTGCAGCTCAGCAGCCACCTAGGAGCAAAGTCCCTAACCTCGAGGGGCCAGTTGCTGGCAGCCAGAGGACACCTTGAGGACGGAACGGGGATGTCAGACCATGGCATGAGGCACGGAGGAGACAGTGGCCCTGGCTACTTTAGACGGGCGGTCAGGGAGGGCCTCCCCAAGAGCGCAATACCGTGGGGGCAGGGAACCGCCAAGATCCCTGAGGCCAGACCTGCTTGTAGGTCAGCAAGACAGGGGGATGGGGGAGGAGAACATGGAGAGGTGCCAGATTTGAAATGGCCTGGAAGGCCACAGGCAGATCGCCAGACTTCATCTTAAACATGCTGGGAAGCCAGGCAGAGGTTTCGAGGAAATTATTAAAAACACACTCTGACATCTGCATGTGAGTGCAATAAATCAAGGCCAAGCATGAAACGCTACTTATTGAGAATGTTCTTTATTGGGTTTTTGTTTTGTTTTGTTTTTGAGATGGAGTGAGATGATCTCAGCTCACTGCAACCTCTGCCTCCCGGGTTCAAATGATCTTGCTGCCTCAGCCTCCTGAGTAGCTGGGATTACAGGCACGCACCACCATGCCTGGCTAATTTTTGCATTTTTAGTAGAGAAAGGGTTTCACCATGTTAGCCAGGCTGGTCTCGAACCCTTGACCTCAAGTGATCTGCTCATCTCGGCTTCCCAAAGTGCTGGGATTACAGACATGAGCCACTGCACCCAGCCAGTTTTTCTTTCTTTCTCCTTCTTTCTTTCTTTTTCTTTTTCTTTCTTTCTTTCTCTCTCTCTCTCTATATTTATTTATTTATTTATTTATTTATTTATTTATTTATTCTGGAGACAGTCTCGCTCTGTTGCCCAGGCTGGAGTGCAGTGGCACAATCATAGCTCACTGCAGCCTTAAACTCCTGGGTTCAAGGGATCCTCTTGCCTCAGCCTTTCAAGTGGCTGGGACCACAGGTGCGCCCCATCACACTGGGCTAAGTTTATTTCTTGTAGAGACGACCTCTCACTATGTTGCCCAGGCTGGTCTCAAACTCCTGGGCTCAAGTGATCCTCCCACCTGGGCCTCCCAAAGGGCTGGGATTACAGGTGTGAGCCACCTTGCCTGGCCCAATTCATTGTTGTTATTATTATTCTGAGTTTCCCGTTTCTTCTGACGCTAACTGTATCTCCTGGACGGGGAGAGCTGAGCCACCGACCCTTGGGCTGCAATTAGGAGCATCACTGTGGGTGGGCCTACCTACGGAGACTCCAAGGTCTAGATGGGGTCACATGGTGGGGCAGAGCCTCCTCCCAGCGAAGAGTCCTGGTTCCCCAGCAGGTGGCAGTGCGGGGAGCCCCCGCCGGCATCCCCAGCACGCCCTGCTCAGGTGGGTCTGACCTTTGCCCACAGATGTACCACAGATGGGGAAATGGGCCTAGGGCCTCGCTGGGGGTCCTGGTGAAGCCAGGTGGGTTTTCCATGGGTCCCCCGACAGCTCGAGCGCCTTCCTCCCGTGTGGGGAACAGGCCAGTGCCCCCTCACCCCAGCGGCGGTTCTGACCTTGGAGAGAGGGTCCTGGTCGCCCCAGATCAATTTCTCCGGCACCTGGTGCTTCTCAGGCAACAGATGCGGTGGTGGTTCCCTGTCCAAGGCCAGGGGGTCGAGGGTGGCCAGCAGGTGCGTGTGCGGGATCGACAGCTTGAAGCGGCCTAAGGCCCTCGCCATGGTCCCCCAGGACAGCTTGCCGGGACAATACTCGCTGGCGGGGGCGGAGGGTGGCGGCAACTTGCATTCCCTGTCATGGGCTGTCGGGGAGCACCGCGGCGGGGAGGCCATCTCGAAGCCCGGTCCGCCGGTGGCCGCCGACAAGCCTGGATGGGAACGGTGGCGCCGCGCGCCCGCGCCCGCGCCCGCACCAAGCCCTTCGGAGGCGCGCGCTACGCTGGGCCCGCGACTTCGCTGCCTCCTCGCCCGCTGGGTGAAAACTAGTGCCACCCCGCGCAGCACAGGTTACCTATAGAAAAATGGGCTTTGCAGCCGGGCGCGGTGGCTCACGCCTGTAATCCCGGCACTTTGGGAGGCCGAGGCGGGCGGATTACCTGAGGTCAGGAGTTGGAGACCAGCCTGGCCAACAGGTTTAGTGAAACCCCATCTTTACTTAAAAAAAATAATAACAAAAATTAGCCAGGCATGGGGGCGTGCGCCTGTAGTTCCAGCTACATGGGAGGCTGAGGCAGGGGAATGGCTTGAACCCAGGAGGTGGAGGTTGCAAAAAAAAGAAAAATGGGCTTTGCATTCTGGGAACCAGGCCGAGCCAGCAAAACCAGCACCCCAGCCTCCAGCCCTCCGCTGTGGTTTCCCTGGCTCCTGTCACAGGGCAATTTCTTCATGTCCTCTGCCTGGGTACAGCTCCTGGCCAACCCACTTCATGACAAAACAGAAAAGGTCAGTAAGTTATGGGGTAGCCCCTGCATGAAATAAGATGCAGTTATTAGGGGTGGGTTTACAACATTTATAATAGATGAGGGAAATATCTGTCACAACCCCAACAACAGTGACAGGGAATAAAATGCTACCACCAGTCAGATAACAGCCCCATAGCTAGAAAAGGACAGGGTGGAATTATTCAAAATATTGAAGAAGGGTGTCATCTTTGGATGATAAAACTAAAAGTGATTTTCTTCCTTCTTTTTTTTTTTTTTTTTTTTTGGTGGAGACAAGAGTCTGTCACCCAGGCTGGATTGCAGTAGCGCAATTTCGGCTCACTGCAACCTCCACCTCCAGGGTTCAAAGGATTCTCGTGCCTCAGCCTCCCACACAGCTGGGATTACAGGTGTATGCTCACCAGACCTGGCTAATTTTTTTGTATTTTTAGTAGAGACAAGGTTTCGCCATGTTGGCCAGGCTGTTTTTGAACTCCTGGCCTCAAGTGATCCGCTGGCCTCGGCCTCCCAAAGTGCTGGGATTACAAGCATGGGCCACCGCACCCGGCCTCTTCCTTCTTTCTGCTTTTAAAATTGTTGTGATCTATGATGCTACTTTCATAATGTAAAATACAAATGCTCAATACTTTATTTTTTGTGGAGACAGGGGTCTCTATGTGGCCCAGGCTGGTCTGGAATTCCTGGGCTCAAGCAATCCTCCCGCCTCGGCCTCCCAAAGCTCTGGGATTACAGGCATTAGCCATCACACCTGGTCTGCACTTTATTTTTCAAAAAGGTCTCCTTGGTACACATGAGGTGGCCTCAGAGCAGGGAGCTGCAGCCGTGTAACCCAGGCTGTGGGTGCACATTCTCCTGCCTGGTTTCCCTGCCTGTCTCAGACACTTTAGTGACATCTACCCTGAGAGGCTGAGGCCCCCTGCCAGGCCCTGGCTCTGCCCTCCCATGGGGCTTCCTGGGCACCAACAGTAACCCAGCCACCCAGAGAGGGAAGAGCTTCACTCCCAAAAAACGGCAGGAGGGGCCGCAACCGCCCCTTCTCACACGCTTGTCCTTCAGTGAGTCCAGGCTGTCTTCATCACAAAACCAGAGAGAAGCCTTCACTTTTAACTTCTTTTTTAACGTCCCAGGAAATTTTTTAAAAATCAAGAAGAAAATAGAAAAATTCCACTTTAATTAAACTGTTCAGTCTGGATTTTTTTCCCCCGATACTAACTGAAATTAAAAATAGAAATCAATTTCTGCGACCTTTCAAGGCAGTCTTTGAAATGTCAAGGTTTTAAAAATTATTTTACAGCAGGAATTTACATATAAATACACTCTGTACAATGCGTTAACTGAACAATCACTGGGCTTCCATCATGGAGGAGAAATGATTCTAGGACGAGCCAGGGCAGCATTCAATTACTGCCTTCTTAGTGGAAGACTTTTCAGCCTGGAAAAGAAAACAGAAAAGAGAGAAATGGAAAGTTAGCTAAAGTGAAAAACCAAACAGCTCCGTGGAGGCTGAGAATGCCAGGCCTCCCCATATCACAGCAGCATGTCTGCACCTACAAAATGCACTCACAATAACCCACAATGAAGTACTGCCTAATCTGTGCTTTTTTTTTTTTTTCCCCCGAGATGGAGTCTCACTTTTGTCGCCCAGGCTGGAGCGCAGTGGTGCGATCTCAGCTCACTGCAACCTCCGCCTCCCAGGTTTAAGCAAGTCTCCTGCCTCAGCCTCCAGAGTAGCTGGGATTACAGGCACATGCCACCATACCCAGCTAATTTTTGTATTTTTAGTACAGATGGGGTTTCACCATGTTGGCCAGGCTTGTTTCGAACTCCTGACTGTGATCTGCCCGCCTCGGCCTCCCAAAGTGCTGGGATTACAGGCATGAGCCACCGTACCCGGCCAATCTGTGTTCTTAAAATGCTTCTTCTATTACCCTGAAAACACACAGAGACTCACTCACCCACACCTCGTATTAAGACCACTTATAAAAGCAACTTTTTTCCCTAGTCTTATTTAGCCTTGAGAATACAAGCAATTTTTAATCTCAGTTTCACTCACCTACCGCATCCGTTGCATGACCCTTGGGAAGGAACTAAAATACATTCACTCCAGGGCCCAAAGCATCCAAGTTGTCTTTTTTTTTTTTTTAATTTTTTTATAGAGACAGGGTCTCCCTATATTACCCGAGCTGGTCTTGAACTCCTGGGCTCAAGCGATCCTCCCATCTTGACCTCCCAAGGTATTGGGATTACAGGCATGAGCCACCATGCCCAGCCCCCAAGTTGTCAGTCTTAAATCTGAATTTCTTTTCTTTTTTTTTTTTTGAGACAGAGTCTCTGTCACCCAGGCTGGAGTACAGTGGCGCGATCTCGGTTCACTGCAACCTCCACCTCCCAGGTTCAAGCGATTCTCCTGCCTCCACCTCCTGAGTAGCTGGGACTACAGGCACGTGCCACCACGCCTGGCTAGTTTTTTTAGTAGAGATGGGGTTTGGGGTTTCATTGTGTTAACCAGGATAGTCTCGATTTCCTGACCTCATGATCCGCCTGCCTCGGCCTCCCAGAGTGCTGGGATTACAGACGTGAGATACCGCACCTGGCCTAAATCTGAATTTCATACATATAGGAATGTTCGTGGCAGTTCTATTTGAAACAGAGCTGGGTCACACTGGCTGAAAATCCCTGCTCCACAGACTCAAAGTAAAAAACCCAGTATCCACACAACAGAAGAGATAAACATACCGTGGTGTGCTCACAAGAAGGAATCTTCCACAGCAATGACTACAAGCCCCTCACTGCTGCCTACCATCATCTGAAGGAATCTCAGAAGCCAGACACTCAAAGAATTCACACAACACCCTTCTTCCCAATAAAGATAAAACTGGCAAGAGCAGGCCTGCGCAGCGGCTCACGCCTGAGGCTGAGGCAGGAGGATCACTTGAGGCCAGGAGTTCGAGACCAGTTTGGGCAACATAGGAGATCCCATCTCTACAAAAAAGATTTTTTTAGGCCGGGTGTGGTGGCTCACGCCTGTAATCCCGGCACTTTGGGAGGCCAAGGCAGGCGGATCACCAGGTCAGGAGATTGAGACCATCCTGGCTAACACGGTGAAACCCCGTCTCTACTAAATATACAAAAAATTAGCTGGACGTGGTGGCGGGTACCTGTAGTCCCAGCTACTCAGGAGGCTGAGGCAGGAGAATGGCGTGAACCCAGGAGGTGGAGCTTGCAGTGAGCCAAGATCGCGCCACTGCACTCCAGCTTGGGTGACAGAGCAAGACTCTGTCTCAAAAAAAATGATTTTTTAAAAAAATTAGCTGGGTGTGGTGGTGCACACTTACAGTCCCAGCTACTCTGAAGGCTGAGGTGGGAGGATCCCTTGAGCCGGAGAGGCAGAGTTTACAGTGAGCTGTGATCAGGCCACTGCACTCCAGCCTGGGTCACAGAGCGAGACTCTGTCTCAAAAAATAAAATAAAATTCATACCCTATAAATATATGCTATATAAAATTATATTACTTATATTTAAAATGTGCACAAAAATCTGTATATAGGCCAGGCATGGTGGTTCACACCTGTAATCCTGGCACTCAGAGGCCAAGGTGGGTGTATCACCTGAGGTCAGGAGTTTGAGACCAGCCTGGCCAACATGACGAAACACTGTCTCTACTAAAAAAATACAAAATACAAAAATTAGCTGGGTGTGGGGGCGGGTGCCTGTAATCCCAGTTGCTTGGGAGGCTGAGGTAGGAGAACTGCTTGAACCCGGGAGGCAGAGGTTGCACTGAGCCAAGATCGCACCACTGCACTCCAGCCTGGGTGACAGAACGAGACTCGTCTAAAAAAGAAACAAACAATGTGTATGTGCATCCATGTACGTGAGTGTGTATGTGTGTGTGTGTGGTTGCACAAAAAAGGTCTTAAAGGTTACATATGAAACTGATGGCAGAAGTTACTGTGGAGAAAGTAGAGGTTTGGAGAACTAGTCAGGGCTCCTTTAAGCATTGGCTGTAAGGTCTGAATTTTCTTTTCTTTTTTTTTTTTTTTTTATTGAGACAAGAGTCTCGCTCTGTCGCCCAGGCTGGAGGGCAGTGGCACAATCTCGGCTCACTGCAAGCTCCGCCTCCCAGGTTGACGCCATTCTCCTGCCTCAGCCTCCCCAGCAGCTGGAACTACAGGCACACGCTCCACGCCCAGCTAATTTTTGTATTTTTAGTAGAGACGGGGTTTCTCTGTGTTAGCCAGGATGGTCTCGAGCTCCTGACCTTGTGATCCACCCGCCTCGGCCTCCCAAAGTGCTGGGATTACAGGCATGAGCCACCGCGCCTGGCCTGAATTTTCATAATGATAATATATTCACATATCACTTACATAATTAGATATTCAAACTTTTTAAAAAGCCTAGTTAATACACACATTTTTTTTTTTCTTTTAGGGAGAGGGTCTTGCTCTATCACCCAGGCTGGAGTGTAGTGGTACGATAGTGGCTCACTGCAACCTCCAACTCCCGGGCTCAACAGATCCTCCCACCTCAGCTTCCCAAATAGCTGGAGGCACAGGTGTGCACCACCACGCCCAGCTAATTTGTTTTTTGTTTGTTTGTTTGTTTGTTTTTGTAGAGCTGGGGTCTCACTATGTTGCCCAGGCTGGTCTCAAACTCCTGGGCTCAAGCGATCCTCCTGCCTCAGCCTCCCAAAGTGCTGGGATTATAGGCGTGAGCCACTGCACCCGGCCTACCAGTTTTTCATTTCTGATATTTGCCTCTAAGCAAACACATCAAGCACTCAATAAGCCTCTAAAGGTTTCTGAAAAACCCTCCATCTCCCACTACCCACCGTCTCAGCAGCTCCTGGGGCGACACGTCTGCGGTTTCCTCGTCACTCTGGCTGTCGCTGCTGTCGGAACTCTCGGAGCTACTACTTTTCTCTGGTTTTTTATTCTTTTGCTTGCCTTTGTGTTTGTGCTTCCTGTGTTTCTTTTTCTGTAAAAAACAAATAGTGGTGGGGGAAAACAAATGTATTTTTTCCTCCTTAATTCAATACAATGAAAGGTTAACAAGGCTGCAGTGATGGAGTCATTCAAAAAAATGTTTAAACCTCATTTAGAGTGAGTGAGAGTGAGAGCCTAACAAGACAGCACAGGGCAGACGGCTGTGCCACTCTCAACTGCGCACCCTGACCCAGCTGCGCCTCCAGCAACAGACACAGCAGAACCAAGAAGGCGCAGACAGGACCTATCGTAACACTTGGTGTCATAAGACGTGACACCACACATCTTATGCATGGTGACCTGTGCCACCTCCGGTGAACCTGACTTGTTTATTTTGTCAGACCCCTGGGAAACTTCATGTCAGGATGACGGGCACCCAGGAAAACCACAAGGAAGAAACTGGCAGAAGGTTACCGAACAGCAGATACACTGGTAAGGACACACAGATTTGGTCGGCACACATTTTCTTCCTTTCACTAGGAGGGAACGCCCGTCATCCGCCATACGTGGGAGTGCTTCCCTCTGGTGGCCAGTAAGGAAACTGTTTCTAATTTCTTCAGCACCTAGCCCAGACTACTTTGGGTACCCAACAAGAACATTAACCTAATTAAAAGCCTGTGCTGAAACCCAAAAGAAGACATGGTTGATGAAATAAGAGACGTCAACAGTGGGAGCACATGCCTGCCTTCCATTCGAATTCTTTTACTTCAAACGGCAAGTGACGGACTAAAATCTCAAACTAATAAAGACAAAGTAGCTGAGAAATGCTGAAAATAATACCTTCACTTAACATTGAATAAATAAGAAATAAATTGTTTTATTATTTAATATTCACCCATTGCTCTAAGATCCCTAAATGCCCTTTTTTCTGCTTTTTAATGTTCACAAAAAAAGTTTTTTTAAGGGCTGGGCATGGTGCCTCATGCCTGTAATCGCGGCACTTTGGGAGGTAGATCACCGGAGGTCAGGAGGTCAAAACCAGCTTGGCCAACATGGTGAAACCCCATCTCTACTAAAAATACAAAAAATTAGCCGGGTGTGGTGGTGCACACCTGTGGTCCCAGCTACTCAAGAGGCTGAAGCAGGAGAATTGCTTGAACCCAGGAGGTAGAGGTTGCAGCTGAACTCCATCCACCCTAGGCAACAGAGTGAGACTCCATCTCAAAAAAAAAAAAAGCGGGGGGGCGTTTAAGTGCAAAAGAAAATGTTTCTGAAAAATCAAGCATTTGAATTGAATGTCAACATTTCTGTTAAGTCTCAGAGAGAACTGTGACTTGGCCACCAGATCCGCTCTTCAGCTGCAGTATATGACACTCCTGGGGGCTGACCAGCGGGTCCCACCCCACACTGATCCTGGGGTACACACAAGTCTCTCACCTTCTCTTTCTTCCGCCTGTGCTCTTTCTTGGCCTTGTGCTTGTCTTTGTTCTTTTTATGTTTCTCTTTTTGAGGAACCTCAAGTGTCTGACGAGCATCTGAAACACAAAGGTAATAAACACAGGACCTATATAGCACGAAAACAAAGACTATCCAAAACTAAGCTCCTAAACTGCTGAATCAGGCATCTAGTGTAGATGGAATGTTTAACACTGAGGAAGAACTCCTGCCCTTGGATTAGCTTCTGCCTCACTGAGAAACAGATTAGCACACCACCTTGCAGAGTTGTACTTAGAAAGCTGTCAGAGACCTCAACAAAGACCTGTGTGATCCAATCAGTATCCTGCCGTGACCCCAGCTGCCAGATGCAGATAAAGTCGGACCAGAAAGCCCACAAAGCCTTTTGTAATCCAACATCATCAGATAAGCTCAGAAACAGACCAAAATTGGAACTCAGCTCTGCTGCCAGCACTGTGATCTTCGACACGTCGCCTAACCTCTCCCACGCCCAGTTTCCCCAACTATAAAATGGGGACAATAAGAATCCCAATCCTTTTAGGGACACAGACTAGACTAGACAGGGCCATGTCCATGATTCTCGAAGCTCAGAATCTGGCACCTAAATGTTAGCTCTTCTTATATCCTCCTCTCTCTACAAAAACGTATTTTATAAGAATTTGTCTTACAAGTGGAAACACTGAAAAAACTACCATCAAAACAACATAATGGGCTGGGAGCGGTGGCTCATGCCTGTAATCCCAACACTTTGGGAGGCCCAGGCAGGAGGATCCTTGACCTCAGGAGTTCAAGGCCAGCCTGGGCAACATAGTGAGACCCTATCTCTACCTAACTTTAAAAAATAATAATAATGTATATAATCATTAAAAATCATTAAAGAATTTGCATGTGCCTCAATTCTCCATCTCCAAATTCAGACCAAAATGTTTTCATAGGTCATTAATTTCTGGGTAACTAAATCAACAAAATTTCACAATAGTAGAAGCAGTGAAAGGCATTAAATCAATTTTTTTCACCTAAAGAAAAGTTTCGGCCAGGAACGGTGGCTCATGCCTGTAATCCCAGCACTTTGGGAGGCTGAGGTGGGCGGATCACTTGAGGTCAGGAGTTCAAAATCAGCTTGGCCAACACGGTGAAACCCTGTCTCTATTAAAAATGCAAAAATTAGATGGGCGTGGTGGCATGCATCTGTAATCCCCACTACTCAGGAGGCTGAGGCAGGAGAATCACTTGAACCCAGGAGGCAGAGGCTGCAGTGAGCCGAGATCGTGCTACACTCCAGCCTGGGTGACAGAGCAAGAATCCTTCTCAAAAGAAAAAAAAGAAAAAAAGAAAAAAAAAAGGAAAGTTTCAAGATGTTTTGTAAGGGTGAATATTTTCTCAACTCAGTTAACAGATGCCTGCAATTTTGTAGTCCTATTTCTTTATTTATTTTTTTTTTTAGGTTCTCGCTCTGTCTCCCAGACTGGTGGGCAATGGTGCAATCACAGCTCATTACAGCCTTGACCTCGGTTCACATATCCTCCTACCTCGGCTTCCCGAGTAGCTGGGACTACAGGCATGTACCACCATACCCGGCTAATTTTTTAATTTTTTTGTGGAAGTGAGAGTCTCCCTATGTTGCCAAGGCTGTTATCGAACTTTTGGACTCAAGGGATCCTCTGACCTTAGCCTCCCAAAGTGCTGGGATTACATGTGTGAGCTACCATGCCCAACCAGATTTTTCAAAATTCAACCTCCCAAAACTTTTTTTTTTTCCAAAATTCTTTTAATTTTTTTTTTTTGAGACAGAGTTTCACTCTTGTTGCCCAGGCTGGAGTGCAATGGTGCGATCTCAGCTCACCCCAACCTCTGCCTCTCAGGTTCAAGCGATTCTCCTGCCTCAGCCTCCCAAGTAGCTGGGATTACAGCCATGTGCCACCATGCCTGGCTAATTTTGTATTTTTAGTAGAGATAGGGTTTTTCCATGTTGGTCAGGCTGGTCCCAAACTCCCAACCTCAGGTGATCCGCCCACCTTGGCCCCCACAAAGTGCTGGGATTACAGGCGTGAGCCACCGTGCCCAGCTATTTATTTATTTATTTATTTATTTATTTATTTATTTATTTATTTTTGAGACAGCATCTCGCTTTGTCACCCAGGCTGGAGTGCAGCAGTGGGATCATAGCTCACTGTAGCCTCCACCTCCTGAGCTCAAGCAATCCTCCCACTTCAGCCTCCTGAGTAGCTGGGACCACAGGCATGTACCACCACACCAGGCTAATTTTTTTCTTTTTTATTTTTTTAAGAGATACAATCTCTCTATGTTGCCCAGGCTGGCCTCAAACTCCTAGACTCAAGTAATTTTCCCACCTCAGCTTTCCAAAGTGCTAAGATTATAGGCGTGAGCCACCGCACTCAGCCCAAAACTTTTTTTTAACACTAGTTTTTTTCAAAAATCATTTCCCTAAATAACCCATAGACCAAATTAAGTCACTATTACGAGGGTATCAAAGACATTATGGTAAAGGGACATAAAAGACTTGGCTTTCAAGTGCTGATACCAGTTTGAAACTAAAGAGCCGGCCGGGCGTGGTGGCTCACGCCTGTAATCCCAGCACTTTGGGAGGTTGAGGCGGGCAGATCACAAGTTCAGGAGATCGAGACCATCCTGGCTAACATGGTGAAACCCCATCTCTACTAAAAATAAAAAAATTAGGCAGGCGTGGTGGCAGGCACCTGTAGTCCCAGCTAGTTGGGAGGCTGAGGCAGGAGAACGGCGTGAACCTGGGAGGCGCAGCTTGCAGTGAGCCAAGATTGCGCCACTGCACTCCAGCCTGGGTGACAGAGCGAGACTCCGTCTCAAAAAAAAAAAAAAAAGAAACTAAAGGGCCGAACAACCAGGCCACAGTGGCTCACGACCGTAATCCCAACACTTTGGGAGGCTGAGGCAGGTGGATCACTTGAGGTTAGAAGTTCAAGACCAGCCTGACCAACATGGTAAAACCCCGTCTCTACTAAAAATACAAAAAATTAGCCAGGCACCTGTAATCCCAGTTACTCCAGAGGCTGAGGAAGGAGAATCACCTGAACTTGGGAGGTGGAGGATGCAGTGAGCCGAGATCGCGCCACTGCACTCCAGACTGGGTGACAGAGTGAGACTCTGTCTCAAAACAAAACAAAATAAAACAAAAGTGCTGAACAACTATAGCAAATAAGAAATACATTCACTGCAATTTGTCAAAACTTCATACTTTTTTTCTCTGCTTTTTAATCCTGTCTTTGAAAGCAGTTAGCTAATCAAACCAGTATTCACATATGGGCACCATGAGAAACTATAAAGTGAATAATGATATTTTTATGTTAGTTATATATCTGGGCCATGTTATAGATGTTTGTAAACCCAGCCCTCAAAGAGATGATAAACCAGTGTAAATGTTTTAACTTGAAATGCCAATTTAAGATGCAACTAAATGGAAGTTGTTGACAGATATTTGGGGAACAGAATGGGGGATAGATTGTATTTACTTCTGAGAGGACCATTTTATTGTATTTGCTACATTAGCTAAAGTAAAAAGGAGACTTGGCGGCCGGGTGCGGTGGCTCACGCCTAAAATCCCAGCACATTGGGAGGCTGAGGCGGGCAGATCACCTCAGGTCAGGAGTTCGAGACCAGCCTGACCAATATGGAGAAACCCCATCTCTACTAAAAATACAAAATTAGCCAGCCATGGTGGCACATGCCTGTAATCCCAGCTACTTGGGAGGGTGAGGTAGGAGAATCGCTTGAACCCAGGAGGTGGAGGTTGCGGTGAGCCGAGATTGCGCCATTGCACTCCAGCCTAGGCAACAAGAGCAAAACTCCATCTCAAAAAAAAAAAAAAAAGAAAAGAAAAGAAAAAGAAAAAGACAAAAAAAGGAGGCTTGGCTGCGTGCAGTGGTTCACGCTTGTAATTCCAGCACTGTGGGAGGTTGAAGTGGGTGGATCACTTCAGCCCAGAAGTCATGCAGTGAGCTATGACAGCACCACTACACTCCAGCCTAGGTGACAGAGTGAGACCCTGTCTGAAAAATAAATAAATAAATAAATAAAATTTTAAAAATATATTAGTCTTAAATACTCTTCTTGCAATTCCCCTCCAATTTTGTATACTATTTTTTTAATTTCTCTTTTTCTTTTTTAATTTTTTTTAAATTAATTAATTTATTTATTTTTTGAGACGGAGTCTTGCTCTGTCGCCCAGGCTGGAGTGCAGTGGTGCGATCTTGGCTCACTGCAAGCTCCGCCTCCCAGGTTCACGCCCTTCTTCTGCCTCAGCCTCCCCAGCAGCTGGGACTACAGGCACATGCCACCACGTCCGGCTAATTTTTTTGTATTTTTAGTACAGATGGGGTTTCACCGTGTTAGCCAGGATGGTCTCGATCTCCTGATCTCGTGATCTGCCCACCTCGACCTCCCAAAGCGCTGGGATGACAGGCGTGAGCCACCGTGCCCACCCTTTTTTTTTAAATAGAGATGGGTCTCCCTGTGTCACCCAGGCTGGGCTTGTCTCGGACTACTGGGCTCAAGCGATCTGTCTGCCTTGGCCTCCCAAACTGCTATTACAAGTATGAGCCACCGCACCCAGCCTCTTTTACCTTTTTTTTTTTTTTTTTTTGAGACAGAGTCTTGCTCTGTCACCCAGACTGGAGTGCAGTGGCGCGATCTCGATCTCGGCTCACTGCAACCTTTGCCTCTCAGGTTCAAATGATTCTGGTGCCTCAGCCTCCTTACTAGCTGGGATTACAGGCACACACCACCATGCCTGGCTAATTTTTATATTTTATATTTTTATAAAATTTTAATGTATAAAAATATATAATTTTATATATAATTTTATATATCATTTTTATGTATAAAATATATAATTTTATATATAATTTTTATATATAATTGTTATATATAAAAAATTATAAAAATATATTAAAATTTATAAAATATCTAAATATATATATTTATATGAATATATTTTAATATGTATTTATATATGAATATATATTTATTTTAAATATTTACATATTTTATTTAAATATATTTAGAAATATATTTAAATTAAGTTAAAATATATTTATTTTAAATATTTAAATTTATATTTTATATATATATAAGTATAAATATATAAAATATAAATATATAAATATATAAATATATAAAATATATAAAATATAATATATAAATATATAAAATATATAAATTTGTAAAATATATAAAATTTATAAAATATAAAAATATATATAATTTTTATATATAAAATATATAATTTTGTATTTTATATTTTTATAAAATTTTATAATTTTTATAAAAATTATAGTAGAGATGGGCTTTCACCAAATTCACCAGGGTGGTCTCAAACTCCTGACCTCAAGCAATCCTCCCACCTCGCCCTCCCAAAGTGCTGGGATAACAGGTGTGAGCCACCAGCCCAGCTAGAGCCATTGTGCCTGGCTGCAGCCCCTTTTTTTTTTTTTTGAGGCAGAGTCTCACTCAGTCACCTGGGCTGGAGTGCAATGGTGCAATATCGGCTCACTGCAACCTCCACCTCCCGGGTTCAAGCGATTCTTCTGCCTCAGCCTCCAGAGTAGCTGGGACTACAGGCGTGCGTCACTACGCCCAGGTAATTTTTGTATTTTTAGTAGAGACGGGGTTTCACTATGTTGGCCAGAATGGTCTCGATCTCTTGACCTCGTGATCCGCCCACCTCGGCCTCCCAAAGTGCTGGGATTACAGGCATGAGCCACTGTGCCCGGCCAGGCTCTTTTTCTTTAAGCTCTGTTGGGAAACTTATATTTCTATAACAAAACTTAAGATACTTAGGACCCTCCTGTAAACATGTGGCAGGTAAAGGAAATAAAGTTTGGAGGTCTCTGAAGGTGTATAGAAACAACTATCATTTCAGGCACTAGGTGGAGACAACGGGTTTAAAATATGACTGAAAACATATAAACCAGAAGCAAGCACGTATGTTTGGTCGGCTCTAAGTCACACTGTCCCCATCTCAGGGCAATCACACACTGATAAAAATGGGCGAACCAAAGGGCTCTGCACTCACTGGGGCAGAAGACGGGAGGCAGCCGCGGGCCGAACTCTTCTCTTTCATCTATCTGCATCTTTTGTATCGGGAAGGAAGGTGGCGGCTCCTGGGGTGCTGGCACAAGAGCTGAAAAACAGCGGGGTGTTCATGTCATTCGTCTGCCCCATGTTAATGTCTCTGAGTCTTTCATTCATGTCTTTTGCCACCAGATAACATATGCTTGCCCACACCACTTCACTCCTGCCAGGTGCTAAGGATGCAGCAGTGAACACGCAGACCCCGGTGCTGCCCTTGTGAACTCCAGAGCTGGAAGTCAGTCACACGAGGGCACCTGCAACCAAGGGCAGCAATGGCTGAGGTACAGCGTGCCAAGTGCACCCGTGGGCACGTAGCCTAGCGCCCCTAAGACCTGAAAAGTAGAAATGTGTCCCCAAGAAAGGGCCATCTGAGAAGGAAAATCTTACAAACCATCAGGAATGTAAGACTATGTATGTCCCATCACAGAGAACTGCGGGAGACAAGTTTCACTCAAAATAAATTATCAAAGAAAAAACCTTGAAGATAAATGATCATATTCACGTTAATAATCTTGTTTTTTAAGCAGATTACTATATATTCAGATAGAAGAGATATAAAAATTTTAAAAGTCTGGAAAACTAGCCGGGCACTGGGATTATGCCTGTAATCCCAGCACTTTGGGAGGCTGAGGTGGGCAGATCACCTGAGGTCAGGAGTTAGAGACTAGCCTGGCCAACATGGTGAAACCCCATCTCTACTAAAAATACAAAAATTAGCCAGGGGTGGTGGCACATTCCTGTAGTCCCAGCTACTCAGGAGGCTGAAGTGGGAGGATTGCTTGAGCCCAGGAGGTGGAAGCTGCAGTGAGCCGAAGATTGCGCCACTGTACTCCACCCTGGGGACAGAGCCAGATCCTGTTTCCAAAAAAAAAAAAAAAAAAATTATATACATATAAAAGATTACATATCATTGATTGCTAATCATTCGGGTTTAAGATTATAGAGTAAACAGAGAAGCAGCTGTCCTAGAGTCATTGTCTTCTCCTTTAGATCCCCGAGTCTGAAATACTGACATACCGTGAGCCACAGATGATGTTTCCCCCAAGTCAGTGTCTTGGGAGCTTTGGAAGTTGGCCTCCCCAGAGCCTGCCTGATCATCTTCACTGTCACCTTGCTCATCCTCGGAGGATGAGGACTTTTCATCTGAGGAACTGGCAAAGATGGCCCTGAATAAGTCCATGGATGGGCGGCTCCCTTCTCCTTCAGCCTGTGCGTCCACATCTTTGTTGACGGTCTGTATTGACAGTGAAATAAGAGTCAGGGATACAGAGGCAAGGGTAAAAGGGAGGAGACATTCTAGAATACACTCCCAGACACACATATTTATGTTTATGCTCATGTACATGGGTATCCATAGCCACACACCACCCAACTAAACAGTGATCACTCACATAGCTTCTATTTTTGTGGTGTTTCCGAGTCAACAACTGTACAATGTGCTGATGAGGTCAAAGAAGCAAAACCGGGCCAGGCGTGGTGGCTCACCCCTGTAATTCCAGCACTTTGGGAGGCCTAGGCGGGTGGATCACAAGGTCAGGAGATCGAGACCATCCTGGCCAAAATGGTGAAACCCTGTCTCTACTAAAAGTACAAAAATTAGCTGGGCATGGTGGTGGGCGTCTGTAATCCCAGCTACTAGGATCCCCAAAAATGCAGTAGAGCACTGTGCCTCTGTTCTATTTCCAAACTCAGATTCAGGCAACTTAACAAACCCCAAACAAAATAAACTCAAAAGAATTCACACCCAGATACATCATAATCAAACCGCTAAAATCCAAAGACCAAGTAAAAATCTTGAAAGCAGCTAGGAGAAAAATCACATCATTATGTACAGAGGAATAATAATTTGTTTTGGGGTTTTTTGAGCCAGGGTCTCACTCTGTCACCCAGGCTGGAAAGCAATGGTGCGATCATAGCACACTGCAGTGTTGACCTCCTGGGCTCAAGTGATCCTCCAACCGTAGCCCCTTGAGTAGCTGGGACCACAGGTGCATGCCACCACACCCAACTAGTTTTTTAATTTTTTGTAAAAGATGGGGTCTCACGATGTTGCCCAGGGTAGTCTCAAACTCCTAGCCTCAAACAAGCCCCCTGCCTCAGCCTCCCAAAGTGCTGGGATTATAGATGTGAGCCAACACACCCAGCCTGAGGACAATTTGAATGGTTGAAGATTTCTCATCAGAAATCACGAAACCCCGGAGGAAGTAGCAGTTTAATTTAAAAAAAAATTGGCCATGCGCAGTGGCTCACGCCTGTAATCCCAGCACTTTGGGAGGCCGAGGCGGGTGGATCACGAGGTCAGGAGATCGAGACCATCCTGGCTAACACAGTAAAACCCCGTCTCTACTAAAAATACAAAAAATTAGCCAGGCGTGGTGGCGGGCGCCTGTAGTCCCAGCTACTCGGGAGGCTGAGGCAGGAGAATGGCGTGAACCTGGGAGGTGGAGCTTGCAGTGAGCTGAGATCGCGCCACTGCCCTCCAGCCTGGGTGACAGAGCGAGACTCCGTCTCAAAAAACAAACAAACAAAACAAAACAAAAATTATCAACCCAGAATTCTATATCCAGCAAAAACATCCTTCAGGAATGAAGACAAAATATAAGACATTCTCAGATAATGGCAATTTAAGAGAATCACTTGTTGGAACTGGTCTAAAAGAAATGCTAAAGGAAGTTCCTCAGACAGAAATGATAGGTGAGGGGAACGTGGAACTTCAAGGATGAAGAAAGAGCAACAGAAATAGAAAATATCTGATTAAACAGAGTAGGCTATTGTCTCTGCATCGGTTCTTTTAAAATATGTTTAATGACTAAAAGCAAAAATGATCACCACTGGTTTGATGGCATTTTCATTGTGTGTACATGTAATATGTAAGACAGCATAGAGGGAGGAGAGTAAAAGGACCTACATAGTGCTAAAGCTTCTCTATTCTACTGGAAGTGGTAAAACATTTAATTCTCAGTAGACTGTAAAAAGGTAAGTAGGTATACTATAATCCCTAGAGCAATCACTAAAAAAAAAATACCAAGAGAAAAAAAATAGAAAAATTCAAATGGAATATAAAAATTATTCAAGTAATCCAAAAGAAGGCAGAGAAGGGGAAAAAAAGAAACAAAAAAGAGTGGTAATAAACAGAAAATATAACATCATACACGTAAATCCAAAAATATCCATGATCACATTAAATGCAAATGTCCAATATAAATTATCAAAATGTATTTTAAGAAAGACTCAGTGACACGGTGTTTATAAGAAACCCACTTTAGCCAGGCGCGGTGGCTTATGCCTGTAATCCCAGCACTTTGGGGAGGCTGAGGCGGGCAGATCACCTAAGGTCAAGAGTTTAAGACCAGCCTGACCAACATGGAGAAACCCCGTCTCTACTAAAAATACAAAATTAGCCAGGCATGGTGGTGCCTGCCTGTAATCCCAGCTACTCAGGAGGCTGAGGCAGGGGAATTGCTTGAACCCGGGAGGCAGAGGTTGCGGTGAGCCGAGACAGTGCCATTGTACTCCAGCCTGGGCAAGAAGAGTAAAACTTCATCTCAAAAAAAAAAAAAGAAACCCACTTTAAATATAATGAAACAGATGTGTTAAAAAGAAGATGAAAAAGATATATACTACGCAAACACTAAAGAAAATTACCAGGGATAAAGATGATATTACATAATGTTAAAAGGGTCAACTGGGCATGGTGGCTCACGCCTGTAATCCCAGCACTTTGGGAGGCCAGGGCAGGAGGACTGCTTGAGAGCAGAAGTTTGAGACCAACCTGGAAAAACATAGCAAGGCCCTTTCTCTGAAAAAAAAAAAAAAAAAAAAAAAAAAAAAAATTAGCCAGGCATGGTGGTGTGTGCCCGCAGTCCCAACTACTCAGGAGGCTGAGGCAGGATTGCTTGAACCTGGGCGTTCGAGCCTGCAGTGAGCCATTATCACAACACTGCACTCCAGCCTGGGCACAGAGTAAAAGCCGGTGTCAGAGAAAAAAAAAAAAAGATCAATTCACTGAAAAGAAATAGCAATCCCAGTTCAAGACCAGCCTGGCCAACATGGTGAAACCCCATCTCTACTAAACATACAAAAATTAGCCAGGCATGGTGGTGCGCACCTGTAGTCCCATCTACTTGGGAAGCTGAGGCAGGAGAATCACTTGAACCCGGGAGGGGAGGCAGAGCTTGCAGTGAGCCGAAATCATGCCACTGCACTCCAGCCTGGGGGACAGACCAAGACTCCATCTCAAAAAAAAAAAAAAAAAAAAAAAGAGAGAAATAGCAATCCTAAATGTATATACACCTAAGAAGTGCACTTCAAAATACATAAGGCAAAAATAACTTTGGAATACAGTTTGACAGCTTCTTATAAAGTTAAATATACATGTACATATTTTCCAGGATTCCCACTACTAGGTTTGTACTCTACAGAAATGAAAACTTATATTCACACAAAAACTTGCACATGAATGCTCCCAGCAGCTTTACTTGTTATAGCCAAAAGTTAGAAACAAGCCAAATGGCCTTTAAGGGGAAATGGATCAATAGTTGGCTGCCTCTGCTGGTGAGTCACGAGGAGAAAGTGTCACCAAAGAGAAAAGCAAGGGCCACACTCAGCGTGGCAAAGAGAATCTGGAAGCCCCAAATACCTGATTTGCGGATAATTCTGGTGCATGCTCTTCCTCTTTGTTTACTAAGGGGCTGGACTGTTGTTTAGGTGGCTCGGCTTTTGATCTAGCCAAACTTAAAAATTCACTAATGGAATCTTCTTTCTTTTCGTGTTTAGAGGTATCCCATCTGGATGGTTTTCTTGATTCTGAAAGGCAGGACATAGATATAAACTCCAGCATTAGCAAGGAAAAGGCCAGTTCTTCACCACTGCTCTTTCATTCACTCAGAATGTCAGCGTGCCTACTAGGGGCCTGGCACTGTGTAGGGTCCTGGGGAGGTAGGTGGCAGAGGCAGAGACAGAGCCCCAACCCCAAAGAGTAAACATCTGGACCATTACAACATGAGCTAAGTTATTAGTAAGAGTAATTCCCTCAATGGAGGGAGAATATGCACCATTCACATTGTTAGGACTAAACTACCCTTTAATTCTGTCTTCCTACAGGCTAGGGGTTGAGGCCCTGGTCAATCAGAGACCCCGGGGACGCCCTACTCACTGTCGGGACCTCGGTGCTGTGATACTTTTTCACTTGATGCTTGAGTGGTGGGCAAGGAAGCTGTCTCTGGGAGCGTCAGAAAGTTGAAGACTGAGTACTTGTCACGCTTCACTCTTGGTAAGCCAACTAAAGTTGAACTGGGAATTGAAAAAAGAATCATTTTAGTAACAACCAGTAGGACAAAATCCACCTCCTGAAAAGCTTTCCATCTCAAGTTTTCCACCTCTTCTGCATGACTAAAAAGTCTCCTAAGATGCTTTCACTTCTCAAAGCAGTTCGAGAATCTGGGTGACTGATTTTAGGTCCCATGAGATTTTCCTTATTATGATAAGGACAAGAATTTAACTTTCAAAATGGATTTCCATTAAGGAAAAGCTCCACTGATAAAAATATACCTAAAGTTTCTGACAGTCTCTGGTTTGACCACATATGCTATCTTTTTGTTTTGTTTTTTTTTCTCTTGAGATTGAGTCTCGCCTTGTCACCCAGGCTAGAGTGCAATGGCACAATCTTGGCTCACTGCAACCTCCGCCTCCCAGGTTCAAGCAATTCTCCTGCATCAGCCTCCCAAATAGCTGGGACTATAGGCACGCACCACCACGCCCAGCTAATTTTTTGTATTTTTAGTAGAGACGGGGTTTCACCATGTTGGTCAGGCTGGTCTTGAACTCCTGACCTCAAGTGATCTGCCTGCCTCAGTCTCCCAAAATACAGGGATTACAGGCGTGAGCCATTGCACCCGGCCTACTATCTTGAAGTGTTCTGTTTGTTTGTTTGTTTGTTTGATTTTTTAGAGATGGGGTCTTACTATGTTACCCGGGCTGGCCTCGAACTCCTGGGCTCAAGCGATCCTCCTGCCTTGGCCTCCCAAGCTAGGATTACAAGTGTGCACCACCACACCCCACCTCTTGAAGTGTTATTAATCAAATAAGAAAGTGTTTAACTTTTATAATGATAATTTAAAAACATAAGTAACATTATAAATGTAAACCACATGAGCAGCAACAAGAAGGTGGCAAATGAGAGAGGCATAATGCTTTTGTAACTTGACATATCTGAGTTTCATAGCTTCAATATGGAATAAAGTTTGCTATCCAGATTTTGTTTTAGTAACAAATTATAGAAGTAATTTATCAAAGCAAATCTATAAAATGTGTAGATTTGTATATCCAGTGATATGCAAATAAGTTCATGTAGAAAAAATAAGAATTTATATGAGTATGTAAGGGGAAAATTAGCTTTAATATCAAGAATACATTTTGTACTGATGTAAAGGTTTATCCAACTTACTCTGGATAAGGGTCAGGGACATTAAATCTCTTACATAGAAGCTTGTCAGGGTGCCACTCAAACGTGTCTCGGGTGAGCTTCCCAAACATCTTCATCTTCACAGCCGACTGCTTATCCCCGACATCATTCTGGAAAAAGACATGCATTCTGTTCCATCAAGTGGCCGCACCACTGACCTGACTGCTCTCCCATTTAAAATTTTCAAGCAATCTTCTAGAACTGTGAAAAAAGTTTGTGCTATAACATTTATGCTCCAGTACATTGGAAACTAAGGCATAAAATGGTTTCCTATTCTCCTATACATGTATATTTTGATCTTCTCACCAAGGGATTAAAAATATTTGGCTCGGCCGGGCATGGTGGCTCATGCCTGTAATCCTAGTACTTTGAGAGGCCGAGGCGGGTGGATCACCTGAGGTCAGGAGTTCAAGACCAGCCTGGCCAATATGGTGAAACCCCATCTCTACTAAAAATACAAAAATTAGATGGCTGTTGTGGCGAGCGCCTGTAATCCCAGCTACTTGGAAGGCTGAGGCAGGAGAATCGCTTGAACCCAGGAAGCGGAGGCTGCAGTGAGCCGAGATCACACCACTGCACTCTAGCCTGGGCGACAGAGAGAGACTCCGTCTCAAAAAAAAGGAAAAAACTATTTTGGCTAGGCAGTGCTTTAATATTAAAGTTCACCAGGTAAGGGACATGGTGACAACAGACCTCTTGGTCTCGAGGGACTTCAACCTGATCTGAGTCATCCTCCTCCTTGGCGTGAGTGAACCTGGAGGACAAGGTCGAATGGGAAGATGCGTACAGCAGGGCCGCCCGGGCAAACTCATCCCGCTCACGGCCTCGCTCCCACTCTGTCATGCTGGGGTCCAGACAGCGTTCCAGAGCATCTGCGGGGGCAGAGAACAAGAAGCAGCTTCACTTTTCAGGAAAACATGGGGCTTACAAGAGAACATCTGCTGGGCACCACTGTATCCCTGTATATTTCATAAGTCCTTATCCTTGTTTTTATGACTATGGGAATGGTGAGGTATTTGGCAGGTAATATTGCTGTTTCCTTCAAAATTGTGCTTTTTTAAAAAAAATTTAGGCCAGGCGCAGTTGTTCATGCCTGTAATCCCAGCACTTTGGGAGGCCGAGGCGGGTGGGTCACTTGAGGTCAGGAGTTCGGGACCAGCCTGGCAAACATGGTGAAACCCCATCTCTCTTTTTTTTTTTTTTTTTTTTTCTGAGATGGAGTCTCACTCTGTCTCCCAGGCTGGAGTGCAGTGGCATGATCTCTGCTTACTGCAAGCTCCGCCTCCCACGTTCACACCATTCTCCTGCCTCAGTCTCCCGAGTAGCTGGGACTACAGGCGTCCGCCACCATGCCCGGCTAATTTTTTGTATTTTTAGTAGAGACGGGAAACAAAAAATTACCAGGCGTGGTGGCACATACCTATAGTCCCAGCTGCTCAGAAGGCTGAGGCAGGATAATCACTTGAACCTGGGAGGTGGAGGTTGCAGTGAGCTGAGATTGCAGTGAGCCAAGATCCTGACACTGCACTCCAGCCTGGGCAACAGAGCAAGACTCCGTTCAAAAAAATAAATAAAATATGATGTGTGTATATATATATATAATATATTTTATATATACATATATATCTTTTTTTTTTTGGTAGAGGCAGGATCTCACTATGTTGCCCAGGCTGGTCTTGAACTCCTAGGCTAAAGCGATCCTCATCTCAGCCTCCCAAAGTACTTGGATTACAGGCATGAGCCACCATCCCCAGCCAAAATGATGCTTTTATTGAATTCTGTCTACCAAACATAACAGAGAAAACCATTTGAGAGGCTAATGGTTGGTTAAATCTTCAGCAGTAAGGAACTTGTCACCACTCCCAGGCAGTGATAAGTTCACCTCAACCACATCCCTATGTTTTGGCAGAAAAACACTCTTTCACTAACCGTTTTTTTTTTTTAAAGCAAATAAACATTAGTGATGTAGGTTCTTAGTAGAGAGTTAAGGCACAGTAAATAGACTTTACATTCCGCAAAGATCTGTTTTTAAAAAACAACCCTGTAATTTACTGATAACCTCTCACGAGGACTACTGCATACAACAGCAACCCCTTTCCTCATTCTTGCCTCATTCTTGCCCTATTTACTTCACAGATCACAAAGTGATTGTTTTCCCTCTGTAACGGTTCAATAGCTAACTATTGTTTTAAGTCATATTTTAGACTATGAGTCAGGAATGGATGGTTAGGATCTTCGGATGAGGTGGAAGATGATGCTGATATGAAATGTGAATGCAATGCTTGTAGCAGTCAAGCACTTGCAAACACCAAACGGCCTGTAAGTACCGGCCACCGCCAGCTGTGTTCTCTACTTAAACAGCTAGCTTTGGCCTGAGATATGGAGGAACATAAGCCAACTGTTCTTGCTTTCTGAGGTCAAGAGCCAAGGCCTGAAACCTTTGCACTATTTGCAGCAGGATAAAGCAAAAACACTGACAGAACAGGATACCTCAACTGTAAATATGGGTCTAGGATGAGAACAGTGAGAATATGACCCCGCCCGGGCCGAGATTTGGGACACCCAGGCCCAGCACCCACCTTTCTGACCCTGTTTCATGTGTACTAAGAACTCGTCGTATCGCTTTTGCTTTTCCGGATCTTTGGCGAAAGGCTTGAAGTTGCTGGCTTTTAAGGTGGCCGTCCCACCACCTAATGCCATGTTCCAAGAGCAGTGCCCAGCAGCCGCTGCAGGGGAGAGCTGGGCTCTGCTGCTCTGAGCGTTCTGGGCCAGACTCCTGGCCTTGAGCTGAGCTGCTTTCAGGTCAGTTGCCTGCTTCATTTCTTTGATTCTCTCTTTGTCTTTTTGGGACAGAAATTCTAACACTGAAGTAGCTGAACCTAAATAAAAACAGTAATTAGAAGAGATGAAAAGAGCCATGAGACAACCACATTTACGTTTCTCTGTACATACATTTCAATAACACAAATTTACATAATTGGGGATGAGGATTTTATGTTTAGTGTTTCATTTATATTAATATGTCCCTGTGGACTAGACAGTGATAAAAATTGAGATTCTTCTTCTTATTATTATTATTATTTTAGATGGAGTCTCGCTCTATTGCCCAGCCTGGAGTGCAATGGTACCATCTCAGCTCACTGCAACCTCCTGGGTTCAAGCAATTCTCCTGTCTCATCCCCACCGAGTAGCCGGGACTACAGGCATGTGCCACAATGCCTGGCTAATTTTTTATATTTTTAGTAGAGACAGGGTCTCATCATGTCGGCCAGGTTGGTCTCAAACTCCTGACCTCAGGTGATCCACCCGCCTCGGCCTCCCAAAGTGCTGGGATTACAGGCGTGAGCCACCACGCCTGGCCAATTCCTATGTTTTTTTTGAGACATGGTCTCGCTGTGTCACCTGGACTGGAGTACGGTGGTGTGATCATGGCTCACTGCAACCTCCACCTCTCAGGCTCAAGTGATCCTCCCACCTCAGCCTCCTGAGTAGCTGGGACCACAGGTACACACCACCATGCCCGACTACTTTTTGTATTTTTTGTAGACGGGATTACGCCATGTTTCCCAAGCTGGTCTCAACTCCTGGGCTCAAGAGATCATCCCACCTTGGCCTCCCAAAGTTCTGGGACTACAGGCATGAGCCACTGTGTCCAGCCAAGATTCCTGTTTTATAGTCAGCAAAAATGGAAGTTAATACATGCACACTTACAGGGCACGTGAGTGATTCCAGGATGGGGAACCTGACATCCCCGGCTCCAGACCTGCAGTCCACCACCACTAGCCCTGGTTCCGAGTACAGCTCCCCAGCAAGCCCTCACCAATGGGACAAACACTCATGAGTGCCAGCTCTATGCCAGGACCTGGCCCAGGAGCTTGGAGGGCAGTGGAGACACGAAAGAAGCCCAGGAGCAATACGCTGGCCCTCAATAGAGGAGGGCTATGAAAAAAACAGGACGATGTGACTGAGGGGGGCTTGTGTGAGCGGGCTGGTAGAGGGGACAGGCAGATAACCAGATTATATGGTGGTCGGGGAAGGCTGGAAGAAAGTAACATTCGAGATAAGTCATAAGCTAAAAAAAAAAAGAGCCAGATTCACAAAAATATGAGGGAAGAACAGAAAGGGAGGTACAGCAAACACAAAGGCCCTTAGGCAGTGTCATGGATGACGGCGTGTTCCAGGGGAGGAAAGGAGGAGGAAGACGCTACACTGTGGGAGGGTAAGGGAAGGTGGTGGATGGTGCAGCCTGAAAGGCGGGCAGGGGCGGGGCCGCACAGGGCCTCGTGGGGAGCCTGGAGGTTTCTGTAGGTGGGAGAGGTGTTGGCTGGTATAGTTGGCCTCATCCAGCTGCTGGTGAGGGGAACAGTCTACGGGAGATGGACAGGAAACAAGGAGACCACCAAGGAGACTGCAGCAACGGTCCAGGTGGAGGGGTGGGGCTCAGACCCGGGAGGCCACGGAAATGCAGATGAGTAGTGGACAGAACCCCCACACGTGTGGGTAGAGCCGAGAGGACTCACTAAGGGCCAAGGAGGGTCAGGGAGGGTGCGGGAGGACCGAAAAGAGAGGAGCTAAGAATTAGGCCTCCCGGGGAAGCGGGGAGGGATAGCATTAGGAGATATACCTTATGTAAATGACGAGTTAATAGGTGCAGCACACGAACGTGGCACATGTATACACATGTAACAAACCTGCACGTTGTGCACATGTACCCTAGAACTTAAAGTATAATAAAAAAAAATAAAAATTAAAAATTAAGAAAAAAAAAAGAATTAGGCCTCCTACATCCTGGTCCGAGCAGTGGATCATGGTGGCACCACTTCCTGAGATGAGAAGACTTAGATGAGGAAGCGCAGTGTGTGATGGGGGTGGGGAACCAAGGGTTCTGTTTGCCAATTATACGAGACACCTATTGAGTTCCCCATGGCAGTGAGACCCGAGCCCCTAAGAGTCCAAGTCCACCTCTCATGGTGGGACTTTCCTGCTGCACCCTGCAGGGGATTCTCCATGTCTTTCCAGACTTTCAGACACATTCATCCCTTTCAGACTTTCGGGAGAAGAGTTACACAATGCGATCCCCAGGAGGAAGAAAACATACTCTCCCAGGCTGTGCAGAGAAGGGGAAGGCACCTTAACCACATTCCCTGATAATTATGACAAGTCTGAAAACAGCTGAGCTTACAACAAAAGTTGTGATTTGAATGACATCAACCAAACTGAAGGTGGAAAAACAAGCCTTGGCTGGGCGCAGAGGCTCACACCTGTAATCCCAGCACTTTGGGAAGCCAGAAGTTCCAGACCAGCCTGGGCAACATAGTGAGACCCTCATCTCTATTTAAAAAATGTGCCAGGTGTGGTGGTGGCACATGCCTATAGTCCCAGCAACATGGGAGTCTGAGGTGGGAGGAACGCTTGAACCCAGGAGTTCCAGGTTATAGAGAGTTACCACTGCCTTCAGCCTGGGTGACAGACCTAGACATTATCTCAAAATAAATAAGTTTAAAAATAAAACTTAAAAAAAGAAGTAAAAGATATGCACACTATTATGTATGCCATTTACAATAAATAGTGGTATTTCCACAGTTTGGGAATACAAATTCATGTAAAAAACTTCAGTGGGAAAACAACAACTTTCCATTTTGATTTTGATAACTCGAATTATGTGAAATGATTTCCGTCTTCTCCATGGCACATACCTTGAATAGGCGTCTCTCCAAGCAACTCAGCCCGTTTGGAGGCATTCAGTTGGTGCTTACTGTGTGTCCCTGGGTCAGGCGTTGCCTTTCCAGCTGACTCTGATAATACCTGCAGTAAGTGTGAGTTCTCGGAGGTGGCGGCCACCATGGGTCTGAAATAATGCACTGGTCGATAGTCTCTTGGCAGCTCTGGAGGTGGATAGATCTTAACAAACCAAGACAAAACCCAGAAAATACAGGCTGCAAGATCATGTTTGATTTAATCAGGAAAACCTGTTACCTCTGAGCCTTGTTAACCCCGCCCCTTCCCGGGTTAACACTCAGCAGGCAGGTAGCACAAGAACAGGCTGGCCAGAGGTCCAGCCAGCATCCCCTCTGGACCTGGAGGGTCACAAGAGCCACCGTGTTCCAGTGGTCAGGCATTTCGAATATCCTCCCACCCATTTCTACAGAAAGAAGCTAATGTGCCTGTTTTATAGGATAAGAACTATAAAGATGACAATAGATCATAAATGTCAGGGCCTACAGGTAGGGCTGGCCCACTGTACATCAGAAAATTTAGAAAAAGTACCATTCAAAGCATGGAGGAAAATAATGGCTGGGCGCAGTGGCTCACACCTATAATCCCAGCACTCTGGGAGGCCAAGATGGGAGGACTGCTTGAGCCTGGGAGTTCATGACGAGCCTGGGCAACAGAATGAGACCCCATCTCTATAAAACTAAAAAAAAAATTTTTTTAAATAATAGTTGGGGCCGGGAACAGTGGATCATGCCTGTAATCCCAGCATGTTGGGAGACCAAGGCGGGTGGATCACCTGAGATCAGGAGTTCAAGACCAGCCTGGCCAATATGGTGAAACCCCATCTCTACTAAAAATACAAAAATTAGCCAGGCGTGGTAGCGCACACCTGTAATCTCAGCTACTCGGGGGTGCTGAGGCAGGAGAGTCGCGTAAACCCGGGAGGCAGAGGTCGCAGTGAGCTGAGATTGCGCCACTGCACCCCGGTGCAGAGCTGAAACAGAGCGAGACTCCGTCTCAAACAAAAAAAAAAGAAAGACAAATAAATAATAATAATAGCTGGGCACAGTGGCTCATGCCTATAATCCCAGCACTTTGGGAGGACAAGGTAGGCAGATCACTTAAGGTCAAGAGTTCAAGACCAGCCTGGCCAACATGGTGAAACCCCGTCTCTACTAAAAATACAAAAATTAGCCAGGTGTGGTGGTGGATGCCTGTAATCCCAGCTACTTGGAAGGCTGAGGCAGGAGAATTGCTTGAGCCTGGGAAGCAGAGGTTGCAGTGAGCTGAGATCGCACCACTGCACTCCAGCCTGGGTGACAGAGTGAGACTCCATCTCAAAAATAATAATTAATAATAATAATAACTGTAGTTATTTTTAAATTCATAATTATTTTTTCTAGTTATGTTTCAGTTGCAAATTGAAGCTTCGGGCTTTCTTTTTTCTTTTTCTTTTTTTTTTTTTTTTTGAGACAGAGTCTTGCTCTGTCATCCAGGCTGCAGTGCAGTGGTGCAATCTCAGCTCTGGGTATGCAATTCTCCTGCCTCAGCCTCCCAAGTAGCAGGAATTACAGGCACGCATCACCATGCCTGGCTAATTTTTGTATTTTTAGTAGAGACGGGGTTTCACCATGTTGGCCAGGCTGGTCTCAAACTCCTGACCTCAAATGATCCACCCGCCTCAGCCTCCCAATGTGCTGGAATTACAGGCGTAAGCCACCACGCCTGGCCTATTTTTTCATCCAAGATATTACTATGAATAATGTGAGTAGAGCCAAGAGGACCTGGCCCAGGAGCTAGGAGGGGAGTGGGGACAGGAATTTAAAAACTTTAATTTAAAAGTTGACGGAAGTGAAATGAAAATCTGTTTGGGAAATTTGGGGATTTTTAACACTGACAGGCATGAATGATGGCACAGCAGACAAGGTAAAGGAAAGTACTAAATATTGTTAAATAACTGCATTAAATGGTCTCCCTTGCTCTTGGTCTAACAAATCCACACGTGTTTGTTATTTAAGCTATTTTCTAGACTTTTCTTTACTATTTTTTTCCCCCAAATTCACACTGAAATATTCTCTAGATTTTTAAGCTACATGAAAGCTGAAGTCCATGATGAAGTAACCCTGTGGCTGAAAGCACTGACCCCTCTCTCCCGGCCCCTCTCTCCGCTGGCTCTCAGGTCCAGGTGCATGCTGGACTCGCCTGAGGAGTTGTAACTATACTGATGCCTGCGCCCCACCCCAGAGAGTCTGCTATAACTGGAGTTCCCCAAGCTCCCCAGGTGGTTGTTAAAATACACAGCCTGGGTCAAGCCCCTGGCACAATGAAAGTCCATGAAAGAGTGGTGTTATCATTGTCAAGAAATCCTGTTTTTTTATCATCTTAGCTTCATCACCTTCTGGAGACACACCCCCAAATCAGCCAGAAAACACTCTCATGTTACCACCACACAAAAACCCAGAGGAACATGGCAGAAAGGAGGAGTGTGTCCACAACTTCTCTATATCCTCCATGGGATTCAAAGTATTTCTTTCTTTTTTTTGAGACAGGGTCTCACTCTGTTGCCCAGGCTGGAGTGCAGCAGCCAATCACAGCTCACTGCAGCCTGGACCTCCCAGGCTCAAGCAATCCTCCCACCTCAGGCCCCCAAGAGGCTAGGACTACAGGCACATACCACCACACCCAGCTAATTTTTTTTTTTTTTTGTATTTTTTGTAGAGATGGGGTTTCACCATGTTGCCCAGGCTGGTCTCAAACTCCTGGACTCTAGCGATCTGCCCGCATTGGCCTCCCAAAGTGCTAGGATTACAGGCGTAAGCCACCATGCCCAGTCTTGGATTGAAAGTATTTCTCTCTGTCTGTCTGCCAAATCATTGTTCTGTTTGACCTCTAGATTCAGATCTAGAGAACCATCTAAATCTGTGTGTGAAAGGCTAGATGAACACAGCCCTCCTCTGAAGTGTTCCTGCCCAAAGCCCTACTCCAGAGAAGCGCCAGGAACCCCCAGGACTGTGTCTCTCCACTTAGGGATGTTTGCCCACGACTCTGTATTTGTGTATCTGCTACCTTTGTTGGATGGGAGCTACCTGGGGCCAGGCTGGCCTATTTATCCTAAGGACCAGTGAGTGCTTCTCCATCATTTTTAAACTATGCTTCCTTTTCTTTTTTTTTCTTTTTTTGAGATGGAGTCTTGCTCTGTCACCCAGGCTAGACGTGCAGTGGCACAATCTTGGCTCACTGCAACCTCCACCTTCCAGGCTCAAGTAATTCTCCTGCCTCAGCCTCCCAAGTAGCTGGGTTTACAGACACGTACCACCATGCCTGGCTAATTTTTGTATTTTTAGTAGAGGTGGGGTTTCGCCATGTTGGCCAGGTTGGTCTCGAACTCCTGACCTCAAGTGATCCATCCGCCTCAGCCTCCCAAAGTGTTGGGATTATAGGTGTGAGCCACCGTGCCCGGCCTTATGCTTCCTTTTCATACATGTAAAACACCTGCATTTTCCTTTAATGTTATTTGACATTTCTGGTAATAATAGCAGCTTACTGTATGCCCGACACTGTCCTAGATATATTCTGCTGGCTATCACAACACATGAACTATCACAATGAAACAAATCAAAACTGTCCCCTGGCCTCCCGTGTCCCAGACAAGCACAGGCCAATCCTTAGAGGTACTGAACAAATGTTTGCTGAATAAAAAACAAAAAGCTGATTAAAGCGTGAAACAATCTAAAACAGGAATGCTGACAAGGCAGATGGCCAGACACCCCTCCTGGGCTGGCCAGCACCCTAACTCCCTCCTGAGTGTGCCTGTGAGCATGTGACTTTGGTGGTGACAGGAAGAGCGCCATGTGGCCTAAGAGCTTCACATGTGGCTGTGACAGCATCTCACAAAAACAAAGCAATCTGCAAAGGCACGCAGAGCTCTCCTCCAACTTCACCCACCTGCACACGGCTTCTCTCCCTTCTGCTCGGCCCCAGCTGAGGAGGCCAGGGAACCTTGCCCCTGCTAGCTTCAGAGCATGGGGAGGAACCAGGGCTATGGGTTATCCAGCTTTCTGAATGTTTTCTACTTTTCCTTAACCTACATTTCCCCTAGAATCATAGCAATTTCATTCTCTTTCTAATGTATGTCTCTTTTCATGTAAATAACCACTCACTTGAAGTTTGAATTTGAAATATTAGCGGCCGGGCGCGGTGGCTCACGCCTGTAATTCCAGCACTTTGGGAGGCTGAGGCAGGCGGATCACAAGGTCAGGAGTTCAAGACCAGCCTGACCAACATGGTGAAACCCCATCTCTACTAAAAATACAAAGATTAGCCAGCCGTGGTGGTGCACGCCTGTAATCCCAGCTACTCAGGAGGATGAGGCAGGAGAATCGCTTGAATTTGGGAGGCGGAGGTTGCGGTGAGCTGAGATTGCATCACTACACTGCAGCCTGGGTGACAGAACAAGACTCCATCTCAAAAAAAAAAAAAAAAATAGAAATTAGATATTTTTATCACAATGTAGCTACTGACTGATATTTCTTTTCTTTTCTTTTCGATACGGAGTTTTGCTCTTGTCGCCCAAGCTGGAGTGCAATGGTGCGATCTTGGCTCGCTGCAACCTCTGCCACCCAGGTTCAAGCAATTCTCCCTGCCTCAGCCTCCCGAGTAACTGGGATTACAGGCGCCCACCACCACACCTAGCTAATTTTTGTATTTTTAGTAGAGATGGGGTTTTGCCATATTGACCAGGGTGGTCTCAAACTCCTAACCTCAGGTGATCTGCCAACCTTGGCCTCCCAAAGTGCTGGGATTACAGGCGTGAGCCACCACGCCTGGCCAACTGATTTTTTTTTTTTTTTTTTGAGACAGAGTTTTACGTGTTGTCCAGGCTGGAGTGCAGTGGTGTGATCTTGGCTCACTGTAACCTCCACCTCCTGGGTTCAAGTGATTCTCCCACCTCAGCCTCCCTAGTAGCTGGGATTACAGGCATGCGACACCACGTGCGGCTAATTTTGTATTTTTAGTAGAGACGGGGTTTCTCCATGTTGGTCAGGCTGGTCTTAAACTCCCGACCTCAGGTGATCCACCCACCTTGGCCTCCCAAAGTGCTGGGATTACAGGTATGAGCCACTGCGCCTCGCCCTGGTATTTCTAATGTAGAATGTTTTTCTAGACAATCACTAGTAACCAGGCTGTTGTTTTTTGAAAACAGAATTTACTTATCTTTCCTGTTGTTAATAGAACTCAGATCACATAGCAGCAAATATTTTAAGAACTAAACCAGTAAAAAAAGAAAGAAAAAAAGTTTTTCTTACTTTCTTAGAAGATAAAGGTTTAGAAGCCAAGGAAAATCCATCCAAAATTTTGCCAACGTACCGAAGGTCTTTCTCTGATTCTACAAAATGATGTCATAGATTAATTCCAGAAGTAGAGATGATTAGAATAAGACAGAACACATCAGCATTTTACGTTCTTATCTCTAAGAACATAAATAGTACGTGTCATACATGCTATCACTCAACAGCAGCAGTAAAGGGAAGAACAAGTGGTAAGCAAAGCCCCACACCTCTGTTGACTCAGTGACTAAGGCCCGGCCCACACCGCCCTGGACAGATTGGGCTACCCAGGTCACAAGGCTGTGGTCCTCCAAGACAAGCATATTGACGTGATTTTTAGAAGAAGTACCTTAGGGGCACCAAAGGATATACCCCGTGGAGTAAAAGATCAAGAAAAACCACCAAAAGGACAAGCATGGAGGAAAATACAAATCACAACTGTGAGAGCGTCATGTGTAAAACTAGGTGAAGAACTACAGGGTGACTACCTGGCCATCTCCTTAGCAACAATCCAAATAGGGATGAAAGGCAATGCCACCAGGTCAGCCTGTAATCTTTAACAAGACATAAAGATCACAGACATAGGAAACTGAATGACCAATGCCCTCTGACCTGGAGGTGGGGATCGTCTTCTGGTCATAGAGACAACCCCACCAACAAAAGCTCTTTGATTTGATTCTCAAGGTTTTCCTGCACGTACTGGTTACGCCAAAAGTCCGTATAAATGAACTGTATTCTCTGCACTCAAAAGCCCCTTCTGAAAAAAAAAAAAAGCCCCTTCTACATGACCATCAAAAGCTCTTTCACAGGCTAGGAGCTCAGGCCTGAAGCAGGAACAGCAAGCAGTGCAGATGAGCTAAGGCTTTTAGCCACTCATCATTCAGCACCACCACATCTCTCCCCTCCCCACAAAACCATTCTTTGTGCTTTGACTCCTGTTGGGCTTTTTTTTTTTTTTTTTTTTTTTGAGATGGAGTCTCGCTCTGTCACCAGGCTAGAGTACAGTGGCACAATCTTGGCTCACTGCAACCTCTGCCTCCTGGGTTCAAGTGATTCTCGTGCCTCAGCCTCCCGAGTAGCTGGCATTACAGGCATGTGCCACCACACCCAGCTAATTTTTGTATTTTTAGTAGAGACGAGGTTTTACCATGTTGGCCAGGATGGTCTCGATCTCCTGACCTCGTGATCTGCCTGCCTCAGCCTCCCAAAGTGCTGGGATTACAGGTGTAAGCCAATGCACCTGGCATGTTGGGCTTTTTTTAAAGCTTCTAGAACTTACTAAAATTTCTTCAGGTAATGTGGGATTCAATTTCACATTCTTGGAACTTGTATTATCTCAAAACCCAGAAATTTCATGTTTATGAGTTCATTCTGAAGAATTCTGAAGAAATAAACAAATGTACATAAAGACAGAATCAGAAAAATATTCATTATAGCCCTATTGATCATGGAAAAAAAAAATGAGAATTTAAAAATCAACCATGGCCAGCCATGGTAGCTCACGCCTGTAATTCCAGCACTCTGGGAGGCCGAGGCGGGCGGATCACCTGAGGTCGGGAGTTCAAGACCAGCCTGGCCAACATGATGAAACTCCATCTCTACTAAAAACACAAAAATTAGCTGGGCGTGGTAGCAGGCGCCTGTAATCCCAGCTCCTTGGGAGGCTGAGGCAGGAGAATTGCTTGAACCCGGGAGGCATAGGCTGTGGTGAGCCAAGATCAGGCCATTACACTCCAGCCTGGGCAACAAGAGGGAAATTCCTTCTTCAAAAAAAAAAAAAAAAAAAAATTAGCTGGGCGTGGTGGTGCACACCTGTAATCCCAGTTACTCAGGAGGCTGAGGCAAGAGAATCGCTTGAACCCGGGGGACGGAGGTTGCAGTGAGCCGAGATCATGCCACTGCTCTCCAGCCTGGGTGACAGAGTGAGACTCTGTCTCAAAAAAAAAAAATTTAAAAATGTAAAAAATCAACCGTGGAGACTAGGTAAAATAAAGATAGATTCACCGAATAGAAAATCATACAGTCAAAACTACAGATGCTGTGACCCTGCAGGGGGGGAGAGAGGAAGCTGGGGGAGAGAGGCCACAGCAGAGAGGGACAAGGACAGGCTCGGAGCTCAGTGGAAGGAGTGAGAACCAATCAGCTGGGGGCAAAGCTGGTGCACGAGGGAAAAGTGAAAGATGTGGTTCAGCAGGCGGACTTAAATATATGTCATTACATATCATTAATTATTAAAGGATTGATATATTGTTATTAATATGTTGTATATTAAATATCATTTATATTAACAGATATAGGATATTATCAATTTCATACTCCCACCACTTTTAATAAATAATGAATAATTAAAATAGATCAATACATTACTATGTAATAATGTATTGGTATGTTACATAATATACCAATAGTATTGATATATTAATTATATAAAATATAAATCATATACAATATATAATGGTATATTGATTATAATATAGTATTAAAATTAAATAGTATATTATGATATATTAATATATCTTCATTTAAGTTATATAAAAATAATCCATAGTTTGGGGACAGAAATCAGAAACTATAGGGAGGCAAAAGGAAGAAGGCTCAGAAGCTAAATGACTCAGGGGAAAAAAAAAGAAAAACATTGGAAGGAAAAAAAAAAGGAAGTAAGTACTAGCAGCCCACTGACCACCCGGAGGTTAAGTCTCCTAACACTGGGTACACATGCCCTTCCAGTGTCCTGTGTAAAACCCTGGGTTCCCTGTCATACCATCCCAGTCAAGTGACACATGACTGTATGATAACCAAAGAATAGTAGGTGCCACTTCTTCAGTCTTTGGGACAGGTGCTTTGCCAGACACTGAGTTATGCCACTTAATCCTCACAACCACCTCTGGAGTGGATTTTATCCTCACTTTACAAATGTGGACTCCAATGCCCAGAGAGGTTATGAGCCTTGCCTAAGGTCACAAAGCTGGGCAATGGAGAGCTGGCATCCAAACCCAGGTCTGACTGACTCCAAATCACATGCTGCTAATACCGACTCTACACTGTCTGGCCCTGCACCTTTTCTGGAAACAACTGAAATGTGACTTCAAACCACAGGATCTGATTCACCTTGAAATTTCAACACAGCATGAAGTTAAAGTTGTGTTGAGAGATGTCAGCCTCTTATCCCAACAAGAGCCTCCTCAGAGCCAGGGACTCAAGGGAGAAGACGGACTGGGCGCCCAGCTCCATCTTGCTGCAGGCTGTTGGTGTACCTGCCTCCTGGTCCCCTGGCTTGACCTTCTGACCTGCTGCATGTGTTGGCCTCCTTTGGCCACCTGCCCAGTTCCTCGAGCTCTGGGTGCTTCCCTTTGACCCACTGCCAGCTCTGACCAGCCATGTGGTCACTGGTCCAGGCATTCCTCTTTCCCTGATTACAGACCTCTCCCTCCCTCCCACCTGGGCCCCACCTTGACAGCTGGCTTTGGCCTTGGCCAGGTCTGAATCCTGCATTTGTTTCACTTCCCATGCTGGGCCTCGCTTCTTTGTTTTGTTTCTTACCGTGACTTTGACCAACAACAGAGGCTGGTGCTCCTGTATCGCTCTTGCAGCCCCTCCTTCCTGATACCCTGACACTTGGTCCTGCCATTAGGTTTGTGGCTGTCGAATTACCTTTCTGGTTTTTATACTGCCTGGGTGCTGTCCAGCCATAGAGTCCGTCTCCAGGCTCCTCGTCCTTCAGAACAGTGTCATACTTGGATAGAGTTTCTGTGGCATAGATATCATCATCTTCCTCTTCCAGGGCACCTACACCAAAAGCCTTTAAAAAAACAAGGTTTCAAACTGAGCACAGGTGTTAGGGTATGTCTGGGATCTTCAGGGATAAAGCTACTTTAAGGATGTGATTGGAAACCATGTTAGCACTTCAAGATCACCAAGAGAGAAGTGAACGGGGGTCCCAGATCGACCAACACACACACAAGTTTTCTGGAAAACAGTGACCAGAGGTGAATGCCATGTCCCTACTGCCAACACTGCCCTCCAGTCCCCACAACAGCCATGGCTCCAGGTCCCAGCACAGGAAGAGGAGTGGAGAACAAAGCCAAGCAGCAGTGCAGGGGTGGAAATGTGGCTTCCAAGAGGAGAAAGGAAGAAATGTTCATCAACTGATCAATGCGGCCTGGGCCAACGCTGGTGGCTGGGGTCTAAGGGCCGCTGCTACTCTACTGCCCGCTGGAAGAACTCCTACTCTCTGCGGAAAGGAGCCTCTAACAAGTAGCATTTTTGTTTAAAAGACTGAAAAAAAAACACGTTTATAAAAAGAAAAGGTGGGCCGGGCGCAGTGGCTCACGCCTGTAATCCCAGCACTTTGGGAGGCCGAGGCGGGTGGATCACCTGAGGTCAGGAGTTCAAGACCAGCCTGACCAACATGGAGAAACCCCATCTCTACTAAAAATACAAAATTAGCCGGGGTGGTGGCGCATGCCTGTAATCTCAGCTAGTCAGGTGGCTGAGGCAGGAGAATCGCTTCAACCCGGGAGGTGGAGGTTGCGGTGAGCCGAGATCGCGCCATTGCACTCCAGCCTGGGCAACAAGAGTCAAACTCTGTCTCAAAAAAAAAAGAAAGAAAGAAAGAAAGAAAAGGTGGCCAGGCGCAGTGGCTCATGCCTGTAATCCTAGCACTTTGGGAGGCCGAGGCAGGTGGATCATCTGAAGTCAGGAGTTCGAGACCAGCCTGGCCAACATGGTGAAACCCCGTCTCTACTAAAAATACAAAAATTAGTGGGGCATGGTGGCACATGCCTATAATCCCAGCTATTCAGGAGGCTGAGGCAGGAGAATCACTTGAACCCAGGAGACAGAGGTTGCAGTAAGCCAAGATCGCACCACTGCACTCCAGCCTGGGTAACAGAGCGAAACCCCGTCTCAAAAAAAAACAGAAATGGTAATAATGAAATGGCAAAGTCACCATTTTAAAAATGCATTTTAAGAAAGAATCTTTGACCTGATTCCACTTGAGGATTAGGGGGAAAAAAAAAGAAAATAAAGAACCTCTAAAAAGAAGAAAGAAAGAAAGTAGACTCATTTATCAATGACTCCCCCTTTATAAAATAGAAAATAATTTTACCTGGCCTGAAATTCCCAATTTTCTTCCTTTATTCAGTCCAATTTCTCCAAGATCGCCAGCTCTCTCAGAACCACCACTGAAAAGATTAAAATGTTCTCCCGAAGTTCCAAACAGTGCCTGGTGGGGATCCAGGCCCTTGTAAGCTAGACCATGCACATTATCTTTAGGTGTGAAATCCACAGGTGTGACATCTTTGGGTGCAAAGGTCACATTATCAGGCAAGTAGTCATCATCTTCACCCTATTTCCGTTTAAAGTGGAATTAAGGTGAGTCACTGAAGGATGCAAAGTAAACCCACAAAATACTAATTGAAAACGCAGTGATTAATGCCACACAGAACAATTAGCAAACTTTCATTGGTGCTGTTATAAATGACTAAATCACTTTCTGGCACAAAGGATGCTAACACCAACTCCATTTTATGAAGCTGAACAGACCTGGGTATCTGTGGTGCTGGCATGTTGCTGAATATGTATGCTGATATAATGAGGATAGCTTTAGGGTATGAGTATTTAACTGTATAGTTATTGGATCTGATTTCTAAAATTGTCTCCAACCAAATTTCACAGTCATACAGAAACAGGTGCTGTTGTACCAAAGTGAAGGTCAGTCACACCATGCAATACCTCAGATCCTTCCGAGCTTCCAGGGGGTAATGCACAGCCATAGATTTTGACTCCAGGATCTAGAAAAGAGATTTCAAATGCAATAGTCATGAGTGACTACAAATAGAAAACCCCGACCAGGCCGGGCGCGGTGGATCACACCTGTAATCCCAGCACTCTGGGAGGCTGAGGTGAGAGGATCGCTTGAGCCCAGGAGTTCAAGACCAGCCTGGGTAACATAGTGAGATTCCGCCTCCACAAAAAATTTAAAAAAAAAAAGGCTGGGCGCAGCGGCTCATGCCTGTAATCCCAGTACTTTGGGAGGCTGAGGCGGGGTGGATCACAAGGTCGGGAGTTGGAGACCAGCCTGACCAACATGGAGAAACCCCGTCTCTACAAAAAATACAAAAAAAATAGCCAGGCATGGTGGCGCAAGCCTGTAATCCCAGCTACTCAGGAGGCTGAGGCAGGAGAATCGCTTGAACCGGGAAGCAGAGGTTGCAGTGAGCCGAGATCGCGCATTGTACTTCAGCCTGGGCAACAAGAGCGAAACTCCATCTCAAAAAAAAAAAAAAAAAAAAAAACCTCACTGATAACTCTTCAGAGGTACATGGGTACATTTATAAAATGTGCTACAGCATTACGGTGAGAGGAAGATAACTGGGAATTGTTTTAGAAACAGGGTCTCGCCCTGTCACCCAGGCTGAAGTACAGTGGCATGATCATAGCTCACTGTAGCCTCAACCTTCTGGACTAAAGCCATCCTCCCACCTCACTCTCCTGAGTCGTAGCTGGGACTACAGGTGCGCTCCACCACACCTGGCTAATTTTGGTATATTTGGTAGAGGCAGGGTTTCACCGTGTTGCCCAGGCTGGTCTCAAACACCTGGGCTCAAAGATAATCTCACCTCAGCATCCCAAAGTGCCAGGATTATGGGTATGAGTCACTGCACCCAGCCAGGAATCATTTTCTACCAGCACCTGCCCTACCTAGCAGTAATGTGCTCAATGAGTAACCAATACTGCCCCACAGCATAAGGAACCCAAAAGAAATGACTGTTACCCTCAAAGAGTCACTTACAGTCTGGCTGGGGAGACTCAGGGCAAGAAATAAGGAACAAGTAATAATGTTAAACTGTGACAGCTTGGGGGAGGGTAGGAAACATGAACTCTCACATGCTGCTGGCAGAAGCATAAACTAGCACAGCCTTTCTGGAAGCTGTCATGCATTACACATAAAAAGCCTTAGAAGACACACATACCACTGGGCCCAGCTATTTCGTTTATTGGAATTTGCTCAGGCAATCCTCAGCCTGGGCCTGGGCAACATGGCAAAACCCCGTCTCTACAAAAAATACAAAAAATTAGCCTGGCGCAGTGGCACATGCCTGTGGTCCCAGCTACTTGCGGGGCTAACGTGGAAGGATCACTTGAGCCCGGGAGGTCAAGGCTGCAGTATGCCGGGATCGCACCACTGCACTCCAGCCTGGGCGACAGAGCAAGACCCTGTCTCAAAAAAAAAAAAAAAGTACGCTGCAGCAGTGATAACAGTTAATCAATTAACATACACACCAGGTTTCTGTCGGCGTGGCCGTCTCTTTACTCGAGGACCAACTCCTTGTCCTTCTTTCCAACCCATTTTTCTTAGCAATTCGAAACCAACAGATAATCTAGGATAGCAAGGCATTGAAAATGAACTTTTCAAAATAACATTAACAAAGAATATGAAATAAGCGGCTTCTGAGTTCCTGCTCAGTTCCTAGGCCTGTCTTGCCTGGGCCCTTGCCCTCACCCACATTACATCTGGCGTGACCCTGCCATTCCAGCCACAGCAGGCTGCACTGGGGTGCACACCTGAACTGGGGAAGTCAATCAGATGACCTTTCTCCTGGGCCTTTACGATGGGATCACAGGGACTCTAGACAGTCTTTGCTAAGCATGTGGCCTGGGAATCCCTGAAGGTCTAAGGCTGCCATATCAGGCCACAAGCCCAGGAGCACAAGGAGATACACAGAAAGTGAGGGTAGAAGGAGGCAGACAGAGGCGAGGCTATAAGGTCTGGAGGGGTGGTGGGAGAAGTCACTGTAATTCCTAACAGCTCTCCAGCCTCTGAGAGCCCCAGCAGCACAGCTAGTGGCTGGAGTTCTTAATCTCTCCGTGCAATGACAGTGCAAGATCCTTTACGCAAAACCCCCTTTTTCACTTAGACTTTGAGCCTAAGAAGGCTTGTCTCACTTGCAATCAAACTATCCCTCAGCAAGAGAATCACACATATGCAAAACACCGGTGCTAAGATCATGACAGTCAGAAGGAAATGCTCACTTTGCTGGCGTTATGAGGTCATCAAGGAGGGTGGCTCCAGGAATAGGGGCAGTAGCAGCGGCCAACTGCCTAGCCTTTTCTCGTATTCTGTCTTTGGTTTTGGAGGCAAAATCGTCTGTGGTGACAATCGCTTTAGGTGCTATCCCAAATTCACTAAGATCCTTCAAAAAAATTCAAACAGAATTACATTATTTGGAAAGTGACTATACACAATACATCACATAGTTTTATTTCTGTTAAAAAAAAAAAGTTAAAACTACAAAATTTAGTTCTGGATCAGCAGAGTGACAGACATACACACTGACTTTATTTTTTATTTATTTATTTTTTTGAGACAGAGTTTCTCTCTTGTTGCCCAGGCCGGAGTGCAGTGGTGCAATCTGGGCTCACTGCAACCTCCGCCTCCCGGGTTCAAGTGATTCTCCTGCCTCAGCCTCCCAAGTAGCTGGGATTACAGGCACACACCACCATGCCTGGCTAGCTGTTTGTTTTTAGTATAGATGGGGTTTCACTATGTTGGTCAGGCTGGTCTCGAACTCCTGACCTCAGGTGATCCACCCGCCTCAGCCTCCCAAAGTGCTGGGATTACAGGCATGAGCCACCGTGCCCCGCCTCACACTGACTTTAGAACCTCATCCTCACACAAGGTAAAGCCAGTGGCCAAGGGCAGGGCATGATAGTCGCTGCTCATTAGGGCCACCCCGAGCATGACCAAGCTGGGAAGACAGGAAGTAATGGCCGTGTTCTTCTCGACAGTATCTCAAAGGTCAGCGTGAAAGAGACAAAGCCTGGAGTTCCAGCCAGCAAGCATTCACAAGTGTGAGTGCCAGGCCTAGAGTCAGGTGCCTTTGCCTTTACTGGAGCAGATGTTGCTGGCTGCCTGTCCAACCATTGGCACGTTTCCTCTTTCCTTGCAGAGTCCTGACGTTGTCTAGGCACCTGCCTTCCTCTGCACCGCCACACATTGCAGGAGTGGTACTCCCAGTGTTGGGGAGGCAGGATTATGAAGTGGGGCTTTGTGTCTTATCTAAGCCAGTCATTTTGATCCCACTTTCCTTGCCAGGGACTGCGTTAGGAATGGGCATGTAAAACAATTTGTGCAAGCAAATGTAGAGAAAATTCATGGTAGGACTCATATGAAAGGCTACTTTGCTTTTAAGAAAAGAGACTGCCGGGTGCGGTGGCTCACACCTGTAATCCCAGCACTTTGGGAGGCCGAGGTGGGTGGATCACCTGAGGTCAGGAGTCCGAGACCAGCCTGGCCAATATGGTGAAACCCCGTCTCTACTAAAAATACAAAAATTAGCCAGGCATGGTGGTGCACACGCCTGTAATCCCAGCTACTCGGGGGAAGCTGAGGCAGGAGAATCACTTGAACCTGGCAAGCAGAGGTTGCAGTGAGCCGAGATAGCGCCACTGCACTCCAGCCTGGGCAACAGAGCAAAACTCCGTCTCAGGAAAAAAAAAAAAGAAAAGAAAAGGGACCAAGAGGAAAGTTCTCTTGAACAACGTCATCCTGGATGTGCCACCTGGAACTACTACAGCCATTTTGCAATCATGAGGAGAGGTAGTATAAGGACAAGCTGCCAACAGAAGACTGAGAAGAGAGAGCCTGGGGTCTCAGCACATCTAGACTTCTTGCTACATGAGATATGTTTCCTTCTAGATGATGCTACTCAAAAAAAGAATGAGACTTCCTTCCCTCTTACCTGCAGCCTCGCACATGCTGATATAAATGTTTTATTTAATCTTTTTTTTCCTTCAACTTTTAAGTTCCAGGGTACATGTGCAGGATGTGCAGGTTTGTTACACAGGTAAATGTGTGTCATGGAGGTTTGCTGCACAGATCAACCCATCACCTAGGTATTAAGCCCAGCATGCATTAGCTATTCTTCCTGATGCTCTCCCTCCCTATTTAATCTTTATCATGGGTGAATCCGCGACCAGGTTTTAAGGTAGCAGAAGTTTAATTTTAGTTCAGTCACTCACAGTTCTTTACTGCAGTGTGCCTGAGAGTTACTGTGGAAAGCTGCAGACCCAGCACCATGGATACTGAGCTTTTGAGGCAATAGAGGCTTTACTTTTTTTTTTTTTTTTTTTTTTTTTGAGACGGAGTCTTGCTCTGTCGCCCAGGCTGGAGTGCAGTGGCGCAATCTCAGCTCACTGCAAGCTCTGCCTCCTGGGTTCACGCCATTCTCCTGCCTCAGCCTCCCGAGTAGCTGGGACTACAGGCACCCGCCACCACACCCGGCTAATTTTTTGTATTTTGTTTAGTAGAGACGGGGTTTCACCGTGTTAGCCAGGATGGTCTTGATCTCCTGACCTCGTGATCCGCCTGTCTCGGCCTCCCAAAGTGCTGGGATTACAGGCGTGAGCCACCGCACCCAGCCACGAGGCTTTTCAAGTAAATTGCCTGTATATGACTTTCCCCTTACACTCTTGATTTTAGAAATTGGCCCCAGTATAAAATGCTCCTCCAATGAACAAGACTCTACTGATGTACAGGACACTGCACATCAAATACCTAAAAGATAAAGCCTTACAAACAAAGAGGAAATCGTACATTGGACCTTCTGGGGAGAGAGAAGGCAGTTACAGCAACCAACTAGACCTGTCCCACCAGCTAATTGGCAATTAAAGTTTTGCACACGCACCTCTTCATCCATAAAATCTTCAGGACCAAGAACAGATTTGTCTGCTCTGTTCTGTCGTGAAGACACAAAGGTAGAGGGTGTCCATCCTGAAAAAAAAAGAGTTTAGAACTTTACAATCCTAGAGAGTATTTGGGTCTATGAGTAAATGATTAAATAACATGTATGGACTTGAAATTCCCAATAACTATAAACTCTTAGCTACTTCCCATCTCAGTGCTTATATAGACGTAATTATTCCACATAAATTTCTTATTAATCCCTGTATCCCCTGATGTAAAACTTAGTGGATACATTAAGGTTTCCCCATAAGAAAGTGAAACCAAGAGATATAGAATTACACATTGAAAGTTAAACTGTGAAATGAACACAAGCAGATCTGAGCTGACAGATGCAAGGTCACCTTAAAATGCAGGACGTGAGACCAGCAACCTCCACTGGCATATTAACATATCTAAAGAAATGATGTCATCGCTTCTAGGCCTTTTGGCTAAGATCAAGTGTAAAGATATGATGTCAAGGTGTTTTAATCAGTCAGAGTGGATAAAGAGAGAGTAACAGAAGGAATCCAGGCAACATTCACAGTACCCTGACCAAAGACTCAACCTGGCAGGTCCAAGGGCAGCGGCTCTGCCAGTCCCCCAGTTTCAACAGACACTGGAATCCTGTAACCAATGGCCTTGTTCCCTGACCACGGTTACCGAGCATGTGCCACGTCCACAAACAGGGAATGCTCTGGAGGTCACATATGTCTGTAACCTCTGCACATAAAGTTGTTTAGTTTTCTCTAAGAGGGTTGCACCTCCTTCCTGATTCTCTCCAAGGGCCCTGTGAGCTGAGGCATCTGGGGAAGGTCTACTCTCAGTAGGTGCACCACTGCACTAAAGCCTGGGCGACAGAGTGAGACCCTGTCTCAAAAAATAAATCAATTAATTAAATAAAATGGTAAGGCCGGGCATGGTGGCTCACGCCTGTAATCCCAGCACTTGGGGAAGCTGAGGCGGGTGGAACACTTGAGGTCAGGAGTTCGAGACCAGCCTGAACAACATGGTGAAACCCCATCTCTACTAAAATACAAAAATCAGCCGGGTGTGGTGGCGGGCACCTGTAGTCCTAGCTACTCGGGAGGCTGAGGCAGGAGAATTGCTTGAACCCAGGAGGCGGAGGTTGAAGTGAGCCGAGGTCATGCCATTGCACTCCAGCCTGGGCGACAGAGTGAGACTACATCTCAGGAAAAAAAAAAAAAAATTATAAAAGATCTAGCCCATCTTTTTCTTGATAATTGCTATGTGAATTAATCAGTTCATCTTCCGTGCTCACTATGGCAGCACATATAATAAAATCAGTTCATCTTCCATTCATAACTGAGATATAGAAAGCCATTTCTTCCAGTTCAAAAAAATGCTTCTAGATTAATATATCTTAAAACATACAATACTTTAAACAACTTGGCATTTATAAAAGTACATAACATAAAAGATTTAACTGACTTTTCCCCAGGTAGAGAGCACTGAGGAGCCAGTCTTGCTGTGGTCCCCAGTGTCTGAAGAGGGCACCTGGTGACTCTTCCCTCAGCACTAACGCCATGCTGGCTCCTTAACCTCTCTGACCCTTGGTGGCATCATCTGCAAGATCCCTGTGACACCTGCCCTCCTCACTCACTCAGTCACGAGAGACAGTCAATGATTAACTGAAAGACTCTGTTTAAGAGTATTTCGTGAATGGCAAGACACAATAAAAACCAAAGTCATTATTATCATTTAATCATCTGATTAGGAGGTATGCATTTTTTTACAAAGTGAAAGAAAACTCTTTAACCATAAGGTTGCAATCAATGAACAAGATACAAGTTGACTCTGGAAACATCCAAATATCCAAAGAACACAAGAGGTTACAGTGTATGTTCAGAGAAAGCTGAGCGCAGTGGCTCACACCTGTAATCCCAGCACTTTGGGAGGCCAAGACAGGCGGATCACTTGAGGCCAGGAGTTAGAGACCACACTGGCCAACATAGTGAAACCCTGTCTCTATAAACACAAAAAAAATTAGCTGGGCATGGTGGCAGGCGCCTGTAATTCCACCTACTTGGGAGGCTGAGGCAGGAGAATCGCTTGAACCCGGGAGGCGGAGGTTGCAGTGAGCCAAGATCACACCACTGCCCTCCAGCCTGGGCAACAGTGCAAGACTCCATCGCAAAAAAAAAAAAAAAAGCAAAGGTGGCCGGGTGCAGTGGCTCACACCTGCAATCCCAGCACTTTTGGAGGCCAAGGTGGGCAGATCACTCAAGGTCAAGACTTTGAGACCAGCCTGGCCAACATGGTGAAACTCCTGTCTCTACTAAAAGTATTTTTTTTTAAATTAGCCAGGCATAGTGGCATGCGCCTGTTATCCCAGCTAATTGGAAGGCTGAGGCAGGAGAATCGCTTAATCCAGGAGGCGGAGGTTGCAGTAAGCCAAGATCACACAACAGCACTCCAGCCTGGGCGACAGAGCGAGACTCTTGTCTCAAAATTAAAAAAAAAAAAAGCAAGGGTGAGGGAGAATCAATATTTTGATCATTTGCTTTAATGGTATAATAGCTACAATTAGGAAAATGATACCTTCTTTTGAGCCAACAGTATTGAAGTATCCAGCAGAGAAACCTCCACTAAAGGCCCCGTGGAATCGTTTATACCTTCCTTTTTCATCTCTGACAGTCTGATCCTGAAGAGGGATTGGTTTCTTTGGTCTTTCACCTAAAAAAAAAAAAAAAAAAAGTTTTTTAAATGAAAAAGAGAGGAGATGGTCGGTTCAAATTTAGGGAAAATGTCACTTTTTAAATATCATAAATTGTTTACTTCTTATAATTCAAATATAATCATTTAAATTGTTATTCCTAGACTTTACTGCTTTATATAGCCTAGAAAACAATATATTTTATAAGCTTATGTAATAATGATTGCCCTCTTTTCCCACTAAATTCCATTACAAAACCTGGTCAACATGGCAAAATCCCGGCTCTACTAACAAATACAAAAATTAACCGGGCGTGGTGGCAGACGTCTGTAATCCCAGCTACTTAGGAGGCTGAGGCAGGAGAATCGCTTGAACCCGAGAGGTGGAGGTTGCAGTGAGCCGAGATCACACCACTGCACTCCAGCATGGGAGACACAGCGAGACTTCTCCCCCAAAAAAAAAAAAAAAAATTATAATGTCAGGAGAGTTCCGACAGATGAAACTGAAATCTCCTGGCTTCAAATGAAGGGCGCAGAAGCTGGGGTGGCACTTGGCAAGGAGAGATACACTTCCATACCTCTTCTAGAACGTCACACCATCCCTGAATCCGGCATTTTTCCTTTGGTATTGCCTATTTTCCCCGACTCCTAAGAGTTTCCTTAATTTCTGTGAATCTCCTGATTCCACAGTGTTCTTTAAACCTATTCCTTTTCCTACTTTGTTGAAAGGGCTGGGTTGAGACATCACACAAGCAAGGGAATTTAATCTAATACATTTTAGGCCTAGCCTAACAATTCCTTAGGTTTAAACTCCCAGGTACTATGGCACAAATTACTGCCTCGTTTTATCAACTACAATTCAAAATCCTGAATTTATTTAAATTTTTTTAAAAAATAAAAAAAATCAAGTTATTTTCAAAAGTTCACAAGAGGAAGTAGGTTATACAGTGGTTAAGGGTATGAGTTAAGGGTGAGAGTCACAGTGGAGTTTCAAGCCAACTCCCTTTACTAGTGCTGGACTTTGGTCAGCCTTGACTCTCTGTGCCTCAATTTACTTATCTGTAAAATAGAAATGGCATTAATGGTAACAGCTATTTCATGGAGTTGTTATGCAAATTAAATGCCTATGAAGTACTTAACAAGAAGAGGGAGACACAAGAAATACTTTATTTATTTTTTTTTTTTGAGATGCAGTCTCTGTCACCCATGCTGGAGTGCAGTGGCATGATCTTGGCTCACTGCAACTTCTGCTTCCTGGGCTCAAGTGGTTCTCCTGCCTCAGCCTCCCAAGTAGCTGGGATTACAGGTGTGAGCGACCGCGTCCAGCCAAGAGCCCAGGTTTAAAGACCTAGAGATCTGAATTCAAATCCCCTTCTACTACTTGTTAAGATTTGTCATCAGCCTGGCGCAATGACTCATGCCTGTAATCCCAGCACTTTGAGAGGCTGAGGCGGGTGGATCACCTGAGGTCAGGAGTTTGAGAACAGCCTGGCCAACAGGGTGAAACCCCGTCTCTGCTAAGATACAAAAAATTAGCCAGGCATGGTGGCAGGCAGAACTACTCGGGAGGCTGAGGCAGATGAATCGCTTGAACCTAGGAGGAGGAGGTTGCAGTGAGCCAAGATCATGCCATTGCACTCTAGCCTGGGTGACAGAGTGAGATTCTGTCTCAAAAAAAGAAAAAAAATTTGTCATCTTGAACAAGTTACTTCATCACTCTAAGCCTCAGCCTCCACAACTGTAAAATCAAGGTAATAAAGAAGCCCATCTTTGTAGGGTGGTAACGAGGATTAAATATCATACGTAAACAGCTGAGCACAGTCCCTGGCCATGGGGGAAATCAGTTAATATCAGCTACAATGTCTTTTCCCTCTAAAGGACTAAATTACAACTTGGGTCCCACAACCCAAGATGTTCACCATTTCATGGAAATGCAGTACACACACTACATTACATATATGCACTTGGCATCATTCTTGGCTATGGCAGAGCTTCTCAATCTCAGCATATTTTGTGCTGGAGAATTCTTTGTTGCAGGGGAATGTTCTGTACATTGCAGGATGTTCAGCAGCATCCTGGGCCTATAGCAGCAGCTTATGCCCCACAGGCATGACAACCAAAAAGGTCTCCAGGCATTGCCAACTGTCCCACTGGGCTACGGTAAGAGGGAACAGGTGCTGCCAGTGCTTGGTGCTATTCTTGGTGCTTCTGATCTCAAAGGGGAGATAAGATCTGCAGACAACTGAGTGCAACCTGTGGCGGCAGATGATGAGGGCCAAGCAATGTGGCCAACTAGCTCCCACAGGTCTCCTGAGCAGAAGGCACCACCTCTAACCAGTGACGGAACAACTCCAGAAAGGAGGTGGGTGGCATTTTAGCCAGGCCATGTCCTAATTACTGCTACTAATGACAACTAATTCCTTCCTTTAGTACATATCATCTCATTTATCATACCCTGATAAGGATACTGATTAAGTAACTTCCCTGAGACTCACTGCTAATAAGCACAAAGGTGAAACCAGATCTCAGCTCTGTCTCCAAGCCAGAGATGCCTCCTATACTGTTCCTTCCTCTCATTCCCTGACCAAAATTTCAACGAGCCCCTGGTTGGCTAATGGTTACATTTTTTTTAAAGGGTGGGGGAGTCAGGTGCAGTGGCTCACACCTGTAATCCCAGCACTTTGAGAGGCCCAGGTAGGAGTGGTTCGAGTCATTAGAAGCAGTGGTTTGAGACAAACCTGGGCAACATAGTGACGCAATGTTTAAAATTAGCCGGGCATGGTGGTATGCGCCTATAGTCCTGGTTACTGGGGGCTGGGGGGTGCTGAGCTGGGAGGATCGCTTGAGCCCAGGAGGCCAAGGCTGCAGTGAGCCATAATCATGCCACTGTACTCCCGCCTGGGGGATAAAGCAAGACTGTCTCAAAAACAAAAACAAAAAGTTGATGAGGGCCTTGCCATGCAAGCAGCCCTTCTAGAGCTGGGGTATAGAAAACTGAACAAAACTCTGCTCCCGTTCTCAGGACACTCCGAGCCCAGCAGAGAAGACCTGCACGTACTGGAGCACTTCTGACAATGAGAAGGTCTGCAACATCAGCCACCGTTAGGAATAAGCAGAATTTTGATAGCTGCAGATAGGGACACAGAGCCACTGACTCCCACCAGTAAACAGAAGGAGGGATAAAAGGGCAAAGTCGCTGGGCACAGTGGCCCACGCCTGTAATTCCAGCACTTTGGGAGGCCGAGGCGGGCGGATCACCTGAGGTCAGGAGTTCAAGACCAGCCTGGCCAACATTGTGAAACCCCGCCTCTACTAAAAATACAAAAATTAGCCGGGCGTGGTGGCATGCGCCTGTAAGCTCAGCTACTCAAGAGGCTGAGGCAGGAGAATCGCTTGAACCTGGGAGGCGGTGGTTGCAGTGAGCAAAGATCGTGCCATTGCACTCCAGCCTGGGAGGCAGAGCAAGACTCCATCTCAAAAAAAAAAAGAAAAAAAAAAAAAGGGCAAGGTCAGGTGTATTGAGAAAGTCCAGTCTAACGGGAGGCCAAGGAATGAGCGGAAGATGGAACCAGAAAGGCGGACAGTGCAGGGGGCCTTGAACATAGTGCTGCAGGGTTTATAGTGTGTCCTGGGGGCGAGGGAAGCCACGGTTAGTTTTAAGTGTGAGAGTCACAGCATCAAGGAGGAGAAAATTGGCCCTAAAATTAATCTGGGTATAGAATGAGCTGTAGATAAGAATTCTAGAACCAAGTGGAAGTGTCTAAGGAAAGAATAGGTAAGTATCTGGCCCCCTTCTTTCCAGATTAGAAGGCCTATGTGTCTATAAAGTTCAGCCACTGTCACTAGGCTCCCTGGTTAACTCTTAACTAATAAACCTTTCTGTCAGGGCCAGCAACTTTAATTAAAATGGAGTTCTCCTCTACCAATGCCTGTCTAACCTGTCACTAAAACTTCAAAGCAGGGAGTAAAAATAATTATTAGTCTAGTGTGTTATATCGTAAAATACAGACAGAGTGCATTTAAATTTCAAAGTGCTTAGAAAACTGGCTGGGCATGGTGGCTCACGCCTGTAATCCCAGCACTTTGGGAGGCCGAGGCAGGCAGATCACCTGAGGTCAGAAGTTCGAGTCCAGCCTGGCCAACGTGGTAAAACCCTGTGTCTACTAAAAATATAAAAATTAGCCGGGCATGGTGGTGGGCACCTATAATCCCAGCCACTCGGGAGGCTGAGGCTGGAGAATCTCTTGAACCTGGGAGGCAGAGGTTGTAGTGAGCCGAGATCGCACCATTGCATGCCAGCCTGGGTGACAAGAGCGAAACTCTCAAAAAAAAGTGCTTAGAAGACAATGAATCAATCCTCAAAAACTTGTATTACTGAGAAGTTAAAGAATGTTTTTAGTCCAGAAAAACAAAGTCTACAAATCCATGTCCTTTCCTTCCACTTCAAAAGCAAGGTTGGGGGCCACATGCAATGGCTCACGCCTGTAATTCCAACACTTTGGGAGGTGAAGGCAGATGGATTGCTTGACCTAAGGACTTCAAGACCAGCCTGGCCAATATGGCGAAACCCTGTCTCTACTAAAAATACAAAAATTAGCCAGGCGTAGTGGAATGTACCTATAATCCCAGCTACTTGAGAGGCTGAGGCAGGAGAATCGCTTGAACCTGGAAGGCGGAGGTTGCAGTGAGCCGAGATCGCGCCACTGCACTCCAGCCTGGACAACAGAGCGTGACTCTGTCACAGAAAAAAAAAAAAAACAAAAACATGGTTGGGGCCAGGCGTAGAGAGTCACGCCTATAATTCCAACACTTTAAGAAGCTGAGCTGGGAAGACTACTTGAGGCCAGGAGTTCAAGACCAGCCTGAGCAACATAGAAGGATCCCATCTCTATTTTTTTTTTTTTTTTTTTTGAGACAGAGTCTCGCTCTGTCGCCCAGGCTGGAGTGCAGTGGCGCCATCTTGGCTCACTGCAAGCTCTGCCTCCCAGTCTCACGCCATTCTCCCGCCTCAGCCTCCCGAGTAGCTGGGACTACATGAGCCCCCCCCCACCACGCCCAGCTAATTTTTTTTTGTATTTTTAGTAGAGACGGGGTTTCACCGTGTTAGCCAGGATGGTTAGGATCTTCTGAATTCGCGATCTGCCCGCCTCGGCCTCCCAAAGTGCTGGGATTACAGGCGTGAGCCACCACGCCCGGCCTCATCTCTATTTTTAAAATAAAAAATGTTGGGCACTGTGGCTCATGCATGCAATCCAGCACTTTGGGAAGCCAAGGTGAGAGCATCGCTTGAGGTCAGGAGTTTGAAACCAGCATGGTCAACACAGCAAGACCCTGTCTCTATAAAAAAAGAACTTGGGATAGTGAGTGTAGAACAGAGATGTCTTAAGAAAATGCAACAGCTGACTTCAAACACATAAAAAGCATTCGGAAGACTAGCCTTTCTCAGCCTTTTGTTTCGTTTGTTTGTTTGTTTGTTACAGACAGAGTCTCACTACAATGCCCAGGCTGGTCTCAAACTCCTGACCTCAAGCAATCCTCCCACCTCAGCCTCCCAGAGTGCTGGGATTACAGGTGTGAACCACTGTGCCTGGCCCCTTTCTCAACCTTTTGTAAGCCGAGGGTAGAAGAAGGGCCAGTATCCAGCAGAAGTTTCCACCAGAACTGTTTGTAGGAAATAAAGGGGGCATAAGTGGAGATATCCCAGAAGTACAATCAACCTGGCAGGATGTGGTCAGGGTGAAAAAAGGGAGGGGACCCCCACCAACAGGAGGTCTGCAAATAAATTGTGGCCCAATGATTCCACCATTCTTCCTCTGCCTTCCCTACAGGGCTAGCACAGCCAACAGCCCTTACTGGACACTCAATACATAACTTGCTGAACAAGTCAAGTCGTTAAGTGGAACAGACCAGAAACACAGGAGAGAACCTTGATTCATCTTGCCCCTCACCCCCACATTCCACCAGCAAGTATGGTCAGCTCTGCTTTCAAAATATATCTCCACCCAGACCACTACACACCACCACCACTGCTGTCCCATCCATGCCACCATCATCTCCTGACCTCTTTTTGCTAATCTCCCTGCTTCACTCTTACCCATCCCCAACCAGTGTATTCTCAACATCAAAGATAGAATAACATTAAAAATTGGCCGAGCACAGTGGCTCAAGCCTGTAATCCCTGCACTTTGGGAGGCAGAAGCGAGAGGATCACTTGAAGTCAGGAGTTCAAGACCAGCCTGGGAAACAGAGCAAAACCCTGTCTCTAAAAATCATATATATATCCCTCCCTGTGTAATTTCCCATGACCCTAACCCTAACCCTAATCCTGCACTTAGTACAAGATCCAAACTCTTTACCCTACCAAGTAAGATCCAGCCCCTGTCAGCCCCTCTGACATTCTTTTCTACCTGTCTCCCCCGCTGTCATCTGCTGCAACCATACCCGTCCTGCCTGCCCCTCAATTTCCTAAACTGGCTCCCACTTCAGGGCCTTTGCCACTTTATGTTCCTTCTGCCTGAAATGCTTTCCCTCCAGATTTGCTCATGGTTGTTTTCTTCCTCGGTTTCAAGTCTGAGCTCAAACGTCCTCTCTCGGGGAAGACACTGCCTGAGCACCCCCCGCTCTCACACTAGCTATTCCGTCATTTTCTTGTTTCTATCTCGCCGCCCCCTTGTTCGGCCACGCTTGTGTCTCCCGTCCCTGTAAACCTCTCTCTGTCGCTGCAGAAGGTGAGCACCCCGAGAGCGCGGCTAACGCCTCCCTCGTCGCCGTGTTCCCAGCGCTGGGAACGATCTAACAATGGTCCAGCACCGACTTGTGCTTTTGTGGCCCGAATCCTGGGCCCTTGGCCTGTTTTCCACAGGCTCCGCCGGCCCACGCGGCCCGCACCTTCTTCCAGAGGCTCCAGCCCGGTCCCATAGCTGACCAGATCTTCTTCGCTGTCACTGTCCCGCGCCGCCATCCTGCTCTTCCGGGCCCCGCCCCCTCGCTACGGCGGCCTTGGCAGGCCAAACGCCTTTCCTCTTTCTCCTCCGCGAACCCCGGTGATGCTGGAAGGCTGGGTCCGCGGGCGGGGGAAGGTGTCCTAGCGGCCCGAGCCTGCGCTCCGGATTCTCAGGCCCATCCTGTGGTAGGCCGTCCCAGGCAGGAGTTGCCTCGGAGGATTTGGCAGCCACGACATCCCATCCTAGCCCCGCGATGTGCGGGTGAGGAGGAGACTCCTGGCATAAGCTGGAAGCCACCCAACTGTTCCCTGCGAGGCGACACCGATGCCTGCCCAGCCCCCTACCCCCGTCCCTCGCGCCAGCCCCCTGCCTTGGCAGCAGTCACTGCCCAGCCCCGTCCACTCCCACCGCCCACCCAGCCACCTCCAGGGAAATGGCTGAGCTCCCAGATTTCATGCTCGCCCCGTGGGGCTTCGCTTTATTTTTATTATTATTATTTTTTACTTTTATTTTGGGTTCAGGGGTACATGTGCAAGTTTGTTATATAGGTAAATTGCATGTCGCAAGGGATTTGGGTTACAGATTATTTCCTCCCCAGGTAATAAGCATAGTACCCAATAGGTAGTTTTTCCGATCCTCACCCTCCTCGTACCTTCCACCCTCAAGTAGGTCCACCCTCAAGTAGGCCCTGGTGTTATTCCCTTTTTTTTTTTTTTTTTTTTTGAGACAGAGTCTCGCTCTGTCGCCCAGGCTGGAGTGCAGTGGCCGCGATCTCAGCTCACTGCAACCTCCGCCTCCCAGATTCAAGTGATTCTCCTGCCTCAGCCTCCTGATAGCTGGGATTATAAGCGTCCACCCCACCACGCCCTGCTAAATTTTTGTTTGTTTGGTTGGTTGGTTGTTGTGGTGGTTTTTTTTTTTTTTTTCTTGAGACAGAGTTTCACTCTTGTTGCCCAGGCTGGAGTGCAATGGCACGATCTCGGCTCACCTCAACCTCCGCCTCCCGGGTTCAAGCGATTCTCCTGCCTCAGCCTCCCTAGTAGGTGGGATTACAGGCATGCACCACTATGTCTGGCTAATTTTGTAATTTTTTTTTTAGTAGAGACGGGGTTTGTCCATGTTGGTCAGGCTGGTCTCGAACTCCCCACCTCAGGCGATCCATCCACCTTGGCCTCCCAAAGTGCTGGGATTACAGATGTGAGCCACCGCACCCGGCCATTTTTTTTTTTTTTTTTTTTTTTTTTTGTATTTTTAGTAGAGACTGGGTTTCACCATGTTGGCCAGGCTGGTCTTGAACTCCTGACCTCAAGTGATCCACCCGCCTCGGCCTCCCAAAATGCTGGTATTACAGGCGTGAGCCACTGCGCCTGGCACCTGTCATTCCCTTCTTTATGTCCATGTGTGCTCAATGTTTAGCTCCCACTTATACGTGAGAACATGCAGTATTTGGTTTTCTGTTCCTGCATTAGTTTGTTTAGGATAATGGCCTCCAGCTGCATCTATGTTGCTGCAAAGGACATGGTCTTGTTGTTTCTTTTTTTTTTTTTTTTTGAGACGGAGTTCGCTCTGTCCCCCAGGCACGCCATTCTCTTGCCTCAGCCTCCCGAGTAGCTGGCACTACAGGCGCCTGCCACCACACCCAGCTAATTTTTTGTATTTTTAGTAGAGGCGGGGTTTCACCGTGTTAACCAGGATGGTCTCGATCTCCTGACCTCGTGATCCGCCCATCTTAGCCTCCCAAAGTGCTGGGATTACAGGCATGAGCCACCACGCCTGGCCAGTCTTGTTCTTTTTTTATGGCTGTGTAGTGTTCCATGGTGTATGTGGACCATATTTTCTTTATCCAGTCCACCATTTGTGGGCATGTAGGTTGGTTCCATGTCTCTGCTATTGTGAGTAGTGCCTCAATGAATATATGCATGCATTTGTCTTTATGGTAGAACAACTTATATTCCTTTGGGTATATACCCAGTAATGGGATTGCTGGGTCTAATGGTAGTTCTGTTTTAAGTTCTTCAGGAAATCTCCCAACTGCTTTCCAGTTGTAATTGTAATTTAATTGTAATTTTCTTTTTTTTTTTTTTTTTTAGTTTATTTTCTTTGTCTAGACAGAGTCTCACTCTGTTGCCCAAGCTGGAGTGCAATGGTGCGATCTCGTCTCACTGCAACCTCCAACTCCTGGGTTCAAGCGATTCTCCTGCCTCAGCCTCCTGAGTAGCTGGGACTACAGGCGTGCGCCACCACACCTGGCTAATTTTTGTATTTTTTTAGTAGAGACGGGGTTTCGCAATGTTGGCAAGGCTGGTCTCAAACTTCTCACCTCAGGTGATCCACCCACCTCAGCCTCCCAAAGTGCTGGGATTATAGGCATGAGCCACCTTGCTCATAGATCCTCTATAGACAGAGGATCTCTGTCTATAGAGACCCTGTCTCTAAGGGGAAAAAAAAAATAAAAAAGATATGAAGCAATTAGCCAGGTTTAGTGACAGTACTTGGGAGGGTGAAACAGGAGGATCACTTGAGCCCAGGAATCAGAGGCCAGCCTGAGCAACATAGCAAGACCCTGTCTCTAACAACAGCAACAAAAAGATATGGGATAATTCATTAACAGCAATACGTAATCAGAAAAACCTATAACCTGTGACAATACTATGAGTATTTTAAACTCCCCATGAGTTATCTGCAACATATGTTGATAAATGAGTTGTGGAATTAAATAATTCAAACTTAAAGCTGTTGGAACTTTATTGTTGATATTATTATTTTTTAGAGGCAGGGTTGGTGTGCAGTGATGCAATCATAGCTCACTGCAGCCTCAAACTACTGGGCTGAGGCAATCCTCCAGCCTCAACATCCCTGGTACTGGGACTACAGGCACCAGCCACCACGCCCAGCTGCTGTTGGAATTGTAAATGATCCTGAAACTTGAGAGGAATGTGGTTATGCAGCATGAATCACATGGCGAGCAGCTGTACCTTCTGCCCCTTTTACCCTAGAAATAACTAAGACCAAACAGGGCAGAGATAAGACTTCCTCAGACGGGTACACCCCTCACAGAGTAATAAAGCAATCTTCCTTGGAAGGTAGCATCCTATAGCTAGTCAAGTCACTGTAAGGATTGTATGTCTCTGCCTATATAAGTGAAACCGTAACTTCTCCACTTTGGAATGCTTTTTTTGTGTGTTTTTGCTTTCGTTTTTGAGACAATATCTCATTTTGACACCCAGGCTGGAGTGCAGTGGCAGGATCATGGCTCACTGCAGCCTTCCTCTCACCTCAGCCTCCCAAGTAGCTGGGACTACTAGTTGACAACGCTCAACTAATTATTTTATTTTTTGTAGAGACCAGGTCTCACTGTGTTGCTAAGGCTGGTCTCAAACTCCTGGGCTCAAGTGATCCTCCCACCTCAGCCTCCCACAGTGTTGGGATTATAGGCGTGAGCCATCGTGCCTGGGCTCCCCTTTGGAATGTTGACCCTATACATTTGGAATTGGTGTTTCTGGGTGGCTATCCTCAAGCTTTGGAATGTTTGAGGATAAATAAACATAGTAAACTATACTTAATCAGGGTGGGTGCAGTGGCGCACGCCTGTAATCCCAGCACTTTGGGAGGCCGAGGCAAGTGGATCATCTGAGATCAGGAGTTTGAGACCAGCCTGGCCAACACGGTGAGACCCTGTCTCTACCAAATGTACAAAAATTGGCCAGGTGTGGTGCCTCATGCCTGTAGTCCCAGCTACTTGGGAGGCTGAGGCATGAGAATCAGTTGAACCTGAGAGATAGAATTTGCAGTGAGTCAAGATTGTGCCACTGCACTCCAGTCTGGGCGACAAAGACTCTGTCTCAAAAAAAAAAAAAAAAAAAGAAAGTAAAGAAAGTTGGGCGAAGTGGCTCAAGTCCATAATCCCAGCACTTTGGGAGGCCATGTAAGGAGGATCACTTGAGCCCAGGAGTTCAAGACCAGCCTGGGTAACATGCCAAAACTACCTCTACAAAAAATACAAAGATTAGCCAGGCATAGTGGTGCGTGTCTGTAGTCCCAGCTACTCCAGAGGCTGATATGGGAGAATCAATTGAGCCCCAGAGGCAGAGGCTGCAGTGAGCAGAATTTGCGCTACTGCACTGCAGCCTGGGTGACAGAATGAGACGCTGTCTCAAAGAAAAAGTAAAAGAAACCGGGTGCAGTGGCTCACGCCTATAACCCCAGCACTCAGGCAGATAACCTGAGGTCAGGAGTTTGAGACCAGCCTGACAAACATGGAGAAACCCTGTCTCTACTAAAAATGCAAAATTAGCTGGGCATGGTGGCGCATGCCTGTAATCCCAGCTACTCGGGAGGCTGAGGCAGAAGAATCACTTGAACCCAGGAGGCAGAAGGTGCAGTGAGCCAAGATCATGCCATTGCACTCCAGCCTGGGCAACAAGAGCAAAACTCCGTCTCAAGAAAAAAAAAAAAAAAGTAAAGAAAAGAAAAAGTAAAAGAAAGTAAAAAAGATTGGGGACAAATTCATATATTCAGACAAAACACCAAAGTCCATGATTTTATTTCTATATTACTCGTAATTTTCTTACAGCTTGTAGCTTCAAAATAGGCAAAGAACACCCAATAACTTTTTTATTTTATTTTAGTTTATCTTATTTTATTTTATTTTATTTTATTTTATTTTTGAGACTGAGTCTTGTTCTAGCACCCAGTCTGGAGTGGCGGCATCGTGGCTCACTGCAGCCTCCGCTGCCCGGGTTCAAGTGATTCTCCTGCCTCAGCCTCCCGAGTAGCTGAGATTACAGGCGCCACCACGCCTGGCTAATTTTTGTTTTTTCAGTGGAGACAGGGTTTCACCATGTTGTCCAGGCTGGTCTCAAACTCCTGACCTCAAGTGATCTGCCCTCCTCGGCCTCCCATAGTGCTGGGATTACAGGCATGAGCCGCCGCACCTGGCCACCACATAGCTTTTCTTTTCTTTTTTTTTGAGACAGGGTCTCATTCTGTCGCTGGAGTGCAGTGGCACGATCATGGCTCACTGCAGCCTCAACTTCTCCAGGTTCAGGGAGTCCTCCCATCCCAGCCTCCCAAGTAGCTGGGACTGCAGACATGTACAACCATGCCTGGCTAATACTTGTATTTTTTGTAAAGAAGCAATTTTGCAGTGTTGCCCAGGCTGGTCTCAAGCTCCTGGGTGCCAGTGATCCTCCTACCTCAGCCTCTCAAAGTGCTGGGATTACAAGCATAAGCCACCACACCCAGCCCACAAACCGTTCCTTTCTTTCTGTTCTATTTATTTATTTTTTAGAGACAGGGTCTCAGTCTGTCACCCAGGCTGGAGTGCAATGCAGCCTGGAACTCCCGGGCTCAAACAATCCTACTAACCTAGCCTTCTGAATAGCTGGGAATACAGGTATGTGCCACCAAGCCTGGCTAATTTTTCTATTTTTTGTAGAGACGGGGTCTTGCTGTGTTGCCCAGGCTGGTCTTGAACACCAAGGCTCAAGTGATACTCCTGCCTTGGCCTCCCAAAGCACTGGGATTACAGGTATGAGCCATGGTGCCTGGCCTCTTATTTATGTATTTATATTTATGGCAAGGTATAAGCCAATATAGGCTTGCTTGCTTTCTTATTCAGACATGCAAGAAAGTGCAAATCTCAGGACCTTATGAGGAAACTGCAGATAGGAAGATGGGCTGAATCACCTGGGCCCAGTGTCATTCCTTCCTCTGGGTCCATGCATGGGTGCTGGCAGTGTGATGGTCACTCATAACATGCACGGAAACCCACCCAATGTGCTTTGAAAACAGTTATCACTCTTTTTTTGTTTTGTTTTGTTTTTGTTGTTGTTGTTTTTGAGACCGAGTCTTGTTCTGTTGCACAGGCTACAGTGCAGTGGTGCGATCTCTGCTCACTGCAACCTCTGCCTCCTGGGTTGAAGTGATTCTCCTGCCTCAGCCTCCCGAGTAGCTGGGATTACAGGCACCTGCCACCACACCTGGCTAGTTTCTTCCCATTTTTAGTAGAGACGGGGTTTCATCATGTTGGTCAGGCTGGTCTTGAACTGACCTCAAATGATCTGCCCTCCTTGGCCTCCCAAAGTGCTGGGATTACAGGCGTGAGCCACCGCACCTGGCCAGTATCACTCATTTTTATCATTGTTTTCCTTTTTTTTTAGATGGAGTCTTGCACTGTTACCCAGGCTGGAGTGTAGTGGCGCGATCTTGGCTCACTGCAACCTCCGCCTCCCAGGTTCAAGCGATTCTCCTGCCTCAGCCTCCCGAGTAGCTGGGATTACAGGCGCCTGCCACCACACCCAGCTAATTTTTTGTATATTTAGTAGAGACGGTGTTTCACCATGTTGGCCAGGCTGGTCTCAAACTCCTGACCTTGTGATTCTCCCGCCTCAGCCTCCCAAAGTGCTGAGATTACAGGCGTGAGCCACTACGCCCAGCCCATTATTTTCCTTTTTAAAATATAACATGTATGTTCAGTAGGACATGGACTAAAATTTAAGAAAATTAAAAAAAAATAACGTGCATAAATCATGAGCACATGGTTCTATGCATTTTTGTTGTTTATTTAATTAATTTATTTATTTATTGAGATGGAGCCTTGCTCTGTCACCCAGGCTGGAGTGCAGTGGCGCCATCTCAGCCTACTGCAACCTCCCCACCTCCCAGGTTCAAGCGATTCTCCTGCCTCAGCTTCCTGGGTTGCTGGGACTACAGGCATGTGCCACCATGCCTGGCTAATGTTTTGTATTTTTAGTAGAGATGGGGTTTCACCGTGTTAGCCAGGATGGTCTCCATCTCCTGACCTCGTGATCCGCCTGCCTCAGCAATCCCAAAGTGCTGGGATTACAGGCATGAGCCACCGCGCCTGGCCCTAAAGAGATAGGGCTACTCGGGAGGCTGAGGCAGGAGAATCGCTTGAACCTAGGAGGCAGAAGTTGCAGTGAGCCGAGATGGTGCTACTGCACTCCAGCCTGGGCGACAGAGCGAGACTCCGTCTCAAAAAAAAAAAAAAAAGAGATAGGGTCTTGCACTCTTGCCCAGGCTGTAGTATAGTAGCGCCATTGCAGCTCACTGCAGCTTTGACCTCCTGGCCTCAAGTGATCCTCTCACTCGGCCTCACAAGTAGCTAAGACTACAGGCGGGCACCATCATGTCCAGCTAATTTGTTTATTAATTGTAGAGAAAAGGTCTCTTTATGTTGCCCAGGCTGATCTTCAGCTCCTGAGGTCAAGCCAATCTCCCGTCTCAGCCTCCTGAGTAGCTGGGATTACAGGCACAAACCACCACACTGGCCTGGTTCTGCGTATTTTCACAAAGTAAGCATATCTGTGTAACAAGTAGATCAAGAAATAGAAAATTTCCAGAATCCCAGAAGCAATAACCCCATAATGGGTTAGTTTTGTCTATTTTGTACTTTATATAAAATGGAGGCTGGGCGTGGTGGTGGCTCACGCTTGTAATCCTAACACTTTGGGAGACCAAAGCAGGTGGATCACCTGAGGTCAAGAGTTCAGGACCAGCCTGGCCAACATGGTGAAACCCCATCTCTACTAAAATTACAAAAAATTAGCCAGGCATGGTGGCACGCGCCTGTAATCCCAGCTACTCAGAAGGCTGAGGCAGGGGAATCACTTGAACCCGGTGAGTGGAGGTTGCAGTGAGCAGAGATCTTGCCACTTCACTCCAGCCTAGGCGAAAGAGCAAAACACAGTCTCAGGAAAAAAATAAATAAATACAAATAAAATGGAATGATACAGTATTTGTGTCTAGTTTTCTTTGCTCAATAATATTTTTGTGACATTTATCCATGTTGTTGCACATAATAGCAATGTGTTAATTTTCATTGTGTGCAATTTTCTATTGTGTGAATATACCACCATTCACACTCATTTGTTCTATAGTGGATTGGCATTTGGGTACTTTCTAGTTAGAGGCTTTTTTTTTTTTTTTTTGGTTTTCAGAGATGGGGTCTCACTATGTTGCACAGGCTGGTCTCAACACCTGGGCTCAAACGATCCTCCTACCTCTGCGTCCCTAAGTGTTGGGATTACTGTCGTGAGCCACCGCATTTGGCCACGCTATTTTGAATAGTGCAGCTGTGAATATTCTGATTCCTGTTTTATAGTAAATAGATGTATGCATTTCTGTTGTGTATCTACCTAGAGTTGGAATTTCTGGATCATAAGTTGCATGCATATTTTCTTTTTTTTTTGAGATGGAGTTACACTTTTGTTGCCTAGGCTGGAGTGCAATGGCATGATCTTGGTTCACTGCAATCTCTGCCTGCCGGGTTCAAGTGATTCTCCTGCCTCAGCCTCCCGAGTACCTGGGCTTACAGGTATCCACCACCATGCTCAGCTAATTTTTGTATTTTTAGTAGAGACAGGGTTTCACCATGTTGGCCAGGCTGGTCTTAACTCCTGACCTCAAGTGATCCACCCACCTCGGCCACCCAAAGTGTTGGGATTACAGGCATGAGCCACGGCACCTGGCCCACATATATTCTTTAGTAGCAAATGTCAAACAATTTTCCAGTGTGGTCATCCCAATTTACACTCCCATAAGCAATATATGAGATTCCACAGTCTCACCAGTACTTGGTATTGTTTGCCATCCCTGTAATTCATTTATTCTTTATTTATTTTTTTATTTTTTTTGAGACAGAGTCTCACTTTGTCCCCCAGGCTAGAGTGCAGTGGCACCATCTGGGCTCACTGCAGCCTCCACCTCCCAGGTTCAAGCAATCCTCCTGCCTCAGCCTCCCAAGTAGCTGGGACTACAGGCACGTGCCACCACACCTGGCTAATTTTTGTATCATTTGTAAAGATACAGTTTCACCATGTTGCCCAGGCTTGTAATTCATTTATTTTTAATCCACAATCACTTCCTCCCTATATGTCAAAACACTTTTCCTTTTAAGTACTAGGGAAGAGTGTAATACAGTATAGTGTATAGCATAGCATCAGACAGCCCTGACTCTGCCACTTAGGAGGCTGGTGACCTCTGAGGCTCAGCTTCCTTCTCTGTAAAAAGGGGATGATAAAGTACCTACCTCACAGGGTTGTGGGAGAACTGAGCTAATGCATGCAGTGTACTTAGGACAGCACCTGGCACGGAATAAGTATGCAGGAAATGACAGCTATGTGTAAGAATTTATTGTAGACTGGGCGCGGTGGCTCACGCCTGTAATCCCAGCATGTTGGGAGGCTGAGACGGGCGGATCACTTGAGATCAGGAGTTCGAGACTAGCCTGATCAATATAATTTAGCCTGACTAAAAATACAAAAATTAGCCAGGCATGGTGGTACATGCCTAAGATCTCAGCTACTCGGGAGGCTGAGGCAGGAGAATAGCTTGAACTCAGGAGGCAGAGGTTGCAGTGAGCTGAGATCACACCACTGCACTGCACTCCAGCCAGGGGGACAGAGCAAGACTCCATCTCGAAAAAAAAAATATGTATATATATATTTAGTAAAGTGGGGAAAACTGAGACTGTGAGGGCCAAAAGGGTGTGGCTAAGGGGACTTTGAGCCTGCTGAACTTGATGTGGTCCTCTCTAGTTGGTGTTCCTCCATGGCACCAAATGGCTTAAATTTCTGAGAATTTTAATTTTTTTTTTTTTTTTTTTTTTTGAGACGACGTCTCACTCTGTCGCTCAGGCTGGAGTGCAGTGGTGCCATCTCAGCTCACTGCAACCTCCACCTCCCGGGTTCACGCCGTCCTCCTGCCTCAGCATCCTGGGTAGCTGGGACCTTACAGGCGCATGCCACCACACCTGGCTAATTTTTTGTATTTTTAGTAGAGACGGGGTTTCACCGTATTAGCCAGGATGGTCTCGATCTCCTGACCTCGTGATCCACCCACCTCAGGCTCCCAAAGTGCCGGGATTACAGGTGTGAGCCATCGCGCCTGGCCAATTTTTTTTTTTTCTTTATAAGACAGTATCTTGCTCTGTAGCCCAGGCTGGAGTACGGTGGTGTAATCTTGGCTCACTGCAGTCTTGAACTCTTGTGCTCAAGAAATCCTTCTGCCTCAACTTCCTGAGTATCTGGAACTGCAGGCATGTGCTACCACTCCTGGCTTTTTGTGTGTGTGTGTGTGATGGAGTCTCACTCTGTTGCCCAGGCTGAAGTGCAGTAGTGCGATCCTGGCTCACTGCAACCTTCATCTCCTGAGTTTAAGAGATTCTCTTGCCTCAGCCTCCTGAGTAGCTGGGATCACAGGTGCCCACCACTAAGTCCAGCTAATTTTTTGCATTTTTAGTAGAGACAGGGTTTCACCATGTTGGCCAGGCAGGTCTCGAACTTCTGACCGCAAGTGATCCCTCCGCCTCAGCCTCCCAAAGTGCTGGGATTACAGGCGTGAACCACTGCGCCCGGCCACTCCTGGCTAATTAATTAAATTTTTTTGTAGAGATGGATGTTTCAGTATGTTGCCCAGGATGGTCTTGAACTCCTGGGCTCAAGTGATCCTCCTGCCTTGGCCTCCTAATGTGCTGGGATTACAGGTGAGAGCCACTGGGCCTGGTAATTTCTAAGAATTATTTTTACAAAAATTGCAAAATGGGCCAAGCATGGTGGCTCATGCATGTAATCCCAGCACTTTGGGAGGCCGAGGCAGGTGGATCACCTGAGATCACGAGTTCAAGACCAGCCTGGCCAACATGCTGAAACCCCATCTCTACTAAAAATACAAAAAATCAGCAAGGCGTGGTGGTGCGCGCCTGTAATCCCAGCTATTAGGGAGGCTGAGGCAGGAGAATCACTTGAACCTGGGAGGTGGAGGTTGCGGTAAGCTGAGATCGTGCCACTGCACTCCAGCCTAGGCAACAGAGGGAGACTCTGTCTCAAAAAAAAAAAAAAAAAATTGCAAAGTTGAGTTTACTATTTGCAGTGAATTTTATTCATTCAAGGATTATCTTATAATTTCTGCATTTAATTTGGCAAACTTCATCAGATTCCCCAAGAGAGGATGTTATTTCAGGCTGCCCTCAAAAACCAACATTCCTTTGTCAACAAGAAGGTCTTAGGACGTGACACTTGAATTTTACTTGGAGGAACTGGGTCCCTGGACAGGCACCCAACTGGGTCCCTGGACAGGCACCTGCTGACCTAAACCAGATGGTAAAATGAGACTTAACAAAACAGTTGTTTGCAGTTGAGATTTTAATCTTTTGCATAGCTCAGAAGTTCCCACCCAACTCTTTTGTTAGTAGCACAGGGGCTCATGGGTGGTTCTTGTTGCACAGACCACCAATGGGGTTGACAAATAGGAGGTGAGATGCTGCTGTCCTGTTGGGTCAGCGGCGGCAGTTCTAATTGCCTGGTCAAAGTGGGATCAGAGATAAAAGAACAGACCTGTGGGTACCAGTGCAATGAGTCATGAGAATGTCTAAAGATGTCTGGTTCTGCGCAGATGTAGCCCCAAGCACTGACACTCAGATGGCTCACATGGCCAGGAAATGCCCCGCTGGGACTTACACAGAGAGGAGCCCGTTTTCCTCTGAAGATGCTCAGGAGGTAGTCTTTGGGTGGGCTGGTGTGTGTTTAACACCACGCGTCCTTTTCTTACTCTTCATCCTTTTTATTTTTTACATTATTTATTTATTTATTTACTTACTTATTTGAGACAGAGTCTTGCTCTGTTTTCCAGGCTGGAGTGCAGTGGCGCAATCTGGGCTCACTGCAACCTCTGCCTCCCGGGTTCAAGTGATTCTCCTGCCTCAGCCTCCTGAACAGCTGGGATTACAGGCACATGCCACCATGCCCGGCTAATTTTTGTATTTTTAGTAGAGACGGGGTTTCACCATGTTGGTTAGTCTGGTCTCAAACTCCTGACCTCCTGATCCTCCTGCCTCGGCCTCCCAAAGTGCTGGGATTATAGGCGTAAGCTACCACGCCTGGCCTATTTATTTATTTATTTTATTATTACTATTTTCTTGAGACGGAGTTTCGCTCTTGTTGCCCAGGCTGGAGTGCAATGGCGCGATGTTGGCTCACTGCAACCTCTGCCTCCCAGGTTAAAGCAATTCTCCTGTCTCAGCCTCCTGAGTAGCTGGGATCACAGGCCTGTGCCATCAGGCCCAGCTAATGTTTTGATTTTTTAGTAGAGACGGCGTTTCACCATGTTGGTCAGGCTGGTCTCATACCCCTGACTTCAGATTATCCATCAGCCTCGGCCTCCCAAAGTGCTGGGATTACAGGCGTGAGCCACCGTGCCCGGCCTATTTATTTATTTTTAAACAGGGTCTTGGTCTGTTGCCCAGGCTGGAGTGCAGTGGCAACGATCATAGCTCACTGCAGCCTCCACCTCCTGGGCTCAAGGAATCCTCCTGCCTCAGTCTCCTGAGTAGCTGAGACTACAGGCATGCGCCACCATGCCTGGCTGTTATTTTTATTTACTTATTTATTTGAAACAGGGTCTTACTCGTGTCACCCAGGCTGGAGTGCAGTGGTGTGATCTCGGCACTCCAGCCTGTGCCTGGTCTCTTCTTCCTTTTTAACAAAAGGAACAACTCAAAAAGGCAATGATATCTGGCTAGATTTAATAATATATTTTGCCCTTTATTGTATTCACTTTTATGTTTCTCCTCTAACAGGGAAAGTATCACTGGTTTTCCCCTTATGGTTGTGATATAGTTGCCTTTTAAAATAAAATTTGGGCCAGGCACAGTGACTCATGCCTGTAATCTCAGCACTTTAGGAGGCCAAGGCAGGAGGATCACTTGAGCCCAGGAGTTTGAGAACAGCCTGAGCAATATAGTGAGACCCCATCTCTACAAAAATTTAAAAATTAGCCAAGTTAGTGGTGCACACCTGTTGTCCCAACTACTTGGGAGGCTGAGGCAGAAGAATCCTTCAAGTCCAGGAATTGGAGGCTGCAGTGAGCTATAATCATACCAATGCACTCCAGCTTGGGCAACAGGGCGAGACACTGTCTCAAAAACTAACTAAATAAATTTAATTAATTTGTTTAAATAAAGTAATTTAAAAAAAAGATTATTGGCCAGGCGTGGTGGCTCATGCCTGTAATCCCACCACTTTGGGAGGCTGAGGTGGGAGGATCACTTGAACTCAGGAGTTCCAGCCCAGCCTGGGCAACATGGAGAAACCCCGTCTCTACAAAAAATAAAAAAAAATTAGCCGAGTGTGGTGGGGCATGCCTGTGGTTCCATCTACTTGGGAAGCTGAGGTGGGAGGATCATCTGAGCCCGGGAAACAGAGGTTGCAGTGAGCCAAGATTGCACCACTGCACTCCAGCCTGGATGACAGAACAAGACCCTGTCTTAAAAAAAAAAAAAAAAGATTATTAAGTTAACAGCAGTACAGATGGCATTATGTGCGACAAATTGTAAAGGCAATTTGAGCTTTAAGTTGGCAGAAAAAGATGGCAAAAATCCAAAGGTGGTAGGCAATGACCTCAGCCAGCAAGGGGAGTGCTGGTGGCCACTTCATTGCTCTGAGCCTTGCTCTTCTCATCTGTTGAATGAAGGTTATTGCTTTTATTTGCAGAAGGGTCTCAAGAACGAAACATAGTATCTATAAACTCCCTGGCTAGAGTAGAGGCTCTATTATTGATACGTTTATTAGTATTATGAAGGTAAGAGAGTGGCCCACAACTTCCTGATCCTTGAAACAGTAGTAGCTGTTTACAAGTAATAGTGTGACCTGTGAGTGCTGAAATTAGATTGATAGTTGTTTCTTCTTCTTCTTTTTTTTTAATGTAATTTTTTTTCCCCGGAGGAGTTTTTCTTCAATCCTCAAGGACTTAGCTCCTAAGGGGCTTTGGTGGAGGTCCTGGGGCAGCACCTGCAGGATTAAATCTGGATGAGGGTGTTCTGTCCTTTCAGGCTACAGGAGCTGAATTCCTGATTACATTTCTGTGACTGGCACAACTCACCCAGTAATTGCAATTACCTTTGGACCAACCCAGTAGCTTCACGTGCGGTTTAGGAAGCGCATAGGCTCGAAGACACTGGCTTCAGAAACGTCCCTGACAGCTGCAACCTCTACTATGTTTCCAATGACTAACGTTTTTTGTTGTTTTGAAACAAGGTCCCACTCTGTCGCCCAGGCTGGAGTGCAGTGGGCAGTCTCAAGGTCTCGGTTTGGCTCACTGCAACCTCCGCCTCCCGAGTTTGAGTGATTTTCCTGCCTCAGCCTCCCCAGTAGCTGAGATTACAGGTGCCCACCACCACGCCTGGCTAATTTTTGTATTTTTAGTAGAGACGGGGTTTCACCATGTTGGCCAGGCCGGTCTCAAACTCCTGACCTCAGGTGATCCACCAGTCTCAGCCTCGGCCTCGGCCTCGGCCTTCCAAAGTGCTGGGATTACAGGCGTGAGCCTCCGCGCCCGGACTTTTTTTTTTTTTTTTTAAAGATATGTTAACGCTGGGCTGGTTTTGCAGCACATTGCATTCTGTTCCACCTGTGGCATCTATCGCGACCGCTGAGGGCGGTCCCTTTGCTGGGGGAGAAGCAGTTGTAACAGTAAGCAGCGGCCGGGAGGAGCATGGCCCGCGGGCTGGGTGTCCCTGCTTAGGTGGCAAGGTCCTGGCTTCACGTGCTGCCAGGCGTCTGCCCACAGAGTCTAGCAGCCAGCAGGAGGTTGGTGGCAGACTGATACAAACCCTGTCCCCATGGGTCACCCTTTCCCTCCTAAACTAAGTTCATCCCTACTTTCCAACACTCACTTTTGTCCTACTGCCCTCCATCAGCCCGAGAAAAAAAGAATCCAAGAATAATAAAAGAGCCCCATTTTGCAGCCTAGAAAACGGAGGTGGTTAAGAACCGTGCTCCACGGCCGGGTGCGGTGGCTCACGCCTGTAATCCCAGCACTTTGGGAGGCTGAGGCGGGCAGATCACGAGGTCAGGAGATCGAGACCATCCTGGAAAACACTGTGAAACCCCGTCTCTACTAAAAATACAAAAAAATTAGCCGGGCGTGGTAGCCGGCGCCTGTAGTCCCAGCTGCTCGGGAGGCTGAGGCAGGAGAATGGCATGAACCCGGGGGGCGGAGCTTGCAGTAAGCCGAGATCGCGCCATTGCACTTCAGCCTGGGCGACAGAGCGAGACGAGTGAGGATCACTTAAGGTCGGGAGTTCGAGGCCAGCCTTGATATCATGGTGAGACCCCGCATCTATTTAAAAACAAAACAAAACAAAACAAAACAAAAGCTGTAATCCCAGCACTTTGGGAGGCAGGCCGAGGTGGGCAGATCACAAGGTCAGGAGTTCAAGACAAGCCTAGCCAACAAGGTGAAACTGTCTCTACTGAAGATTAGCTGGGTGTGGTGGTGGACGCCTGTAGTCTCAGCTACTCGGGAGGCTGAGGCAGGAGAATCGCTTGAACCCGGGAGGCGGAAGTTGCAGTGAGCCGAGATCGCGCCATTGCACTCCAGCCTGGGCGACAGGGCGAGACTCCGTCTCAAATAAAAAAATAAAAAAAATAAATAAAAAGGCCGGGCGCGTTGGCCCGCGCCTGCAGCCCCTGCTACTTGGGAGGCTGAGGCTGGAGCATCGCTTGATCCTGGGAGGTCGAGGCTGCAAAGAGTCGAGATCGCAACACTGCTCTCCAGCCTGGGCGACAGAGCGAGGTCCCATCTCTTAAAAAAAAGAACTGTGCTCAAGGACATCTGCCGTGTCTGGGGCGCAAAACCCCTCCTGGTCCCCTCTCTCAGGGCAGTCCGCGAGCCCAGCGGATCCCACTCGTCTTTGCAGCGCGGACAGGGAATCGGCTGAGTTGATCCCATGCCAACAAGCCCGAGTAGTCCGGGCAAGGCGCTCGGCGGGGCAGTCAACGCTCCCTCCGCCATGGGCTCCCCTCTTGGGAAAAGCTTTTCCAAACCGCCGGGCCCAGGGCCCAGAGCTCCCGCCGCGCCCTCGACGTGGCGTCGAGTCTGGCCCCTTCCCCCGCGGCGCACGGGCTTCACCCAGGAGGGACGCGCCTGGATCCACGCCTTCCTCACTGACTCCCCGGGCTCCAGGGCAGGGTGCAGGTCCACAGCCAGGGCTTCGCTGCGGCCCCTGAGACCCCAGTGCCTTTCCTGCGCTCTCGCGGCACTCGCAAAGTTGAGTCAGCCACGACGCCCACAGACAACCCCGAGGCGCCGCGCCCAGGGCGCAGCTCTCCGGGTGACGAGCGCCTCAAGGGGCGCGGGTTCGGGGCCCGCGACGGGGCGGGGCGCGTCTCCAGGGCTCCAGTGCTCGGCCTCAGGCGGGGCTAGAAGGGCCGCGGGACGGGGTGGGAGTGGAGGGGCGGGGAAGGGCGGGGACAGGGGCGGGGCCGCACGTCCTCTCGGGCCAGCCTCAGCCGCCGCGCCTCAGTCCGCCGTCCGCCCTCCGCGCCCGCGCCGCTAGCATGACCGACGCGCTGTTGCCCGCGGCCCCCCAGCCGCTGGAGAAGGAGAACGACGGCTACTTTCGGAAGGTGGGCGGCTTCGGGCGGGCGGGCGGGGACCTGCGGGCTCCAGACCTCCTTTCCCCCGGGCCCTGCAGGGGCCGTGGGAGCGCGCAGTCGGGGTCCACTAGGCCGGGAGGGGGAGGGGGCGCACTGGGCCGGCGCTGGCCGGACGGAGGCTGGCGGGGAGGAGTGGGGGCGGCGATGTCCCCGGCGTCCCGGGCAGGTGGCATCCGGGACTGGGCGGGGAGTAGGGGAGGCGCATGTGGCCGCTCCGCGCAGGTGCGGGCGGAGGACCTGGAGGGGTGCTTGGGTCTCCCCCCTCCCACCCCCCGCCACCCCTCGCTTGCGATCCCTGGTGCCTGGGGAAAGGACCCGTTCCTGGCTGCGCTGGCGCCCTTGGCCTCTGGGCGCGTTGCAAGAGCGCTTGGTGGGAGCGCGGGTGGAGACAGACCATCCCAGGCGTGTTGGCGGTCTCATATTTATTTTAGGCGCTCTGTCGCCCAGGCTGGAGTAGAGTGGCGCGATTATAGCTCACTGCAGCCTCGACTTCCTGGCCTCCAGCGATCCTCCCGCCCCAGCCTCCCGAGTAACTGGGACTGCAGGCGCGCCACCTCGCCACGCTAATTTTTTGTAGAACTGGGGTATCGCTGTGTTGCCCAGACTGGTCGCGAACTCTTGGGCTCAAGGGATCCTCCCGCCCCGGTCTCTCAAAGTGCTGGGATTACAGGCGTGAGCCACTGCGCCCGGCCGGCGGTCTCTTTTTGCCTCCAAAATGCTTCCAAAGTCCGCCTGTGGGACTTTTCAGGGAGCAGGGGAGAGCTGCTGGTGGGAGGGAGCCTCCGGCGTTGCACCCTCCTCCGCTCCGGGTCGTCCAGGAGGGCGTGAGCACCGCAGGTGAGGCCCACGGTCTTGTGCGTCTCACTGTGTGCCAAAGCGGATTTGTCTTGTTGTCCGGGAGACTTGGCGGGGGCTGGCGGCGGGCGGCGGGCGGCGGGCGGCGGGTGGCGGGTGCCGGCCTCGCAGGTTCTTGGCATGTCCAGGAGCTCTTGGGCCCAGAAGATAACAGTCAGGGAGCTCAGTCCCTCAAAAGCGACCCCAGCCTGTGGAGCAGGGGCCCTGGGATACCCGCAGGCGGCAGGGCCTGGGCTACAAAGATGCTTTGGAGCCGGGAGTCATGGTGATGCCTTCCAAGCCTTCCTCCCTCTAGGTCCTGAGCAAGTCTAAAAATAGCTTTTGGCCCTTGGCCAGGGATCACTGAGAGGGTGGAGAGATTGTTGTTGATTTTCGTTTTTATAATAGATACGACAGTGCATAATTATAAATAGGGAAGTGAAACTTTCCCATAAACGAATCAATTCTTAATTGTTCAAAGCCTTAGGATCCAGTTCTTAAATGGTCTTGGCATCTTCCTCCTTCTCCCAGGTGACACAGAGAGACTGTGGGCTTTGCTCACTGGTGAGGAGCCCTGGGCAGGACAGTGTGGGGCAGAGTGGGAAAACTTCTTTTTTGTGAAGTTGCTTTTAGCATTAAAAAAAAAAAAAGTAGTTTTGAGGTATATTTAAGTTTAAAGATGTCATCATGGAATTACAGGATTATAACTTCTAATTATGTGTGGCGTTTGGGACAGAGGATCACAGGCCATGGAATTGCAGGAGGAGGCCTGGCCTGGGAATTCCTATGTCTGTCCTCGGGCCCCGGGGCCTGACTGCCACTCCCACAAAATTGCTGTGTGGCCTCCCGCAAGTTGCTGCCTCTTTCTGGGACATTTCCTCCCCAGATTGTTCTCTGAGCAGGTGTAGCTCTGGAACTCCAGCAGCACCTGGGGGAAAATGGCAGCAAGAGAAGCACACCTGTGAGGGGTGGTCCCAAGCCTCCCAGAACACATTTTCCTGTGGGAGCCCTCCGTGTCTGTGAGCCCAGGGGAGGACTTCTTGCTCCGCACTGGGAAAGAGTGGATGGCAAGAGAGCTAGGAAAGGTGCACAGTTGGGTGTTTTTCATTTATTAATTATTATTATTATTATTATTATTATTATTATTATTATGAAACAGAGTCTCACTCTGTCGCTCAGGCTGGAGTGCAGTGGTGTGATTTCGGCTCACTGCAACCTCTGCCTCCGGGGTTCAAGCAGTTCTGCCTCAGCCTCCGAAGTAGCTGGGATTACAGGCGCCTGCCACCACACCTGGCTAATTTTTTGTATTTTTAGTAGAAACGGGGTTTCACCGTGTTGCCCAGGCTAGTCTTGAACTCCTGACCTTAAGTGATCCACCTGCCATGGCCTTCCAAAGTGCTGGGATTACAGGTGTAAGCCACTGCGCCCGGCTACAGGTGTTTTTTTTTTTTTCCCCCTGAGATGGAGTCTCGCTCTGTCACCCAGGCTGGAGTGCAGTGGCGCGATCTCGGCTCACTGCAACCTCCATCTACCAGTTTCAAGTGATTCTCCCGCCTCAGCCTTCCCAGTAGCTGAGACTACAGGCGCATATCAACCACGCCTGGCTAACTTTTGTATTTTTAGTAGAGGCAAGGTTTTGCCATGTTGGCCAGGCTGGTCTTGAACTCCTGACCTCAGGTGATCCACCCACCTCGGCCTCCTAAAGTGGGGTGTTTTTTAGATGCAGTTTCTCTGGTGTTGGATGAGAGAATCAGGGGTGCAAAATAAGAGGAATCATTGTTTTACAATTAAAATCATCAATTTTGAAAATGAGACCTTGTAACAATTGTTGTGCTACTCCATGTTAAGTCATACCAGTTCGAAGAGTCTATTTATCCTAGGAAAATAAAAGGTGTTGATGCTGAATCTTTCCTGATCTATGACCTGAGCCAGTTTGACCTAAAGCAAATGAGGGTCGGGTGTGGTGGCTCATACCTGTAATCCCAGTAGTTTGGGAGGCCGAGGCAGGCGGATCTCTTGAAGCCAGGAGTTCCAGACCAGCCTGGGCAACATAGCAAGACCTTGGCTCTATAAAAAATTTTAAAAATAAAAATGAAAACAAAACAAAACCAAATGGCCGAATGAAAGGCAGGTGCTGACCAGGCGTGGTGGCTCACACCCGTAATCCCAGTATTTTGAGATGCTGAGGCAGGTGGATCACTTGAGATCAGGAGTTCGAGACCAGCCTGGCCTACATGGTGAAACCCTGTCTCTACTAAAAATATAAAAATTAGCCGGGTGTAGCGGCAGGCGCCTGTAATCCCAGCTACTTGGGAGACTGAGGCAGGAGACTCGCTTGAACCCAGGAGGCGGAGGTTGCAGTGAGCTGAGATTGTGCCACTGCACTCCAGCCTGGGCAACAGAGTGAGACTCCGTACCCCTGCAACCCAAAAAAAAAAAAAAATCCCAGCACTTTGGGAGGCTGAGTCTAGTGGATCACGAGGTCAGGAGATCGAGACCTTCCTGGCTAACACAGTGAAACCCCGTCTCTACTAAAAATACAAAAAATTAGCCGGGCGTGGTGGCGGGTGCCTGTAGTCCCAGCTACTCGGGAGGCTGAGGCAGGAGAATGGCGGAGCTTGCAGTGAGCCGAGATTGCGCCACTGCCTGGGTGACAGAGCGAGACTCCGTCTCAAAAAAAAAAAAAAAAAAAAAGAAAGGCAGGTGCTGTCCAGGTGAAAGGAGAGAAAGAGCCCTTCAGGAAGAGGGAACAGCTTGGACAGAGCTGTGGACTTGTGAGTGCTTTGTAGGCCCCCCCAGGGTGTGGAGGTGTTTGTGGGAGCCAGGCAGTTCAGGGTCATGCATCTTGCTTGACCTGGGAACTGTGGAATCCATCAAAGTATTTAAAGCAGGACCAGACCTGTGAGATTTGTGTAAGAAAAAGACCGCTTTGACACGTGAATGGTGAATGGGTGGCGAATGGGAAAGAAGCTATGGTGGAGCCAGGCAGGGAGGCATTGGGAGGATTTAGCCCCTTGTAATACCTATCATCTTTGCCCTTCCTTCTCTTTTACGGACTACTGATGATGCAGTCAGTGACAGTGCTGTGAGTGGGGTGCAGTGCCTCACACCTGTAATCTCAGCATTTTGGGAGGCCAAGGTGGGAGGATTGCTTGAGGCCAGGAATTCAAGCCCACTCTGGGCAATAAGCAAGACCCCATCTCTATAAGAAGTTTAAAAATCAGCCTGGCATAGTGTTGTGTTCCTGTAATCCCATATACTCAGGAGGCCTAGGTGGGAGGATATCCGGAGCCCACGAGGTTGAGGCTGCAGTGAGCTGTTATCATGTCACTGCACTCCAGCCTGGATGACAGAGTGAGACCTTGTCTCACAAAAAACAAACAAACAAACAAAGAAACGGCCGTGTAAACACAGCCTCAATCACCCATTCTTTCCACCAGCTTGCACCCTTAGCTCAGACCAGGGGTCCACACAGAAGGCAGGGATTCTAGTGATGAGGAGGTTGGAATGATAGAGCTGGAGAAAGGGCAATATCTGGCAGAGAGGGAAAGAACTGATGTGATTGGCAGGGAAGGAGCTGCCAATGAGAATCCAAAATGCCTGCCTATTAGCCAGGTGTGGTGGCACCCAGCTATGGTCCCACCTACTCAGGAGGCTGAGGCAGCAGGATCGCTGAGCCTGGGAGATGGAGGCTGCAGTGAGCCGAGATCACGCCACTGCATTCCAACCTGGACAGCAGAATGAGACCCTGTCTCAAAAAAAACGTCACAATGCCTGCCTGAGGTGTCTGGTCATGCGCCTCCTCAAGATCCATGAATGCGGGTGAACGCGGAGGCTAGTGTGTAGACTTGATGGCCCTCATGGGATATCCATGTGGCGGTCCCAGCAGAGAGCCCACTCCATGGGCCCAGCAGCCATGCAGGCGCCCTGGCTGGAGATGCAGTTTTGGGTGGCACCAACTGGGAGGCAGTTGGGGTATTGAGTGAAAGGATCTGGGCTAGAAAGGATCCTCCGCTTAAGAGGTGGGTAGAGAGGTGGGAGGAAAGCCAGAAGGGTGGCCAGGTCTAGGAAGCTGAGAGGTCAGTCTTGTTAGTCGAGCAAGGCGTGACAAGTCAGAAGAATGCTGGAAGGTCCTAGATTTAGTTCTTTAGGAGTCGTTAGGAAATGCATGGTTGGAGAATTGGGGACAAAAGTCAGTGTGACAGGGTACAGGGGGAGAAGGGCAGGGAAGATATTGCTGGAGAAAGAGGGGAGCTGAGAAGAGAGAAGGCAGCTTTGTTTTAGAATGTGGAAGTCCAGAGCTGGTTAAAGACAAAGGTGTGGCAGGGCACAGTGGCTCACACTGTAGTCCCAGCACTTTGGGAGGCCGAGGCAGGCGGATCACCTGAGGTCAGAAGTTTGAGAGCAGCCTGGCCAACACGGTGAAACCCTGTCTCTACTAAAAATACAAAAAATGAGCAAGGCGTGGTGGCGGGCACCTGTGATCCCAGCTACTCGGGAGGCTGAGGCAGGAGAATTGCCTGAACCTGTGAGGTGGAGGTTGCAGTGAGCCGAGATCGCGCCACTGCACTCTAGCCTGAGCAGCAGAGCGAGACTCCGTCTCAAAAAAAAAAAAAATGATAAAAGAAAAAAACAAAAGTGAAGAAGTTGGGTGGGGAATGGCTGGAGATTCAGGGAGAAGGTGAGCTGGGGATGGGGCCCAGGAGTCGAGGCGGGGGGTGAAGATTGCCAACAGCTGCTGCATTGATTGGGTGGCTGAGCCAGCCGGGGGCAGTGAGTGAGAACCCATGAGGCTTCCCATCTTGTATTATTATTATTTTTTTTTGAGACAGAGTCTTGCTCTGTCCCCCAGGCTGGAGTGCAGTGGCACAATCTCAGCTCCCCGCAACCTTCACCTCCTGGGTTCAAGCGATTCTCATGCCTCAGCCACCTGAGTGGCTGAGACTACAGATGTGCGCCACCATGCCCGGCTAATTGTATTTTTTAGTAGAGACAGGGTTTCACCATGTTGGTCAGGCTGGTCTTGAACTCCTGACCTCAAGTGATCCACCCACCTTGGCCTCCCAAAGTGCTGGGATTATAGGTGTGAGTCCCTGCACCTGGACCTGTATTTTGACTATTGGGATTTCTTTGTTGTTATTGAGACGGAGTCTCGCTCTGTCGCCAGGCTGGAATGGAATGGCGGGATCTTGGCTCACTGCAACCTCCGCCTCCCGGGTTCAAGTGATTCTCCTGTCTCAGCTTCCTGAGTAGCTGGGACTACAGGCGCGTGCCACCACGCCCAGCTAATTTTTGTATTTTTAGTAGAGTTGGGGTTTCACCATGTTGTCCAGGATGGTCTCAACCTCTTGACTGCGTAATCCACCTGCCTCGGCCTCCCAAAGTGCTGGGATTACAGGCATGAGCCACTGCGCCTGGTGACTATTGGGATTTTATGCACACTTAAGGATCAAATGAATTTCCACTGAAGTCAGGCTTCTCTTTCATCCTGTTCTCTGTGTCATGCCTTCCCTCCCCTTTTCTTTAAAATGACATTATGCTCCATTCATCCGAAAAGGATTTATGGAGCGACAGCTCAGTGCCTGACCCCTCCTCAGGTTCTGGGGCATTCCAGACCCTGACTCGATACAGTTTCTTTGGCAGCAGTTCCCAGCAGGTCTCGTTTCCTGGAGTGCTGAGCAGTGCTGGGAATTGGTGCTTTGTTGGGATGGCTCCGGCCATGCTTGAAAAGGAATCAGCCTCTTGGCTTTTTTTGTTTCTGAAATGGAGTCTCGCTCTGTTGCCCAGGCTGGAGTGCAGTGGTGCACTCTCGGCTCACTGCATCCTCCGCCTCCGGGGTTCAAGCAATACTCCTGCCTCAGCCTCCCAAGTAGCTGGGATTATAGGCACCCGCCACCATGCCCAGCTAATTTTTGTATTTTTAGTAGAGATGGTGTTTCACTATGTTGTCCAGGCTGGTCCTGAACTCCTGACCTCAAGTGATTTGCCCGCCTTGGCCTCCCAAAGTGCTGGGATTACAGGTGTGAGCCACTGCGCCGAGCCCAGGAGTCCCCTTGTTAATTGGTCTTTTTGGAATCAGGTAGGATGACTTGGCTGTACAGAGCCTCAAGACATAACTTAGCCTCAGGTTGGAAATGGACACCCGCAGTACAGATCTCCTGGTCTGGGCTGGTACCTTGGGAGGTCTCTGAAAAAAGAAACCTTTCAGGTCTATTTTTTTTTTTCTATCTTTTTTTTTTTTTTTGAGATGGAGTTTCGCTCTGTCACCCAGGCAGGAGTGCAGTGGCACGGTCTTGGCTCACCACAGCCTCTGCCTCCTGGGTTCAAGTGATGTGCCTCAGGCTCCTGAGTAGCTGGGATTACAGGCATGTGCCATCATGCCCGGCTAATTTTGTATTTTTAGTAGAGACAAAGTTTCTCCATGTTGGTCTCGAACTCCAGACCTCAGGTGATCTGCCTGCCTTGACCTCCCAAAGTGCTGGGATTACAGGCGTGAGCCATCATGCCCAGCCTCAGGTCTATTATAAAATCATGTCTCTCACTTTTTTCTTTTCTTTTCTTGTCTTTTCTTTCTTTTTTGACAGGGTGTTGCTGTGTCATCCAGGCTGGAGTGCAGTGGCATGATCATAGCTCACTGCAGCCTCAACCTCCCTGGCTCCAGTGATCCTCCTGTCTCAGCCTCCTGAGTAGCTGGGACAACAGGCATGAGCCACAAAGCCTGGCTAATTTTTAAATTTTTTGTAGAGACGGTCTCACTGTGTTGCCTGGGCTGGCCTCGAACTCTTTTTTTTTTTTTTTTTGAGACAGAGTCTGGCTCTGTTGCCCAGGCTGGAGTGCAGTGGCACCATCTCGGCTCACTGCAAGCTCCACCTCCCGGGTCCACGCCATTCTCCTACCTCAGCCTCCTGAGTAGCTGGGACTACAGGCGACCGCCACCATGTCCGGCTAATTTTTTTTTTTTTTTTTGTATTTTTATTAGAGATGGGGTTTCACCATGTTAGCCAGGATGGTCTCAATCTCATGACCTTGTGATCTGCCCGCCTCGGCTTCCCAAAGTGCTGGGATTACAGGCGTGAGCCACTGCGCCCGGCCTGGTCTCGAACTCTTTGGGCCCAAGCCTCAGCCTTCCACAGTGCTCGGATTACAGGCATGAGCCACCGCACCCAGCTTTCCCTGGCTTCTCACTATATTTTTTCTTTCTCATTATGTTACTGTGTTTAAACAGAGGTACAGCTCTATAAGATTATTATAAATTACTTTCTCAACTTATATTACTATAATTTCTCAAGAAGTGGAAATGCAACTTCTTTTCCCCAGATTTTTATGCTCTTCCTACTGAAAATCTTGGAAGAATTATTGTTCTCTGGCCTGTAGTTAAATGCAGAGTAATGTAATTTTCTAGAATGCTGCATCCTGATAGAGATTCCTTTTCTGCAACTGCCCCTGTACCCCACAGTACTAAAACTCACAGGAAAATCTGTTGTGGCCATGAAGAAAAGCAGCTGGAAGGCCGGGGGTGGTGGCTCATGCCTGTAATCCCAGCACTTTGGGAAGCTGAGGTGGGTGGATCACCTGAGGTTGGGAGTTCGAGACCAGCCTGACCAACATGGAGAAACCCCGTCTCTACTGAAAATACAAAATTAGCTGGGTGTGGTGGTGCATGCCTGTAATCCCAGCTACTCGGGAGGCTGAGGCAGGAGAATGGCTTGAACCTGAGAGGCAGAGGTTGCAGTGAGCTGAGATCACGCCATTGCACTCCAGCCAGGGCAACGAGCAAAAAACTCCGTCTCAAAAAAAAAAAAAGGAAAAAAGAAAAAAAAAAGAAAAGAAAAGCAGCTGGAAACAAACTAGAGAAAGCCTTTCCCCAGGGCCATTGAAAGGCCCAAAATGAAAGGTCTTGGCACTATGTGGAAGAGGAGAGTGAGTACACAGTGAGGCATTGTCACTTCTTATCTCTGCCTCTTCATCCTTTGGGAATGCTAATGCCCCAAAATGAATTTAGCTCCATTGTTTTTACTCAAGAGCTGTAGGAGAAGTTGTTTCTTGTTCACAGAAACCTCCAGCCTGGACAGGGCCTCCGGGTTCATTGTGTCCTGGTTTATGGTCCCTGTTGACTCTGGGCTTCCTGGAGGCTCCGGCAGAGAAGGAAGGAGAATTTTTGTTTGTTGTTGTTTTTTTTTTTTTTTAACCCAGAAGCTCCTTGCAGTCTTCTCTCTGCAAGGAGCAGGGATCTACTCTTTGATGAATGAGCAGCATTCATCTTAGTGAGGGCTAATTTCGTGTTAGACACTTGTGTGCATCTTTTATGAACGCTTGTGTGGATGAGGAAGCCTTCTGATGGGCTGAGTCCACCAGGAACAGCGTGGGTCATGTGGGATCAGCAGCTCCAGCTCTATTGGTACTGATACTACCCCTCCGGCTGTTTAGATCCATCCCCTTGGACCCTTGAGTCAATTCCCAGGTGGAGAGGGAGGGAGGCAGAGGAGAGTAAAGGTTGGTGATGCTGACCCCACTCCTGATTCCCCATGATGGTCTAAAACAGCTTTTTTTTTTTTTAAAGATGACAGAATCTGGCTGTGTCACCCAGGCTGGAGTGCAGTGGCACCGTTGTAGCTCACTGTAGCCTTGACCTCCTGGGCTCAAGTGATCCTCCTGCCTCAGCCTCCCAACTAGCTGGGACTAGAGATGTGATTAAAAATTGCCACACCTGGCTGATTTTTATTTTTATTTTTTGTAGAGATGGGGTCTTACTGTGTTGCCTAGGCTGGTCTTCAACTCCTGGCCTCAAGCAATCCTCCCATCTCAGTGGTGGGCTATTACAGGTGTGAATCACTGCACCCAGCCCTAAGCCAGATCTTAAAGGCCAGGCTGGATCCAGGCTGACTGTGGCCTTGGAGAGGGGAGGGTCTGCCCAGCTGCATGGTATCCACCATCAGCCCCGAGGGTCTGCCTGACCAACAGTCTTCAACTGTGGGATCCTGGCTGGGAGGTATCCCCTGGCAGAAACAGAATTTTCAGGGTGACTCAGAGGAGAGACAACGTGATGAACTATAACACTGTAAATGTCCCTTGTTTCCTGGGGCCATTTGGATGGTTGCCACGACACCACCTGATGCTACTGGGCGTTGGCTTTAGCCTGATCAACACTTCCTCCTTTGGCTCAGGTACCAGCGTCCCGTGACACAAAGGCTGCATTGGAGGTAGCCATAGGACACAGTCGAACTGCAGGTACCGCTCAGCCAGAGGCTGGGTGTCTGGCAGAGCAGCAGTAATGGGTGCCAAGTGAGGACAAGGTTCCCCACTTGGAGCACCAGGGACGGAGACACCACGGTGAATGATGTGAGTCCCTCAGGGCTGCCCATTCAGACCCTCGGAGTTCCCTATGGCCAGGTTTCCATTTGATTGTAACAAGAGAAAAGGGGACCAGCACAGTGGCTCACACCTGTGATCCCAGCACTTTGGGAGTCCGAGGCAGGAGGATCATTTGAGGTCAGGAGTTCGAGACCAGCCTGGACAACATGGTGAAACCCTGTTCCTACTAAAAATGCAAAATTAGTCGGGTGTGGTGCTGCGTGCCTGTAATCCCAGCTACTCGGGAGGCTGAGGCAGGAGAATCGCTTGAACCTCGGAGGTGGGGGTTGCAGTCAGCTGAGATTGTGCCACTGCACTCCGGCCTGCTGGGTGACAGAGCAAGATTCTGTCTCAAAAAAAAAAAAAAAAAACAAAGAAGAAAAAAGGGCAGGTGGTAAAAAAACAAGGCTGGATGTAGTGGCTCACACCTATGATCCCAGCACTTTAGGAGGCCACGGTGGACAGATCACATGAGCTCAGGAGTTCAAGACCAGCCTGGGCTGCATCGACAAAACTCTGTCTCTACAAAAAATACAATAAAATTAGCCAAGTGTGGTGGTGTGGACCTGTAGTCCCAGCTTCTCGGGAGGCTGAGGTGGGAGGATTGCTTGAGCCCCAGGATATTGAGGCTGCAGTGAATGGAGATCACGCCACTGCAGTCCAGCCTGGGCAAGAGAGTGAGATCCTGTCTCAAAAACAAGAGACTGGGCGCGGTGGCTCACACCTGTAATCCCAGCACTTTGGGAGGCTGAGGCAGGTGGATCACCTGAGGTCTTAGGAGTTCAAGACCAACCTGGCCAACATGGTGAAACCACGTCTCTAGTAAAAAATACAAAAATTAGCTGGGTGTCCAGGTACAGTGGCTCACGCCTGTAATCCCAGCACTTTGGAGGCCAAGGCAGGTGGATCACGAGGTCAGGAGTTCAAGACTAGCCTGACCAACATGGTGAAACCCCATCTCTACTAAAAATACAAAAATTAGCCAGGCATGGTGGTGTGCGCCTGTAATCCCAGCTACTCTGGAGGCTGAGGCAGGAGAATCGCTTGAACCTAGGAGGCAGAGGTTGTAGTGAGCCAAGATCGCACCACTGCACTCCAGCCTGGGCAAGAGAGCGAGACTCCATCTCAAAAAAAAAAAAAAAAGCAAAACTGTTAAAACTGTTGTTGAGTGTGTCCTACCAGTTGAAATAAGCAGATCATTGGTCTGGAAATACAGTTGATTCATGGAAATGTTCACGATTTGATGTGGTGGGAGGCACAGTAAAAGCCTAGTTATTCAAGGCTGGGCGCAGTGGCTCACACCTGTAATCCTAACACTTTGGGAGGCTGAGGTGGGTGGATCACTTGAGGCCAGGAGTTTGAGAGCAGCCTGGCCAACATGGTGAAACCTCGTCTCTACTAAAACAAAACAAAACAAAACAAAACAAAAATTAGCCAGGTGTGTTGGCACATTCCTGTAATCCCAGCTACTCAGGAGGCTGAAACAGGAGAATCGCTTGAACCCGGGAGGTGGAGGTTGCAGTGAGCCGAGATCACACCACTGCACTCCAGCCTGGGCAACAGAGCAAGACTTCGTCTCAAAAAAAAAAAAAAGTTATTCAGCATATTGAAAAATAACTGTGATTGGCACACAGTAGGGGTTTATAGAGATTTCTGGAAGAGACTGAAGGGAGCTCGTAACTAAAGATTATGGCTGTGTTGACTCATATCGAGCCCCCCTCCACCCCTGTGTGAATGGATTGGGATTCCCGGGGGAGGCGGCTGGGCCCTCACCTCCAGCCCTGACACCTGGCAGAGATCCTGGAAGGGCAGGAGGGCTGTTGACAAGTACTGAATTCATGTTTTTATTTTTATGGACATGGACAAGCTAGATTCTTTCCACCCAGCCTGCCCTGAATCTCCAGTGTGGTGAAAAGTTAAATTAGATGTATGTGTGTATTGCAGTGTACTGCATGCTATTTTCTGTGCTTTCTCATTGATTGCTCTGGCTGACTTATAAACAAGCAATTCTGTTTTCCAGAGTTTGGTGGTTGAGTGAGGGATTGCGTAACCAGGAAGGAGTGAGAAAGGCAGAGAAAATAATCTTTGCTGGAGAAGCAGCTAAAAACACCTGCCTTCCTGTATCCCGTGGGAAGGTCTCTCTGGCTGGGAGCTGGCCCAGCCCTACCGTGTCATCTCTCACTTAGTTTTACGCCTGAACCTTTAGATCCCAAGCTTGCACATTGCCCTAAATTTGCTGGAAACACCTCTGCATGTGTGAGCTTTATCTTTGGCTGTGCAGAAGAAGGGCCCATACTATTGCCTATAGTGGAGGGGAAGCAGGTGCCAGGCACTGCCCAGAATGGAGCAGGGCCCCCATAGGGGAAGAAAAACTGCCCTGTTCCAGGAGTAGCTTGACCACCCTTTCCTTTCTTCCTAATTAAGTGCCTGCCTCCAGTTTTATATTTTTTTTTTAACTTAACATAAATTTATTTTTCACAGTTCTAGAGGCTAGAAATCCAAGATCAAGGTGCCAGCACGGTCAGTTTTTGGTAAGGGCTCTCTTTCTGACTTTAATTCTTTTTTTTTTTTTTTTTTTGAGACAGGGTCTCACTCTGTCACCCAGGCAGGAGGGCAGTGGCAAGTTCTCGGCTCACTGCAACCTCCGACTCCCGAGTAGCTGGGACTATAGACACACGCCACCACGCCTGGGCTAAGTTTTGTATTTTTTGCTTGAGACAGGGTTGCACCATGTTGGCCAGTCTGGTCTCAAACTACTGACCTCAAGTGATCCGCCCACCTCAGCCTCCCAAAGTGCCATGATTATACACGTGAGCCACCACACCAGGCCTTTGTCTGATTTTAGACAGCCACTTTCTCACTTTGTAAGAAACTTGTAACAGTGGCAGAAATGTCACTGTAGCTGTGATCTGTCTGTTCACTGAACAGATTTCACCTAGGATAACATTCTGAGGCTTTTCTCTGGGCACACATTTAGTTGTTACACCACATTATTTAGCTGTTTTATGAGCTTAAGAACAGTAGTTACAAGCAAGGTGAATCCGCATTGCTGCACTCAAAGCTTTCAGATAGGTGTGTGCCACACTAATATAAACGGTTGCTGTACACGTACAGAGAAACTTCTCTAGTAACGAACTGTAGAAATGATCCCTGGAAGTACAGTCTTCCTGCCTGTGGGCTTTGTCTAGGTGCTGCTCTTAAATACGTGTCTTACAGGTGAACAATCTGACTGTACATTAAGGGCATGTAAGTGACCTGTAAAGAGAGTTTTCACTCTAGGCCAGTGCGGTGGCTCGCACCTGTAGTCCCAGCACTTTGGGAGGGCGAGGTGGGCAGATCACTTAAGTCCAGGAGTTTGAGACCAGCCTGGCCAACATGGCAAAACCCTGTGTCTACTAAAAATACAAAAATTAGCCGGGCATGGTGGTGTGCACCTGTAATCCCAGCTACTCAGGAGGCTGAGACAGGAGAATCGCTTGAGTCCAGGAGGCGGAGGTTGCAGTGAGTTGAGATCATGCCACTGCACTCCAGCTTGGGTGACAGAGTGAGACTCTGTCTCAAAGGAAAGAAAAGAGTTTTCACTCTAGGTAAACTTATTTGAGTTAGTACTTTTTTAGTTGCAGGTGCTAGAAAATTTAATCCAAAATAACTTTGGCAGATAAACACACCCTAGTATGTTCCTCCAATAGAATTCTATCCCACAATAAAAAAGGAACACACAAATTAGCCGGGTGTGGTGGCGGGTGCCTGCAATTCTAGCTACTCAGGAGGCTGAGGCAGGAGAATCGCTTGAGCCCGGGAGGTGGAGTTTGCAGTGAGCCGAGTTCACGCCACTGTGCTCCAGCCCGGGCAACAAGAGCGAAACTCTGTCTAAAAAAACAAAAAAAGGAACAAACTACTGGTAAATGAAACAGCATGGGTGAATCTGAAAACATGGTATTGAGCAAAATAAACCAGACATAAAAGTCTACATCCTATCTGATTACATTTACATAGTTCAAAAGCAGACAAAAATATGTGGTGATAGAAATCAGAGTATTGGTTGCCTGGGGATGATGGAAATGTTCTGTGTTCTGTATTTTGATAGGAGTGATGGTTACGCAGGTTTATATGTTTGTTCAAACTCATTGAACTATATACTTAAAATATGTGTATTTTATTATATATAAATTGTATCTCAATTCAGAAAATTGAGATACAAAGAAGGGAATGAATTGGTTGCTGTAAATGAAAAGTACAGAGGGATGGCTTCAGGCCTAGCTTGATCCAGGGCTCAGATGACATCGCCAAATCTGTTTCTCAGCTCAGCCCACCTGGGGTTGGTTCCCTGTCTAGGGAGACACTCTTCTGCTGGTGGTAAGGTGGCTGCAACTGCTCAGTGTCACAGCCTCCCAGGTTCAAGGCCAATGAGGACCTCTTCCTGATGGGTTTCGATTGACCCTGATCTTCAGGCTTTGGTTTTCCAATGGGCCAGGCAGAAGTCAGATGTTCTTCCCTTTGGAAAGGATGTTGGGGGAGCATGGATTTACACACACACCCCTGCCCCCCACCAGGCCATCATGGGCTATGAGGCGGGAGAGTGGGCTGGCATCACTGTTCCCCCAAAAGATGTGGGGTGATGGTGGGCAGCCATCACCCATGAAGGGGTGTCTGGGGGTTGCATGCATTCCTACCGCTCACACCGCCTCACCGCTCATCCTGGAGCAGCAGGAAGGACAGGGTCTTAAATCCCACCCCAACTTTTACTGCCTGCCTCTAGGATCTCAAGTTGCTCATATAGCCTCCTTGCTGCAGAACCATGGGATCCGAGATGCTGTACCAGGGTCCACATAAGCGGGCCGACCCCAGGAGTTGCCTGTAAAGCTGGTGATGACACGGGGGTTCACTCAGTACTTGCTTTTCTTGGGTGTTGGCTGTTTGCCCACTCTTCAAGTTTCGGGACTGACGGAAATGTCCGAACCTTAGTGTGGGAAGGGAATAGACTCTGTGGAGGAGAAAGTCTCACTTCACTGTAGAACTTGTCAACAGCAGATCCCGAGGTCAGGACAGCTCAGTTGGCCCCACAGGTGTGAGAGGTTTAGCCCCAGTCCCTGGTGCAAACCCTCACTCCAGTCTCAGAGCGGCTTTGTGTTCTGTTGAGAACCAATCCCTGTCTCTGAGTTGCAGAGGCTATTCTGGAAGCTGTTTGTTCAGGGCTAAGGTCTCGTTATTACACAAGATAGGGGGTGGGGTGAGAAATGTATGGGTGGGGATGGTGGACCCGCCACCTTGTCCCCTACAGAGCAGCCCCTGGCAGGGGCTAGTAGATGGCCAATAGTTTCTGGTGATGCCAGGGAGTCTTTCTGACAGTCTTGTCCAGATTTACCTCTCAGGGAAGTTTCCACACACAGCCCCGTGGGTGTTTCTTGTGTTCCCCAGCAAAGCCCAACATTCCTACCTGTCAGGAATAAGTAATGTGGTTTCGGGCCCAATTACTCAGTCAAATCTAACCCTAAGTGTTCCTATGCCTTATCTAGAAACCTGACCACATATCTATGGGCTGGTTAGGGCGTACTGATTCCAGGCCAGCAGAAGTTGGGGAAAGTATACGAACAGAAAAAAAAACATTCTTATCCGTAGTTTGGAATGGCTGCTTATCTGAGCTCTGGGAATGTACGTAAAGGAATTAGTTATTCAAGCTTCCCTGTAAAATGAAACACAGCAGTGGTGATCCAGGTAATTCAGAGTCAAACTGAATCGTCGTCATTTTTGGAAGTGGAAAGGAAAGAGATGAACAGTTATTTTAGTTATTTAATATTTAATTATAATAGCTTAACATTAAAGTTTTTTTTTTTTTTTTTTTTGAGACTGAGTCTCGCTGTGTCACCCAGGCTGGAGTGCAGTGGTGTTATCTTGGCTCACTGCAACCTCTGCCTCCCGGGTTCAAGTGATTCTCCTGCCTCAGCCTCCAGAGTAGCTGGGATTATAGGCGCATGCCACTACGCCCAGCTAATTTTTATATTTTTAGTAGAGACAGGGTTTCACCATGTTGGCCAGGCTGTTCTCGAACTCCTGTCCTCAGGTGATCTACCCGCCTCAGCCTCCCAAAGTGCTGGGATTACAGGCGTGAACTACTATGCCCGGCCAAAGATATTTTAATCTTAAATCTGAAGAAAGACAAAATTGGAAACCGTTTAATGCTTTAAACGATATTAATTTTAAAATCCATTCCAGGGCTGGATGCCATGGCTCATGCCTGTAATCCCAGCACTTTGGGAGGCCGAGGCGGGTGGATCACCTGAGGTCAGGAGTTCGAGACCAGCCTGGCCAACACGGTGAAACCCCATCTCTACTAAAAATAGAAAGATTAGCTGGGTGTGGTGGTGGGTGCCTGTAATTCCAGCTACTCAGCAGGCTGAGGCAGGATAATCACTTGAACCCAGGAGGCAGAGGCTGTACTGAGCTGAGATCGTACCACTGCACTCCAGCCTGTCTACAGAAGCCAACTCGAATTCCGAATATCTGTGCAATTTGAACTTGGGGGAAAGTGTCCTTGCGAGACAGGGAAAATTAGGTTGTGGGGCTATGTGGGGGATGGGTGGTGGTGACCTGATGGGAAATGAGAATGAGAAGTCTTTTATTTTTATTATTATTTAAAAATTTTTATTATTATTTGTAGAGACAGAGTCTCACTCTGTTATCCAGGCTGGAGTGCAGTGGCGCAATTGTAGCTCACCGCAGCCTCAAACTCCTGGCCTCAAGCGATCCTCTGGCCTCAGCCTCTCAAAGTGCTTGGGATTACAGTTGTGAGCTACCATGACCATTCTGGCCAAGAATGAGAAATCTCTGTGGAAGGAGAATACTGGGATTCCTGAGGAGGTTTCCGCTATAGATAACTCACATCTCCCTCCCTGGGGTCCAGGCCATGGGTGTGGCTTGGGCAGAGGTCGGAGAGGCCAGGTGTGTGCAGGCCTGAGATGTGACTCAGGGAGAGAGAAAGGGCAGTCTCTTCACCACGTAATACTACCCGCCAGACCGCTCCCAGGGAGTAACCGCAGTGGGCAGGACCTAGAGATAAGCGGCAAAGAGGAATGTGGGCGTATCCCAGGTCCTGAGGCTTCTACCTGTCTGGGGTGGGAAGAACACCATTCAGCTAAAATGCAGCTTTTATTCTGATCTTAAACTTTTAGCGTGAAGCGTTGTAATCCAAATACCCCAGGGCACAATGGTCAGAGAACACAGACAATTTGTTGAAAAAGAAATTAAAGTGTCAAGATTATATGGAAAAACCTTTACCTTCACTGTTATAATAAACATACAAATTAGAAGAATGAGCTATCTATTTTTGCATGTCAACTTGACAGAAATTAAAAATAATTTTCAACCAGACAGATAAAAAGACAATCCAGTTTAAAACTGGGCAAAGGAGAGCTGGGTGTGGTGGCTCACACCTGTAAGACTAGCACTTTGGGAGGCCAAGATGGGCAGATCACTTGAGGTCAGGAATTCAAGACCAGCCTGGCAAAAAAATGGTGAAACCTTGTCTCTACCAAAAAATGGAACAATTAGCCGGACGTGGTGGCATGCACCTGTAGTCCCAGCTGCTCAGGAGGCTGAGGCAGGAGAATCACTTGAACCCAGGAGGTGAAGGTTGCAGTGAGCCAAGATCATACCACTGCAGCAGTCCAGTCTGGGTGACAGACTGAGACCCTGTTTCAAAAAAAAAAAATGGGCAAAGGATCTGAATTGATATTTCTTCGAAGAAGATATACAGTTGGCCAATAAGTTCATGAAAAGATATTCAACATCATTAACTGTCAGGGAGACACAATTCAAAACCACGATGTGAGACAGCACACACATAAGGTAGCTGTAATAAAAAAGATAGACCAGCACCTGTATTGGTGAGATGTAGATGAATTGGAACTCTCATCCTGTTAGTTGGGTTGTAAAATTGTATAACCACTTTGAAGAGCCTGATAGTTCCTCAAATCATTAAACATAGAATAAATCATATGATCTAGACCGGGCTCAGTGGCTCACGCCTGTAATCCCAGCATATTGGGAAGCCAAGCCAAGCGGATCACTTGAGGTCAGGAGTTTGAGATCACCCTGGCCAACATCATGAAACCCGCCTCTCTACTAAAAATACAAAAATTATCTGGTCATGGTGGTGCACGCCTGTAATCCCAGCTACCCGGGAGGCTGAAGCAGGAGAATCGTTCGAACCTGGGAGACAGAGGTTGCAATGAGCCGAGATCGAGCCACTGCACTCAAGCCTGGACGACAGAACAAGCCTCTGTCTCAAAAAAACAGAATCAAAAATAAAAACAAAACAAAAAAACCACCTGATCTAGACATTTTATTTCTATATTTATAGCCAAGAGAAACAAAAGCACATATCCATATAAAACCTTGTACGCACATAAACAGCCTTATTCGTAATAGTCAAAAAGTGAAAACACTCCCCATGCCCATTGTATGATGAATGATGAATGGATAAAGTACACAAGTGTGGTGTATCTATGTAATGAAATCTTATTCAGGGACAAAAACGGACAAAGTTCTGATACATGCTACAACCTGGATAAACCTTGAGAACATCATGGCAAATGAAAGAAGCCAGATGCAAAGGCCACATATTATATGATTCCGTTTATATGAAATAATCTTGAATAAGCAAACCTGTAAAGACAGAAAGTAGATTGGTGGTTGCCTAGGGCTGGGGTTAAGGGGAAAAGGAAATGAGGAGCGATGCTAATGGCTACTTGCTTTTTTTTTAGGCTGATGAAAATGTTCTAAAATCAGATAGTGGTTGATGGGCGTGGTGGCTCGCGCCTGTAATCCCAGCACTTTGGGGGGCTGAGGTAGGCAGATCACTTGAGGTTAGGAGTTCAGGACCAGCCTGGCCAACATGGCGAAACCCTGTCTCTACTAAAAATACAAAAATTAGCCAGGCGTGGTGGTGGGCACCTGTAATTCCAGCTACTCGGGAGGCTGAGGCAGGAGAATCACTTGAACCTGGGAGGCAGAGGTTGCAGTGAGCCGAGATTGTGCCACTGCACTGCAGCCTGGATGACACAGCAAGACTCCATCTAAAAAAAAAAAATCAGATAGCACTGATGGTTCTGTAACTCCTGAATATACTAAAAACCAATGAATTGTTTATTTTAAAAGGGCAAAACGTATGGTATATGGATTATATCTCCATAAAGCTGTTACTAAATAAAAAAAGTAGGCCAGGCGCAGTGGCTCACACCTGCCATCCCAGCCCTTTGGGGAGGCCAAGGCAGGTGGATCACTTGAAGTCAAGAGTTCAAGACGAGCCTGGGCAACATGGCGAAACCCTGTGTCTACTAAAAATACAAAAATTACCTGGACATGGTGACATGCACCTGTAGTCCCAGCTACTTGGAAAGCTGAGGCATGAGAATCACTTGAACCCAGGAGTCGGAGATTGCAGTGAGCCGAGATCGCGCCACTGCACTGCATCCTAGGCACGCAGCGAGACTCCATCTCCAAAAAAAAAAAAAAAAAAAGTAGATACTCAGTAACAGTGAGGGGGAAAGCGGTCACAAGGGTGTGGGTGCCTTTCTGTCCTGGAGGATGATTGGGCTGGCCCATGGGTAGCCCTGAAAGGTTTGATCTTATAACTCTGCCCTAGAGATATGTCTTTAATTAATTTATTTATTTTTGAGACAGCGTCTCACTTTGGTTGCCGAGGCTGGAGTGCAGTGGCATAATCTCGGCTCACTGCAACCTTCAGCACCCAGGTTCAAGCGATTCTCGTGCCTCAGCCTCCTGAGTAGCTGGGATTATAGGCGCCCACCACCACACCTGGTTAATTTTTTGTATTTTTAGTAGAAACAGGGTTTCACCATGTTGGCCAGGCTGGTCTTGAACTCCTGACTTCAGGTGATCCACCCGCCTTGGCCTTCCAAAGTTCTGGGATTACAGGCATGAGCCACAGTGCCTAGCTCAGACCTTGTCTCTAAAATAAATTACATAAATAAAATAGATGAGAAGGAAAGACCAATTCACAGTGGCTGTTTTGCAATTGTGTTGTTATGAGCGACTTTTCTTTATACTTTTCAATATTTTCTATGTAGATGCTTTGTTTTCAGAAAAGATTATTTTTAAAGTTAAACATTTTCCATTATATTAAACCCTGTCATCATTTTTAGAGTGGCCGACCTCTGAAGGGGCATCTCTTATTTTTCCTCAGGGCTGTAATCCCCTTGCACAAACCGGCCGGAGTAAATTGCAGAATCAAAGAGCTGCTTTGAATCAGCAGATCCTGAAAGCCGTGCGGATGAGGACCGGAGCGGAAAACCTTCTGAAGTAGGTGTCTTCTGGCTTCCCTGCCTCTCCTGAGTCCTAGTCATCTGTTCCCTAAACTCCCAGGCCAGGCTCTTGGTTTCAGCTTTGGGTTTCCTCCTCATTTCTGGCATCTGGAGTCGTCCCTTTCTTGCCTATAGCTTGGTTATGTTGAAAACAGATATTTTACCCCGCCTGTTTGTGTGTTTGGGGATTGGGTGGGTGGGAGATAGATGCAGACGGTGTGGCATTTGGCTTCAATTCAGTCAGCCATCTTGATGGGAAGCCCAATTTTTGTCTCGAGGTTTGTTTTCTGGCTTTCTCTGGGACTTGTCTATTTTCTCCACTGCCTGACACTATGCCTGGTGCAGAATTTGCTTGGTAAATGTTTATTGAATATATAAAGGAAAGAAAAGCAGAAAGGAAGGAGAGGGGATATTTCTATTGCCAGTGTCCACCTTGCTAATGAGAGGGCTCAGTACACCCCCGTGATCTAGGGCACTCATTAGTATGCTCTCGTGGTAAAACAGTTACTTACCCAGCATAGAACTCAGAGAAGCCTTACCTGTGTCTAGACCTCTATAAACCCTCTCCAGGCAACGAAATGCAACAAAAGACAATGTGCCAGCACTCTGTTTACAAAGAGTGCAGAGTTTCTTCTTCCTTCAGAGTTCTACTGGAGACCATGGTTAGCCCCGTGCCGCCTTGTTTTTTGTTTGTTTGGAGACAGTCTTGCTCTGTCGCCCAGGCTAGAGTGCAGTGGCGTGATCTCGGCTCACTGCAACCTGTGTCTCCTGGGTTCAAGTGATTCTCCTGCCTCAGCCTCCCCAGTAGCTGGGACCACAGGCATGCACCACCATGCTTGGCTAATTTTTTGTCTTTTTAGTAGAGACGGGGTTTCACCATGTTGGCCAGCCTGGTCTTGAACGCCTGGCCTCAAGTGATCCGTCTGCCTCCACCTCGCAAAGTGCTGGAATTACAGGCGCGAGCTACTGCGTCTGGCGTCATGCCACCTTTTTTCTTTTTTTTCAGATGGAGTTTCGCTCTTGTTGCCCAGGCTGGAGTGCAATGTGCAATCACAGCTCACTGTAGCCCCCAACCTCCTGGGCTCTTCAAGCAATCCTCCTAACAGCCTACTGAGTAGCTGGGACCACAGGCATGCACCACCATGCCCGACTAATTTTTTTTTTTTTTGAGACGGAGTCTTGCTCTGTCACCCAGGCTAGAGTGCAGTGGCGTGATCTTGGCTCACTGCAACTTCTGCTTCCCAGGTTCAAGTGATTCTCCTGCCTCAGCCTCCTCAGTAGCTGGGATTACAGGTGCCCGCCACCGTGCCCGGCTCATTTTTGTATTTTTAGTAGAGACGAGGTTTCACCAACTTGGCCAGGCTGGTCTCGAACTCCTGACCTCGTGATCCACCCGCCTCAGCCTCCCAAAGTGCTGGGATTACAGGCGTGAGCCACTGTGCCTGGCCAATGCCCGACTGATTTTTTAAAAATTATTTGTAGAGACAGGGTCTTGCTGTGTTGCCCAGGTTGTTCTCGAACTGTTGTCCTCAAGTGATCCTCCTGCCTTGGTCTCCCAGAGTGCTGGGATTACAAACATGAGCCACTGTGCCTGGCCTGTGTTGCTTTTGTTACTCACGGAATACCTGATGACTTGAGGTCCTGGGTGGGAAGTTTGTCTGGGAATCTCTTCTCCAGCTCCTTTTGCAACTGGGTGCAAAGCAGGTTGTTACTGGAGGAGGCTGGGAAAAATACTGTAGCGTTTTGGCTTTTAAAAAGTCAAGCAGTGTCCCTATCCCAAGACAAGTTTGGACATGGGAATTGTCCACTCCCATAGCAGAGAGCAACTCATGTCATCTGTGTGACGTGAGAGAGGCCCCCGATTTTGGGACTCCCTGTCATGTGCTGGGAAGGCCGTGGTATGTTTTGTGGCCTAGGGTTCTGGTTGACCCTTGGACAGGCCTGCTCTGTGGCCAAGGGGGCAGGTGGGCAGCCTTGATGGTGTATGGCTTTCCTAGGAGTGGACAACAATTGATTTACCTATTCATGGATTCATTGAGCACCTTTTTTTTTTTTTTGAGATGGAGTTTCACTCTTGTTGCCCAGGCTGGAATGCAATGGCTCAATCTTGGCTCACTGCAACCTCTGCCTCCCATGTTCAAGTGGTTCTCCTGCCTCAGCCTCCCAAATAGCTGGGACTACAGGCACGTGCCAGCACACCTGGCTAATTGAATTTTTTAAAGTTTTAGTAGAGACAGGGTTTCACCGTGTTGCACAGGCTTGTCTCAAAGTCTTGGCCTCAAGTGATCCTCCTGCCTCAGCCTCCCAGAGTGCTGGGATTTCAGGAGTGAGCCCCTGTGCCTGGCTATTGAGCACCTGTTAAGTGGCAGGCACAGTTGAGGTGCCTGAAGATCAGGCGAGGCTCTGCTTTTGTGATTTCTCTTGTTGGAGGATGGGAGGAGACTTTTATAGACAAGTAAACAAATCAGATCACCTAGGGAAGTGATGTTTTCTAGGGAATAATGAACTCTGAATATCATAGAGGTTGGCCCAGGATGGCCAGCCTTAGAGACAGAGGGTGGTCAGAGAGGCCCCTGTGAGCAGGGAACTTGGACTTTCTCAGGCAGGAACTAGGGCAGTTTTGTGTGCCTTGTTCTCTTAACGACAACAGCAGTCACCCTTTCTGAGGCCCGAGCCTGACTCAAGCTCATTGTTAAACTGGCAGTGGTTGGGTTGGCAGGGGCAGGAGTGGGGGGTTGTTAATGATTCTCACAGTGGCCTAAAGGTTCAAAGTACCCCTTGCTGGAGAATGTTGTCAGAGGAAACCCTGAAGGTATTTATTAATCTGACTCAACAAGCACCAACGGTTTCCCGAAAACAAATAGGGCATTTTGCCAAGCTCCGCTCTGGCCCCTCAGTGTCCCTGGGCGACCCATTACGTGGCTGTCTCTGCAGGCCATGGGTGGTTTCAGTTGTAAATTAGGCCCTGCTTTCCTTCTGTTTGTCTTCTGGTTCCCAGGTTTCCTACCGCAGCCCCCAAAGGAAAGTAGATCTGTTGGAATAGGGGTGGGGGATGTTTGGAGGTGTCCCCAGAAATGCAGGAATGGAAATGGGGGTGCTAAGCCCTTATCTGAGGACTGTCAGAGGGTATCGTGGCTAGGCAGGCACTTGAAAAACCAGATTTTATGATCCTTCAAAGTCTTCCCCTTCTCTGATCCATTCCAGCTGGGAGTCCATGAGCTTCCTGGAGTTTTTTTAGGAAGCCATCAAATATTTCAAATGCACTTTTTTCAGGTTTGTTTGTTTTTTTTGAGACAGAGTCTCATTCTGTCTCCCAGGATGGAGTGCAGTGTCGAGATACCAGCTCACCTGCGCAACCTCCACCTCCTGGATTCAAGTGATTCTTGTGCCTCAGCCTCCCGAGTAGCTGGGATTATAGGCATGTGCCACCATGCCTGGCTAAATTTTATACTTTTAGTAAGACAGGGTTTCACGGTGTTGGCCAGGCTGGTCTGGAACTCCTGACCTCAGGTGATCTGCCTGCCTCAGCCTCCCAAAGTGCTGGAATTACAGGTGTAAGCCACCATGCCTGACCGTACTTTTTCATTTAGGCCAACCAGAGACAATATTCTGTCTTCTCCCAGCTTCCCTCCCTTGAGAAAAGCTAGGGTAGAAATATGATGAAGTTTATCTGAAATTGAGGCAGTCCTTGTGAAATTTAAAGCAGGGCCGGTGAGCACTGTGGCTCACTTCTGTAATTCCAGCATTTTGGGAGGCCGAGGTGGGCGAATCACAAGGTCAAGAGATCGAGACCATCCTGGCCAACATGGTGAAACCCCATCTCTAAAACTAAAAATAAAAAAATTAGCCGGGTGTGGTGGCACGTGCCCGTAATCCCAGCTACTCGGGAGGCTGAGGCAGGAGAATGGCGTGAACCTGGGAGGCAGTGCTTGCAGTGAGCTGAGATCGCGCTACTGCACTCCAGCCAGGGCCACAGAGCAAGACTCCGTCTCAAAAAAAAAAAAAAAAAAAAAAAGGCAGGTTGCCTAGTTTTAACTAGTTTTAGCTAACTAGTTCTTTGATTCTTTGAACAAGAGCAGGTCATTTAACCTCTCTGGGCTTCAGGTTCCCCTGTTGTGCTGAGAGTTGTTGGGCTAGATCAGAAGTGACCTGCTCCGAGGTTTACAGGGATCAGGTGGGCTTTAAATGAGTGAATGGGGCTGGATTCTGTGCTGTGAGACAACAGGGAGTGGTGGGGACTGTGGTGAAGTGCACAGCATATGCCCTGTCTGGATGAGGCAACTGCAGTTTGCCTCATGGAGGGTAGGGCCAGAGTTGCTGTATCTTCTAATTTTTTTTTTTTCCAGGAGAAGTTAGGAATTTTTTTTTGTTTTTAATCTGATTGTTGAATTTTTTTTTTTTTTCTTTTTGAGACAGAGTCTTGCTCTGTCACCCAGGCTGGAGTGCAGTGGCGTGATCTTAGCTCACTGCAACCTCTGCCTCCCAGGTTCATGTGATTCTCCTGCCTCAGCCTCCTGAGTAGCTGGGACTACAAGCATGCGCCATCATACCCGGCTAATTTTTGTATTTTTAGTAGAGACGAGGTTTTGCCATGTTGGCCAAGCTGATCTCAAACTCCTGACCTCAAGTGATCTGTCTGCCTCAGCCTCCCAAAGTGCTGGGATTACAGGCATGACCCACTGTGCCTGGCCGATTGTTGAATTTTTAAGTTTTGGGGACTCGTTTCAGAGGGGGGATAGTAACATCCTGAGAGCCAGGTGAACAAGTCCCTCGGGCCTTCAGTTTAGTTTGTGACCTCTGGACGGGGGTGATGAAATTCTGGGTCAGGAGTGACGTGAGGTGGCCTTGGCTGTCATGAGAGTGACTTGAGGTTGATGACAGCTCACACCGTCAGTTGTGGGAGGGCTGGTGTGTGTCTGTGGTGGGGTTTGCAGGCCCTCCATAGCCTTTGGGGCTGACATCAACATCAAGGCCCACCTTCCTCCATTGAGAGACAGGCTGGGAGCAGATGTCCTGCCGGTCTGGCTGATCAGCCACCTCAGCAGGGGATGGGACAGTCCTCGCTCCAGCCTCCTGAAACCCTGGCAGAGCGGGATTTGGGATCAGATGGACTAAGGCTAAGCTGCTCTAATAAGGTCGCTGAAGCTGCGGCAAGTCACTATGTCAATGTGGTGCTTATTCCTGGAAGGATAGTTTTATTAAAAGACTTGGGAGAAAAATAATTACACTAAAACAAATGGGGACAGAATGCAACATACACATGTATTACTTTAAAAAAAAAACTTTTTAGACCAGGCGTGGTGGCTCAAGTCTGTAATCACAGCACTTTGGGAGGCTGAAGCGGGCAAATCATTTGAGGTCAGGAGTTTGAGGCCAGCCTGGCCAACATGGTTAAACCTTGTCTCTACTAAAAATACAAAAATTAGCCACGCGTGGTGGCACACATCTGTAATCCCAGCTACTCGGGAGGCTGAGGCTGGAGAATCCCCTGAGCCCAGGAGTTCGAGGTTGCAGTGAGCCGAGATCGCGCCATTGCACTCCAGCCTGGGTGACAGAGTGAGACCCTGTCTCTTAACAAAAAGAAAAGAAAATTAGCTGGGTGTGGTGGTGTGCGCCTGTAATCCCAGCTACTTGGGAGGCTGAGGCAGGAGAATTGCTTGAACCAGGGGGACGGAGGTTGTAATGAGCTGCAATCATGCCATTGCACTCCAGCCTGGGTGACAGAGCGAGACTCCGTCTCAAAATAAATAAATACATAAATAATAAATAAATAAAATTTTTATATTTATTCATTTTGAGGCTGGGTCTTGCTGTGTTGCCCAACCTGGAGTTCAGTGGTATGATCACAGCTCACTGCAGCCTCAACCTTCTGGGCTCAAGCTGTCCTCCCGCCTCAGCCTCCACAGGTGTGTACCACCATAGTAGGCTAATTTTTTTTTTTTTTTGAGATGGAGTCTCGCTCTGTTGCCTCCTGGGTTCAAGCGATTCTCCTGCCTCAGCCTCCCTAGTAGCTGAGATTACAGGCACGCACCCCCATGCCCAGCTAATTTTTGTATTTTTAATAGAGAGGGGGTTCACCATGTTGTCCAGGCTGTTCTCAAACTCCTGACCTCAAGTGATCCGCCCACTCGGCCTCCAAAAGTGCTGGGATTACAGACATGAGCCACCACACCTGACTGGCATTCGGCTAATTTTAAAAATTTTTTTGTAGAGACTGGGTCTCCCTATGATGCTCAGGCTGGTCTCAAACTCCAGGGCTCAAGCAATCCTCGTGCCTAGGCCTCCCAGAGTGCTGCGATGACAGCTGTGAGCCACCATGCCTATTTATTTATTTTTTGAGAGGAGGTCTCACTCTGTTGCCCACACTGAGTGTAGCAGTGCAATCCTAGTGTGTCCGGAATTGGTGGGTTCTTGGTCTCACTGACTTCAAGAATGAAGCGACGGACCCTCGCGGTGTTACAGTGCTTAAATGCAGCGTGTCTGGAGTTTGTTCCCTCTGATGTTCGGATGTGTTTGGAGTTTCTTCCTTCTGGTGGGTTTGTGGTCTCGCTGGCTCAGGAGCGAAGCTGCAGACCTCTGCGGTGAGTGTTACAGCTCTTAAGGCGGCACGTCTGGAGTTGTTCGTCTGGAGTTGTTCCTTCCTCCCGGTGGGTTTGTGGTCTCGCTGGCTTCAGGAGTGAAGCTGCAGACCTTCGCAGTGAGTGTTACAGCTCATAAAGGCAGTGTGGACCCAAAGAGTGAGCAGCAGCAAGATTTATTGCAAAGAGTGAAAGAACAAAGCTTCCACAGTGTGGAAAGGGACCAGAGCAGGTTGCTACTGCTGGCTCAGGCAGCCTGCTTTTATTCTCTTAACTGGCCCCACCCACATCCTGCTGATTGGTAGAGCCCAGTGGTCTGTTTTGACAGGGTGCTGATTGGTGCATTTACAGTCCCTGAGCTAGACACAAAGGTTCTCCATGTCCCCACCAGATGAGCTAGATACAGATTGTCAACACAAAGGTTCTCCAAGTCACCACCAGAGTAGCTAGATACAGTGTTGATTGGTGCATTCACAAACCCTGAGCTAGACACAGGGTGCTGATTGGTGTGTTTACAAACCTTGAGCTAGATACAGAGTGCCGATCGGTGTATTTACAATCCCTTAGCTAGACATAAAGGTTCTCCACGTCCCCACCAGACTCAGGAGCCCAGCTGGCTTCACCCAGTGGATCCCACACCAGGGCCGCAGGTGGAGCTGCCTGCCAGTCCGGCGCCCTGCGCCCGCACTCGTCAGCCCTTGGGTGGTCGGTCGATAGGACTGGGTGCCGTGGAGCAGGGGGCGGCGCTCGTCGGGGAGGCTCGGGCTACACAGGAGCCCACAGAGGGTGGCGGGGGGGCTCAGGCATGGCGGGCTACAGGTGCTGAGCCCTGCCCCACGGGAAGGCAGCTAAGGCCAGGCGAGAAATTGAGCACAGCAGCTGCTGGCCCAGGTGCTAAGCCCCTCACTGCCCGGGGCCAGCGGGCCGGACGTCGGCTCCTAGTGCGGGGCCCGTCCAGCCCACGCCCACCTGGAACTCGCGCTAGCCCGCAAGCACCGCGGGCAGCCCTGGTTCCCGCCCGCGCCTCTCCCTCCACACTTCCCCAGAAGCTGAGGGAGCCGGCTCGGGCCTTGGCCAGCCCAGAAAGGGGCTCCCACAGTGCAGCGGCGGGCTGAAGGGCTCCTCAAGTGTCGCCAAAGTGGGAGCCCAGGCAGAGGAGGCATCAAGAGCAAGCGAGGGCTGTGAGGACTGCCAGCACGCTGTCACCTCTCACTAGCCCACTGCAGACCCAAACTCCTGGGCTCAAGTGATCCTCCTGCCTTAGCCTCCTAAGCAGCTGGGACTATACACGTATACCACCATTCCCAGCTAATTTTCATTTTCAAATTTTCTGTAGAGATGGGGGTCTCCCTATATTGCCCAGGCTGGTGTTGAACTCCTGGCCTCAAGTAATCCTCCTGCCTCAGCCTCCCAAGATTGTGCCACTGCACTCCAGCCTGGGCAACACAGCAAGACTCCCGTCACCAAAAAAAAAAAAAAAAATTAATTTTCTTTCTTACTATATTTTGCAGGAATCGATATTATTATCTTTTTTTTTAATTTTTTTTTTTTTGAGATGGAGTCTGGCTCTTTCACCCAGGCTGGAGTGCAGTGGCCTGATCTCTGCTCACTGCAAGCTCTGCCTCCCGGGTTCATGCCATTCTCCTGCCTCAGCTTGCCGAGTAGCTGGGACTACAGGTGCCCACCACCACACACAGCTAATTTTTTTGTATTTTTAGTAGAGATAGGTTTTCACCGTGTTAGCCAGGATGGTCTATATCTCCTGACCTGGTGGTCTGCCCACCTCGGCCTCCCAAAGTGCTGGGATTATAGGCGTGAGCCATGGCGCCCGGCCCGATATTATTATCTTTAAAGCAAAATTGAGGAATGCCTTTGTTCTCCAGATATCGGGATATCTGGACACTCCCAGGTCTGGGTCTGTTTTAGAAAACATTATTAATTTGTTCCCTTTACTGTAAACATTTAGAGGCTAGGAATGGCTAATTTTCTGAGAATGCAGCCCAGCAAGTCTCAGCCTCTTTTTCCAGCCCTCACTCAAAATGGAGTCGCTGTCCTTCGAACGCCTCTGACCTACACCTGTGCTAGCAACGAAGCTCAGACGCCAGGGTTGATTTCTGAATCATGGTTGCACCAAAGGTCAGCATTACAGAAACCAACCCTGAGACCCCACCTGGCTGCCAACAGTTTCAAAGTGACCAACCTAAAGAGGTCTACATCTTAAGGGCAGCTCATTGATTTGTTGGAAATGTATTTAAAAAAAATTTTTAGGCCAGGTGTGGTGGCTCAAGCCTGTAATCCCAGCACTTTGGGAGGCTGATCCTCAAGAATCACTTGAGGCCAGGAGTTTAAAACCAGCCTGGGCAACATGGTGACACCTTGTCTTTACTAAAAATACAAAAATTGGCTGGGTGTGGTGGCTCACGCCTGTAATCCCAGCACTTTGGGAGGCAGAGGCAGGTGGATCACTTGAGGTCAGGAGTTCAAGACTAGCCTGGCCTACAGGGTGAAACCCCATCTCTAGTAAAAATACAAAAAATTAGCTGGGTGTGGTGGCACACACTGTAACTCCAGCTACTTGGGAGGCTGAGGCAGGAGAATCACTTGAACCTGAAGGTGGAGGTTGCAGTGAGCCAAGATCGTACCACTGCACTCCAGCGTGGGTGACAGAGCAAGACTCCATCTCAAAAATACTCCATCTCAAAAATAAAAACTAAAATAAAAAACATATTTGTTTTAGAGACAGGGTCTCACTATGTTGCTTCGGCTGGTCTTGAACTCCTAGCCTCAAGCAGTCCTCCTGCCTCAGCCTCTCAAAGCACTAGGATCATAGGAATGACCCACTTCACCTGGCTTTCTTGTAAATCTTTTTTTTTTTTTTTTTTTTTGAGATGGAGTCTTGCTCTATTGCCCAAGCTGGAGTGCAGTGGTGTGATGATCTTGGCTCACCACAGCCTCCGCCTCCCAGGTTCAAGCGATTCTCCTGCCTCAGCCTCCTGAGTAGCTGGGACTACAGGGGTGTGCCACCATGCCCAGCTAACTTTTGTATTTTTTTTTTTTTTTTTTGAGACGGAGTCTCGCTCTGTCACCCAGCCTGGAGTGCAGTAGCAGGATCTCTGTTCACTGTAAGCTCTGCCTCCCAGGTTCACGCCATTCTTCTGCCTCAGCCTCCCGAGTAGTTGGGACTATAGGCGCCCACCACCACACACAGCTAATTTTTTTGTATTTTTAGTAGAGACAGGGTTTCACTGTGTTAGCCAGGATGGTCTTGATCTCCTGACCTCGTGATCTGCCCACCTCGGCCTCCCAAAGTGCTGGGATTATAGGCATGAGCCACCGCGCCCGGCCAACTTTTGTATTTTTAGTAGAGACGGGGTTTCACTGTGTTGGCCAGTCTGGTCTCAAACTCCAGACCTCGTGATCCGCCCACCTTGGCCTCCCAAAGTGCTGGGGTTACAGGCGTGAGCCACCGCGCCTGGCCTTGTGGCAAATCTTAAATCAAAAATTGTTGCCAGGCCGGGCGCGATGGCTCACACCTATAATCCTAGCACTTTGGGAGGATGAGGCAAGAGGATTGCTTTGTCTTAGCAGTTTGAGACCAGCCTGGGCAATATGTTTAGACCCCTGACTCTATTAAAAAAAAAAATGTTTTGCCAAGATGGGAGGGGGGAGACATGGCAAATTTATATATAAAGGTGGAAAAATAAAGAGTTGGCATTACGTGGAAGCTCTCTAGGGATTTTGGTGGGGTTCTTAGGGTCTCAGTTTTTATTTATTTTTATTTTATTTTATTTTTTCTTTTTTGAGACGGAGTTTCGCTCTTGTTGCCCAGGCTGGAGTGCAATGGCGCGATCTCGGCTCACCGCAACCTGTGCCTCCCGGGTTCAAGCGAGTCTCCTGCCTCAGCCTTCCAAGTAGTGGGATTACAAGTGCCTGCCACCATGCCCGGCTAATTTTGTATTTTCAGTAGAGACGAGATTTCTCCACGTTGGTCAGGCTGGTCTCCAACTCCTGACCTCAGGTGATTTGCCCACCTCGGCCTCCCAAAGTGCTAGTATTATACGTGTGAGCCACTGTGCCCGGCCTATTTTAATTTTTATTTTTTTTGAGATGGAGACTCGCTCTGTCGCCAGGCTGGAGTGCAGTGGCGTGATCACTGCTCACTGCAATCTTCGCTTCCCAGGTTCAAGTGATTCTCCTGCCTCAGCCTCCCGAGTAGCTGAGAGTACAGGCGTGTGCCCCCATGCCCAGATAATTTTTGTATTTTTAGTAGAGATGGGGTTTCACCATGTTGGCCGGGCTGATCTTGAATTCCTGACCTCAGTTGACCTGTCCACCTTGGCCTCCCAGAGTGCTGGGATTACAGGTGTGAACCTCTGTGCCCAGCCTTAGTTTTTATATTTAAGTCGAACCTACTGTGGTACTAAGCACCAATCAGCTCCCTCACTGCCTAGAGGGAGTAGTCTTCACTCTGTCATTTGTTCTTCCATGAACTAAAATTTGTTCAGCGCCCCCATGATGTGGAAAGGGCTATGCCAGATTCTAGGAAAAAAATACCAAGAGAAAGAAGGCTTGTCCTCTAGGAATTATAATTGAATTATAATTATTTATCTTCCCTCATTTTAAAGTAGATTTGAAGTACCTTAACATATTCATACAACATGTAAGATTAAATCAGGAGTGAATGAAGATATGAAGGCAAGAGAAAGAAGAATAAAGGAGAGATTTAGCTGGAGGTAAGGCTAGTGCATGCCACAAAGTCCTCTATACTTTGTGAAATGTGAGCCATGGTTTGTCTCTGAGCTTCCTGGCAGGCAATAGGAGGAAGGGAATATATTTGGAACACATTTTATATTCACTAGACAAAAGGAATCCCATTTGTAAGAAGAAATGAACCCATTCCTGATACTGAGGGATGGGAGGATTCCGCCCCCACCCCAATCCTTGTGAACATTATCAGCTACAGGATCAGTCGTTTTCTCAATAAGCTCTTTGTAGCACAGGTTTTACAAGCTGCAGATTGTGACCTGTGGTGTGTAATGACATCAATTCAGTGCTTTGCTGTGGCATAATAAAAGATAAATATTTGGTCTTTGTCCTGTTCCTGTGTTCCTGGCACAGAGCTCCTGAGTGATAAAAGTATCTTTTGTATGCTAATGAGATCACTCTTGGTGGGAGGCTTTAGAATGGATGCTGATCCCCAGAAAGCACAAGCCATGGTGAGAGGGCTGGAAATTTCAGCTCCTCCCTACACCACCTCTGGAGAAGGGAGAGAGGCTGGAGATCGAGCTCAGTCACCAGTGGCCAATGATTTAATCATCTATACGTAATGAAGCCTCCATAAACCCTGCATTAGGCTGGTCACGGTGGCTCACGCCTATAATCCCAGCACTTCGGGAGGCCGAGGTGGGTGGATCACCTGAGGTCAGGAGGTGGAGACCAGGCCAACATGGTGAAACCCCGTCTCTACTAAAAATACAAAAATTAGCTGGGTATGGTGACAGGCTCCTGTAATCCCAGCTACTCGGGAGCCTGAGGCAGGAGAATTGCTTGAACCTGGGAGGTGGAGGTTGCAGTGAGCTGAGATCGCACCACTGCATTCCAGCCCGGGGGAAAGAGTGAGACTCTGCCTCAAAAAAAAAAAAAAAAAAAAAAGACCGGCCCGGTGGCTCACGCCTGTAATCCCAGCACTTTGGGAGGCTGAGACAGGTGGATCACGAGGTCAGGAGATCAAGACCATCCTGGCTAACATGGTGAAACCCCTCTCTACTAAAAATCCAATAAATTAGCCGGGCGTGGTGGCGGGCGCCTGTAGTCCCAGCTACTCAGGAGGCTGAGGCAGGAGAATCACTGTCCCAGCTACTCGGGAGGCTGAGGCAGGAGAATCACTGGAACCCGTGAGGCAGAGCATGCAGTGAGCCAAGATCACGCCACTGCACTCCAGCCTGGGCGACTCCATCTCACACACACCCACAAAAAACCTACGTTAGCCAGGCGCAATGGTGCATATCTGTAGTTCCAGCTACTCAGGAGGGTGAGGGAGGATCACTCAAGCCCAGGAGCCCAGGAGTTGGAGACCAGCCTCGGGAATATAGCAAGACACCATCTATACAAAAAAATAAAATAAGGCTGGGCGTCGTGGCTCACGCCTGTAATCCCAGCACTTTGGAAGCCTGAGGCAGGCGGATTGCTTGAGCCCAGGAGTTGGAGACTGGACTGGGCAACATGGTGAAAAAATACAAAAATTAGCCGGGTGTGGTGGTGCATGCCTGTAGTCCCAGCTACTTGGGAGTCTGAGGTGGGAGGATCATTTGAGCCCTGGAGGGCAAGGCTGCAGTAAGCCATGATGTGCCACTGCACTCCAGCCTGGGTGACAAAACAAGACCCTCTCCCAAAAATAATAGAATAGAATAGAGTAGAATAGAATAGAATAGAATAGAATAGAATAGAATAGAATAGAAAGAATAGAATAGAATAAAATTCTGAACGATGAGGTTCAGGGAGCTTCTGGGTTGGTGAACACATTGAGGTGTCTGGAGTGAGCATGGAAGCCCTGCCCCTCTCCCACCATAACTTGCCGTGTACACCTCTTCCAATTGGCTGTTCCTGAATTGAATAACATAAACCAGTACTGGTCCATCAGGTGCTTTCCTATGTTCTGGGAGTCTTTCTGGTGAATTACCAAACCTGAGGAGGTGGCAGTGGGAACCTTTGATTGACAGCTCATCAGTCAGAAGCACAAGTATCCCCCTCTCTCCCAGGATGTGTGACTGGTCCCTAAAATGGGGGCAGCCTTGTGGGACCGAGCCCCTACTCTGTGGGGTATGTGCTTACGCCGGGAGCTGGGGTCAGAATCGAATTGAATTGTTGGATACCCAGTTGGTGTCAGATAATCAGAGAATTGGAGGGTTGCAAACATAATTGTGTTTTAAAAAGAAGTTATTAGAGTAGACTAGACTATGCTGGAGTGGATCACGCCTATGACTTCTGTGAGACTTTTGTTGCAGGGGCATGTGTCTGTGTGTGTGCATGCATGTACTGAGTTGTAAAATAAAATGTATTTCTTTTTTCTTTTTTTTGTGATGGAGTCTTGCTCTGTCACCCAGGCTGGTGTGCAGTGGTGCGCTCTCAGCTCACTGCAACCTCCACCTCCCGGGTTCAAGCGATTCTCATACCTCAGCCTCCTGAGTAGCTGGGACTACAGGCGTGTGCCACTATGCCTGGCTAATTTTTGTCTTTTTAATAGAGACGGGGTTTTACCATGTGGCCCAGACTGATCTCGAATTCTTGGCCTCAAGTGATCCGCGTGCCTCGGCCTCCCAAAGTGCTGGGATTACAGATGTGAGCCACTGCACCTGGCTTAAAATGTATTTCTTACTGGTGCCATAGCCATACACACACAAACATCTCTAAATTGATGAAATTCATCAAGCTGAGCCTCCAGTATCTTATTTTCTGGGGCAGTCCAAATGTGCGTGTGTGTGGACTTCCAGGGCCACAAGAGGAAGAGTGTTGTCACACGTGGTGAGGGCAGAGACTTCGATTTTACGAGTGTTCTCACCATTCCCAGACTGATAAGATTGACTCACTGTGCCTGAACTGTTTGTACAAATGGTGTGGTTTATGTGGAACCACTTGCCTTCCTTCTGGGAATCCAGAATTTTGGAGCATGCTAGGCAGAGGTGCCTATGCTATCAGCCCCCAGTAAAAACCCTGGACACGGAGTCTCTGAGCTTCCCTGGTAGATGGCATTTTACGTGTGTTGTCACAACTCTTTGCTGGGGGAGTTAAGCACGGTCTGTGGGATTCCACTGGGAGAGGACCCCTAGAAGCCTGGGCCGGGCCTCCTCCCAATTTCACCCCATGTGCCTTTCCCTTTGCTCATTATGCTTTGTGTCTTTTGCTGTCGTAAACCATAGCCATGGCTTTTGCAAGTCCTCCTAGATTAACACTGAACTTGGGGGTGGTTTTAGGGACCCTGACGTACCTATGGATGTCAACCTGCTTTAGCGCTATTTGTTGAAACAATAATCTTTTCCACATTGAATTGATTTGGCACTTTTGTTCAAAATCAATTGTAAAGATTTACTACATAAATGTAAACATTTATTCCTGGACTCTTCTTCTTTTTTTTTTTTTTTTTTCTGAGATAGAGTCTCGCTCTGTCGCCCAGGCTGGAGTGCAGTGGTGCTATCTCAGCTCACTGCAAGCTCCGCCTCCTGGGTTCACGCCATTCTCCTGCCTCAGCCCCCCGAGTAGCTGGGACTACAGGTGCCCACCACCATGCCCAGCTAATTTTTTGCATTTTTAGTAGAGACAGGGTTTCACTATGTCAGCCAGGATGGTCTCGATCTCCTGACCTCGTGATCCGTCCGTCTCGGCCTCCCAAAGTGCTGGGATTACAGGCGTGAGCTACCACACCCGGCCTATTCCTGGACTTTTATTCTGATTCATTGCCTATCTTTATGTCAGTACCATGCTATCTTGATGACTATGGCTTCTTAGTAAGTTTATTTTTAATTTTTTTTTTGGGGATGGAGTTTTGCTCTTGTTGCCCAGGCTGGAGTGCGGTGGCGCGATCTTGGCTCACTGCAACCTCTGCCTTCCGGGTTCAAGTGATTCTCCTGCATCAGGCTCCCGAGTAGCTGGGATTATAGGTGTCCGCCACCACTCCCAGCTAATTTTTTGTATTTTTAGTAGAGATGGGGTTTCACCGTGTTGACCAGGCTGGTCTTGAACTCCTGACCTCAGGTGATCTACCCACCTCAACCTCCCAAAATGCTAGGATTACAGACGTGAGCCACCATGCCCAGCCCAGCTTTTTAGTAAATTTTAAAATCAATTGTCTTCCAACTCTGTTCTTATTTTTCAAAATTATTTTGCCTATTGTAGGTTTTTTTTGCATTTCCATATGAATTTTAGGATCAGCTTGCCGATTTCTATTAAAAAGGTTAGTGGGATTTTGATTGAGGTTGCATTGAATGAATGTACCAACTAAGGAGGCTTGATATCTTGACAATAATGAGCCTTCCCATCCATAAACATAGAATAGCTCTTCTTTTAATATATCTCAGCATTGTTTTGTAGTTTTCAGTTTACATGTCTTGTGATTCTTTTGTTTATTCCTGAGTATTTTATTCTTTTTGATGCTATTGTGAATGGAATGGTTTTCTCAATTTTAAGATTGTTCATTGCTAGTATATAGAAATAGAATTGGCCAGGCACAGTGGCTCATGCCTGTAATCTCAGCACTTTCGGAGGCTGAGGCAGGAAGATTGCTTGAGCCCAGGATTTCTGGGCCAGCCTGGGCAACATAGTGAGACTCCATCTCTACAAAGAAACACAAAAATTAGCCAGCGTGGTGGTGTGCACTTGTAGTCCCAGCTCCTTGGGAGGCTGAGGCTGGAGGATGGCTTCAGCCTGGGAGGTTGAGGCTGTAGTAAGCCATAATGGTGACATTGCACTCCAGCCTAGGTGACAGACTGATACCCTGTCTAGAGAAAAAAAAAAAAAAAGAATTGATTTTTGTATATTGATTATGCCCTGTGACCTTGCTAAATTTATTAGTACTAATATTTGTTTTATGGATGCCTTAGGATTTTCTATATATAAGATAGTGCCATCTGTAAATAAAGACAGTTTTATTTCTTCCTTTCTAATCTGGATGCCTTTAATTTCTTTATTTGCCTCATTGATTAGAAATAGCAAAAGTGGGCATCTTTGCCTTGTTCCTGGTGAGAAGAGGAAAGCAGTCATTCACCACTAAGTGTGATGTTAACTGTGGGTTTTTGTAGGTGTCTTTTATCAGATTTCATAAATTCTCTTTTATTCCTACTTTGTTGAGAATTTTTATTATGAATCTGTGATGGATTTTGTCACAGTGTTTTCAATATCTGTTGAAGTCACCATGTGTTTTTTTGTCCTTTATTCTGTTAATATATTATATTATATTGATGTTCAGATGTTAAACCAACCTTGCATTCCTGGGATAAATCCCACTTAGTTATGGTGTACAATCCTATTTATATGTTGCTAGGCTTGGATTGCTAATACTAGTCTTACAGAATGAATTGGGAAGCATTACCTCTCCCTTCATTTTCTCATTCATTTATTTTATTTTACTTTCTATCTTATATATTTTTATATTTTATTTCATTTTATCTTATTTTAGCTTTTAGAGACAGTGTCTTGCTCTGTCACCCAGGCTGGATTGCGGTGGTGTGATCATAGCTCACTGCAGTATCAACCTCCTGGACTCAAGCAATCCTCCTGCCTGGGACTATAGGCATGCACCACCATGCCCAGCTATAATCATCCATTTCTTTCTTTTTTTAAAACAAATTTTATGTTTATTTATTTATGTACTGTGATTTCTCCCACCGAAAGGAATCATTCATTTCTTTTTTTTTTTTTTTTTTTTTTTGAGAGGGAGCCTTGCTCTGTTGTCCAGGCTGGAGTGCAGTGGCATAATCTCAGCTCACTGCAACCCCTATCTCCCAGGTTCAAGCCTCAGCCTTCTGCATAGCTGGGACTACAGGCATGCACCACCACACCCAGCTAGTTTTTGTATTTTTTAGTAGAGACAGAGTTTCACTATATGTTGGCCAGGCTGGTCTCGAACTCCTGACCTCAGCTGATCCACCTGCCTCGGCCTCCCAGAGTGCTGGGATTACAGACGTAAGCCACCATGCCCGGCTGGAATCATTCATTTCTTTTCAAGTGGGTATCTTATGGTATTTTAGGGCATGGCTGGGAGCAGTTTTGTTTTCTCTTCTCAAGACTGAGTGTTTGCAGGATGTCATAGAGTTCATGTCTGCAGCTCACAGTGTCATTGCCTGTGTCCCCAGCTCCACGTACTGGCAGGTGTGCTGCAAGCTGGGTAGGTGCCCTGTGTCCCTGGGATACCTTAACCGACACTCCTGGCCCTCCTCTGCAAGCTGTGCCCTGATCCTCCCTGCAGGGACTGGGGATTGGGTCTGCTCACCTAGAAGCCAGGATACCTGGCTGAGGGCACTTCTCTCCCTCTTCTCTTTGAACAGAGTGGCCACAAACTCAAAGGTGCGGGAGCAAGTGCGGCTGGAGCTGAGCTTCGTCAACTCAGACCTGCAGATGCTCAAGGAAGAGCTGGAGGGGCTGAACATCTCGGTGGGCGTCTATCAGAACACAGAGTAAGTGGGAGCAGCACACCTTCCAAAAGCCTCTGAGCCAGAGATCCTTCGTACATCCAGGGTGCTGCACAAAGAGGTCAGATAGCGTTCTAGACTGGGGTGTGGCAGCCCCCACTTTCGGAAGTGAGAGAACCATCAGGTTTGGGGTTGAGTGAGGTGCTAGACTGGAAGGGATGAGCCCATTTGTTGGGAAATACCTGCAGTGTTGGACAAAAAGGCATTTGTGAGGCCGGGCACGGTGGCTCACTCCCGTAATCCCAACACTTTGGGAGGCTGAGGCGGGTGGATCACCTGAGGTCAGTCTGGCCAACATGGTGAAACCCCGTCTCTGCTAAAAATAAAAAAAAAAATAGCCAGGCGTGGTGGTGCACACTTGTAATCCTGGCTTCTCAGAGGCTGAGGCAGAATTGCTTGAACCCGGGAGTTGGACGTTTCAGTGAGCCGAGATCACACTACTGTACTCCAGCCCGGCTGACAGAGCAAGACTCTGTCTCAAAACAAACAGACAAAAAAAAAAAAAAACAAATGAACACAGTATAAAATCTAGTGTAAATATACGTGATGAGCCAAGATAAGTTTAAAAGTTAGATGCCTTGGATTTTATAGTTAATTTTCAGTAATTCCGCGTAGTCACATTTCATAGACACGCAAACATTAGCAAGATATGTTATTAAATTCAACTGAACAGACATTAAGCAAGGATATTTTAGTGGGTCACCATAACTTTCCTAAGAAATATTAAAGGGACATTGTTAGGACAATACCTTTCCAATGTTGGCTAATTATTTCCTCATTTATTTGCCAAGGAACAAAAAGCATACACAAATACTTTGGGATTAAGGCCAAAGGCCAAAATTGACCCTGTAAGGGGAGGCCACTATGCACACACAGAGATTCTGTGCACTGTACTTACGTTGGACTGCAGTCTGTTTCCTAGCTGGAGGGACAAACTGAAACAGAAAAATCCAAATTAAAGTAACACACCAGTCTCCTTTTAAGGTTGTATTTCCTTTTTTTTTTTTGACACAGAGTCTCCCTCTCTTACCCAGGTTGGAGTGCAGTGGAGCGATCTCAGCTCACTGCAATCTCCACCTCCTGGGTTCAAGCGATTCTTGTGCCTCAGCCACCTGAGTAGCTGGGATTACAGGCACGCACCATCACACTTGGCTAATTGTTTTTTTTTTTTTTTTTTAAGTAGAGACAGGGTTTCATCATGTTGCCCAGGTTGGTCTTGAACTCCTGGTCTCAAGTAATCTGCCCGCCTTGGCCTCCCAAAGTGCTGGGATTACAGATGTGAGCCACTGTGCCTGGCCCCTAGGTCAATTTTGAAGGCACTCTATTGTATCATTCTCCATAACTCAATTTTGGAATCGATTTCTTCAACGTGAAAGCCAACAACACCATCCCTCAGAATTGCAATACATCTCCAAAAATGGAGATCTAACTATGAAAGAAATGCCCCTCTTGCCTTATGCCTGTAATCCCGGCTCTTCAGGAGGCTGAGGTGGGGGATCGCTTGAGCCCAGGAGTTCAAGGCCAGCCTGGGCAACATAGTGAAACCCCATCTCTACAAAAAATAGGAAAATTAGCCGGGCATGGTGGTGCACACCTGTAGTCTCAGCTACTCAGAAGGCTGAGGTGGGAAGATCACTTGAGCCAGGGAGGTCGAGACTGTAGTAATGGCAACAGAAAAAAGTCCTGTCTCAAAAAACACAAAAACAAAACAGAACCCTAAGCGAAATGCTTCTTTTTAAGGAGAAATAACTTTGAGACAGTTCAGAGAAGGGTTTACGTGCTTCTTCAGTGTGGGCATGAGACTTCTCAAAAAGTAGGTGGGCCCCAGGGGAAACTCAGTCGGAAAATAGCTCCCGGGATTTGGGAACCTTGAGTCACCTATGGAATGTGTGTTTCCTGGTGCTGGTCCTCTGCAGGGCACCGGGGTGGTTTCAGAGCTGGAGGGGAGGCGTCAGTGTGTGAAACCTCGCTGGCTCTTCCCTTTGTGACACCACATGCCTGGCTTACCTGTGGGCTCCTGTACGGTTTTTATTGTTTGTTTGTTTTATCTTTTTTTGAGATGGAGTCTCTCTCTGTCACCCAGGCTGGAGTGTAGTGGCATGATCTCGGCTCACCGCAACCTCCGCCTCCCAGGTTCAAGCAATCCTCCTGCCTCAGCCTCCTGAGTAGCTGGGACTACAGGCGCATGCCACCATGCCCAGCTAATTTTTTGTATTTTTAGTAGAGACGGGGTTTCACCATGTTGGCCAGGCTGGTCTCGAACTCCTGACCTCGTGATCCACCCACCTCAGCCTCCCAAAGTGCTGGGATTAGTCATGAGCCACCACACCCGGCCTCCTGTGCAGTTTTGAACGCCCAGTCAGTGCGACAGCTAATGGAAGGTTCTCCCAGCCTATGCTCTGGTGTTCAATTCCAGTGTTTGTCCAAAAGGTTCAGGTTCTGGAGGAGGCGAGATGGGGCCAAGGTTTGGGAATAAATGTCGGCTGTTCCACACTCGCATTTGCCATGCCGAAGAGCAGGGACGTGCAACACAGGGCTTCCCACAGAGTGAACCGAAGGTCTCTGGATTGGTCCCTGGGCTCTAGAGTGGCCAGTCACTGCCCTGTGTCATTGGGAAGAGGGAGAGCTGTGCAGATTCAACACGGCACCATGCATTTGGGTCCTGCGCTCTTCTGTTTTCTTTTTTTTCTTTTTTTTTTTTTTTGAGATGGAGTCTCACTGTGTCGCCCAGGCTGGAGTGCAGTGGCACGATCTCGGCTCACTGCAAGCTCTGCCTCCCGGGTTCACACCATTCTCCTGCCTCAGCCTCCCGAGTAGCTGGGACTAAAGGCGCCCGCCACCTTGCCTGGCTAATTTTTTGTATTTTTAGTAGAGACGGGGTTTCACCGTTAGCCAGGATGGTCTCGATCTCCTGACCTCGTGATCCGCCTGCCTCGGCCTCCCAAAGAGCTGGGATTACAGGTGTGAGCCACCATGCCTGGCCCTGTTTTCAAAGTAGATTGTTTCTTTCTTAGCATGGTTGATCTTTTTTTTTTCTTTTTTTTTTTTTTTCCTGAGATGGAGTCTCGCTCTTTTGCCCAGGCCTGGAGTGCAGTGGCGTGATCTTGGCTCACTGCTACCTCCACCTCCTGGTTGAAGTGATTCTCCTGCCTCAGCCTCCTGAGTAGCTGGGATTACAGGCACACATCACCATGCCCAGGTAGTTTTTGTATTTTTAGTAGAGACGGGGTTTTACCATGTTGGCCAGGCTGGTCTTGAACTCCTGACCTCAGGTGATCTACCCATTTCAGCCTCCTAAAGTGATGGGATTATGGGCGTGAGCCACTGCACCTGGCCTGCACTACTGTGTTTTCAAAGTAGACTGTTTCTTTCTTAGCATGGTTGATCTTTACAGTCTTCTAGGAGGTAGGTGGGAAAGAAATAACCTCATGGTGCAGATGGGAAAACTCAGGGAGGCCAGAAGGCACCTAGAGGGCGCTGTCATTGCCACATTGGGGCTGGGGTACCCTGGAGCTGGGACTCAGGACACTCGCTCCTCCTCTTCTCATTGCCTGGACAGCTGCAAACCTGGCTTCCTGCCCTGAGTAGCCTGGAGGAGCCTTCAGCAGGATCCGGCTTTCCATGCCCCCGGATGGGACTCACCTGGCTGTAGCACAGCTGCACTGCAGAGCCAGGTTCAGCTTACAGCTGCATTGTCCCCTCGCCCTGCCCAGCCTTCCTGGCCTTCTTGTGGGGCTGGGCTGAGCAGCCCAAGGAGGTCTCCTGTTACAGGTCAGGGAGCTAAATCCTTGTTTGCAAAACACAGCCTGAGCTTCATTCACTTCCTTCTGGCCCTGCCCCTAGGAATGTAGGCTCAGGGAGCACTCCCCAGGCGACCTGTGGTTACGGAGTGGTCAGCTGGGGGAGAGGAGGTGGAGGGTGTCTGACCCTGGGCTGGGAGGCAGGTGCATTTCGGTGTCAGATGGGGCTTCTGCCCTGACGGCATCTCCTGTGCCGGTGGTGGGACGCCTAGACACTTCCCAAAGAAGAGGCCCCTATGAACCCAGAGTTGCAAATGTGAGGGTATTGGAGAGCTTCCACAGCTGTGGGGCCCGCTGAGGGGGGCAGAGGAGGTGGGGGTGAGGAGCTGACAAAGGAGGCAGCAGGGTGGTGCACCCAGGTGGGAGCAGCAAGTGCACCAGGCACAGACCCTGGCACACAATAGACTCTCAGCACAGCTGCCGAAAGAAGCATTGAGACTGAGCTGGGCTCAGAGGCTCACGCCCGTCATCCCAGCACATTGGGAGGCCAAGGTGGGCGGATCGCTTGAGGTCAGAAGACCAGCCTAGCCAACGTGGTCAACATGGCGAAACCCCATTGCTACTAAAAAAATATACAAAAATTAGCTGGGTGTGGTGTCGTGTGCCTGTAATCCCAGTTACTCGGGGGGCTGAGGCAGGAGAATTGCTTGAACCCGAGAGGCAGAGGCTACAGTGAGCTGAGATTGCGCCATTGCACTCCAGCCTGGGCGACAGAACAAGAGTCTCTAAAAAAAATAATAATAAAATAAAAAAGGAACCATTGAGGCATTGAAACTGGAAGATAAATCAGTGTCAAGATGCCAGGGGCCTGATGTGTTAGGAGGGGTGGTCCAGCAGTCTTAGGGAGCGGGGTCAGTTTTAGAGCAGAGGGTGGGGCATGACCAGAGTCATCCTTATGGAAAATGAGCCTGTCAGCCAGGTGAGTACAGGATGGGGTAAGGAGGGGGCACACACCTGAGCTTGGGCTGCTGAGGGCAAGGCCGTGGGGTGCACAGGGGTCCGGTTGGGGGTGTTCATACATACCTTGTTGTGTTCCTCATAGGGAGGCATTTACGATTCCCCTGATTCCTCTTGGCCTGAAGGAAACGAAAGACGTCGACTTTGCAGTCGTCCTCAAGGTAAATCTCAAAGCCATGGGCACCAGACTCAGTGTTTAAAATGGAAATAGGCCATTTGCAGTGGCGCATGCCTGTAGTCCCAGTTACTTGGGAGGCTGAGGCAAGAGGATCGCTTGAGCCCAGGAACTGGAGGCTGCAGTGAGTTGTGATCATACAACTGCACTCCAGGCTGGGCAACAGAATGAGACCCTGTCTCCAAAAAAAAGAAAAAAAATGGAGATAGAGAAAATATGTATCCCTTGCAATGGCCTTAGGCTCAACAGGCAGAGTCAGTTGATATCTACAGAGTGACCCTGAGGCCCTTCTCAGCCAGCTACATGCATAATTTATATGTTTATTCCTGCCATATTTTTGTTGTTGCCTTTGATGGCTTCTGAAGCTCCTCCTGGGTCTTGGACAAGGCAGGTTGGAAACCCAGGAGGGCCTTTCCCAAGAGGCCAAGTCAAAGAGGGTCTGTAGTGGACATGCTTTGAAATTTAAAACTTATATCCTCTTTTATTAATAGTGTATTTTTTTCTTAAATCATATAACCAGTTTAGGTTATGTCTTTAGAAGAATAGCTAAAGTTTTTTCTCTAACATTTTATTATGAAAATTTCCAAACTTTTCAAAAAATTTTAAGAATTTTATAGCAAACTCCTGTGTACTCAATTCTTCCAAGAACATACTGCCAGCATTGCTTCCTGACATATTTGTCCATCTGCGCATTCTTGTGTCTGTTAGGTTGGTTTGAAGGTAATTGCAGTTTTTCCATTGAAAGTAATGGCTAAAGGCCGGGCACAGTGGCTCACGCCTGTAATCCCAGCACTTTGGGAGGCTGAAGCAGGCGGATCACTTGAGCTCAGGAGTTGAAGACCAGCCTGGCTAAAATGGTAAAACCCCTGTCTCTACTAAATGTACAGAAATTAGCTGGACGTGGTGGTGCACACCTGTAATCCCAGTTACTTGGGAGGCTGAGGCAGGTGAGTCGTTCGAACCTGGAAGGTGGAGGTGGAGGTTGCAGGGAGCCGAGATCACGCCACTGCCCTCCAGCCTGGGCGACAGAGTGAGATCCCATTTCAAAAAAAAAAAAAAAAATTAGCTGGGCATAGTGGCATATGCCTGTAATCCTAGTTACTCGAGAGGCTGAGGCACGAGAGAGTCGCTTGAACCCAGGAGGCAGAGGATGCAGTGAGCTGAGATTGTGCCACTGCACTCCAGCCTGGGCAGCAGTGAAACTGTGTCTCAAAAAAAAAAAAAAAAGAGAACGAAAGTAATGGCTATTATCAGTCTGTCTTATTTGTAATGCAATTTCAAAGGAAATCAAAGATGTCAATTCACTCCCCTTAAATATTTGAATAACCAGAGTCTTTGCTTGTGTGTCCCCCAGCCACATTCCTGGGTATCTGGACTCCTCTCCCATTTGCAGATCCTCATAAGCCCACCTGTGCCTGGCACTGTGCTGGGTGCCAGAGATGCCACAAGCCCTGCCTGCGGGGCCTTTGGGTCAGTGGGGGTTTCAAGTGGGAAGTGGAAGAGGTGCTTCAGTGGAGAACACAGGAGAGACCATGCCCCGATGCTGGGGCTGGGAGACCGTCCTGTGCCTGGAATACCCTCCTCTTCCTTCCCTCTTCAACTCCATCAGTTTGAGTTTTTAACCAGTCACCTCCAAATTCCATCAAGGAGGGGAAAGGGGATGAGGTGCAGGGTGGCCCAAGTTTGCGCCATGCAGCCCAGGCATTGGTTATAGGAATTAATCCTAGTATCATGAAAATTGCTTTGAAGAAATATTTTACGTTCTTTTTTTTTTTCTTTTTCTTTATTATTTTGAGACAGAGTCTCACTTTTTCACCCAGGCTGGCATGCAGTGGCATGATCTCGGCTCACTGCAACCCCTGCCTCCTGGGCTCAGGTGATCCTCCCACTTCAGCCTCCTGAGTAGCTGGTACTATAGGCGTGTGCCACCGTGCCTGGCTAATTGTTGCATTTTTCTTTCTTTCTTTCTTTTTTATTGAGATGGAATTTAGCTCTCGTTGCCCAGGCTAGAGTGCAATGGCGTGATCTCGGCTCACCGCAACCTTCACCTCCCAGGTTCAAGCGATTCTCCTGCCTCAGCCTTACGAGTAGCTGGGATTACAGGCATGTGCCACCATGCCTGGCTAATTATGTATTTTTAGCAGAGACGGGGTTTCTCCATGTTGGTCAGGTGGGTCTCGAACTCCTGACCACAGGTGATCCACCTGTCTTGGCCTTCCAAAGTGCTGGGATTACAGGCGTGAGCCACCATGCCTGGCTAATTTTTGTATTTTTCGTAAAGACAGAGTTTCCCACTGTTGCCCAGGCTGGTCTCAAACTCCTGGGTTCAAGCAGTCCTCCTGCCTTGGCCTCCCAAAGTGCTGGGATTATAGGCATGAGCCACTGTGCCTGGCTTATTTTACTTTCCATGATAATCCTCTTAATTGGCTCATCTTGGACTACTTTTAGTTTAGAAAAGAAAACATCTTATGACATTTTGACTATTACTATTTTTTTCTTTCTTTCTTTCTTTTTTTTTTTTTTTTGAGCTGGAGTTTCGCTCTTGTTGCCCAGGCTGGAGGGCAATGACGGCATCTCGGCTCACTGCAACCTCCGCCTCCCAGGTTCAAGTGATTCTCCTGCTTCAGCCTCCTGAGTAGGTGGGATTACAGGCACCCGCCATCATGCCTAGCTAATTTGTATTTTTAGTAGAGATGGGGTTTCACTATGTTGGCCAGGCTGGTCTCAAACTCGATCCACCCGCCTCGGCCTCCCAAAGTGCTGGGATTACAGGTGTGAGCCGCCGCTCCCGGCCAACTACTACTTTTAAAAGCAATTGGTTAATACTTTGGAAGCACTTGACGTTCATTCTCAGAGACAGTGAGTTGTTTGACATAAATAGAGGCCTTTTTGACTGCTGCCTTGTTTAAATCCTGTGAGTTTGGGGTTTATTTTGGAATTGGAGAAGGGAAGTTGGTATTCTGAATGTTTCAGGACTCAAGTTTACTGGAAAGTTTGTATTCTGGGTAGAAAGCAATGAAAACAATTCGGGAATTGCAGCTTTATGCCACACTGCCACAGCCTGCCTGAACTTTTACCTGAGACTTATGCCCAGATGCAATGGCTCATGCCTATAATCTTAGCACTTTGGGAGGCTGAGGCAAGAGGACAGCTTGAGGCCAGGAGTTTGAGACCAGCCTGGGCAACAGAATGAGACCTTGTCTCTCTCTCTCTCTCTCTTTTTTTTTTGAGACACAGTCTCACTCTGTTGCCCAGGCTGGAGTGCAATGGTGCGATCTCAGCTCACTGCAACCTCCACCTTCTGGGTTCAAGCGATTCTCCTTCCTCAGCCTCCTGAGTAGCTGGGACTACAGGCATGCACCACTATGGCCAACTAATTTTTGTGTGTGTATATATATATTTTTGAGATGAAGCCTCGCTCTGTTGCCCAGGCTAGAGTGCAGTGGCGTGATCTCGGCTCACTGCAACCTCCACCTCCTGGGTTCAAGCAATTCTCTGCCTCAGCCTCCTGAGTAGCTGGGGTTTCAGGCACCCACTACCACGCCCGGCTAATTTTTGTATTTTTAGTAGAGACGGGGTTTCACCATCCTGGCCAGGCTGATCTTGAACTCCTGACCTCATGATACACCTGCCTCAGGCTCTCAAAGTGCTGGGATTAGAGGCATGAGCCACCGTGCCAGGCTAATTTTTGTATTTTTAGTAGAGACAGGGTTTCACCATGTTGGCCAGGCTGATCTCGAACTCCTGACCTCAGGTGATCCGCCCACCTCGGCCTTCCAAAGTGCTGGGATTACAGGCGTCAACCACCATGGCCAGTCATCTCTCTCTCTCTTTTTTTTTTTTTTTTTTTTTTAAGAGATGGGGTCTCCTCACTATGATGCCCAGGCTGGTCTTGAACTCTCCTGGCCCCAAGTGATCTTCCTGCTTCCACCTCCAGTAAAAGTGCTGAGATTATAGATGTGAGCCACCACACCCAGCCGCATCTCTATTTTTATTTAAAATATATGTGTAATGTGTATATATATAAATGCAAAAATAGATGTGACTTGCCACTGGTCTGTGGGACTCAAAACAATCCACATGTCTAGAAATGTCTGTTGCTGCTGTTGTAGAAGTTTCTTTACGATTTAATTTGTCTGTTGCTTGGTGCTGTGCTACAAGAATGTAAGCATTTTTTTTTTTGAGATGGAGTTTCACTCTTGTTGCGCAGGCTGGAGTCCAATGGCACGATCTCAGCTCACTGCAACCTCTGCCTCCTGGGTTCAAGCGGTTCTCCTGCTTCATTCTCCCAAGTAGCTGGGATTACAGGCATGTGCCACCACACCTGGCTAATTTTTATTAGTAGAGACATGGTTTCACCATGTTGGCCAGGCTGGTCTTGAACTCATGACCTCAGATGATCCACCCGCCTCAGCCTCCCAAAGTGCTGGGATTACAGGTGTGAGCCACTGCATCCGGCCAAGAATGCAAGCATTTTAAAGGAAGAGTCTCTTGGAGAAACTTAGGAATTTTATAGGCATTTTTAAGGATTCAACTGGGTCATGTTCTGAATTCCACATTAAAGCAAATGAAAATATTCACATGTTGTGGACATGGCCAACTGCCATTCGGCACAGGCTTCCAACCATGTCATTTTAGCCTAAAAGAGACTCTACAAATGTCAGTCATATGAAAATGAGAACGTTTGACGGACTTTCTGTTGTATTTTTTCCCTTCCATATTTGATAGAAACACAGGTACTGCAGAAGTGGTTCAGCAGACTGAATTACGGCAGTTCCATTTCAAATCTGACTTGTGTGTCCGTGTGATGTTTTATAATCAGTGAAGCTTCACAGTGTGATTTTGTTTTATTTTATTTTATGTATCTATTTATTTAGAGAGGGAGTCTCACTCTGTTGCCCAGGCTGGAGTGCAGTGGCGCAATCTTGGCTCACTGCAACCTCTGCCTCCCAGGTTCAAGCGATTCTCCTGCTTCAGCCTCCTGAGTACCTAGGATTACAGGCACCCACCACCACACCCAGCTAATTTTTATATTTTTAGTAGAGACAGGGTTTCACCATGTTGTCCAGGCTGTTCTCGAACTCCTGACCTCAAGTGATCCACCCTCCTTGGCTTCCCAAAGTGTTGGGATTACAGGCGTGAGCCACAGCAGCTGGCCGATTTTGTTTTATTTTAAAGAAATAGGGCCAGGCACAGTGGCTCACACCTTTAGTCCCAGCTACTTGGGAGGTTGAGGTGGATTGCTTGAGCCCAAGAGGTCGAGGCTGCAGTCAGCTATGATTGAGCCCCTGCACTCCATCCTGGAAAACAGAATGATAACTTGTCTCATTTAAAAAAAAAAAAAATTTCGAATCAATGAAAGAAAATGAAATAACATCTGTTCTTCAGTAAAGTTTAACAGTTTTCTGCTTAATTATATTAATTTTATCCCTAGAAATGTACTTTTGTTGCTATTGTGAAAGGTATTATTTCTCTGTTAGGTTTTGTTTGTTTGTTTGTTTGTTTTTGAAACAGAGTCTCACTATGTTGCCCAGGCTGGAGTACAGTGGTACAATCTTGGCTCACTGCAACCTCTGCCCCCCAGGTCCAAGTGATTCTCCTACCTCAGCCTCCTGGGTAGCTGGGATTACAGGCACCTGCCACTATACCCAGCTAATTTTTTGTATTTTTAGTAGAGACAGGGTTTCACCTTGTTGGCCAGGCTGGTCTCAAACTCCTGACCTCAACTGATCCGCCCACCTCAGCCTTGAAAACTGCTGGGATTACAGATGTGAGCCACCACACCTGGCTGTCTGCTAAGTTTTTCTAATTGGTTATTGCTTGTATAAGAAAGGAAGAATATTGACTTTTCTTTTTTACTATTGACTTTCATGTGTTAAATTCTTTGCCACTTTATTGAATTCTTATTAATTTAGTAATGTTTCAGTTGATGCTATTGGGTTTTATAAACATGCTGTTACGTTGCAAAAAATTATTTTGATTGTTTCTTTCTAATATTTTATGTCTCTTATTTTTCTTAATGTGTGGGCTAGAGAATGTTTGGAATTAGGCTAAGTAATAACAGTGATGGTAGAAATTCTCATTTTGTCCCTAATGTTCACAGTGGGTTTCAGTTAGGATTTTTTTTTTTTTGAGGCGAAGTCTCGCTCTGTCATCCAAGCTGGAGTGCAATGGCTCAATCTCAGCTCACTGCAACCTCTGCCTCCTGGGCTCAAGCTATTCTCCTGCCTCAGCCTCCTGAGTAGCTGGGATTACAGGCACCTGCCAGCATGCCTGGTTAATTTTTGTATTTTTAGTAGAGACAGGGTTTCACCACGCTGGCCAGGCTGGTCTTGAACTCTTGGCCTCAAGTGATCCACCTGCCTTGGCCTCCCAAAGTGCTGAGATTACAGGTGTGAGCCACCGTGCCTGGCCAGTTAGATAATTTTTTTATCCCACTAAGTACGTTAATCTACCCTAGTTTACTAAGTTTCAAATTCAGGATCACATATAAAATTTAATCAAAATCCTCTTTGACTTTCATAAGATTGGAGTGCAGTGATGTGATCATGGCTCACTGCAGCCTCAACCTCCTGGGCTCAAGTGATCCTCCTCCTGCCTCAGCACGCCTGGCTAATTTTTTATTATTTGTAGAGATGGGGTTTCACTGTGTTGTCCATGCTGGTCTCAAACTCCTGGTCTCAAGTGATTCTCCCACCTTGGCCTCCCAAAGTGCTGGGATCACAGGCATGAGTTACTACACCTGACCCCTTTTAACCACCATGCCCAGCTATTTTATTTTTTTATTTTTTAAATTTTTAATAGAGTTGGGGTTTCACCATGTTGGCCAGGCTGGTCTGGAACACCTGACCTCAAGTGATCTACCTACCTCAGCCTCCCAAAGCACTGGGATTACAGGTGTGAGCCACCATACCCAGCCCATGGCCAAGTTTAAAGAAAAGAGGCATAGTCAGCTGGGTGCAGTGGCTCATGCCTGTAATCCCAACACTTTGGGAAGCTGAGGTGGGAGGATCACCTGAGGCCAGGAGTCCGAGACCAGCCTAGGCAACATAGGAAGACTCTGTCTTTATGAAAAATAACAATATTAGCTGAGTGTGGTGGTGCACACCTATAGTCCCCTCTCCTGGAGAGGCTGAAGTGGGAGGATGACTTGAGCCCGGGAGTTCAAGGCTGCAGTGAGCTATGATTGCACCATTGCACTCCACCCTGGACGACAGAGCAAGACCCTCATCTCTTAAAAAAAGAAAAAGAAGGCACAGCAAAGTTGTGTATTTAGTACAAATCCATTTTTGTAAGACAAGTGTTTGTCTGTTTGTGTGTCTGTATGTTGAACACACAAAAACAGGAGGAGCTTTAATGTAAAAGTTGTGTAAAGAGGTTACTCACAGTCACTTGGGAAGACATAATTGAGCGATCTATGTGATCACCTTTCTTGCAGCTTGGGGGAGCCAGCACTTGTAGGGGCGGGGGTGGGGCGACAGGGCAAAACCCCATCTCTATTAAAAAACACAAAAATGAAATTAGCTTGTGGCACGTGCCTGTGGTCCCAGCTACTTGGGAGGCTGAAGTAGGAGGATTGCTTCAGCCTGGAGAAGTTGAGGCTGCAGTGAGCCGCGATCGCACCACTGCACTCCAGCCGAGGCAACAAAGTGAGACCCTGCCTCAAAGATAAAATAAAATAAAATAAAATAAAGTAAAATAAAATAAAATGCCTTTATAACATGGTTAAGGGTCTTCTTGGCAAAGGAAACCTGTATCTGGAGACTGTTATTGACAGTCCTACCCTCAGGATCTGTGCTGGGAAACTTGTCCGGGTCCTGAGGGAGGCCCAGAATTGCAAGTCTGAGCCCCTGAATAGCTGCAGTGTTTGCAGTATAGTTGAATGTATAGGCCATAGACTGGTCTCGAACTCCTGGGCTCAAGTGATTTACCTGCCTGGTCTTCACAAAGTGCTGGGATTACAGACGTGAGCCACGATGCGCAGACACAAAGACATTTTTAAGCAAAAAATTTACTTCAACTCTCACTTTTACTGAAGCAGCACAACATTTAAAAACATAGGCGTGTGTTGCAGTGGCTCACACCTGTAATCCCAGCACTTTGGGAGGCTGAGGCAGATGGATTGCTTGAGCCCAGGAGTTTGAGACCAGCCTGGGCAATGTGGTGAAACCCCATCTCTACTAAAAATACAAAAATTAGCTGCGCATGGTGGCACATGCCTGTAATCCCAGCTACTTGGGAGGCTGAGGCACGAGAATCACTTGAGCCTGGGAGGTGGAGGTTGCAGTGAGCCGAGATCGCAAGATTGCACTCTAGCCTGGGCAACAGGAGTGAAACTCTGTTTTTTGTTTTTTGTTTTTGTTTTTTTAAAAAAAAACTATGGCCGGGCACGGTGGCTGACATCTGTAATCCCAGCACTTTGGGAGGGCGAGGTGGGGGGATCACCTGAGGTCAGAAGTTTGAGACCAGCCTGACCAACATGGTGAAACTCTGTCTCTACCAAAAATACAACAATTAGCCAGACATTGTGGTGGGCGCCTGTAATCCCAGCTCCTTGAGAGGCTGAGGAAGGAGAATTGCGTGAACCCGGGAGGCAGAGGTTGCAGTGAGCCGAGATTGTGCCACTGCACTCCAGCCTGGGCTACAAAGAGAGACTCCGTATTAAAAAAAACTACATAAATTAAGAAAATAAATTCCCCCACTTTGAAAATCACTATAAGTTTTTCTTTATTCTGCCTTTTTAAAAATGGGTTCACAATTGACATATTACTATTATGCACACATATGGTTTTCAGCCACACTTTATAACATCTGACCTCATTTTTCTTTAAGGATTTTATCCTGGAACATTACAGTGAAGATGGCTATTTATATGAAGATGAAATTGCAGATCTTATGGATCTGAGACAAGTAAGTTTTTGTGTGCAGCAGAGAGGGGAGGGTGGCTTTTCCGAGTCTTCAGGGAACCCCATTATTGCACGCTTGTGGTCTTAACAGAATCGCGGGTGGATAGAGGTGATGGTTGGGGGGTGCTGGAATCATCCATTCCACTTGCTGCATAAGAAAACTGTAGAAGGAGGCCAGGCGCGGTGGTTCATGCCTGTGTAATCCCAGCACTTTGGGGTGTGGAGGTGGGCGGATCACCTGAGGTCAGGAGTTCCAGACCATCCTGGCCAACATGGTGAAACCCTGTCTCTACTAAAAATACAAAAATTAGCTGGGCGTGGTGGTGCATGCTGGTAATTCCAGCACTTTGGGAGGCTGAAGCGGGTGGAACACCTGAGGTCAGAAGTTTGAGACCAGACTGGCCAACATGGCAAAACCCTGTTTCTACTAAAAATACAAAAACAAGCCAGGCATGGTGCTACACGCCTGTAATCCCAGCTACTCGGGAGGCTGAGGCAGGAGAATCACTTGAACCTGGTAGGTGGAAGTTACAGTGAGCCAAGATCGCACCACTGCACTCCAGCTTGGGTGGGTGACAGCAAGACTCTGTCTCAAAAAAAAAAAAAAAAAAAGAAGGAAAACCATAGAAGGGGAGAGCCCTGCCTCAGGGCTGGGACTGGATTCCAGGATTTCTGACTTCCTCCCAGGTTCTTTCCACCCCTCCCAGAGTTTACGATGCCAGTAGCGAGGTCATCATACTGCAGAAATAGTTACAGGCACCTGCTGGTATGTGCAGGGCACCTTCTGGGAAGGGCCATCAGCTGTGTCCTCCTCTGCTCATGCCCTCTTGGGTTCTTTTCCTTGCAGGCTTGTCGGACGCCTAGCCGGGATGAGGCCGGGGTGGAACTGCTGATGACATACTTCATCCAGCTGGGCTTTGTCGAGAGTCGATTCTTCCCGCCCACACGGCAGATGGGACTCCTGTTCACCTGGTAGGTGCTTGAGGTCTGCGCTGGCGCTTCACGTGTTATGGCAGCCACAATTTTGGAGCCTCAGCATCACAGACGCCCCTCTGCGGGTGCCCCTGTGCACCTCAGCCCCCTTTCCTATCTTGCATTTATCTGGGGAAGTCTCAAAAGATGTCAATACATTGGTATTTATTTATGAAGGTGATCCGAGGGGAGATGGCTCCAACAGACTGTGGCCTCTTGCTTCTCAGAACAAGCGAGCCAAGGAGAAGAGACATTTTTCTTGCTCGTTGTATCACTGGGGAAGCACGGGGGCTCTGAAGTGGAATTAGCCAGAAGCGAGATTCTTATCTCAGATTGGACAGGGGCATGCATGTGTATGTGTGAGTGAGAGAGAGAGAGAAAATCAGGTCTTATCCAGTGAGGCAAAAGCACCAAACAGAAATAGATCAGGTTTCTTTTGAAATGGGGTCTCACTGTGTTGCCCAGGCTAGTCTTGAATTCCTAGGCTCAGGTGATATTTCTGCTTCAGCCTCCTGAATAGCTGGGACTATAGGCATGAGCTACTCACTCAGCTTAGATCAGATTTAAAAAAAGGAAGTAGAGCATTTGATTCTTCTCCACAATTGGTATTTTCAGACAAGATCAGGCACGTCAGGGTGGTATGGCCGTAGACCCAATTGGTATTTTCAAAGGTTAGTATAGTTTAAATACTTGGGAGGCCGGGTACAGTGGCTCACACCTGTAATGCCAACACTTTGGGAGGCCGAGGCAGGCAGATCACTTGAGCCCAGGAGTTTGAGACCAGCCTGGACAATGTGGCAAAACCCCATATCTACAAACAATACAAAAATTTGCTGGGTATGATGGTATGCACCTGTTAGTCCCAGCTACTTGTGAGGCTGAGGCAGGAGAATCACTTGAGCCCGGGAGGCGGAGGTTGCAGTGAACCGAGATCACACCACCGTACTCCAGCCTGGATGATAGGAGTGAAACCCTTTTTCAAACAAGAAAAAAAAAGGCTGGGCGTGGTGGTTCACACCTGTAATCCCAGCACTTTGGGAGGCCAAGGCAGGCAGATCACGAGGTCAGGAGTTCGAGACCAGCCTGTCCAATATGGTGAAACCCTGCTTCTAGTAAAAAGTACAAAAATTAGCAAGGCATAGTTGCGCGTGCCTTGTAGTCGCAGCTACTTGGGAGGCTGAGACAGGAGAATCGCCTGAACCCGGGAGGCAGAGGTTGCAATGAGCCAAGATCACACCACTGCACTCCAGCCTGGGTGACAGAGTGAGACTCTGTGTCAAAAAAAAAAAAAAACAACCTAAAAAAAAGTACTTTGGAGATGCTGCACCCCTTCTCTGAGTGTCGTTAGGAGTGTCAGTGAAAGGAGAACACATCCTAGAAGATCAGGGGCATATCAGAATTCAATGTTTCTACAGCTGATGGGTGGCTACTAATGCCTTCCTCATGGAAAGCAAAGGAAAGGGGGATGACTTTTCCTAACAATGCACCAGGCTGTCTGCATGGCCGAAAAGGCGAAAGGTGGTTTCTCCTTAGTCATGAATTAGGGAGAAGCTGTCTGCACACCCCCTGGTTCATGAGTAAACTTTAAAACAAGTCCTAGGGCCAGGTGCGGTGGCTCACGCCTGTAATCCTAGCATTTTGGGAGGCCGAGGTGGGTGGATCACCTGAGGTCAGGAGTTCAAGACCATCCTGACCAACACGGCGAAACCCTGTCTCTACTAAAAATACAAAAATTAGCTGGGCATGGTGGTGGGTGCCTGTAATCCCAGCTACTTGGGAGGTTGAGGCAGGAGAATTACTTGAATCCGGGAAGTGGAGGCTGCAGTGAGCTGAGATGGCGCCACTGCAGTCTAGCCTGGGCGAAAGAGCAAAACTCTGTCTCAAAAAATAAAAAATAAAAAAAATAAAAATAAAACAAGTCCTAGGCTGGGTGTGGTGGCTCATATCTGTAATCCCAGCAGGTTGGGAGGCCAAGGTGGGTGGATCGCTTGAGCCCAGGAGCTTGAGACCAGTCTAGGCAACACAGTGAGACCCTATCTCTACAAAACAATTAGAGAAAATTTGCCGGTCATGGGTGGTGCATGCCTGTAGTCCCACCTACTTGGGAGGCTCAGATGGGAGGATCTCTTAAGCCCAGGAGGTTGAGGCTGCAGTGAGTCATGATCATGCCACCGCACTCCAGCCTAGGCAACAGAGTGAGACTTTGTCTGAAAAAATAAAAAGTAAAACAAATTAAAACAAATCCTGAGTTTTTAGATTTCAGAAAGAATTATGAGGGGTTAGTAATTGCCATATTTCATTTAGGAGAAGCCATACCGCCTTGGCCTCCCAAAGTGCTGGGATTACTGGCATGAGCCACCGCTCCCAGCCCATTTTTTTTTTTTATAATTGAAGAACTTACCTGACACATCATTATCACCCAGAGTCCATAGTTTCCATTAGGGTTCATTCTTGCACTTGTGTATTCTGTGGCTTTTGGCCAACATAGAATGACAGTGATCCACCTTTGCAGTGTCATACAGAAGAGTTTCACTACTGGAAAAATCCTTTGTGCTCCCCCTCCCTCCCTCCCCCTAAGTCCTGGCAACCCCTGATCTTTCTTCTGTCTCCAGGGTTTTGGCTTTTCAGAATGTTGGAATCACACAGCGTATACAGTAGGTAGCAATGTTCAGGTTGGCTCTTTCACTTAGTAATGTTTCCTCTGCATCTTTTCATGGCTTGCTGGTTCATTTCTCCATTTTTAGTGCTGAGTAATATTCCATTGTCTGGATGTCCCATGGTGTGTTTATCCAGTTACCCCGTCAGATATTTTTGTGTGTGGCTGTGGCGGTCAGTGTGATTAGTCCTGTCATCTTGCTTGGAAACAAAAGCCTCAGTGCACATGCATTCTTGACTTTTACTGAAGAAATGAGTTTGTTGTTGTTGTTGTCGCCCAGGCTGGAGCACAGTGGTGCGATCTCAGCTCACTGCAACCTCCGCCTCTCGGGTTCAAGTGATTCTTCCGCCTCAGCCTCCTGAGTAGCTGAGATTACAGGCGCCCGCCACCATGCCTGGCTAATTTTTGTATTTTTGGTGGAGACTGGGTTTCACCATGTTGGCCACGCTGGTCTCAAACTCCTGACCTCAGGTGATCCACCTGCCTCGGCCTCCCAAAGTGCTGGCATTACAGGCGTGAGCCACCGCACCCAGCCAACCCAGGAGTTTGACAGCAGTTTGGGTAACATAGACCCCATCTCTACAAAAATTAAAAAAAAAAAAAAAGGCAGGTATGGTGGCATGCACCAGTAATGCCAGCTATTCTCATGAGGCTGAGGTGGGAGGATCAACTGAGCCCTAAAGTTGAAGGCTGCAGTAAGCTATGATCACACCACTGCACTCCAGCCTGGGCAACAGAGTGAGATATTGACTCTTAAAAAAAAAAAAAAAAAGAATTTTTTCCACTTGTAGCATTAACTAGCCAAGTAATCTGTATTCTCGGAATGCATTTCTTTCACATAGGTATGACTCTCTCACCGGGGTTCCGGTCAGCCAGCAGAACCTGCTGCTGGAGAAGGCCAGTGTCCTGTTCAACACTGGGGCCCTCTACACCCAGATTGGGACCCGGTGTGATCGGCAGACGCAGGCTGGGCTGGAGAGTGCCATAGATGCCTTTCAGAGAGCCGCAGGTATGTCTCCTCCAGGGCTGACCAGACGGAGCCTTGGCCCCACCCGGTGGCACCAGGGGACCCCCCACTGAAGAGAATCTACAGGTCATCCCTCGCAAGGGCCAGACCAGTCTCCAGCTCTGGTGTAACTTCCCATTAAGAAACTTGCTCCGGCCGGGCGCGGTGGCTCACGCCTGTAATCCCAGCACTTCGGGAGGCCAAAGCGGGTGGATCACAAGGTCAGGAGATCGAGGCCAGACTGCATCTCAAAAAAAAAAAAAAAAACTTGCTCGGTGGTTCAGACCTCAGTCTGGGATGGCTGATGTACATGGTGAATCCTGTGGCTGACGATCTTTTCCAGACAAGTGGCCCCTGGGATGGCAGTGCATAACTGTTTCTTTCAACACTGTCATGAAGAGCAGAATAACTTTTCCCAAATAGTGAAACTGTAGGCTTCTTTTTCTTGTATTAGGTGTACCTTATCAGTGCGTATTACTCTCCGTGCCTTTATTTATTTATTTATTTATTTATTTATTTATTTATTTATGAGATGGAGTTTTGCTCTTGTTGCACAGGCTGGAGCGCAGTGGCATGGTCTCGGCTCACTGCAACCTCCACCTCCTGGTTTCAAGCAATTCTCCTGCCTCAGCCTCCTGAGTAGCTGGGATTACAGGCACCCGCCACCACACCTGGCTAATTTTTGTATTTTTAGTAGAAATGGGGTTTCGCCATGCTGGCCAGGCTGGTCTCGAACTCCTGACCTCAGGTGTTCCGCCTGCCTCAGCCTCCCAGAATGCTGGGATTACAGGCATGAGCCACCGCACCCTGCCCCTCCATGCCTTTATATCACCTGCATTCTGCCAACTTCTCCAGCATGAGGTGGGTGTTCTCAACCCTTTGTCAAGTGATGCATTCAAAGGATGTCTCATAGCTCAGTTCCCTTCTTCTGGGAACTGTCTTTTGTTATTTTATTTTATTTATTTGTTTATTTTGAGATAGAGTCTTGCTCTTGTCACCCAGGCTGGAGTGCAGTGGCACAATCTCTGCTCACTACGACGTCTGCCTACTGGGTTCAAGTAATTCTTCTGCCTCAGCCTCCCAAGTAGCTGGGATTACAGGCGCCTGCCACCATGCCTGGCTAATTTTTGTATTTTTAGTAGAGATGAGGTTTTGCCATGTTGGCCAGGCTGGTCTCAAACTCCTGACCTCAGGTAATCTTAGTATGAGAATGAGGTGCGGTGTTGAGGAGAAAAGCAGCCTAGTGCTTACACCTATAGAGGACTGGGGTCAACAGACCCAGCGCTGTGGGTGAGCCTGGCTTGGCTCACCTGTGCCTGCGGGTTCTGCCTTGCTCCCCCATAGCAGGGCTGTGTCTGGGTCAGACTCCACGTGGGGATGGATGCAAGAGCAGGGCACAGTGTAGACCACAGTGTGTTCCCCACGCTAGCTCTATAGCGTGTTGCCTTCTGGGCTGATCATCGACATTCTGCTTTGGGGTGTGATCCCCTTCCACCCGTGTGGATCATTGTTTGATATCACTTTGCCCTGCAAGCTTGTGAAGAACCATAGCTTTGCCACTTTGACTCATCGTGAAATTTCTGATGTTATAATGATTGGTCCTACCAGCCTGGGCCACACAGGAGGACCCCATCTCTACAAAATATTTAAAAATTAGCCAGGCGTGGTGGTGTATGCCCGTAGTTCCAGCTACTCCAGTGGCTAAGACGGGAAGATCACTTAAGCCCAGGAGTTTGAGGCTGCAGTGAGCTATGATTGCACCACTGTACTCTAGCCTGGGTGACAGAGTAAGACTCCATCCCTAAAAAGAATTTTTTTTTTTTAAATTAATGAAATAGGCTGGGCATGGTGGCTCATGCCTGTAATCCCAGCACTTTAGGAGGCTGAGGTGGGTGGATTGCTGGAGCCCAGGAATTTGAGATCAGTCTGGGCAACAAGGCGAAACTCCATCTCTACAAAAAGTACAAAAGTTAGCTGGGCCTGGTGGTGCATGCCTGTAGTCTCAGCTACTTGGGAGGCTGAGACAGAAGGATCAGCCGAGGTTGTGGTAAGCCAAGATCGCGCCATTGCACTCCAGCTTGGGCGACAGAGCAAGACCCTGTCCCAAAAAATAATTAATTAATTAAAAAAATAAAAGATTGGTCTATCGGGATGAAGCGATATGCTAAGATTCCAAGTATGAGTTGATTTCTTTTGCTGTAAATCTTTTTTCTGGACTCATCTTTCTGAGGAATCTTAGGCAGGCACTCTGTGTCCTGTCTCTGAGATTATATCAATGGAGACAAACTATAGACGAAATGAAGCAAGTAGGAGAACAGTGGGGAGTGTGAGGGAACCCCCATGGAGCTCGCAGCTCAAAACAGCAGGTGCCATCCCTCCGCAGGGCAGGGCTTTTTTTTTTTTTTTTTTGCTCAGCAACAAAACCAGAGGAACCAGTTGGATGGGATTCATATGAGAGATTCTATTTCAGTTCCAGATTGATTGTCAGTTAGCGCTTTGGACAGTTAATTTTCTAAACTACAAAGAAGTCAGAGGAAGGCTGCAGCATGAAAATTTCCATTGGAGCAGACGGATTGAGATTTTTTTTTTTTTTTTTTTTTTTTTGAGACAGAATCTCACTCTGTCGCCCAGGCTGGAGTGCAGTGGCGAGATCTCGGCTCACTGCAGCCTCTGCTTCCCGGGTTCAAGTGATTCTCCTGCCTCAGCCTCCGGAGTAGCTGGGATTATAGGCGTGCACCACCACACCTGGCTAATTTTGTATTTTTGGTAGAGATGGGCTTTTGCCATGTTGGCCAGGCTGGTCTTGAACTCCTGACCTCAGGTGATCCGCCCACCTCGGCCTCCCAAAGTGCTGGGATTAGAGGCATGAGCCACCACGCCTGGCCAGAATAGATCTTTCTTGAGGTCCAGGGGAAAAGCCCTGGACTGCTGAATGACTCAGATCTTATGTGTGAGCCTGGTCCCCTGTGAGCCCCTTAGTCCTTCTGCCTGCCGTCTGCTTGCATCTCCATACCTGTCGTGATGGAATTTTGTCCCAGGTGACACAGGAGTTGTGGGGAGCAGGCTGGTTTCTTTACTCAATAGAGATGTGTTTTGGAAGGTAATCCAATTTTTAAAAATTGGGTTAAAAGGCTGGGTGGGGTGGCTCACGCCTGTTATCCCAGCACTTTCAGTGGCCGAGGCAGGCAGATCACCTGAGGTCAGGAGTTCGAGACCAGCCTGGCCAACATGGTGAAACCCCGTCTGTACTAAAAATACAAAAATTAGCTGGGTGTGGTGGTGGACACCTGTAATCCCTGCTACTTGGGAGGCTGAGGCAGGAGGATCGCTTGAACCTGGGAGGCAGAGGTTGCAGTGAACTGAAATCACACCACTGCACTCCAGCCTGGGTGTTTATTTATAAATAAATAAATAAATAGTGTTAAAATATACATATATAACTTAAAATGTACTATTTTAACCAGTTTTTTTATTATAGTAAAATAACACAGAACATAAAATTACCATTTTAATTATTATCTTAAATTTTAAAAATTTTAAAATTATCCTGCCAACCAGAAGCACATTTTAACCATTTTTAAGTGTGCAGTTCAATGGCATTAAGTGCATTTGTACATTCATAGTGTTGTGCAGCCATTACCACTAAACATCTCCAGAAGTTAAAAACTTTTTTTGTTGGTTAGGCAAGGTGGCTCACACCTGTAATCTCAGCACTTTGGGAGGCTGAGTCAGGAGGATCACTTGAATCCAAGAGTGGAGACCAGTCTGAGCAACATAGGGACACCCCATCTGTACAAAAAATTTTAAAATTAGCTTGGTGTAGGGTGGCACATGGCTGTAGTCCCAGCTCTTCAGGAGACTGAGGTGGGAGGACCGCTTGAGCCCAGGAGTTTGAGGCTGCAGTGAGCCATGATTGTGCCACCGCACTCCAGTCTGGGCAACAGAGTGTGATCTTGTCTCAAAAATAAATAAAATAAATACATTTTTAAAAAGTATATATTTTTTAAGAGACAGGGGTCTCAGTACGTTGCCCAGGCTGGTCTTGAACTCTTAATGTCAAGCAACCCTCCCACCTCAGCCTCCTTTATAGCTGGGATTACAGGCAGCAGCCCCTGTGCCCAGCTATCTCCGGAACTTTTTCATCATCCAAAGCAAAGCTCTGTACTCAGTTAAACAATAACTTCCCATTGCCCGCTTTTCCAGCCCCAGCTAACCTCTATTCTCCTTTCTATTTCTGTGAATTTGACTATTCCGGGTACCTTATCTAAATGGAATCCTACAATATTGGTCCTTTTGTGACTGGCTTGTTTCACTTAGCATAATGTCCTTATTTACACTGTACCATGTGTCAGAATTTCATTCCTTTTTAAGGCTGAAAAATATTCTGTTGTATGGATAGGCCACATTGTGTTTAATCATTCATCTGCTCATGGACGTCTGGGTGGTTTCCACTTTTCAGCTCTTGTGAATAATGTTGCTATTAACACGGGTGTTCAAGTGTCATTTAAGCCCCCACTTTCAATTGTTTGGGGATATATATCATAGGAGTGGAATTGCTGGACCATATAATTGAGAATCAAATTTTTTAATATGTTGTAGGACACCGGTTCTTTTTTTTTTCTCCTGTCTTTTCCTTTTTTTTTTTTTTTTTTTTTTTTTGAGACAGAGTCTTGCTCTGTCACCCAGGCTGGAGTGCAGTAGTGAGATCTCAGCTCACTGCAACCTCTGCCTCCTGGGCTCAAGCAATCCTCCTGCCTCAGCCTCCAGAGGAGCTGAGACTATAGTCGCACACCATCACACCCGGCTAATTTTTGTATTTTTTGTAGAGACAGGGTTTCACCACGTTGCCCACGCTGGTCTTGAATTCCTGATACAAGTGATCTGCTCACTTCGGCCTCCCAAAGTGTTGGGATTATGGGCATGAGCCACCGCACTCGGCCTCCTATCTTTCTCTATAGCAACGTGATGAAGTAAATATGAACCCGAACTAATGGGCAAAACATTTTCCACTTTTAGGGGTTTTAAATTACCTGAAAGACACATTTACCCATACTCCAAGTTACGACATGAGCCCTGCCATGCTCAGCGTGCTCGTCAAAATGATGCTTGCACAAGCCCAAGAAAGCGTGTTTGAGAAAATCAGCCTTCCTGGGATCCGGAATGAATTCTTCATGCTGGTGAAGGTGGCTCAGGAGGCTGCTAAGGTAGGACTCCCTGGTTCCTGTGACTTTGGGGAGTGGGCAGGAGATGCTGGCACAGGAGCACTGGAAGTAGCGGGGCCTTCCCATGGGAGCTTGCCTGTGACCTGGGCATTGTGCCAGCTCCGGCCAGTACTGCTGGCTTGAGTTTTCTTGGCAAGTGTTGGTGTTTCAGATACAGATCACTGATTCCATCTGCAGCTTAACCTAAAAACCAGCATAATGACAGCAGCCTGATCCCCCTGTTAACTGTGACAATGACAGAACGAGGGGTCTCTTGGAGTTGCTCCCAGATTCTGGAGCAGCCCCTGGCAGGGGCTGTTGCATGGGAAGAAGAAAGGGCTCTTTCTCTGCAAATGGGTTCATGAGGGCCCTTGTGCCGGGCTGCCCCTTCCCAGTGTCCCTTCTATTTCAGGTGGGAGAGGTCTACCAACAGCTACACGCAGCCATGAGCCAGGCGCCGGTGAAAGAGAACATCCCCTACTCCTGGGCCAGCTTAGCCTGCGTGAAGGCCCACCACTACGCGGCCCTGGCCCACTACTTCACTGCCATCCTCCTCATCGACCACCAGGGTAAGGCCTGGGGGGTTCGGGAGTTTGGCGAGGGCTGTGGTCCAGCTGCCCCAGGGGCGATTCTGAGCTGAGTGAGAGCTAACTGCCTTCCCTGGAGATGCTCACAGGCTGAAGGCAGAGGATGGGAGTGACCCATGACTGAGGCAGCTGCCGCACAGGCCATGGTGGGGTTAGGGGTTATAAGCTTCTTTAGAGGGAGGAAGAAGAGGCACCTTTAATTCTGCCTGGGTGCAAGAGGATGAATTTTCACCTGGAATCTAGAATCTAAGGGAAGGCCAAAAATGCTGGCATCAAGATAAGTAACATTTTAAGGTAATATTTTAAAAGAATCAAAATTAATGCAGGCCAGGTGCTGTGGCTCATGCCTGTAATCTCAGCACTTTGGGAGGCCAAGGCAGGCAGATCATTTGAGGTCAGGAGTTTGAGACCAGCCTGGCCAACATGGTGAAACCCTGTCTCTACTAAAAATACAAAAATTAGCAGGGCATGGCACGTGCCTCTAATCCTAGCTACTCGGGTGACTGAGGCAGGAGAATGGCTTGAGCCAGGGAGGTGGAGGTTGCAGTGAGCCGAGATTGTGCCACTGCACTCCAGCCTGGGTGACAGAGCAAGACTCCATCTCAAAAAAACTAATAATAATAAAATAAAAATTAATGCAAAAAAAATCTGTGATGATCGGAATTTTATTTTATTTTATTATTTTATTTATTTTATTTTATTGTTAGAGATGGGGCTGGAGTGCAGTGGTATGATCATGGCTCACTGCCTTCTTGAACTCCTGGGCTCAAGCGATCCTCCCAATTCAGCCTCCCAAATAGCTGGGAATACAGGCACATGCCACTACACCAGTTAATTAAAAAAAATTTTTTTTTTATAGAGATGGAGTCTCACTATGTTGCCTAAGTTGGTTTCAAACTCTTGGCCTCAAGCAGTTGTCCTGCCTTGGCCTCCCCAAAGTGTTGGGATTACAGGCATGAGCCATGGTGCCTGGCCAGGGATTTTTGATCTAATGAGTACTAATCCAGGCAGCCTCCCAAGGAATTAAAAAGACAGCCTCTGGAGCCAGACTTCCTGGGTTCATATCTCAGCTCTTCCATGAATGAGCTGTTTTACCTTGGGCAAGTTACTTAGCTGTCCTCTGCCTCAATTTTCTCATCTGTAAAATGGGTATATGGAGAGAACCTGCCTCACAGGCTGTCATGAAAACGAAAACGAAGGGCCTGTACGCAAAGCTCAATAATGCTTTATATACTGTAGGTTCTCTGAAAGTGTGAGCCGCCACTCCTAGTACTATATAGTCTATTAGGTGAGACAAGATGTGAAAACAAATAGAAATACCATATAGTGCCTCGGTGATTGCTGTAGAGACACAAATGCAGCAGCAGGTGGACTCCATGGTACAGTCATGGATGGCTTCTTAGAGGCAGTGACATTTGAGTTCAACTTTTCCATCTGCACAGGAGGGAAGGGTCAGCCTAGAGGGAGTAAAGTGTCTGAGCACAGAACAGAGGCGGAGGGTGCTGGGGAAGTGGAGAGTGGTTTTGTGAGGTTTGAGAGCAGGATGCGCGCCACGAAGGGTGTGGTTGAAGCAGGAAGGGGCTCTGCTGCAGGTGTGCAGGCCCGCAGAGGGGTGCAGGCCGGGCATGACAGGGTCTGGGCTATGCCAGGAGGTTCTGTGTGGTGGGTGAGTTGGAGGAGGTAGCGTGTGGGGGCTCAGGGTCAAATTACAAACCTTGCCGGGTGTGGTGGCTCACGCCTATAATCCCAGCACTTTGGGAGGCCGAAATCGGTGTGGATCACGAGGTCAGGACCAGCCTGGCCAAGATGCTGAAACCCCATCTCTACTAAAAATACAAAAATTAGCCGGGCATGGTGGCATGTGCCTGTAATCCCAGCTACTCGGGAGGCTGAGGCAGGAGAATCGCTTGAACCCGGGAGGTGGAGGTTGCAGTGAGCCAAGATCACACCACTGCACCCAAGCCTGGGTGACAGAGCGAAACTCCATCTCAAAAAAAAAAAAAAAAATTATGAACCTCTGGAGTGTGACTGGTCCCAGTGAGCAAGAGCTTTGGGGTAGCCAGGCATAGTGGCTCACACATTTGATCCCAGCACTTTGGGAGGCTAAGGCAGGAGGATCGTTTGAACCCAGGGGTTTGAGACCAGCCTGGGCAATGTAGCAAGACCTTGTCTTTACAAAAAAATTTAAAAATTAGCCTGGCATGTGGTGGTGCATGTCTGTAGTCCTAACTACTCAGGAGGTGAGGTGGGAGGATCACTTGAGCCCAGGAGTTCAAGGCGGCAGTGAACTATGATTGTGCCATTGCACTCCAGCCTGGTAACAGAGTGAGACCGTCTCAAAGAAAAGAAAACCTTGAGGGTTAGACGGCCTGGGGTGTGTCCGGGGGCAGAAAGGAGACCCATGATCCCAAATGCCTTGTGAAACTGCAGAAAAAAGGAAGCTGGAGACATGGTAGAGAAATCTCTACGTGGGTCTGTGGCCAGGTCCATGAGAGGGGATTTAACCTGTGGTTCTCTTTGCAGTGAAGCCAGGCACGGATCTGGACCACCAGGAGAAGTGCCTGTCCCAGCTCTACGACCACATGCCAGAGGGGCTGACACCCTTGGCCACACTGAAGAATGATCAGCAGCGCCGACAGCTGGGTGCGTGTCCCCCTGCACCCAGATGTGGGCCCCACTTGGTGCCCAGCTGGTCCTGCTCACAGCCAGCCACAGAGAGGTCCCTGAAGAGGGCCCGGGAGAGGGGGGTGTTCCGAGTCATCGTGGCCACTTTGGGTTCAGAAGTCATGAGGCGCGGTCCTGAGCCTCAGAGGGCTTCCCAGGCTGTGTTCTCATGGGTTCCATAGCACCCAGGCCTCCCACTGTGGAGCCAGGACTTTAACCATCTCCCTTGGGGTCCACAGGGTGGCATGTGTCACGCTAACAGGGAAGGAGACGTTTGTTGATTTCCTTATGCATGGCTGAATTACCAAGAACACCTAATGACTGGTAATGCAGTGTCCTGGTTTGGTCTCTGCCATGTCTCAGTGTGAATATCTCTTCCCATGTGCAGACCTCACCTCCACCACCCTAACCTGCCCCTCTGCGCACCACCCATGCACACATACGCAGCTTCTCCGTCTCAGTGATGGCAACTCCCACCCCTCTAGGTGCTCAGGCCAGAAACCTTGGACTCACTCTCCACGCTTCTTTTCTTTCCTCCTCTTTCCCATCCCCTCCCCTCTGCTCCCCTCCCCTCTCCTCCCCTCTGTTCCCCTCCCTTCCCCTCCTCTCCTGTTCTCTCCTCTCCTCTTCCCTCCCCTGTTACCCTCCGCTCCCCTTCTCTCTCCTCCTCTCTTCTCCCCTCCTTTCCTCTCTCCTCTGGTCCTCCCTCTCCCTCCCCTCCTTCCTCTCCTCCCCTCACCCTTCCCCTCTCCCCTCCTCCCCTCCCCTCTCCTCTCCTTTCCTTGTTCCTTGTTGCTTTCCTTTTCTCTCCCTTTCCTCTCCTCTCTCCTTTATTCTTTCCTTCTTTCCTTTCTCTCTCTCTCCTCCCCATCTACCCGTCCTCCCTCCTTTCCTCTTTCCTTTTCTTTCATTTGTTTTCTTTGACAGCATCTTGCTGTCCCCCAGGCTGCAGTGCAGTAGTGCAATCACAGCTCAGTGCAGCCTCGAACTCCTGGCTTCAAGTGATCTTCCTGCCTCAGCCTCCTGAGTAGCTGGGACTACAGGCATGCACCACCACGCCCGGCTAATATTGTAAAAAGGTTTTTGTAGAGATGCGGTCTCACTATGTTGCCCAGGCTGGTTTTGAACTCCTGGCCTCCAGCGATCCTCCTGCCTCTGTCTCCCAAAGTGCTGGGTTTACAGGCATGAGCCACCACACCTAACCTCTTGTCTTACTTTCTCACCCTACATTTGATTAGCAAATCCCTTTGGCTGTACTTAGAAAACATATCTCAAATCTGGCCACTTTAATCCTGCTGCCCTGGTGGAAGCCACATGTGTACAGTGCTTATTTAACAAACATTCACTCACTTAAACCCCACACAACACTATGAGGTGCGTCTCGTGGCATCCCCATTTTACAGCTGAGGAAACTGAGACCCAGAGAGGTCACGTGGCTTGCCCTGCTCATAGCGGGTTTTCCTGCTGCCCCTTCAGAGCCTGGTCGTGCAGGTCAGATCACATCAGTCCCCTGCTCTCACTCCAGTGGGCTCCCGTCTCACGCAGAACAGGAGCGAGAGCCCTCATCTCACACGCGTGAGGTCCGCCATGATCTGGCCTGGCTCTTTCTTCCCTGCACTCATTCTCTCCCACCCTCCCTGCCTCCAGGCACACCCTAGCTCCTCCTTGCCCTTGAAAACCTGCACGTGCCCCTGCCCCAGGGCCCTCGCACCTGCTGCTCTTTCACATCAATCAGGGCTCTGCTCAAAAAGGACCATATCACAAAGCTTTCCTTGGCCGGGTGTGGTGGCTCACACCTGCAATCCCAGCACTTTGGGAGGCAGAGGTGGGAGGATGGCTTGAAGTCAGGAGTTTGAGACCAGCCTGGGCAACATGGAGAAACCCCGTCTGTACCAAAAATACAAAAACTTAGCCAGATGTGGTGGTGTGTGCCTGTAGTTCCAGCTACTTGGGAGGCTGAGGTGGGAGAATTGCTTGAACCTGGGAGGTGGAGGTTGCAGTGAGCCGAGATCGTGCCACTGCATTCCAGCCTGGGTGACAGAGCAAGACTCCGTCTCAAGAAAGAAAAAAAAAAAGCCTTTCTCTGTCACCCATCATAGGACAACCCCATTCCCAGTCTTCTCTTACCATCTCCGCTTACCCTGCTTTATTTTTCCCTATAACCTCATCACCACCCCATCCATTACATATTTCTTGTCTTGTTAGTTATCTGTCGTCAACCACTACATGTAAACTCCATGAATGTGGGGGCAGTTTGTTTACTCGTTGCTTTATCTCTAGTGCCCAGCACATTTGGTAAATATTTGTTGAGTGAACATCTTATGGACACAAGTGAGGTTATTACATACGCATTGAAGGGAGGCTTGGGCTGGGCGCGGTGACTCACGCCTGTCATCCCAGCAGTCTGGGAGGCTAAGGCAGGCAGATTGCTTGAGGCCAGGAGTTTGAGACCAGCCTGGGCAACATAGCAATGATAATGAAATGATGATGATAGTGAAAACATTATCCAAGTGTGGTGGTGCATGCCTGTGGTCCCAGCTGCTCAAGAGTCAGAAGAGGGAGGTTCAGTTCAGCCCAGGAGTTTGAGGCTGCGGTAAGCCATGATTGCACCACTGTACTCCAGCGTGCGAAACAAAGTGAGACCCTGTCTCTAAATATAAAATATAAAATGAAAAAAATAATATTTTAATAAAAGGCTTGTTGTAACCAAGCGAGTTATAGAGAAATGCCACACTTTGAGACTAATTCAGGAGTCCTTTATTAGCCGGTGACTGAGAGACGGCTAACGCTCGAAATTCTCTCGGGCCCGAAGAAGGGGCTAGATTTTCTTTTATACTATGGTCTAAATAGGGGAGGGGGGTTTAACTGAAGCAATTTTACAGAAGCAGAATAGGCAAAAAGTTAAAAAAAAGTAATTGGTTATAGAAGCAGTTACAAAAAATACACAGTTCCAGGTGCAGGGGCTTAAACTATCACTAAGAGATAAATGCAGGGGCTTTAGGTACCTGCCACTGAGCACATCCCCAGGAGCTGCTGGTACAGCCTGCCTCAGTATCTTATCAGCAGTTTGCATTCCTGGGTGTGCTTGGAGTCAGCTTACACTAGTTATTCTCTTAAGGGGGATAAGTGGGGGCTGCAAGTGAAGAAACTAAAATGGAGTCTGTCCGGCTCTCTCTGCTAGGAGAGAGTCACTCAGGTTAAAACAAGGTAGGGTATCACAGGCTCTAGCTATCCAGGCAGATCCTTTAGAAAAGAGAACATCCAACCTCTTGGGCTGCCCCTTGGGCCTTTATGCTCTGCTTGGTGGATCTGCAAGTCACGTGGGTGCTGGCTTCCGTCTGCAGGGAAGTCCCACTTGCGCAGAGCCATGGCTCATCACGAGGAGTCGGTGCGGGAGGCCAGCCTCTGCAAGAAGCTGCGGAGCATTGAGGTGCTACAGAAGGTGCTGTGTGCCGCACAGGAACGCTCCCGGCTCACGTACGCCCAGCACCAGGAGGAGGATGACCTGCTGAACCTGATCGACGCCCCCAGTGTTGTTGGTGAGTAGCCTAGACTGTGTTCCCTCTGTGGGGGTGCCTGTGCCGCGGAAAGAGTACGCCTGGCCTGTGGGGGTTGAGCGAGCCCTCGCTGTGTGCTTGGCACAAGGAGAGCTGCACAGGGTAGGGACTGAGGTGCTGCTTTTGCCCTGGAGTTCTCTTTTCTTTTTGAGATGGAGTCTCGCTCTGTTGCCCAGGCTGGAGTGCAGTGGCGTGATCTCGGCTCACTGCAACCTCTGCTTCCCGGGTTCAAGTGATTCTTCTGCCTCAGCCTCCCGAGGAGCTGGGATTACAAGCACCCACCACCACACCCAGCTAATTTTTGGATTTTTAGTAGAGATGGGGTTTCACCATGTTGGCCAGGCTGGTCTCGAACTCCTGACCTCAAGTGATCCACCTGCCTTGGCCTCCCAAAGTGCTGGGATTACCAGGGTAAGCCACCACACCTGGCCTAGATACACTTTTTATGCTGTTTGTTCTCGTGTAGAATCAGCCTGCCCTGGGATCCTTTGTTAGAAATTGACCAGCCTTATGTTAAGGGTAGTCCGAGCCTGCTGTGAAGATGCTGGTGGGGGTATGTAGCTGTCAGTGGTCATGATTTGCCAAACCTCCTTTTCACTGGGAAATCCTCATACCACATTAATAATGAAAAGGTCAAGCACGGTGGCTCAAACCTGTAATCTCAGCACTTTGGGAGGCCGAGGCAGGAGGATTACTTGAGCTCAGGAGTTTGAGACCAGCCTGGGCAACATAGTGAGACCCCATCTCTACAAAAAATTAAAAAAAAAATTCATCAGGTGTGGTGGTGCATACCTATAGTTCCAGCTACTCGGGAGGCTGAGGCAGGAGAATCATTTGAGTCCAGGAGGTCAAGCTGCAAGCGAGCTGTGATCCCACCACTGCACTCCAGCTTGGGCGACAGAGCGACACCCTGTCTCAAAATAGTAATAATGATGAAAACAGAAAGCACGGTATCCCAGGACTGTGTCCAGTGAGGCATGGAACTTCCATAACAACAACACTTGAAACATAGATGACTTCTCAATAGGTTTTTTTGTTTGTTTGTTTGTTTTTGAGAGGTCATTTCGCTCTTGTCTCACCCAGGCTGGAGTGCAGTGGCGTGATCTCAGCTCACTGCAACCTCTGCCTCCCTGGTTCAAGCCTCAGCCTCCCAAGTAGCTGGGACTATAGGCGCATGCCACCACGCCTGGCTAATTTTTTGTATTTTTAGTAGAGATGGGGTTTCATCATGTTGGCCAGGCTGGTCTTGAACTCTTGACCTCAGATGATCCTCCCACCGTGGCCTCCCAAAGTGCTGGGATTACAAGCATTAGCCACCGTGCCTGGCCTCCTCATTAGGGTTTTATGAGTGCCAGAGAAGCCCACTAAGCCCCTTAAGTATCAGGAAACCCCATGGGAATGTGTCTGGTTATCACTCCTTGGTCCCAGCTCGGGAAGGAGTTATACCTCCCATGGCTCACTGGAGGCACCCAAATGGAAGGTACAGTTCACCCTAGGTCGGGGGTTGAGCTCTGTTCCATCTTCTTCTGCTACTTGTCTAAACCGAGGGGAAGGATGTGTGACTAAGAGAAAGTTCTGTACTGTCTCCTTCCCAAGGATCACTTTTTTTTTCCCCCCGGAGTCTGACTCTGTCACCCAGGCTGGAGTGCAGTGGCATGACTTCAACTCACTGCAGCCTCTGCCTCCTGGGTTCAAGTGATTCTCCTGCCTCAGCCTCCCAAGTAACTCGGATTACAGTCACCTGCCACCATACCTGGCTAATTTTTGTATTTTTAATAGAGATGGGGTTTCACCATGCTGGCTAGACTGGTCTTGAACTTATGGCCTCAAGTGATCCACCTGCCTCAGCCTCCCAAAGTGCTGGGATTACAGGCGTGAGCCACAACACTGGACTATTAGGATCACTTTCAATTACAGAAACGTTTATCCTCCCATTTCTAATCCTCTATTCTAGCTAAAACTGAGCAAGAGGTTGACATTATATTGCCCCAGTTCTCCAAGCTGACAGTCACGGACTTCTTCCAGAAGCTGGTATGTTGAATGCTCTCTACATTCAAATGACCTAAGGGGACAGCTCTTCACTTTGGCGAGTATGGTGTCTTAGTCCATGTGGGCTGCTATAACAAAATGCCTCAAACTGGGGGGCTTATGACAGCAGAAATATATTTCTTAGTTCCGGAGGCTGGGAAGTCCAAGACCAAGGTATGGGCAGATTCGGTATCTGCTGAAGGCCCATGTTCTGGTTTATAGGTGGGGCCTTCTACCTGTGTCCTCATGGCAGAAAAGGTGATGAGCTTCCTTGGGCCTGTTTTAAAAGCATGTATCCCATTCTTGAGGGTTCCACCCCAAGACTGAATCACCTCTCGAGAGGCCCCACTTCCTAATAATTACATTGATGATTTTAATATACATTTTAAATTTTAATAAATATTAATAAAATTTTAATATTTTAATATACAAACTTTGGGAGGGTACAAACATTCAGACCATAGCATATTTTATTTTATTCATTTATTTTTATTTATTTGTTTTTTGAGACAGAGTCTCACTCTGTTGCCCAGGCTGGAGTGCAGTGGTGCGATCTCAGCTCACTGCAGCCTCCGCCTCCCAGGTTCAAGTGATTCTCCAGCTTCAGCCTCCCGAGTAGTTGGGATTACAGGCCTGTGCCACTACGCTCAGCTAATTTTGTATTTTTAGTAGAGACGGGGTTTCACCATGTTGGCCAGGCTGATCTTGAACTCCTGGGCTCCAGTGATCCGCTCACCTCAGCCTCCCAAAGTGCTGGGATTACAGGCCTGAGCCACTGTGCCCGGCCCCATAGCATATTTTAAAGGTAGTTTTTAGGTATTGTCTATTTAAAATTTTTTAAAAATATTTTTTAGTTTTTTTAGAGACATGGTCTCACTGTGTCACCTAGGCTGGATTACAGCGGCATGATCATAGCTCACTGCAGCCTGAACCTTCTGGGCTCAAGCGATCCTCCTGCCTTAGCTACCCTAGTAGATGGGACTACAGGTACACACCACCATGTCCAACTAATTTTCATTTCTTGTAGAGATGGGGTCTTGCCTAGGCTGGTCTCCAACTCCTGGGCTCAAACCATACTCCTGCCTAGGCGTCCCAGAGTGCTGGGATTACAGGTATGAGCCACTGTGCCTGGCCTGAGATTTTTTTCCTTTTTTTTTTTTTTTTTTAAGACAGGGTCTAACTCTGTTTTCACCCAGGCTGGAGTGCAGTGGCACAATCATAGTTCACTGCAGCCTCGAACTCCTGGGCTCAAGAAGTCCTCCTGCCTCAGCAGCCTGAGTAGATGGGAGCATTGGCGTGCACCACCATGCCTGGCTAATTCTTTTATGTTTTTAGTAGAGAATGGTTCCCACTATATTGCCTAGGCTGGTCTCAAACCCCTGGCCTCGAGCGATCCTTCTGCCTTGGTCACACAAAGTGCTTAGGATTACAGGCATGACATGCCTAGTCTTACATTTTTTATATTAGAGATTTTATTTATGATAATTTTGGCCGGGTGCGGTGGCTCACGCCTTTAATCCCAGCACTTTGGGAGGCTGAGGCGGGCGGATCACCTGAGGTCAGGAGTTTGAGACCAGCCTGGCCAACATGGTGAAACCCCATCTCTGCTAAAAATACAAAAATTAGCCAGGCATGGTGGTTCGCACCTGTAATTCCAGCTACTCAGGAGAATTACTTGAACCCGGGAGGCAGAGGCTGCAGTGAGCCGAGATCATACCACCACACTCTAGCCTGGGCGACAGAGTGAGACAATGTCTCAAAAAAAAAGAGAAAAAGATAATTAATACAATGCCTAAAAGATAATTTTATTGAAAATATATTGGGTATGTTTGAGAAGATGGCTTTCCAGGTTCTCGCATGACTGCTGTAGCATGTATGCCCCCAGATGTGTCATTTGTCCCTGAACAAGGCCAAGTGAGATCTTCAAGGACAGCAGGCAAAATTCCCTTTAGCTTTCAAGCGTCTGATCCAGCCTTCAAATCCTACACCTAACGATGCTCTCTTCCAAAGGGCCCCTTATCTGTGTTTTCGGCTAACAAGCGGTGGACGCCTCCTCGAAGCATCCGCTTCACTGCAGAAGAAGGGGACTTGGGGTTCACCTTGAGAGGGAACGCCCCCGTTCAGGTTCACTTCCTGGATCCTTACTGCTCTGCCTCGGTAAGCACATGCTTTTCTTGATTGGCAGCAAACACAGATATCTGGGTGATTGAATTTAGGGTGGGTTCACCCATGTCAAAGGCCTGACTTGATGTGAAGGGCCTCATGGGTGCTACATTCCCTAAAAGAAAAGGATTAATTTTTACTGTCTTTCTTTTGTTTGTTTTATGTTTTTAGTTTTTTTTAGACTTTGGGAGGTGGAGGCTGCAGTGAGTCGCGATCGTGCAGTGGCGCGATCTCAGGGCTCACTGCAGCTTCTGCTTCCTGGTTTCAAGTGATTCTCCTGTCTCAGCTTCCTGAGTAGCTGGGATTACAGGCACGTGCCACCACACTCAGCTAATTTTAGTTTTTGTTTTTGTTTTTTGAGACGCAGTCTCACTCTGTCGCCCAGGCTGGAGTGCAGTGGCGCGATCTTGGTTCACTGCAACCTCCACCTCCTGGGTTCAAGTAATTCTCCTGCCTCAGGCTGCTGAGTAGCTGGGATTACAGGTGCGTGCCACCATGCCTGGCTAATTTTTTGTGTGTTTTTAGTAGAGACGGGGTTTCACTGTGTTAGCCAGGATGGTTTCGATCTCCTGATCTTGTGATCCGCCTACCTCGGCCTCCCAAAGTGCTGGGATTACAAGTGTGAGCCACCTGGCCCGGCCTAATTTTTGTATTTTTAGTAGAAATGGGGTTTTGCCATGTTGGCCAGGCTGGTCTCGAACTCCTGGCCTCAAGTATTCTGTCTGCCTTGGCCTCCCAGAGTGCTAGGATTACAGGCGTGAGCCACTGTGCCTGGCCAATTTTGGCTTTTTTTTTTTTTTTTTAATTGCACCCAGGCTGGAGGGCAGTGGCACGATCTCGGCTCACTGCAATGTCTGCCTCCCGGGTTCAAGCAATTCTCCTGCCTCAGCCTCCCAAGTAGCTAGGACTACAGGTGCCCACCACCACACCTGGCTGATTTTTGTATTTTTAGTAGAGATGGGTTTCACCGTGTTGTACAGGCTGGTCTTGAACTACTGACCTCAAGTGATCTACCCGTCTCAGCCACCCAAAGTGAATTTTTGCTTTCTTGATGCGAACTTACGCAAATACCTATTTTGTTAATGGGGACTGATTCAAGGATTTGAGTGAACAAAACGTTGACTTAATTTCAACAATACTTTTTCAGGTGGCAGGAGCCCGGGAAGGAGATTATATTGTCTCCATTCAGCTTGTGGATTGTAAGTGGCTGACGCTGAGTGAGGTTATGAAGCTGCTGAAGAGCTTTGGCGAGGACGAGATCGAGATGAAAGTCGTGAGCCTCCTGGACTCCACATCATCCATGGTGAGCGCTGACACCTCCCTGGGCAGTCAGTGGTGGCGTGGAGTGAAATCTGCATGAGTTCAGCCCCAGAGGTGTTTACCAGACCCTCTGTCTCCTGCCTGTGTAACATGGTACAAATGACTGGACTCCCAGGCTTGTAATCACTGTAATGTGCTCACCTTGGGTCAAAGAGAAAATTGGCAAACTTTTTCTTTTTAAAGACAGCGTCTTGCCCTATTGCCCAGGCTGGTTTGCAGTGGTATGATCATGGCTTACTGCAGCCTCTATCTCTTGGGTTTAAGTGATCCTCCCACCTCAGCCACACGAGCAGCTGGAATTATAGGCACCCACTACCACCCCTGGCTCGCTCTTTCTTTCTTTCTTTCTTTCTTTCTTTATTCATTTTCTTTTTTAATTTTATTTTTTTTTTGAGACGGAGTCTCGCTCTGTCACCCAGGCTGGAGTGCAGTGGTGCAATCTTGGCTCACTGCAAGCTCTGCCTTCCGGGTTCACACCATTCTCCTGCCTCAGCCTCCCAAGCAGGTGGGACTACAGGCGCCTGCCAACATGCCTGGCTAATTTTTTGTATTTTTAGTAGAGACGGGGGTCTCACCGTGTTAGCCAGGCTGGACTCGATCTCCTGACCTTGTGATCTGCCAGCCTCGGCCTCCCAGAGTGCTGGGATTACAGGCGTGAGCCACCATGCCCAGCCTATTCTTTATTTTTTTGTAGAGACAGGTTCTTGCTATGTTGCCAAGGCTGGTCTTGAACTCCTGGGCTCAAGCCATCCTCTCACCTTGGCCTCCCAAAGTGCTGGGATTACAGGCGTGAGCCACTGCACCCTGCTAGCAAACTTTTAAAAATATCCTGTAGATAAAATAATCAACTGATCTATTTTTCTGATCAAATTGTTTAATTACAAAAGTAATACATACTCATAGTGAAAAAAATAAAAAACAAAAAAAAATTCTAATGGTACAGAAGTGCTTAAGACAACCTGTGAAAGTTAAGACAATCCCTCTGTACGCCCTAGAGGCAGTGTCAGCCATGTCCTGGGAGATTTGGGAAGCATTTGAGTGTCTTCAAGTTCACCTGCACAGTTACCGCCTTTAATTTTCCCCACGTGAGGCCAGGCACGGTGCTCATGCCTGTAATCTGAGTACTTTTGGAGGCTGAGGTGGGCAGATTGCTTGAAGTCAGGAGTTGAAGACCAGCCTGACCAACAAGGCAAACACTGTCTCTACTGAAAATATAAAAATTAGCTGGGCATGGTGGTGCACGCCTGTAACCCCAGCTACTCAGGAGGCTGAGGCAGGAGAACAGTTTGAACCTGGGAGGTGGAGGTTGCAGTGAGTGGAGATCGCGCCATTGCACTCCAGCCTGGGCAACAGAGTGAGACTCTGTCTGCAAAAAAACCCTAAAATTTTCCCCAAGTGCTAGGATTCATGCCATACTTAATGACGTTCTCCTCTGCACTTTGCCACACTTAATGATGTACCCTCGACCTTCCCTCTGTAACAACACTCATTTATTCATTCAACAAATATTGATTGAGGATCAGTTGGGTGCCAGACACTCTCTTAGGTGTCAGAGCTCCAGTTTACATTACACAGATAAGGTCCCTGCCCCCCAGCGAAGCTGGCATTAAAGTCAGCAAATAAATGTTCAGGATTTTGATAAGTGCTGTAAAGGAAAAAAGACCTGTAACAGGGTGGAATGACTGGGGAGGGGGCGAGGCTCTATCTAGGCAGGGATGGACCAGACATGAGAGTGACCAGGAGGTTCGAGCCAGTTGCAGAGGGACAAGAAAGGCCTTCTGGGCAGGGGCACTTACAGGTACAGAGCCCCTGCAGCAGAATAAGCTTCTCCTACCGGAGAGGCAAAAAGAAGGCCTTTTGGCAAGAGCACCAGGACAAGGAAGGGAGCCATGGGAAGTGAGGTAAGAAGGAGGCCTTGGCGGCAATGGTGGGAGCTTGGAAGCCACTTGGAAGCCCCTTTCAGAAGGGGAACGGCGTGGTGTGATGTTTGTTTTAGAAGGGCGTCTGCTGCCGGAGACTGGCCATGGCACTTGTCCAGGCTGGTGACATTAGTGGCTGAGGTGATGGGGGTGGCTGTAGAGTTAGAGAGACATGAGTGGCCCTGGGACATAGTTTGGAGGTAGAGCTGATGGGGGATTTGTGGATGATTTGTGTTAAGGAGACAGTGGACAGGGAGGTGAGGCCTCAGTTTTTGGCTTGATCAATCTCATGGGTAGTGGTTATTTTTCTACCTTTAATTTCTTTTTTCTGTTGTTGTTGTTTTGTTTGTTTTGTTTTTTTTTTTGTTGTTGTTGTTTTTGAGACAGGGTCTCACTCTGTTGCTTGGCTGGAATGCAGTGGTGCAATCGTAGCTCACTGTAGCCTTGACTTCCTAGGCTCAGGCAATCCTTTTGCCTCAGCCTCCCGAGTAGCTGGAACTACAGGTGTGTACCACTATGCCTGGCTAATTTGTTTATCTATCTATGGTAAATTTTTTTTGGTAGAGATGGGGCCTTTATATATTGCCAAGGTTGGCCTCAAACTCCTGGCCTTAAGCGATCCTCCCACCTCCGCCTCCCAAAGTGTTGGGATTACAGGCATGAGCCACCATGCCTGGCCTGGTTATTTTTCATAATGATGGGTAATGGGTGTGAGGGAGGTGAAGGAGAGAGAAATCAAGAGTCATGTTTTGAATGTTCCAGATGCTATTAGCAGTCAGACGTAAGCATAAAGGAGGAGATCGAATGTGAAGTCTTACAGTTCGAGGAAGAAATCAGAGCTAGAAATAAATATTTGAGAATCATTGCACAGGGATGATATTTGAGGCTGTGAGACAAAATGCAGCTCCCTGCAAGGGGGCTAGGGCTGAGGGCTAAACATTTAGAGATCAGTTGGAAGAGAAGCAAGTGCAAAGAAAATGGAGGAGAGTTCAGAGATGTCGGAGGAAAGGAGCTTCTCAAATTAAGAGGAGAAAGCTTTGCAGTGAGAGGGTGATGGGTTGCATTGAATGCAGTTGAGTGGTGGAGAATGAGGTCGCCTTAGCTGTGCCTATTGTATTTGGCAGCAGGATGAAAAGACACTTTGGTGGAGAGGTGGCAGCAGAAGTCAGTTGAGAGAGGGCCAGAGAGCCAATGGATTTTGAGTCCATGGATATAAAATGCTCAGCATAGGCAAATCCAGAGACAAAAAGTAGATGGTGCTGGGGCTGGGCAATGGGAGTCGGGAGGGACTGCTGAAGGGTCATAAGGTAGAAGGTTTCTTTTTAGGGGGATGGAAATGTTCTGAAATTAGGTAGTAGTGATGGTCACCTAACTTTGTGAATATACTAAAAATCACTGGTGTCTTGGCATGCTGGCTCACACCTGTAATTCCAGCACTTTGAGAGGCTGAGGCAGTATGTTCGCTTGAGCCCAGGAGTTCGAGACCAGCCTGGGCAACATGGCGAGACCTTGTCTCTACAAAAAATAAAAAAAATTAGCGAGGCATGGTGGCGTATGCCTGTAGTCCCAGCTGCTTGGGAGGCTGAGGCAGGAGGATCACTTGAGCCCAAGGAGGTTGGGGCTGCAGTGAGCTATGATTGTACCACTGCACTCCAGCCTGGGTGTCAGAGCAAGACCCTGTCTCAAAAATAAAAATAATAAATAAAAGCCACAGAAGGGTATTAAAATGGTGAATTTTATGCATGTATGTGAATTATATCTCAAAATTTTTTTTTTTTTTTTTTGAGACAGAGTCTTGCACTATTTCCTAGGCTGGAGTGCAGTGGCGTGATCTCGGCTCACTGCAACCTCCGCCTCCTGGATTCAAGTGATTCTCCTGCCTCAGCTTCCCGAGTGACTGGGATTATAGGTGGGCACCACTATGCCTGGCTAATTTTTGTATTTTTAGTGGAGACAGGGTTTCTCCATGTTGGTCAGGCTGGTCTCGAACTCCTGACCTCGAGATCCATCTACCTTAGCCTCCCAAAGTACTGGGATTACAGGCGTGAGCCACCTCACCCGACATACTTCAAATTTTAAAAGAAGATAAAGTCAAGGGACTCAGAGCATCTTGGGAGAAGGGATCATAAGAAATCATATTTTTAGGGACAAAATCCATGGAGTTTCTGGACAAGTGATTAAGGTCCCCAGCAGAAACAGAAAAGACGTTTGTCCAAAAGGAGGTTAGAGAAAAGAGCCAAGCCACACACTGAAGGTTGGAGTAGGGACCCCATCAGCAGAGGCCTGAGTTTCTGGGGCATGCCCTGCCCCCTGTGAGAGGTGCAAAGGCTTGACTTTCAAGCCTGTGACATCGTTACACCAGGCCAAGGAAGGGGCTGCTGTAGTAGCTGAAAGCAAGGGTTCTGCACTCAGACAGTCTAGATGTGTATCCTGGCTTTCCACCACCAGTTGTGTGGCCTTCAGCAAGTCAGGGAATAGCTGTGAGCCTCAGGATAAACTGAGTTTACATAAAGCCCTTACAAGAGGGCCAAACAGGAGCTACATTTCAATCCACAATAGACATTATAATGATGATAACCATGATCATGATGTTTATTCTTTTCACCTAGCAGGTCCTCTTTAATTTTTTTAAAAATAATGTTTTTAGGCTGGGCACAGTGGCTCACTCCTATAATCCTAGTACTTTGGGAGGCCAAGGCCGGCGGATCACTTGAAGCCAGGAGTTCGAGACCATCCTGGCCACCGTGGCAAAACCCTGTCTCTACTAAAAATACAAAAATTAGCAGGATGTGGTGGTGCATGCCTGCAATCCCAGCTATGTGGGAGGCTGAGGCATGAGAATCACTTGAGCCTGGGAGGCAGAGGTTGCAGTGAGCCGAGATCGAGCCACTGTACTCCAGCCTGCGTGACAGAGTGAGACCCTGTCTAGAAAAAAGAAGGTTTGTTTTTTGTTTTGAGACAGGGTCTCGCTCTCGTTGCCCTGGCGCAATATCGGTTCACTGTGGCCTTGACTCTTGGGCTTACGTGATCCTCCCATCTCCGCTTCCTGAGTAGCTAGGACTACAGGCATGGAACACCATACCCAGCTAATTTTTCGTATTTTTTGTAGAGACGGGGCTTCACCGTGTTGCCCTAGCTGTTCTCTAACTTCTAAGCTCAAGCAATCCGCCTACCTTGCCTCCCAAAGTGCCGGGATTACAGGCATAAGCCAGCATGCCCGGCCAAATAATTTCTTTTGTTGTTGTTTTTTGTTTTGTTTGTTTTGAGACAGGGTCTAACTCAGTTGCCCAGGCTGGAGTGCAATAGTGCAATCATAGCTGACTACAGCTTCGAGTTCTAGGACTCAAAAGATCCTCCCTTCTCATCACCTGAGGTCAGGAGTTGGAGACCAGCCTGGTCAACATGGCAAAACCCTGGGCGTGGTGGTGGCGGGCGCCTGTAATCCCAGCTACTTGGGAGGCCAAGGCAGGAGAATTGCTTGAACCCAGGAGGCAGAGGTTGCAGTGAGCCGAGATTGTGCCACTGCACTCCAGCCTGTGCAAGAGAGGGAGACTCCATCTCAAAAAAAAAAATCCTACCAAGTAGCTGGGACTATAGGCGTGCACCACTATACCCAGCTAATTTTTAATTTTTTTGTAGTGACAGTCTCATTTTGTTGCCCAGGCTGGTCCCAAACTCCTGGGCTTAAGCAATCTGCCTGCCTCCGCCTCCCAAAGTGTTAGGATTACAGGAATGAGCCACTGCACCAGGCCAAAAGTAATTTCCTTTTGTCTTTTATTAATTAATTTTGTGGTGACGAGGTCTAACTAAGTTATCCAAGCTGATCTTGAATTTCTAGCCTCAAGAGACCCTCTTGAATCAGCCTCCCGAATAGTTGGGATTACAGGCGTGAGCCACTGTACCTGGCTCTTTTTTTTTGGAGACAGAGTCTTGCTCTTGTCATCCAGGCTGGAGTGCAGTGGTGCAATCTTGGCTCACTGCAACCTCACCTCCCGGGTTCAAGCGATTCTCCTGCCTCAGCCTCCCGAGTAGCTGGGATTACATGCACCCACCACGATGTCTGGCTAATTTTTGTATTTTTAGTAGAGATGGGGTTTCACCATATTGGCCAGGCTGATCTTGAACTCCTGGCCTCCGGTGATTGGCCCGCCTTGGCCTCCCAAAAGTGCTGGGATTACAGGAGTGAGCCACCATGCCCAGCCCCTGGCTTTTTAAAAATAATTTTTTAAAAATTATTTTTGTCTATTAATTTTTATGATAAGGATTTTAGATAATGACAGTCAAGCACTGTTTTTAGCGACTGAGCCTTTCAAACAAAATCAAATAAAGAGAACATTTAGCCTAGCACTCTGGCTGAACTGATGACCTGCTGCCCTTGGCTACCCTCTTGACTACAGTGGGGATCCCTAGTTGAACAAATCTAAGCTTGGAATCAAGCTCTGGAATTAGGCCCTGACTGCCGTTCACAAGCTGTGTAACCTTCAGCACGTTCATACCCTCCTTGGGCCTCGGTTTTCTCATCCAGAGGATGGAAGAGTTAGGCCTACACAGTGGTTTTAAACTGTGCTCTGTAAAGCCCTAAGAGTTCTAGAGGGGTACCCCAGGTGGATTTGAGTGAGGAATGGGTGGTGGGGAAAGAAACAGTAAATGGAGCTGGGCACAGTGGCTCACGCCTGTAATCCCAGCACTTTGGGAGGCTGAGGCAGGTGGATCACTTGAGGCCAGAAGTTCAAGACCAACCTGGCCAACATGGTGAAACCCTGTCTCTACTAAAAATACAAAAATTATCTGGGTGTGGTGGCATGTGCCTGTAATCCCAGCTACTTGGGAGGCTGAGGCAGGAGAATCACTTGAACCTGGAGGTGGAGGTTGCAGTGAGCCAAGATTGGGCCACTGCACTCCAGTCTGGTGACAGTAAGACTCCGTCTCAAAAAAAAAAAAAAAAAAAGGCTTTTAAAAGAAAGTAGTGGTACACATTGCAGGAGTGAGAGAGTGTGTGTGGGTATGATACTGGGGTGGACCTGGAGGGGAACAGGGTCAAGAAAGGCTTTACTTTTTTTTTTTTGAGACAGTCTCGTTCTGTCACCCAGGCTGGAATGCAGTGAGTGGCGCTATCTCAGCTCACTGCAAGCTCCACCTCCTGGTTCATGCCATTCTCCTGCCTCAGCCTCCCAAGTAACTGGGACTACAGGTGCCCGCCACCACGCCCGGCTAATTTTTTGTATTTTTAGTAGAGACAGGGTTTCACCATGTTAGCCCCGATGGTCTCAATCTCCTGACCTTGTGATCTGCCCGCCTTGGCCTCCCAAAGTGCTGGGATTACAGGCGTGAGCCACCACGCCCCGCCAAGAAAGGCTTTTCAAAGAATGTGATGGTACGCATTGCAGGAGTGTGTGTGTGTGTGTGTGTGTGTGTTTGTGTGTGTGTAGAGATCTGGGCCAAGAAAAGCTTTTCAAAGAATGTGATGGTACGCATTGCAGGAGTGTGTGTGTGTGTGTGTGTGTGTGTGTGTGTGTGTGTGTAGAGATCTGGGAGGCAAGGGTGCCTGGAGGAGAGAGGGAATGGGATCCAGGCACACAGAAGGGCTTGGTCTTGGGGGACGGATGCCATGAAGTATACGGCAGGGATGTCAGGAGGGTGCGTGAGTGGCTTCAGGAGGAGAGCGAAGATAAGAAACAAGTATACAGGAGAAAAGGAAATGAAATTACTAGGGACACACAGAAGTGCCAGGAAATGGGTGCCTATTAGAGGTTTGGGGTCAGGTTAGAATTCCAAGGGAAGCCTTGGTGAGTGTCCTCCAGCAACGCACAACCTTTCAGATACAGGCCCTAGGGGAGGCAGAGGGTGGAGATGAGCGAGTGGGGGCAGATGGAAGAGAACTGAGGGTATTTATAAGGCAGTGGTTTTGATACACAATGGACTTTGAGCAGCTGAGGGTTGGGAAATGCTTTCAGGCCTCACATCTGTCTCCAGGATTATTCGTTTTATTATTGTTTTAAATGACATTGTGTGTGCTCCGTAAAACATGGTGGAGTTAGCGGTCAGTTTTCCAGAAAAGGAAGAGGCATCTCCATCCTTAGGGGCTCGAAGTACCCCCTACTTTATTGCTGCATAACTCAGATTCCTCTGAGGGTTTATTTTATTTATTTATTTATTATTTATTTATTTTTTGCAATAGCGTCTCACTCCATCGCCCAGGCTGGAGTGCAGTGGCGTGATCTGGGCTCACTGCAACCTCCGCCTCCTGGGTTCAAGTGATTCTTCTGCCTCAGCTCCTGAGTAGCTGGGATTACAGGTGTGCACCACCACACCTGGCTGATTTTTGTATTTTTAGTAGAGATGGGGTTTCACCATGTTGGCCACGATGGTCTTGAACTCCTGGCCTCAAGTGATCTGCCCAACTCAGCCTCCCAAAATGTTGGGATTACAGGTGTAAGACACTGTGCCCGGCCCCTCTTAGGGTTTATATTAGGAACAATGTCCTCAACTATTGCAGCGATATATTGTATGCCTAATTTTAGTGCCAGAACATAGTAGACCATCAATAAACATGTGGCGAACTAAACAATCTCAATGTTAGGCAAACCTTAGAAGCCGGTGATAGCCCATGTGGAAGTCTTCAGAAAGCAAGCTTCCTTAGATTTCCAGTTTGAATCCTACATGATTCTTGGAAAGTTAATAGTAGAGAGTGTTTAATGGTACAAAGTTTCAGCTGAGGAAGATGAAAAAGTTTTAGAGATGGATGGTGGCAGTGGAGCATAATGATGTGAATGTAATTAATGCCACCGAACTCTACACTTGAAAATGATAAAAATGGCACTCCAGCCTGGGCGACAGAGCGAGACTCCATCTTAAAAAAAAAAAAAAAAAGGAAAAAGAAAAAAAAGAAAAAAAGAAAATCAGGTGTAGAATAGTGTAGTATATTCCTTTTAAGAAAATGAATGGTAATATACTTAGGTACATATAGAAATACTTGTACATCATCTCTAGAAGTATAACATGGAGGGCCTTAGAAGCCCAGGTGACAGGGAGACCTATTGCTCACTGCATACTCTTTTTTTTTTTTTCCCTTCCCTTGCCCTCTTCCATTCCCTTCTCCTCTTCCCTTTCCTTCCCCTCTTCCCTTCCTTTCCCCTCTTCCCTTCCCCCCGCCCCCCCCCTTTTTTTTTATTTTGAGACAGAGGTCTCACTCTGTCGCCCAGGCTGGAGTGCAGTGGCACAATCACAGCTCACTATAGCCTCAACCTCCTGGGCTCAAGCAATCTTCCCCTCTAAGCCTCCCAGGTAGCTGGGACTGTAGTTGTGAGCCACCGCGCCCCACCCTGTACTTTCATATTCGTGACCATGAGTATTATTACTTTCTCAAATAGAAGAAGAACCTTAAAATATGAGTTGTGGCTCCTAAGCTTAAATTGTTACTATTGAGTACATTCCTTAAAAATTATCCTTGTTGGGCCGGGCGTGGTGGCTCACGCTTATAATTCCAGCACTTTGGGAGGCCAAGACGGGCGGATCACGAGGTCAGGAGATCGAGAAGGGGTGAAACCCCGTCTCTACTAAAAATACAAAAAATTAGCCAGGTGTGGTGGCGGGTGTCTGTAGTCCCAGCTACTCAGAGAGGCTGAGGCAGGAGAATGGCGTGAACCCGGGAGGCGGAGCTTACAGTGAGCCGAGATCGTACCACTACACTCCAGCCTGGGCGACAGAGTGAGACTCTGTCTTAAAAAACAAAAACAAAAAACAAACAAAAAATTATCCTTGTTGGACCTGGTGGTGCACACCTAGAGCCCCAGCTACTCAGGAGGCCAAGGCAGGAAGATCGCTTGAGCCCAGGAGTTTAAGACCAGCCTGGGCAACATAGCAAGACCCTGTCTCAAAAAAGAAAAAAAGTTTGTCCTTGTTTTAAGAACCTAATTCTATATAAGCATTGGTCACCTGAGTTTCCGAATTATGTCTGTTCAATTTATTTTTTGGAGACAGAATCCTGCTCTGTCACCCAGGTTGGAGTGCAGTGGTGTGATCTCAGCTCACTGCAACCTCCACCTCCTGGGTTCAAGTGATTCTTGTGCCCAGGCTCCAAGCAGCTGGGACTACAGACATCCACCACCACACCTGGTTAATTTTTGTATTTTAGTAGAGATGGGGTTTCACCATGTTGGCCAGGCTGGTCTTGAACTCCTGACCTCAAGTGATCCGCCTTCCTCGGCCTCCCAAACTGTTGGGATTACAGGTGTGAGCCACCGCGCCTGGCCAAACTTCGTAGTTTTTATCATCTATCTTGATGATGCCTGACGCCCTTTTTCTTACTTTTCTATGTGCAGCATAATAAGAGTGCCACATACTCCGTGGGAATGCAGAAAACGTACTCCATGATCTGCTTAGCCATTGATGATGACGACAAAACTGATAAAACCAAGAAAATCTCCAAGAAGCTTTCCTTCCTGAGTTGGGGCACCAACAAGAACAGACAGAAGTCAGCCAGCACCTTGTGCCTCCCATCGGTCGGGGCTGCACGGCCTCAGGTCAAGAAGAAGCTGCCCTCCCCTTTCAGCCTTCTCAACTCAGACAGTTCTTGGTACTAATGTGAGGAAACAAACATGTTCAGGCCCTGAACATTTCCGGTGCTGACTCGGCCTTAAACGTTTGTGCCATAATGGAAAATATCTATCTATCTGTTCTCAAATCCTGTTTTTCTCATAGTGTAAACTCACATTTGATGTGTTTTTATGAAGGAAAGTAACCAAGAAACCTCTAGGAATTAGTGAAAAAAGAACTTTTTTGAGGTGTGTTACTATACTGCTGTAAGTTATTTATTATATAAAGTATTGTAAATAGAATAGTGTTGAAGATATGAAATATGGCTATTTTTAATGGTGACAATTATGACTTTTAGTCACTATTAAATTGGGGTTACCTATATCAGTACAATTTGTAGTTGTTTCCAGGTTTGGCTAATAATCATTCCTTAACCTAGAATTCAGATGATCCTGGAATTAAGGCAGGTCAGAGGACTGTAATGATAGAATTAAATTAGTGTCACTAAAAACTGTCCCAAAGTGCTGCTTCCTAATAGGAATTCATTAACCTAAAACAAGATGTTACTATTATATCGATAGACTATGAATGCTATTTCTAGAAAAAGTCTAGTGCCAAATTTGTCTTATTAAATAAAAACAATGTAGGAGCAGCTTTTCTTCTAGTTTGATGTCATTTAAGAATTACTAACACAGTGGCAGTGTTAGATGAAGATGCTGTCTACAAGGTAGATAATATACTGTTTGATACTCAAAACATTTTTCATTTTGTTTAAAGTAGAAGTTACATAATTCTATATTTTAAGTCTTGGGTAAAAAAGTAGTTTTACATTTTATAAAGTAAAGATGTAAATGATTCAGGTTTAAAGCTCTATTTGACTTCCTTTTTTTGTTTGAGATAGCGTCTTGCTGTGTTGCCCAGGCTGGAGTGCAGTGGTGTGATCTCAGCTCAGTGCAACCTCCGCCCCCTGGGATCAAGCGATTCTCCTACCTCAGCCTCCCAAATAGCTGGGACTACAAGGTGCCCTCCAGCATGCCTGGCTGATTTTTGTATTTTTAGTTGAGGTGAGGTTTCACCATGTTGGCCAGGCGGGTTTCGAAATCCTGACCTCAAATGATCCACCCACCTCAGCCTCCCAAAGTGCTGGGATTACAGGCATGAGCCACCACAACCGTCCCACTATTTTACTTTTTAAAATGACATTCCTACTGATTGATTTTTATCTTGCTATAAGTTCGATGACACCGTGAATCTAATAAGGTTCACTGTTGACACAGTACAAGTTACATAGCTAAAATACATAGCATTGAAGACTAATTTTAAGGATTGACAAGAGTTTATTTTCTATTGTGCAATATCTTAAAGGAAGCAACCACCTTTGGGAAAGTGTATCTGCTGCTCCTAGGGCCATGCTTGTATACATATTTAAATAAACATATTCATTTACCCGAGTTAATATTTCTTTTTACTTTTATTTCATTTTCATTCCCTCCTCTTTCAAATTGTTTCTCCCCAATGCACACAGTTTCTAATGTTCTGATTTTTTTAGTTACTAACATTTCACAAAGCAGAACTTAAAAAGCTGTCAAGTTATCTTAGTATTTTCTAAGACAGATGGTATCTTTGTGCTTATTTTTTGTTTTTGTCTTTTTTTCAAGACAGGGTCTCGCTTTGTCACCCAGGCAGGAGGACAGTGGCGCAATTGTGGCTCATGGCAGCCTCAACCTTCCGGGCTCAAGCAATCCTCCCACCTCACCCTCCTGAGTAGCTGGGACTACAGGCATGAGCCACCATGCCTGGCTAATTTTTTTGATTTTTTTGTAGAGATGGGGTCTTGCCATGTTGCCCAGGCTGATCTCGAAATCCTGGACTCAAGCAATCCTCCCACCTCAGCCTCCCAAAGTGCTGGGACTACAGGTGTGAGCCACTGTGCCTGGCCTGTGTCTATTTTTTGAATGGGCAATTTGTACCTTTTGATCCCCAGCCCCTGCTTCCCTCACTAGATGCAGCTGCTGCCATCATTTTCTTGTATCCTTCCATTGTTGGGCCTTTCATATACAAACACAGCCTGTTCTGCCTCATGCATGTTGAGTTTTCAACTTTAAATTTTTTTTTTTTTTTTTTGAGATGGAGTCTCACTCTGTCATCCAGGCTGGAGTGCAGTGGTGCAATCTCGGCCCATTGCAACCTCCACCTCCTGGGTTCAAGCGATTCTCGTGCCTCAGTCTCCTGAGTAGTTGGGATTACAGGTGTGTGCCACCACACCCAGCTAATTTTTGTATTTTTAGTAGAGACAGGGCTTCACCATGTCGGCCAGGATGGTCTGGATCTCCTGACCTTGTGATTCACCCCCCTTGGCCTCCCAAAGTGCTGGGATTACAGGTGTGAGCCACTATGCCCGGCCGTTGAGTTTTCAACTTTAAGTGGGAACTTCAGACTTCATACTTTCTGTGTGCAGAAGACATATGCAGTGATTATAAACAAACTGTACATCTGCCAAAAAAAAAGGCCGGGGGGAGGGAGGAACAAAGGAAAGGAGGAAGGAACTGTTGCGCAGTTATTTATTTACATTGGAAACAGCCCTCGCAGTACGGGTATATGAAGGCCAGACCTGATGAACAGCAGGTGAAACTCTGGGAACCCAGGGCTTAGGATACACAGTGCTTCCTTGTACATTTGTTTCCTTCAGATGGTCACATCCACCACTGAAGCTTTTTAGAAGGCACTTTCCATGACAGATGCAGGTCAAGGTCGCACATTAAAATCGGCCCTAATGCTTTTTGCTGAGTGTGAGTCCCTGACTCTCTTGCGAAGATCCCACCAGCCCTTTTCGTCTTAGCAGAATGAAGGCAGTGCCCTCTGCGGCCCACTAACTTCACAAGCTGAACTCAGACGCTAAGGCAGGACGACCCACGGGCTCCATTCAAGCCTCGCCTCATCTTTCACTGGTTGCTGCTGGAGAAAATCCTTTTTCTTTTTTTTTTTTTTTTGTTGTTTTCTTTGAGACGGAGTCTCGCTCTGGTGCCCAGGCTGGAGTGCAGTGGCACGATCTCAGCTCACTGCAACCTCCGCCTCCCGGGTTCAAGTGATTCTCATGCCTCGGCCTCCCAAGTAGCTGGGATTACAGGCACCTGTCACCATGCCTGGCTAATTGTTCCTATTTTTAGGGGTTTCTCCATGTTGGCCAGGCTGGTCTTGAACTCCTGACCTCAGATGATCCGCTGTCTTCGGCCTCCCAAAGTGCTGAGATTAGAGGCGTGAGCCAGTGCACCCGGCCCATTCTCTTGGTTTTTAAAGCTGAAAACAAGATCCTGGTGTTTGTGGTCTCAGGAGAAGATGCCGTGGCCCTGAGGCCAGCCCTCACCTGGGCTGCGTGAAGAAGGCATGGATCTGCTGTGCCACTGCTTGTCCGACCACCTGCTCCAGTTCCCCAATGGAAGCATTACTCAGTTGCTGGATGCTTGGAAACTTCTGGAGGAGAAGGGGAGCTTTAACTTTTCCAACTCCTGGGATCTGCTGCACGGTTCGAAGGAGCGAAGGCTCAGACAGCAGCAGGGCCCGTTTCTTCCCGAGAAGAGGGTTCTTACTGGGCTCTTTGGTTTGCTCTTGAACCTGAACCACAATGAAAGCAACAGCACGTGAGCGCCCTCTGGAGGACTGGCCGTTTTCTTAAAATATGTTTTGTAGAAATTGCGTTTTTCCATTTGGCTCAGCTTGACTTAAGGGAACAAATGTTTTCATGTATCATGAATATAATTTCTCAGACATCAGTAAAATTATTGAAAGGTGAACCACACAAAGGAGTTAAGACATTAATTTACAAAAATGTGCGTTTTCAGAATGTTTAGAAAAACACACAGATGAATTCAAACACTTTCTGTTGGTCCATTAAGAAACATTTCAGTTGTGCAGGATTAAATGATGGCTACACCTAAACTAGGCCTACTTCACGCAGGAGCTGCAGGAAGCCTGCCTCAAAGGAGAAACCTGGTCTAGTTAGTGGTGGTTATACTAAGGCAGACAACAGTGTTATATCAAGGAAAGTTAGGAACGGTGACGCAAGGGATATAGTAGAGAGGGATCTGTGAACCATTCATGGCTGCTTGCATCTTCAATGTGGCTCTCAACTCTAGCTCCACATCAGAGGGGGTGATTTAAAAACAACACACACATAACAAAGAAAACAAAAGTGAAAAAAACAAACAACACACACACACAATTGATGTTCCCCATGCTGGGATCAGAGGCGTAAGCTACTAAACTGATTTTAAAAATAAGTGTTGGCGGCCGGGCGCGATGGCTCACGACTGTAATCCCAGCACTTTGGGAGGCTGAGGCGGGCACAACACCTGAGGTCGGGAGTTCGAGACCAGCCTGACCAACATGGAGAAACCCCGTCTTTACTAAGAATACAAATTAGCTGGGCGTGGTGGCGGGCACCTGTAATTCCAGCTACTCGGGAGGCTGAGGCAGGAGAATCACTTGAACTCAGGAGGAGGAGGTTGCAGTGAGCCGAGACTGCATCATTGCACTCCAACCTGAGCAACAAGAGCGAAACTCCATCTCAAAAAAAAAAAAAAAAGTGTTGGTTGGTGCGGTGGCCCAGAACTTTGGGAGGCTGAGGCAGGCAGATCACCTGAGGTCAGGAGTTTGAGACTAGCCTGGCCAACATGGTGAAACTCTTATCTCTACTAAAAATACAAAAATTAGCCGGGCATGGTGGTGGGTGCCTGTAATCCCAGGTACTAGGGAGGCTGAGGCAGGAGAATCGCTTGAACCCAGGAGGCAAAGGTTGCAGTAAGCCAAGATTGCACCACTGCACTCCAGCTGGAATGACAGAGCAAGACCCTATCTAAAAAAAAAAAAAAACTGCCCAGGCATGGTGGCTCACACCTGTAATCCCAGCACTTTGGGAGGCCAAGGTGGGCGGATCATGAGGTCAGGAGTTTGAGACCAGCCTGGCCAATATGGTGAAACCCTGTCTACTAAAAATACAAAAATTAGCCGGGTGTGGTGGTGCGTGCCTGTAGTCCCAGCTACTCGGGAGGCTGAGGCAGAAGAATGGCTTGAACCCGGGAGGTGGAGATGGCAGTGAGCCAAGATTGTACCACTGCACTCTGGCCTGTAGGACAGAGCGAGACTCCGCCTCAAAAAAAAGGGAAAAAAAAAAAACTTGCACAAGGTGCTGATGCTTAACAAAAATACGGGATGAGACAAAGCAGCTTCTAGTTAACATTTTCTTTCTTTCTTTCTTTTTTTGAGACAAAGTTTCGCTCCTGTTGCTCAGGCTGGAGTGCAATGGAGCATCTCCACTCACTGCAACCTCCACCTCCTCAGTTCAGGTGATTCTCCTGCCTCAGCCTCCGGAGTAGCTGGGATTACATGCACCCACCACCACGCCCAGCTAATTTTTGTATTTTTAGTAGAGACAGGGTTTTGCCATGTTGGCCAGGCTGGTCTCGAACTGCTGGCCTCAAGTGATCCTCCCGCCTCCGCCTCCCAAAGTGCTGGGATTACAAGCATGAGCCATCACGCCTGGCCTCTAGGTTGACGTTTTCACCAGCGAAAGGGCAGGATAATGACTGATGGAGCCATCACACCCTGAGAATCTAAAATCAGGTCTCCAACTTGTATACTTTGTGATACACTTGCCTGGAGTGTGTGACAAGCTGAGCTGGCTGCAGAGGCAGCTTCCGCATTTAAATTCCTCGAAGAGATTTTATAAACCAAGTCAGAGAATGACATAGATTGGATTGATGGTTGCTTCTGGAGAGCAGCTGAGTGTCCATGAGGACAGGACTACCACGAAGGTGTAGGAATCGGTACTCACCAACTGGATGACGAGGCAGGATGCTTCCATCTGGCTGGCCACTGGAAGCAGCACCATTCCAAGGTCCAGCACAGTAAACTTCTGTAGGGCTGGGAAGTATTGTTCACTCATCCGGGTTTTTTCAACGACTACAATTCCTTTAAGATTATTGGACTTGAAAGGAAAAAAGACAGTAAGTCATTTTGCAACCAAATTGCTTTTCAGGTTAAGAATGCTATCACTTCGTGCCTGACCTGGCCAATGATTTTAAATAAATGATACCAAGGGATGGAGGGAAGGGTGGGGTGAGACAAATCAATGTTCGAGTTTCTTTAATCCAATGCTTACATTTCTTTTTTGTTTTTGTTTTTTGTTTTTTGAGTTGGAATCTCACTCTGTCGCCCAGGCTGGAGTGCAGTGGCGTGATCTCGGCTCACTACAGCCTCTGCCTCCCAGGCTCAAGCAATTCTCCCGTCTCAGCCTCCCTAGTAGCTGGGATTACAGGCGTGCGCCACCATACTCAGCTAATTTTTGTATTTTTAGCAGAGACAGGGTTTCACCATGTTGGCCAGGCTGGTCTCCAACTACTGACCTCAGGTGATCCACCCGCCTTGGCCTCCCAAAGTGCTGGGATTACTGGCGTGAGCCACAGCACCCAGCCTAATACTTACATTTCTAACCCGAACAAGCCTCTTTCTGTAGCCATTTCCTGCCACCAAATCAGCTTCGGTGACATAAAGAATGCAGCATCTGTTCGACAGATAAAAGTCTGGTGTCAAGCCATCCTCGAAAATGAGCTTAATTTTCCCTTAAAATACAGAGAAGAAAATGAGTTCCATAAGCTTTGGATGAAAAGATGGCAATAATAGGCAGATTTTTTTTTTTTAATATGTCAGGGGAGGAAAGGGCTGGCAGAGGGCAGGCCACCGACCTTGCATCTCCTGCGCCAGCTGTGACCCGCGCCATTTCTCATTGGCCACAATATGCCCCAAAGGCACGTGCACGGGGCCCGTATCATCAGGGGGGTTCTTTTCCATGGATGGTCTCCACCTAAGGAGGGAAAAGCCAGGCGGCACTTGAGCAGGCTCTCCTGCACACGGCCCTGCATTCCACTCCAAGCCAGGGCCTCTGGGGCAGGATCCCCTCTGCAAACTGAATTATTTGTCAAAGAACTGTCAAATAAGATTCCCTTTATAATTACTAATAAGAAAACACAGGCTGGGCGCGGTGGCTCACACCTGTAATCCCAGCACTTTGGGAGGCCGAGCGAGGCGGGTGGATCACAAGGTCAGGAGTTCAAGACCAGCCTGGCCAAGATAGTGAAACCGCGTCTCTACTAAAAATACAAAAAAATTAGCCGGGCTTGGTGGTGGGCACCTGTAATCCCAGCCACTTGGGAGGCTGAGGCAGAGAATTGCTTGAATCCGGAAGGCGGAGGTTGCAGTGAGCCGAGATCGCGCCACTGCACTCCAGCCTGGGCGACAGAGCAAGACTCGTCTCAAAAAAAAAAAAAAAAAAGAAAAGAAAAAGAAAACACAAAGGCCTGAATGAAGGCCAGGGTGGCTGGAGACGGGATGTGTGGTGGTGGAGGTGGTAATGGCATTGGATTCCAATAAGGCCAGAGGCACGATCAGATTTAAGTTTTAAAAGAATCCTGGGCTGGGCATGGTAGCTCACGTCTGTAATCCCAACATTGGGCAAGGCTGAGGCGTGAGGATCGCTTGTGCCCAGGAGTTCGAGACCAGCCTGAGCAATACAGCGAGATCCCGTTTGCCAATTATTTGTGGCGAAATAAATTCTCTAAGAACCAGGAGATTCCTGTCCTGGTGTCCGCGTCCTTCATTTTCATCACGTGCCTAGCCCCTGATACCCCAGCTGGATCCGCACCGTAGCTTCTCAGTCCAGTCCAAGGCCCGAATACAGCCGGCAGGAACCCCACCGTCCCAGTCTAGAGATCATGTTACTGGTGGCCGCGCCACCTTCCGGGTTCACGCCCTCGGTGCTCGCCCAGTCCTTCATCCAGCCCGCCCTCCGCCTCCCGCAGCGCCGGATAGGCTGTGGCGTCAGAAATGGACGTCTAACCTGACCAATAAGAGAACGGATAAGGGCGGACGTTTCCGCCCTGGCGGGGATTTGAACGGTACCCACTGGTTGCCAAGAACGACCGGTGTGGAAGTAACCTTAGCTCTGATTGGTCGAGGGCCGAGCTGAGCCAATGGCCGACGTGGTTGCTGCAAAGTCCATTGCGAAGAGAAAGCGTGAGGGCTGGGCCTGCGGCGGGCTTTAGGGAGTGGTCCCTGGCTGTGGATAGATCTGCTGATGAGTCCAGGCCCCGGTCCATTCTCCTCGCGCTGCAAGGATGCTCCTGGGATTTCGGAGAGGCCGCAGGAGTCATTTCGTAAGTAGATGCTCGCCCGCCGCGCGTGGGGCTCTGTGGGGCCGGGAATTAGGGGTAAAGTGTTGGGGCGGGTTGGGGTTTGGCCTGAGATCCAGTCAAGGGGGCGGCACAAGAGAAAGTGGTTTTCAGTTGAGGAAGCCTTGATTTTTCGTGTTCTAAACTTTTTTTTTTTTTTTTAAGAAACAGGGTCTCGCTCTGTCGCCCAGGCTAGAGTGCAGTGGTGCGATCATAGCTCACTGCATCCTCGAACTCCTGGGCTCAAGCGATCTTCCCACCCCAGCCTCCCGAGGAGCTGAGACTACAGGCGCGCGCCACTACTCCCGGCTAATTGTTCAATATTTTTGTGGAAACAGGGATCTTGCTATGTTCCTATGGTGGTCTTGAGCTCCTTAGCCTCCTAAAGTGTTGGTATCACAGGCGTGAGCCACTGTGCCCGGCGTTAACAATCTTCTGCCCCAGGGTCGGCCACAGTTGGACAGGAGCACCCTGCCTCCCCTGTAGCATTCGTCCCCGTGCCCGGAGTTAACTCCTGGACGACGTACACCTGCTGCACTGCTGGATATAGCCATTCTTCATTTTTCCCTCCTCCACCCACCATGTACACCCCATCAGCAAGTCCCATCCGATATACCCACTACATACATCTGCCAGCTGTTCCCATCTCCACCCACACCCCGGCCTCCAGCATCTGTCTGGACTGCTGCGGCAGATCCTCACTGGTTTCTCTGCTTCCACTCTCGCCCTTCCCCTAGGTCCATTCTCCACGTAGCAGCCAAGGGGATTCTTATATTTATTTATTATTTAATTTAGTTTTAGAGACAGGGTCTTGTCCTGATGCCCAGGCTGGAGTACAGTGGCATGATCATAGCTCACTGTGGCTTCAACCTCTTGGGTTCAAGTGATCCTCCTGCCTCAGGCTCCTGAGTAGCTGGGACTACAGGTGTGCACCACCACACCTAGGTATTTTTTATTTATTTTATTTTTTGCCTCACACTCTGCCAAGTCTCAATGCCTGGCTAATTTTAAAAATTATTTTGTAGAGGCCACGTGAGGTGGCTCTCACCTGTAATCCAGCACTTTGGGAGGCTGAGGCAGGCGGATCATTTGAGGTCAGGAGTTCAAGATTAGCCTGGCCAACATGGTGAAAACCCATCTCTACTAAAAATACAAAAATTAGCGGGCGTGGTGGTGGGCACCTGTAATCCCAGCTACACGGGAGGTTGAGGTGGGATAATCGCTTAAACCCGAGAGGCAGAGGTTGCAGTGAGCCAAGATTGTGCCACTGCACTCCAGCCTGGGCGACAAAGCTAGACTCTGCCTCAAAAAAACATAATTTTTTTTTTTTGGTAGAGATGGGGTCTGGGTATGCTGCCCAGGCTGGTCTTAAACCTTGGCTCAAGCAATCCTCTCACCTTGGCCTCCAGAGTGTTGGGATTACAGGTGTGAGCCACTGCATCTGGCTTGAGTTTTTATTTAAAGCCCCAAACATTAATGAGTCCCTGCTGTGTGCTGATACCCACAACTGACAGCTTATGGCCACACGGTCTGTAGGATAGACAAGCCCATAAATAATTCTGTACACAATGGTAAAACAAGAACTGCTGTTGATGTGTGTACCAGAAGGGCAGTGACGTCAGCCTGGAGAGTTGGCCTGGGCCTGGCAGGGAGTAAGGAAAGAATTCTGGGTGCAGAAGACAGCAAATACCAAGGCCTAAAAAAGAATGAATTATTTGCTGTTTGGGAAATGGAAGCCCACGCTGAGTGCTGAAGCACAGGGACTCTGCGCAGGAAGAGGAGGGGAAGCAAGAAATGAATTTGGGTCCTTGTGATGGCAGTGGCTGCTGCCATCACGCTGTGTGGCTAGGGCTGCACACTTCATGGAGCCGGTGGAAGCCCCGTCCCTCATGAGTTGGGACTGGAGCCGCAAACCGCTGCTGCAGACCCAGGCCTTCTGCTCTATGGAGCAGGCAGGAGCCCCACCCTCTTGGGCAGGGCTACAGCCACCCAAACTGCAGCTGTGGATCCGAGCCTCTCTGCTCCTGGGGGAGCCGGGAACAGGCAGAATTTGCCCTTCCAGATGCAGCTGCAGCCGCGCAGGCAGGAGCCAGGGACAAGTGGGAGCCCTGCCTCTTCCAAGTTGGCGGGGTGGGAGCTCCCAGGTGCAGCTGTGGCTGCCCCCCCAGGCACAGGACGAGGGCATCTCTGTAGCCTGCACCATCGGCCATCCCAGGAAGGACAGCCCCCTTCACCCTCCATCCCTGCAGGCTCAGGGGTGTCTGCTTCCACTGCCTGGCCTCTCTCCACTCCAGCAACTGCTCTGATCTTGGAGGGGAGTCGGAGCCAAGACCTGCAGCCATGAATGGCAGCAGGAGGAAGGGGGTGGGGTCCCCAGTAAGGCCCCACCCTCAGGCCAGGGAGGGCCTGAATTCTGGGGGCTGGGCTGCCAGTCCCTCTGACCAGAGTGGAAACTCGTGGAGCCTTTTCTGGGCCTGCCAATGGCCCAATCAGCACACACTTCTTCCCCGCTGAGGTCCATAAAAACCCTGGGCTCAGCCAGAGCAGCGCAGAGAATAGCCAGAGGATGAAGATGGTAGAGACGAGGGGACAGGATGACCAGCTGCAGAGAGCAGTACCCTCTCTGCTGATAGCTGGAGACGGTGGGGTGACCAGCTACAGAGAGGAGTACCTTCTCCGCTGAAAGCTACAGAGACCACCTGCCAGCAGAGAGGAGCTACACTCTGCTGCGAGCTTCAGAGACCTGCAGAGACATTGGAATGACTTGCCTGCGGAGAGGAGCCACTCTCTCCAGGGCCTCCTCTCTGTTGAGAGCTGAATGGTTGAGCTCATGGGACAATCTGTCTCCAGAGAGGAGCTACCCACTCCTCTGAGCTCTTCTAACACTAAATAAAACTCCTCTTCACCCTTCACTTGTCTGTGTACCTCATTCTTCCTGGATGCAGGACAAGAACTCAGGCAAAGGCACTGTGGCCACAGAGGTTCCGGCCAGAAAAATCGACACCCCAAAAATCCCATAACACTTGGTAGGAACCAACCTATATCAGCCTGATAAGCCATGCTGGACATTTGCCTGCCGTTGAGAGAGTGGTGCTGCCCATGAGGGTTTTTATGCCCAGTAGAGACAGGATTGATGAGGGGACCATAGTTAGGAATGATTGTGATGGTATGAGGGGGGATTCACTCTTTAAAAAAAAAAAATCTTATGCAGCCTTTTTGGAGGACCTGCTGGACGCCAGCCCTTGGGATTCAAAGGTTAAGAAAACCTTTTCTGGCCAGGTGCAGTGGTTCACACATGTAATCCCAGTATTTTGGGAGGCCAAGGCAGGCGGATTGCCTGAGGTCAGGAGTTTGAGACCACCCTGGCCAACATGGTAAAACCCCATCTCTACCAAAATACAAAAATTAGCTAGGCATGTTGGCACATGACTGTGGTCCTAGCTACTTGGGAGGCTGAGGCATGAGAATAGCTTGAACCCAGGAGGTGGAGGTTGCAGTGAGCCAAGATCGTGCCACCGCACTCCAGCCTGGGTGACAGACAAGACTGTCTCCAAAACAAGCAAACAAACAAAAACCATTTCTTGTCGTGTAGCAGGTGGTGGAGGGGGGCAGGGTGGAAACATGGAAACTGTGGAATCACTTGACAAATACAGGGTGGCAGGTGCCACACAGAGGTAAACAGAGTGGGGGTATTGGGTAGAGACTGCTTGGAGCTTCTGCTCCTGTGGGTGGCTGTGCAAGTCGGTGGTGGGGGCTGTAGGAGATGACTGGAAGGTGTGCCCATCCCTCACTCCTGAAAGATGCCCCCACTCTGTGCCACCCTTCCCAGCCTTGTGTCTCGTGCTGACCACTACCTAACATTCCTGGGGCCACTGTCAGTGGGTGCTCCTCACTAGGCCTTGGGATTTCCTCCATCTGCTCTGGAAGCCCTTCCCATGGGAATTGTCCCCACCATGCCCCCAAGCCCCACCCTCGAAGATGCCTCTAGTCTAGCAAAACGGAGAATCGTGCTTATGATTTCCGAGCACTGCAACCAATGTCTTGCTCCATTCCTTTGTTCATGCCGTTCCCTCTTCCTAGAATGCTGTTCCGTCACATTTCCAAATGTGGGACCAGTGGGCATCTCTGAAAGCCCAGTCTAAACGCCTGTGTGATTTTCTCGAAGGAAAGCATTTGAAATTCCCAGGCTGGCCCCAGACCTGGAGGAATCTTCCCTCCCTGCCCACCCCAGCACTTTGTGCTAATTACTGGCTTCAAATAGAAAACAATAGTGTTTTTATCCCACATCTCATTGATGCTCTTTTTTTTTTTTTTCATTTTTAGTGAGAGCCTTTCTCCCGGCTCATTCCATAATTCTATGTTCTGTAATAATTATTTGGGTGTTTTTCCTCCCTTCTCACCACTTTGGGGATGAAGACAAGGTTTCTTCATTGCTGTCATGGTGTTTTGCCTCTAGTAGGTGTGAATGAATGGCTCGTGCCAAGAAAATGATTGGACTAGACCCAGAAACGTCTCAGAGACTCCCAGTTACAGTTACCTAAAGCGGAGCTCTCTGACTTTCATTGTGTATAGGAGCTAGTTTTCATTACTCTCGTCTTGGAGATAAGCCACCTAAAAGCTTATATTAAGCCCCTATGAGGTGTGAGGCAATGTGCTCAATGCTAGAGTTCCAGGATTGATAAAGATAAGAGAGTGGGCCAGGTGCAGCACTCGCACCTATAATCCCAACACTTTGGGAAGCTGAGGTGGGAGGATCACTTGAAGCTAGAAGTTCGAGACCAGTCTGGGCAATGTAGTGAGATCCTGTCTCTACAAAAAAATACAAAAATTACCTAGGCATGGTGGTGAACATCTGTAGTCCCGTCTACTCGTGTGGCTGAAGCGGGAGTTTGAGGCTGCGGTGAGCTATGATCGTACCACTGCACTCCACTCTGGGCAACAGAGCAAGACCCCATCTCAAAAACAAAACAAAGCGAAAAACAATAAGGATATCACTTGCTTCTCAGGAAGTCGCCCTGCTCTGCAGGGGGAGCCACATGAGACATCACTGGGGGGAGTGCTGTGGGACACATGGAAGAGCTAGAGGGTGACTCTTGGGGACAGCCAGGGAAGCTCTGAGGAGGGAAGGACAAGAGGGCCACACAATGAGCAGCTATCATGATGCTCCTTGGCTGTGTGCACTTGTCTGGCCTGATGGGGACTGGGGATGGCAGGGGAGGAGTGGGCTTCTGATGGGTTTGGATCCATGGGTGGCCAGTGCAGGTGTCCCCTTGCAGGCCCAGGGAGAGTGGTGACAAGACTCAGGTGATCCAGTGACCCAACCCAGTGACTTCTGTTGGATTTCATTTGTGCAGAAACACATCATCCATGGCCTTTTACCTGCAGCCAGCGTTGCTCCGAAGGCAGCTGTGCCACGCACACCTCCTCCCCGCAGCCCCAACCCATCTCCAGAGAGACCAAGGTGAGTATCAGATGAGCAGGCACTGAGGTCACCCCTGTGCTCAGCCTCCAAGTACTGGATCCTGGAACTGCTCAAACTGCCCAGAAAAGTATAAGTAGGGTGGTTAGAATCATGTCCTTCAAAATGTTTACCACGATTCCATAATGATGCAATTAATATGGTGTCTCTGAGGATAATGGACTGACTTGAGGTCTCTCCTTTTCAGGTGCATGAACTTCTCACATTTCATGATTGAATGCAATGAGTATTTAAAAAAAAATGTAAAGCATTAAAGCCCAAGTATTCAGGTTAACAGGGAATTTTGAATTATACACATAATTTTCTTTCTTTTTTTTTTCCTTCGAAACGGAGTCTTGTTCTGTTGCCCAGGCTGGAGTGCAGTGGCGCAATCTTGGCTCACTGCAGCCTCCACCTCCCAGGTTCAAGCAATTCTCCTGCCTCAGCCTCCGGAGTAGCTGGGATTACAGGCACATGCCACCACGCCTAGCTAATTTTTGTATTTTTAGTAGAGATGGGGCTTCACCATGTTGGCCAGACTGGTCTCAAACTCCTGACCTCTTTCTTAATCCGCCTGCCTTGGCCTCTGAAAGTGCTGGGATTACAGGCATCAACCTCCGCACCCAGCCCATTTTCTTTTTTTTTTTTAATTATTAATTTTTTTTTCAAGGCAAGATCTTGCTCTGTTGCCCAGGCTGGAGTGCAGTGGTGCAATCATGGCTCACTGCAGCCTCCACCTCCCAGGCTCAATCAGTTCTCCCATCTCAGCCCGCCGGGTAGCTGGGACTACAGGCATGTACCACCATGCCCAACTAATTTTTCTATTTTTTATAGAGATAGGGTTTTGCCATGTTTCCCAGGCTGAAATCCTGGGCTCAAGCAATCCACCTGCCTCTGCCTCCCAAAGTGCCTGGGATTACAGACGTGAGCCACTGTGCCTGGCCAAAACAAAAAGTTTTTTCGAGATATGGTCTCATTCTGTTGCCCAGGCTGGAGTGCATTGGTGCGAACGTGACTCACTGCAGCCTCAACCCCCTAGCATCAAGCGATCCTCCTGTCTCAGCGTCCTGAGTAGCTGGGACTACAGGTACACACCACCATGCCTGGCTAATTTTTTAAATTTTCTGCAGAGATGGAGGTCTCACTATGTTGCCCAAGTTGGTCTTGAACTCCTAGGGTAAACTGATCCTGGGAGGCTGAGGCAGGAGAATTGCTTGTGCCCAGGAGTTTAAGATCAGCCTGGGCAACATAGCAAATCCTTATCTATAGCAAAAATCAAAAGAAAATAAATTATCTGAGCATGATGGTGCATGTCTGCAATCCCAGATACTCGGGAGGCTAAGGCTGGAAGATCACTTGAGCCCAAGAGGAAAAGGCTGCGGTGAGCTATGATCATGTCACTGCACTGCAGCCTGAGCAACAGTGAGGCTGTTGTGAGTGAGGCCCTGCCTCTAAAAAAGTTTATTTTAAAAAGATAATTAATAGGGTAGCTCCTGAAAAAGAAAAAAAGATAATAAATATATCTATCATTCTGACAAGGGTCCTCATGCTCCTTTGTAATTCCTTCCCCCTGCCCCTCTCTGCCACCTTTCATGCTCCTGTTCATCCCCAGGCAACCTCTCATCTCCTTTCTCACACTATGGATTAGCTTGTATTTTCTAGAATTTTATATAAGTGGAGTTACATAAAATACACTGCCTTCCTTCACTCAGCATGATTATTCTGATTAACGCGTGTTCCGAAAGTCAATAATTCATCCTTTTCCTTACTGAGTAGTATTTCATTATATGAATATGCCACAGTTTGTTTATCCATTCTCCTGTTGATGGATATTTAGTTTGTTTCTAATTTTTGGTTACTAGAAAAAGGCTGCTGTAAACATTTACACACTGGCTGAGTGTGGTGGCTCATGCCTATAATCCCAGCAATTTGGGAGGCTAAGGCAGGCAGATCACCTGAGCTTAGTAGTTTGAGACCAGCCTGGTCAACACGGTGAAAACCTATCTCCACTAAAAATACAAAAATTAGCTGGGTGTGGTGGTGCACTCCTGTAGTCCCAGCTACTGGGGAGGCTGAGGCACGAGAATCGCCTGAACCTGGAGGCAGAGGTTGCAGTGAGCCCAGATCGCACCACTGTACTCTAGCCTGGGCAACAAAGCGAGACTTATATCTCAAAAAAAAAAAAATGTATACACAAATGTTTGGATACATACTTTCATTTCTCGGGTAAATATCTATAACTGGGCCTTATACTAGGCAGGTATTTAATTTATTAAGGAACTGTCAAACTATTTTCCAAGGTCATTGTCCCATTTATGTTCCCACCAACAGTATATGAGTCCAGTTGCTTCATATTCTCACCAACACTTGGTTTGGTCAGAGTGTGTGTGTGTGTGTGTGTGTGTGTGTGTGTGTGTGTGTTCATGTGCATGCGTGTGAGTGCGTGTGTGTGTGTGTGTGTGTGTGTGTGGTCTTTTATAACTTGGACAGTCAGTGGTTAGTTTTCATCCACATTGACTGTAGGTTTTTGAAAGTGGTGACAGTTGCATAGCTAACCAATGTACAGAGCTTGTTTGATCAATCTTCATCTTCATTACGCTTTCTGGACAGTGGTACACAGATAGGGTGAGGGATATTCCTTACTCCTTTGTCTGAGACAGCTTTGTTGAGCCCGGCATCAATGCACACATCTCGAGTTCCTAGCTCTTTCATGGAAAATTTCCAGATCTCTTTGTGTATGCCAGGGGCAGTGTCTTAAAGCACACTCCATAGGTGTGCTCATGAGTGCTGATAGTGTGCTTTCTGGTCACAACCTTGTTGACGACAGAACAACCCTTCTTATTGCCCTCCTTTGTGGAATCCATTCTCATAGGCCCAGTTTAGAATAAAAGAGCACAAGGGGTTGTCTTGGTCAGTTTTTAAAATTTTGGACATTTCATGAGCGTGTACTAGTATTTCATTGTGGTTATTTTTGTTTTTTTGTTTTTGAGATGGAGTCTGTTATTTTTGATCAGAGTCTCATTCTGTCACCCAGGCTGGAGTGCAGTGGAACGATTTCAGCTCACTTCAACCTCCGCCTCCTGGATTCAAGCGATTCTCATGCTTCAGCCTCCTAAGTAGCTGGGATTACAGGCATGCACCACCACACCCGGCTAATTTTTGTATTTTTAGTAGAGATGTGGTTTTGCCATGTTGGCCAGGCTGATCTCAAACTCCTGACCTTAAGTGATCCACCCGCCTCGGCCTCCCAAAGTGCTGGGATTACAGGCGTGAGCTACCGCGCCTGGTCTTATTTTGCATTTCTCTAATGGCTAATGGTATTGAGCATTTTTTTCATGTGCTTATTTGTCATCTTTATATCTTTTTTAGTAAAGCATCTGTTCACATCTTTTGCCCATTTATAAAAATTGGGCATTCCTTGTTGGTCACAAGTCCTGTTGCAGATCTAAGAACCATCTTGGGAAGGCCGTTGGACTCAGGATCATGTTCAGTTGGAGGCAATGACATTTTTCATCCAGGAGACGTAAGCAGAGACCTGGGTGAAGACTGTGGGTTTCCTGGAGACATCACAGCCCTGGCTTGTTTTCCATTATTGCATCCTGAGGGTTCATTATATAGTATCAATACAAGTCTTTTATCAAATATGTGATTTGCAAGTCTTTTCTCTCTATCTATGGCTTGTCTTTTCATTCTCTTAAACAGTGCCTTTCAAAGAGCAGAAGTTATTAATTTTTATGAAGTCCAGCTTACAATTTTTTCTTTTATGGATCATGCTTTCAGTATCTCATATTGAAGAAATATTTACCTAACCTAAGGTCACAAAGGTTTTCTCTTATATTTTCTTCTAGAAGTGTTATGGTTTTCGGCTTTACAGTTAGGTCTGTAATCCATTTAGAGTTAGTGTTTGTAGATGGTGCGTGTATTAGTCCGTTCTCACACTGCTGTAAAGATACTACCTCAGATGTGGTAATTTATAAGCAAAGGAGATTTAATTGACTCACAGTTCTGCATGGCTGGGGAATCCTCAGGAAACCAACAATCATGGCAGAAGGGGAAGCAGGCATGTCTTACATGGCGGCAGATGAGAGAGAGCGAGCATGTGAGAGCTCAGAAGAAACTACCATTTGTAAAACCATCTGCTCTTGTGAGAGCTCACTATCACAAGAACAGGATGGGGGAAACCACCCCCATAATCCAATCACTTTCCTCCTTCGACACATGGGGATTACAATTTGAGAGGAGATTTGGGTAATGGCACAGAGCCAAACCATATCAGTGTGTAAGGTATAGATCCATGATTTTTTTTTTTTTTTGCATATGGAAATTTGATTTTTCCAGCACCATTTGATGGTAAGGCTATTAGTTATTTATTGCTGTGTGACAATTGCACCAAAATGTAGTAATTTAAAACAAAACAGCAGCTGGGCGTGGTGGCTCATGGCTGTAATCCCAACATTTTGGGAGACTGAGGCAGGAGGATTACTTGAGCCCAGGAGTTCCAGACCAGCCTGGAGAACATATTGAGACCCCATCTCTACAAAAAATATAAAAATTAGCCAGGTGTGGTGGCGTGTGCCTATAGTCCCAGCTATTCAAGATACTGAGGTGGGAGGATCACTTGAGCCCAGGAGGTTGAGGCTATACTGAGCTGTGATTGCGCCACTGTACTCCAGCCTGGGCAACAGAGTGAGATCGTCTCAAAAAAAAGCCCCAAAACCAAAATATGAAAAATGGTGGTTTTTATCCCACATCTGATTGATGCTCTTTTTTTTTTTTTTTTTTTTGAGATGGAGTCTCGCTCTGTCGCCCAGGCTGGAGGGCAGTGGCGCGATCTCGGCTCACTGCAAGCTCCACCTCCCAGGTTCACGCCATTCTCCTGCCTCAGCCTCCCAAGTAGCTGGGACTACAGATACCCGCCACCACGCCCACCTAATTTTTTTTTTTTTTTGTATTTTTGGTAGAGACAGGGTTTCACCATGTTGGCCAGGATGGTCTCCATCTCTTGACCTCATGATCCGCCCTCCTCAGCCTCCCAAAGTGCTGGGATTACAGATGTGAGCCACTGTGCCTGGCCGGGTCTTTCTTATATGATTTGTTAGGTGGGGTGTGGAGCAGTGCCCAGCCAGGGCTAATTATTCCCCAGTACCCAGGCCAGACCTTTCTGAGTGCTGCACCCGGCATCTTGTGAATGATAGGTTTCTCCAGTCTTCCTGGTGGGAGCAGCTGCCGTCTTGGGCTGTATGTAAGCACCTGGCACTGCTCCTCTGATCCTGGTGAATGGTTCTTCCTCCACTGTCTGGTAATTTCCTCACACTTGTGTGCTGCACTGTATCCCGCTGAAACTAGGGGACCTTCTGCAGATCTCCTCGTTCTCTCTGTGCAGTTCTCTCCTTTCCGGCACTCTATCCTACACATTCTCTCAGCTCCATCTCTGCAACTCAGGGAGTCTGCCTGGCTCCACCCATTCCTCCTCCCTGTGCTGTGACCTGGAAATTTTCCTAGGCAGCAAGCTGGGACGGTGGTCTTTTGTTTTGTTTTACTATTTTTTTTTTTGAGATGGAGACTTGCTCTGTTGCCCAGGTTGGAGTGCAGTAGTGCAATGTAGGCTCATAGTAACCTCCACCTCCCGGGTTCAACCGATTCTCCTGCCTCAGTCTCCTGAGTAGCTGGGATTACAGGTGCGCGCCACCACACCTGGCTAATTTTTTTGTATTTTTAGTAGAGATGAGGTTTCACCGTGTTAGCCAGGCTGGTCTCGATCTCCTGACCTCGTGATCCACCCACCTCGGCCTCCCAAAGTGCTGGGATTATAAGCATGAGCCACCGCGCCTGGCCTTGTTTTACTTTTTTAGGCAGGAGGGTAAATCTGTTTACTCTAACTTTCCTGTAAAATATTCCTGAGTAATTCACAAGTATTTTTAAAGTCCCCTTTTAAATCTTTTAGTCTTTCTATATCTCATTTTCTTTTTCCATTCTGATCTTCCATTCTAATAAGAAAACTACTTGAATGTAGGCTTTTGTGTCTGCCTGGATTAGAGGCCCTGTTCTACCTCCTATTGGCTAGGTAATCTTTACAAGTCATTTAATTTCTATGGAAAATGGGATGACAATAATATGTAGTCATACAGTTGTGTGAGAATCAAATGAGATTGTCTGATGGCCTGCGGTAGATGATGGGTGCAGAGTAAATGCTCAGTCGACACTGTCCAGCAGAAGGTAAGCCTTGATGAGTTTATGTACCTTGTTCAGCATTCACCTGGAATGTTCATGTCTCACTGTCTCCATGGGATGTTTTTGTCCGCAGATCTGCTCTGGCAGCAGCCATTCTGGCGACAACATTGACTGGGCGGACGGTTGCTATTCCTCAGCCTCGCCAGAGGTCCCGGTCTGAGAGTGATGTGAGCAGTGTTGAACAGGACAGCTTCATCGAGCCCTATGCCACCACCTCACAGCTGAGGCCTCGGTAGGTACCAGATCGCCGCCTCTGCTTCCTCTGAGAGTGGAAGAGGGGCAGGCTCAGCCTGGTCTCTACGTGTATGTGTGCATGCGTACATGTGTGTGCATGTGTACCTGTGTGGGTGCGTGGGTGCTCATGCATGTATTTATGACTAGAGTCTTAGTCACTGGGTTTTCATCACCAATGTCAAATGGACACTGTCCAGCAACCTAATTGCTCTGCGATCTGGATTTCCTCCATAGTGGATCTTGTTAGATTTTGACTTGTATGGGTCCTGGCCATTTTCACAGCGGCACAGAGCTAATGAATTCAGCGCTGCTTCCAGCCCTTAGTAAGTTTCTTTGTGCAGCAACCTGAACAGTGAGAGTGGTCCCTCCTTACCTCTCACGTGTATCTCTGGACATTCACATTAATTTGATCTTCTTGGCAGCTGCAGTTTAGCCTTTTTTCTTCATCATCTTTTCCTTTGTTGCTTGTCCTGGGTTTGAGCTGACACAGGGCTAGGGGGTCAGGAAGGTTTCCTCCTGAGGAAGAAAGGGTCAAGGGGAGAGCTTAGGATGTACAGGAATCATCTAGGAACAGCTCAAGGGCTAGGCATGATCTTTGTGGGGCTGGGATGAGCTTTCCAGACAGAAACGAGGGAGTGTGACACAGGTGGCAGTGGAAAGAGGATGTTTGGGATGCGAGATGGGGCTGGAGGAGTGGGCAGGGACCAGGCTGGGGGTGCCTTTGGTGTCCTGTTTAGAGGGTTGGTGTCTGCCTTTGGAGTGGTGGGAAGACACTGGAGGTCTCTAAGGGTGCATGGGGCAGGGATGGGAGTAGGGATCCACGATCACATTTGTCTGTTTTTTTTTTTTTTGTTTTGTTTGTTTTGTTTTGTTTTGTTTTGAGACAGAATTTCACTCTTGTTGCCCAGACTAGAGCACAATGGCACAATCTTGGCTCACTGCAACCACCGCCTCCTGGGTTCAAGCCATTCTCCTGCCTCAGCCTCCTGAGTAGCTGAGACTACAGGCACACGCCACCACACCTGGCTAATTTTTGTATTTTTAGTAGAGACGGGGTTTCTCCATGTTGGTCAGGCTGGTCTTGAACTCCCGACCTCAGGTGATCCACCCGCCTCGGCCTCCCAAAGTGCTGGGATTACAAACGTGAGCCACCATGCCTGGCCACATTTGCCTTTTTAATTGTCACGTATATTCACCTTTGTGTTGGGTTGACTTTTTTGAGACAGAGTCTCACTCTGTTGCCCAGGCTGGAGGGCAGTGGTGCAATCCTGGCTCACTGCAACCTCTGCCTCCTGGATTCAAGCGATTCTCCTGCCTCAGTCTCCTGAGTAGCTGGGATTACAGGCGTGTGCCACCTCTCCCGGCTAATTTTTGTATTTTTAGTAGAGATGAGATTTTGCCATGTTGGCCGGTCTGTAATCCTGACCTCTGGTGATCCGCCCACCTTGGCCTCCCAAAGTGCTGGGATTACAAGTGTGAGCCACTATGCCTGGCCTGTGTAGGCTTTTTTGATATACTAAATATTCTGTATTTTATATTTAGTAAAATCTATCCATTTTTTCTTTACATTTTCTGTAATAATTGTAAATTTAGTAAGACCCTTCCTACTATTAGTATTATATAAATACTTAATGTATTTCCTTCTAGGGCTTGTTTTTATTTTTGTTTTGGCCAAAAATATTGCTACCATTTTGAGATATTTGAATTTAACCTTTTTTTTTTTCCTGGTAAGCATTATACTTTGGCTGAGTAAAAACTAAAAACGAGTAAATCGTTCTAAAATTCAGTGGAAAAAATAAGCACGTAAGACCATCAGAGGAGATGGTCTGACCCACAGGAGTGCTGGACTATCCCCATTGTATTTTATTTTTTGGCGGGGGGGGGATTTTTTTGTTTTGTTTTGACACAGGATCTCATTCTGTTGCACAGGCTGGAGTGCAATGGCACAATCATGGCTCACTGCAACCTCCTCTTCCTGGGGTCAAGTGATTCTCCTGCCTTAGCCTCCCAAGAAGCTGGTACCACAGATGCTTGCTACCGTGCTTGGCTAATTTATTTATTTGTTTTTATATTTATTTATTTATTTTTGAGCCAGAGTCTTGCTCTGTCACTCAGGGTGGAGTGCAGTGGCATGATCTCGGCTCACTGCAACCTTTGCCTCTTCAGTTCTAGCAATTCTCCTGCCTCAGCCTCCAGAGTAGCTGGGACTACAGTTGTGCGCCACTACACCTGGCTAATTTTTGTATTTTTAGTAGAGACAGGGTTTCACCATGTTGGCCAGGCTGGTCTCAAACTCCTGGCCTCAAGCCATCTGCCCACCTTGACCTCCCAAAGTGCTGGGATGACAGGCATGAACCACTGTGCCCAGCCCAGGCTAATTTTTATTTTTATTTTGTAGAGACAGGGTTTCCTGATATTACCCAGGCTGGACTTGAACTTCTAGCTTCAAGAGATCCTCTCTCCTTGGCCTCCCAAAGTGCGGGATTATAGGTGTGAGCCATGCTCATGCACGCACATACACTCAATTTCAAGAACTATTTCCGATTAAATCCACAACCACCCCATCTCTGACTTTTCCATCAACCTAGGTAAACCTACCTTTGCCAAACCCTAAAAACAAGAGACTAAAAAGCAACCCAGTCAGAGCCCAGAAATTATATTTTAACCACGAACATCCCAACAGCTACCCCTCAATTGATGCAATAAAAAGCCATTGTGCCCAGCCCTGTCATATTTTAAAACATATAGATAAAGTAGCAAGAACAGTGTAGGACTAGTTGAGTGATACAGAGGTGCCCAGGAATGCCCTGAGGTGAACGTAGTGTTTCTACAAGCATACTGAATCTTTAATAAAGCCTGTCCCACAGCTCAAAGGGGAAGGAAAGCATTCAGTGCTATATTGATTAGCAGTATTAGAAATCAGCTTTGAGCCTCGCCTAAGTCATACACTAAAATAAATTCCTAATGAATGAAGGACTATACTCTATAGACACACAAATAAGACTGTGAAATCCAATATCCAGTCTTATCACACCTCTTCAGGGATATGACTGCTATTTGCTTTTACACCAAGAATTTAGAAAGTAAAAAAACCTTTTTAATCGCTTTTATGTTTAAGAAATTTATATAAGCAAAATAATATTAATAGAACAGAAAAAACATTTATAGTAAAAGCAAAGTCAGGACTTTAATTTTAGTAGATTAATTTTAGTAATTTCAAATTGGAATGGAAGTCAAGTGTGGTGGTTCACACCTGTAATCCCAGCACTTTGAGAGGCTGAGGTGGGAGGACTGCTTGAGATCAGGAGTTTGAGACCAGCCTGGGCAACAAAGTGAGACCCCCATCTCTACAAAAAAATACAAAAATCATCCTGGCATGGTGTTGCTCACCTGTAGTCCCAGCTGCTTGGGAGGCTGAGGCAGGAGGATCACTTGAGCCCAGGAGGTCAAAGTTGCAGTATGATCTTGTCACTTCACTCCACCCTGGATGACAGAGTGAGACCCTGTCTCAAAAAAAAAAACAAAAATAAAAAAAGAAAAAACAGGCCGGGTGCGGTGGCTCACGCCTGTAATCCCAGCATTTTGGGAGGCCGAGATGGACGGATCACGAGGTCAGCAGATCGAGACCATCCTGGCCAACATGGTGAAACCCTGTCTTTACTAAAAATACAAAAAATTAGCTGGCGTGGTGGCGGGCGCCTGTAGTCCCAGCTACTCAGGAGGCTGAGGCAGGAGAATGGCGTGAACCCGGGAGGTGGAGCTTGCAGTGAGCCAAGATGGAGCCACTGCACTCCAGCCTGGGGGACAGAGCGAGACTCCATCTCAAAAAAAAAAAAAAAAAAAAAAAAGAACCAAATTGGAATGGACATACCAGAAGTAAAACAGACAAAGGACCTGAACACAAGTATATGGAAAAACATTCAGTCTCAGTAACAAATGCAAATTTAGACAGTGGGTTTTAAGTTGTTTTGGCAAGTTTTAGAAAATTATTACCAGTGTATTTATAGCTTGGAGAAATGATTTTGTGCAGTATGTATGTAGACACAAAATGTTCACACCATTTGACTCAAGAATTTACTGTATGGGCCGGACACAGTGGCTCACGCCTGTAACCTCAGCACTTTTTGAGGCTGAGGCGGGCGTATCACTTGAGGTCAGGAGTTCAAGACCAGCCTGGCCAATGTGGTGAAACCCCATGTCTACTAAAAATACAAAAATTAGCCAGGCATGGTGGCAGGCGCCTGTAGTCCCAGCTACTCGGGAGGCTGAGGCAGGAGAATCACTTGAACGCGGGAAGCGGAGGTGGCAGTGCACTGAGATCGCGCCACCACACTCCAGCCTGGGTGACAGAGCGAGACTCCATCTCAAATAAAAAAGATAAAGAAAAAAAGAATTTACTCTATGGCGGTTTGTTTTATGTGAGTAACCTTAAATACAGTAGGGGTTATCTGCACACAGATGTTTATTACAGGGTTATCTACAACAATGGAAAGTGAAGGAAAAAAACCCCACCTAAGCAAGGAAAATGGCTGGTTAAGCTGGTATATCTAGTGGATTCCTACCTTTTAAAATGTTGACTATAAAAACTCATTAATAGGCTGGGGACAGTGGATCATACCTGTAATCCCAACACTTTGGGAGGTTGAGGTGGGTGGATCTCTTCAGCTCTGGAGTTTGAGACCAGCCTGGGCAACATGGTGAAACCCCTTCTCTACTAAAAATACAAATAAACAAACAAACAAAAAATTAGCTGGGTATGGTGGAGTGCATCTCTAGTCCCAGCTACTCGGGAGGCTGAGGTAGGAGGATCACTTGAGCTGGGGAGGTGGATGCTGCAGTAAGCCAAGATTGCACCTCTGCATTCCAGCCTGTGTGGCAGAATGAGACCCTGTCTCAATTTAAAAAATAAAAATACTTATTAATAGCAGGCTGGGGCCAGGCATGGTGGCTCAGGCCTGTAATCCCAGCACTTTGGGAGGCCGAGGTGTGCAGATCATTTGAGGTCAGGAGTTTGAGACCATCCTGGCCAACATGGTGAAACCCCATCTCTACTAAAAATAGAAAAATTAGCCAGGTGTGGTGGCGAGTGCCTGTAATCCCAGCTACTCAGGAGGCTGAGGCAGGAGAATCACTTGAACCCGGGAGGCAGAGGTTGCAGTAAGCCAAGATTGCACTACTATACTCCATCCTGGGTGACAGAGTGAGACTCTGTCTCAAAATAATAATAACAATAATAATAACAACAGGCTGGGCTCAGTGGCTCATGCCTGTAATCCTAGCACTTTAGGAGGCTGAGGCAGGCGGATCCCTTGAGCCAAGGAGTTCAAGACCAGCCTGGACAACATGGTGAAACCCCGTCTCTACAAAAAATACAAAAACTAGCTGGGCTTGGTTAGTCCCAGCTATTGGGAGGCTGAGACTGGAGGATCACCTGAGCCCAGAGAGATTGAGGCTACAGTGAACCATGATTGCACCACTTCACTCCAGCCTGGGAGACAGAGTGAGACCCTGTCTCAAAAAAAAAACAAAAAAACAAAAAACCCTTATTCATAACAAGACAAATTGTATATGTATGCAGTAACTCTAAAAACAGAAACTAGAAGGATATGCCAAGTGTACAAAGAGATGGGACGGTGGAAAATTTAATCTTTTAGCTTCTGTGTACTTTGTAGTATCCCACATTTATGGTAAGGACTTGGAGGCAGTGCATTTAATACATGATACTGGCCGGGCACAGTGGCTCACGCCTGTAATCCCAGCACTTTGGGAGGCCGAGGCGGGCGGATCACGAGGTCAGGAGATCGAGACCACCGTGGCTAACAGGGTGAAACCCCATCTGTACTAAAAATACAAAAAAAAAAATTAGCCAGGCGCGGTGGTGGGCACCTGTAGTCCCAGCTACTCACTAGGCTGAGGCAGGAGAATGGCGTGAACCCACGAGGCGGAGCTTGCAGTGAGCCGAGATTGTGCCACTGCACTCCAGCCTGGGCGACAGAGCAAGACTCTACCTCAAAAAAAAAAAAAAAAAAAGATATTTATCAGTGTCAAGTGTTAAGTGACTTTTTGTTTGTTTTCCCCATGAATATTCTAATACAGGCCAAATTGGCAGAGTGAGATGGGAAGAAGATCTTCTTTGCCATCCTTTGAAACACTGGACTATGGGGACGAAGAGGACATTGAAACTCAGCTGTCATCCAGCGGCAAGGAATTGGGGGATGTCAGTGCCCGGGAGGACAGAGGAGGCCACAGTGATGACCTGTACGCTGTGCCACACAGAAATCAGGTGTTTTCTATGTTCCCAGTTTTCTTCTTGACATTCACCCTGATGTTAACTTTTGGTAAATTAGTGCATTGCTAAGGATTTCTTCTCTCTATTCTGCATTTGATAGCATTTGCTTTGGGGCTTATTTTTTTAAACGTGTCCAGCCTCATTTCTATCTGGTTAGATTAAAACATAAACTTCTTTCCTTTATCTTGCAAAAACAAAGATTAACATCTTCATATTGTTAATGTGGAGTTCCATTCACAGCTTAGCAATCTCGTTCTTTTCTTTGACCTTGGAAGCTAAATTTCCTATCACTTTTATGGTATCATTTTGCACACTGCAGCCTTTCTTTAAATTCATGCCTGACGGGGAAGATCGTCATGCGTGTCTCAATGGGAGCTGACGTGCTTTGAGTGTTTACTGTGAGCGCTCCCGTTTCTAACTCCTGTGTGCATTTATCTTAGCTGACCCCCACTGACTCGCTGAGGAATTCCCTTCATTGCCCTGTCACACATCAGGGCACTGCACACAGAGAGATTCAAGGAAACATACTTCTCCACTGCCAGCTGCTCTGCGAATCCCGATTTTTAAACTGCTCCCAGGGTTTTGGAAACTAGATAATGACATTTCTTTAATGGCAAAATATAGCACCATATCCCTTTTTCCTTTATTTTTTTCTTTCTTTTCATTTCTTTTCTTTTTCTTTTCTTTTTTTTTTTTTTTTTTTTTGAGACAGAGTCTTGCTCTGTCCTCCAGGCTGGAGTGCAGTGGCACCATTATAGCTCACTGTAGCCTCAACCTCCTGGACTCAAGTGATCCTCCCACCTCAGCCTCCCAAGTAGCTGGGACTACAGACACACACCACCATGCCTGGCTATTTTTTGTGCTTTTTGTAGAGACAGGGTTTCTCCATGTTGCCTAGGCTGGTCTTGAACTCCTGACCTCAAGCGATCCGCCTGCCTCAGCCTTTCAAAGTACCTGGATTACAGGTGTGAGCCACTGTGCCTAGCCCCTTTTTCTTTTTTTCACCATCATTATAATGTGTTATTCATAGTGTCTGTACATATAGACCAGCAGCATTAAGCTACACCGGTATTGATTATATGTATATTAATTAGCCCCTACTATATTAAAACACTTTTTTTTTTTTAAATTGAGATGGGGTCTCACTGTCCCCAGGCTGGAGTGCAGTGGCACGATCCTAGCTCATTATAGCCACCTCCTCCTGGGCTCAAGTGATCCTCCCACCTCAGCCTCCCGAGTAGCTGGGGCTTTAGGCACGCGGCACCACAACTGGCTTTTTTTTTTTTTTTCTATAGGGCCAGGGTCTTGTTATGTTAGCCAGACTGGCCTTGAACTCCTGGGCTTAAGCAATCCTCTTGCTTCGGGCTCCCAAAGTGTTGGGATTACAGGCATAAGCCAACGCCCCTGGCCCTAAAATACATTTTAAATGGTCTTCAGGAGCTTATTTTGAGGGATCCTTATGTGGCTGTTTCATGAACTCACCATCATTTTCCCACATATACAGACTTTCACACATAGAATTAGGCTTCTCATAGCAAGCAGCTCTGGAATAGGCAGACACTGCCCAGAGCTCAATATGGACAACTGTGCTCCTGTCGAGCTCTGCAGGGCTCAGAATCAGTCCCACTGCTCCTCACCCGCACACTTGCCGGCTGGTTATTTTGTACCGATGTTACACATAGAGTCATATCTCTCCACTGTTCTAGAGGGAAAGCTTACTACAATATTTCCCTTGGAAGAAAGAGATACAGTGACCTACAGAGACTCTTTCCTTGCTAGAAGGACAGATATTTTGTTTTTTTAGGCAAGTCTGTTAGGGTGGCTTTAGGAGCCATGTGTAGTAGGAAAATTTTTAAATTTTAACATGTGAAAAGTAGAAAATAATAAATAATAAAATGTTACCATTAGGGTAGATGTTGCCTTGTCCCCTAACCCCACTCCCTCCTTGGAAACTCATCTTTTCTTGGATTTGGAGTGCATCCTGGAAGTTTGTGTTTTTATTCTTTTACTACAAGTTTAAGTAAACAACTGTAGTAGTGTGCGTGTGTGTGTGTGTGTGTGTGTGTGTGTGTGTATATATATATATATATATATATAATTTTTTGTTGTTGTTTATTTCTTTTGAGACAGAGTCTTGCTCTGTCGCCCAGGCTGGAATGTAGTGGTGCAATCTTGGTTCACTGCAACCTCCGCCTCCTGGGTTCAAGTGATTCTCCTGCCTCAGCCTCCCAAGTAGCTGGGACTACAGGTGCCCGCCACCATGCCCAGCAAATTTTTGTATTTTTAGTAGAGATTGGGTTTCATCATGTTGGCCAGGATGGTCTCGAACTCCTGACCTCAGGTGATCCTCCCAAAGTGTTGGGATTACTGGCGTGAGCCATTGCGCCCAGCCAAGCCTTTTAAAGTATGTTTATATAAAGTATCACAAATTCTTTATGAAGGTATGTTTTTAGTAGACTTATTTATTGATATATAAAATATGCACAAGAAGTGAGTAAATCATAAGTGCACATTTCGATACATTTTCAAAAAGTAGCCACCACTCAGATTAAAAAAAAATTACTTGTACCCTAGAAATCACCCTTCTTCTTAGTCACTACTTCCCACAGAGTTAACCATTGCCAAGATTAGCTTTAATCTTTAAAAATAACCTGAGATTAGCTTTGCCTGTTCTGAAAATTTACATGCATTTAATTAGACGATATGCATTATTTGGAGTTTGGGAGTCTTCAGTTATTGTGTATAGCAGGGGCGGGTTTGTTCTCATTGCTGTATATTTTACTGTACAACCGTGCCACTCAGTTATTCATTTTACTGATGACAGAGACTTAATTGGTTCCAGTTTGGGACTCTTAGGAATAGTGCTGCTGTGAACATTTGGCGATGTGTCCCTTGATGTACATATTTGTGTATTTCTGGTGGGTATATACTGAGGAATGGTATGTGTATGGTCATAGGGTATATGTACCATCAGCTTTAGTACCAGTAGATACTGCCAAACGATTGTCCATATTGAGCATCTTCTTAATGCTTTTTTTGTGGGGGTGAAGGGGGCAGAGTTTCACTCTTATTGCACAGGCTGGAGTGCAATGGCACGATTTCTGCTCACTGCAACCTCCGCCTCCTGGGTTCAAGCAATTCTCCTGCCTCAGCCTCCTGAGTAGCTGGGATTACAGGCATGTGCCACCACACCTGGCTAATTTTATATTTTTAGTAGAGACAAGGTTTCTCCATGTTGATCAGGCTGGTCTTGAACTCCCGACTTCAGGTGATCCGCCTGCCTTAGCCTCCCAAAGTGCTGGGATTATAGATGTGAGCCACCATACCTGGCCCCTAATGCTTTTTAAGTCATCTTACCTATTTCACATTTCCTTGAGAATAGTGAGTCACTTAATATATTTTTGACAGGTTGAACAAGGAAGTTTGTTCCTGGGAGATAAAAAAGCTTGAGGTCGGCCTTGCGTGGTGGCTCACACCTATAATCCCACCACTTTGGGAGGTGGAGGTGGGAGGATCATTTGAGGACAAGAGTTCAAGACTGGCCTGGACACCATAGTGAGATCCTGTCTGTATTAAAAAAAAAAAAAAGTACGGGGCCATTTACTTTTTCTTTCTTCAAATGATGAGTATCTTGGGAGACCTGTTTGCTTCTCTTGAGCCAGGTCATCTTGGAACCATGTCCACAGAGACAGGTGGACGTAGCAGCCTTAGCTCTTACTCTGAAATGCCCCTTCTCATGGGCGTCTTGCTAGTCCCTGCCACCACCTCCTTGTCAGCCCCAGGGACAGCCCTTCCATTGCCTGCAGTGCAGCCCAGCTAAGCCAAACTGATCACAAAAGCAAGATTTTACTGAAGAATCAGGAGAGCCAAAGGGCAGCCCACCCAGACAGCGCCAGTCACAGTTTACCATGTAACAACTGGTTCAGGTCGAGTGCAGTGGCTCATGCCTGTAATCACAGCCCTTTGGGAGGCCAAGGCAGGAGGATCACTTGAGGCCAGAAGTTCAAGACCAGCCTGGACAACATACTGAGACCCCATCTCTACAAAAAATTTAAAAATTAGCTGGGCTTGGTGTCATACGCTTGTAGTCCTAGCTACTGGGAGGCTGAGGTGGAGGATTGCTTGAGCCCAGGAGGTAAAGGCTGCTGCAAGCCATGATTGCGCCACTGCACTCCAGCCAGGGTGACAGAGTGAGACCATGTCTTAAAAAAAGAAAAAAAAAAAGACCTGCTTCACTGTTCTTTCTCTTCCTCTTAGGCAGCCTCTGTCCCTACCCCCAGGCTCCTGCCAATGGAAATATCTCCTCCTCATCAGCGGCAGGTCCCATTCCTGGCCCATGGGCCTCTCTAAAGGACAACTCTGTGTCCCTGCCATGTTGGGATGAAACAAAATTTCAGCAGCTCCTATATAGCTAACATGAATGGTTACCTATATAGGAGCTACTCTCAGTCAGTAGAGGGGAGTCCCTCAGTAAATGAAATTTACAGTGGACTTACATAATTGGTGAACATAGGAGGCTTCAATGAGAGTCCTCCCAGGGGAGGTCAGCACTGCTTGTCCCACATAGAAATGATTAACACAGGCTGGGTGCAGTGGCTGTCATCTGTAATCCCTGCATTTTGGGAGGCTGAAGCAGGAGGATCGCATGGGCCCTGGAGTTTGAGACGAACCTGGGCAACATAAGGAGACCTTGTCTCTACAAAAAATAAAAAAAAAATTACCTGGTTGTGGTGGTGCACGCCTGTGGTCCCAGCTACTCCAGAGGCTGAAGTGAGAGGATCGCTTGCACGTGGGAAGTCAAGGCTGCAGTGAGCTGTGATCACACCACTGTGCTCCAGCTTGGGTGACAGAGGAGACCCTGTCTCAAAAAAAAGGGGTGGGGGGAAACTAGTAACATGGTGTCAGTACCAGGGTGGAGTGGCATTGGGTGGTCCCTGGCAGGGATGAGGAAGGGAAGCTGCCCTGGCAACATGGCTGGGATGTGGAGCTCTCAGTGGCCTTAGCATAACTTTAATGGTGTTGCCTTTGCCCCCTAAGCTTTTCCTGAGGGCCTGGAAGTGTCATCCAGCCCCACCTGATATACGCCTTTTGTGTGTCACTGAGGAAAGCAGCTGAAGTGCCCATGGAGGAAGCTCCCAGTGGGGAAGGTTTGAAAGATGTTGGAATTTGTTAGGAGGACATGCTGTATATAAAGGTTACCTTTCTCACTTTTTTGCTCCTTTGTCTTTTATAACAAAAAGGTGCCATTGTTACATGAGGTGAACAGTGAAGACGATGAAAATATTTCTCATCAAGATGGGTTTCCAGGCTCCCCTCCTGCACCACAGCGGACACAACAAAAAGGTAGAAAAAAAAAACCACAATTTTTATAAAATATAAGAACATTTTTTCATAATGAATATTGCTTATTTTTAGGAAAACATACCCATTGCCCCTTCATGCTGTAGCTCTGTGATTTTAACTAGGAATATAATTGAAATTTATTTTTTATTGAAAATGAGGGTCCAGGTGTGGTGGCTCACGCCTGTAATCCTAGCACTTTGGAAGGCCAAGGCTGGAGGATCCCTTGAGCTCAAGAATTTGAAAGCAGCCTGGGCAACACAGGGAGACATCGTCTGTACAAAAAGTAAAAATAAAAACATCAGCCAGGCAAGGTGGTGCACGCCTACAGTCCCAGCTACTCAGAAGGGCGAGGTGGGAGGATCACTTGAGCTCGGAAGGTCAGGGCTGCAGCAAGCCATGATTGCACCATTGCATTCCAGCCTGGGTGACAGAATGAGACCCTGTCTCAAGAAAATAAGGCTGGGTGTGGTGGCTCGCTCCTGTAATCCCAGTACTTTGGGAGGCCAAGGTGGGTAGATCTCTTGAGCTTAGGAGTTTGAGACCAGCTTGGGCAACATAGACTCTCTCTACAAAAAATGGACATCCCATCTCTACCAGAATACAAAAAAGTAGCCAGGTATGGTGGCATGTACCTGTGGTCCTAGCTAGTCAGGAGGCTGAGGTGGGAGGATTGCTTGAGCCCTGGAGGCAGAGGCTGCAGTGAGCTGAGATCGCACCATTGTACCCCAGCCTGAGTGACAGAGTGAAACCCCATCTCAAAAAAAAAGGAAAAGTTATTCTGCAGTCAATTGCTTCTGGATATTAGGTTGTTTTTAAAGTACAAGGTGCTGTTTTTTTTTGCCATGTTAACTAGGCTGGTCTTGAACTCCTGGGTTTAAGCAATAGAGGTAGGGATAGGATAGGGTCTCCCTAGTCCCAGTGCTTGGGGAAAGACCTGGCCCACAGTGGCCCACTAGGAAAGATCTGTTGGGTGAATGAGTACGTGGACATATATCTATTTGATTATCCCAATGAGAGAATTCAGCATGTTATAACAAAGGTAGGGAAAAGTTTTCAGTTTCCTAAGAGGTGGCTCACATTTGAGAAGTGACAAGGAGAGCCAGGCATCAAGTGGACAACCAATAACTACTTTATCAGCAGCCCTAGAGTTGCTCGGGCTCAGGGAAACGTTTCTGTAAATCATTTCTCAGGGAACACAGAATGCCAGCCTCATAATCCTGGGGCCAGAAAACACCTGTTGGTCAGTTGGCGTATTTTTTAAATATTAGATTTATGTAAAAGGTGCATCTCTTTTTAAATTACAAAAGTAATACTGTCTCACTGTAAAAAAAATACATAAATATATAAAGTGCATTAGTCCGTTTTCACGCTGCTGATAAAGACATACCCAAGACTGGGTAACTTATCAAGAAAAAGAAGTTTAATGGACTCATAGTTCCCCGTGGCTGGGGAGGCCTCACAGTCATGGCAGAAGGTGAAAGGCACATCTTACATGGAAGCAGACAAGAGAGAATGAGAACCAAGAGAAAGGGGTTTCCCCTTATAAAACCATCAGATTTCATGAGACTTATTCACTACCACGAGAACAGTATGGGGGAAACCGCCCCATGATTCAATTATCTCCCACTGGGTCCCTCCGACAATATGAGGGAATTATGGGAGCTACAATTCAAGATGAGATGTGAGTGGGGACACAGCCAGACCATATCATAAAGCTAAACACACTTAATTGTGCTCCCACAGATAAGATTTTTAACAATTTAGAGAGTATATGTATATAAAGTGCATGCTGTTTTGTTACCTTTCTTTCATCTCACAACACATGCCAAATGTCTTTCTATGTCCCCAGATTTGGTTCTCTCCTGCCTTGTGTAACATCTGCATTGTGTGGCCTGATGTAGCATATATCAGTCAAGGTCCAATCAGGAGTCAGAACACACACAATGACTTGAAGAGGGAAAATTTACTATAAAGAATGATTAATAATAACAGGTTTGGGAGCTGCGCATGGTGGCTCACACCTGTAGTCCCAGCTATGCAGGAGGCTGAGATGGGAGGATCACTTGAGCCCAGGAAGGAGGTCAGGGCTGCAGTGAGATGTGATAGTGCCATTGCACTCCAGCCTAGGTGACAGAGTGAGACCCTGTCTCTAAAAATAATAATAATAATAACAACAGGATTGCCTACTAAGGAGTAAAGAGAATACTGAAGAATTCAGGAGTAGCAGCTCAGGGGAGCAGCCACTGCTCCTAGGGCTGATGCTTCAGGAGGAAGCAGCTCTGGAGGAGCCTCAGCCAGAACCCAAGATCCACACCTTCCTGGAGAGGATGTAGCTGTGGCCTGCCGGGTGGCCAAGAAGTTTGCTGAGGGGCTGCCCTAATGAAACTCACTGGGATAGGGGGCCAGGAGAAGCCACCATGGGGAGGTACTGCATGTTGCTGGCCACCCAAAAAATTAAAGAAAGGATCTGCGCATGAAATCCCATTTGTAATCCCAGCTCCTTGGGAGGCCAAGGCGGGAAGATTACTTGAGCCTGGGAGTTCGAATCCAGCCTGGGTAATATAGTGAGACCCTTGGACTCTAAAACCAGAAATTAAAAAAAGAAATTAATGCATGGAAGGAAGAGCCAGAGGAAGCTGGAATCAGAAAGCAAAGCCCCAGCTCCTCCAGCGTCTCTCCAGCACCCTCTACAGAGGAAGCCTTCCATGGTACCAACTGGCTGGGTGGAAATGCTGCAGTAACATGAGCTGGCCATGAAGGTGGATTTGGAGATGAGAGGCCGTGGCCACCCACATACTTGGGAACGTGCACCTGGCACACAGGTGGTGGTTGGGAGGGATTGCAGCTCCTGCAGTGATGCCTGGTTTGTGGTGGGCATTAAAAGCCCCTGCATACTTCTGAAAAACCCCAGACCCCAAACTGTAATTTAGTGGCTCAGGGCTGGGCCCAGAGGTCTGTACTTTTTTTTTTTTTTTTTTTTTGAAACATAGTTTCACTCTTGTTGCCCAGGCTGGAGTGCAGTGGCGCGATCTTGGCTCACTGCAACCTCCGCCTCCTGGGTTCAAGCCATTCTCCTGCCTCAGCCTCCTGAGTAGCTGGGATTACAGGCATGCACCACCACACCTGGCTAATTTTGTATTTTTAGTAGAGACAGGGTTTCTCTGTGTTGGTCAGACTGGTCTCGAAGGGTCTGTACTTTTCACAAGTACACAGAGGAGTCTGTTGTGGGTGATCCTTGGACAACACATGAGGAACCCTGGCTTTTGGTGGTTTGGTCCTTGACTCTGTCGTTTCTAGGCATGGCTAACTTACTTACCTCATTTTCTCCTCAATCTAGAGTGTCTGTCTCATAAATGAAGTGACAATGTAAAGTGCAGTGGCTTCCATCAGTGCTAGTGATGATTAGTGTCTAAAGCCTGAAGCTTTCATCACCTGGTGCATCCCTCTGCACTCTAGCGAGACCTCTGCCAAGAAGACCAAACACACTTTGGGCAAGGCCCTTGTACCGTTGGTCAGAGCTGCCAAATTCATGCTCGTGGACGCTGTTCCCCTTTCCTAGATTCTCTGCAGACCCTTCTTTGATCCCACAGTCCCCTCTTGCTAGTACTTCCTCCTTCTTCTCCTTAACAGCTTTGTCAAGTGATACACCTCTCCAGGCCTTCTCCCTCTCCATGTCTCCTCATACCTCTCCAGCTTGGCTTCCCTCCCCATCGCACCACTGGACCAGAGACCTTCATGTAGTTAAGTGCACTGGATGGTTTTCTGGCTTCATCTGATGATGTCTCAGGAGCATACCACGTGGTTAACATACCTTCTCCCTGGGCTCAGGACATCTCGTTTCCTCCTGCCTTCCTGGGCATCCACCCGTCATCTCCTCAGTCTAGGCCCTTTACTCTTCGAAGCACTCACAGCCTGCTCCCCAGTTTGCTATCATTCGTTGTGTGCTGCGCCCAGGTTTCCTTTCGCAGCTTCTATGCCATGTAACCATTTGACTTCATTCATTCATCCCCTCAGTCAGAAGAAGAGTCTTTTTTTTTTTTTTTTTACAGGGTCTCACTCTGTTGCCCAGGCTGGAGTACAGTGTTATGATCATGGCTTACTGCAACCTCAACCTGGGTTCAGTTGATCCTCCCACCTCAGCCTCCTGAATAGCTGGGACTACAGGTGTGCATCATCATGCCTGGCTAATTTTTGTATTTTGTTAGACACAGGGTTTTACTATGTTGCCCAGGCTGGTCTTGAACTCCTGGGCTCAAACATTTGACCTGCCTTGGCCTCCCAAAGTGCTGGGATTACAGGCATGAGACACCTCATCTGGCCCAGAGCCATCTTTTCAAAGCACAAAGCTGGTAGTGTCCCCTTGCACGTCCACGGACCCCCACATGCGTCCCTTCACACCCCCACATACCCCAGACCCTTTTAAATTGGATCTCTTCCATGGTGTCCCACCATCTGCTTGGCCTGCCAGCCCCTGCTGACTGCTTTCCAGCTACTCTGCTGTTCTTTTATTTCCTCAACTCTGTGGTGTTCCTTCCTGCCACTGGACCTGTGCACATGCTACTCTCCCTCCCCACTACCTAATGTCTCTTATATGTAGGCATGTGAAACGTGGTGAGTTGTGGGGTTTGACTTTTTTTTTTTGAGACAGGATCTTGCTCTGCCACCCAGGCTGGAATACAGTGGTGTGATCATAGCTCACTGCAGCCTCTACCTCCTGGGCTTAAACCATCCTCCCATCTCGGCTTCCCGCAGTGTTGGGATTACAGGCATGAGCCACTACATCCTTATATGCTCAAATATATCTGAAAAGAACCATACCCAGTTGATAACCATGGTTACCTCTGGAGAGGGGAAGGTTTCGAGGGATTATGGTCATGGGTGAATTTTGATTTATCTGTGTCATTAAAATTTTTGACAGCAAGAATGTGTTCATGTCATGTGAATTTTCTTTCTATAAAGATTGGAATAGGGCCAGGCACAGTGGCTCAGGCCTATGATCCCAGGACTTTAGGAGGCTAAAGCAGGAGGATTGCTCGAGCCCAGGAATTTGAGACCAGCCTGGGCAACACAGGGAGACCCCGTTTCTACAAAAATGTAAAAAATTAGCCGGCATAATGGCACACACCTGTAGACCCAGCTACTCTGGAGGCTGAGGCAGGAAGATCACTTGAGCCTGGCAGCTGGAGGCTGAGGCAGGAAGATCACTTGAGCCCGGCAGCTGGAGGCTGAGGCAGGAAGATCATCTGAGCCCAGCAGCTGGAGGCTGAGGCAGGAAGATCATCTGAGCCTGGCAGCTGGAGGCTGAGGCAGGAAGATCGCTTGAGCTCGGCAGGTTGAGGCTGCAGTGCAGTTTCCACCACTGCACTTCAGCCTGGGTGACAGAGTGAGACCCTGTCTCAAAAAAAAAAAAAAAAAAGACTGGAATAGACCCAGCATGACACCTTGTATGCAGCAGGAGTATGCCCAGTATTGAAGCCTTTTGCTGTTATTTTATGTCTATCCCCCTCACCCATATAGGTAATAGAAATGAGGAGGGTGAGGACTCTGGAAATCTTTTTGAGAAATGATAAATAAGAACACAGGACACAAAGTAGATTCACAGAACCAAGTGAACTGCGTGTACATTAAATGTACATTAAATACAACATGAATTTGGGATGCTGTAAATTGTAAGTTTAATCTTTATGAGACTCTTTTTCTGAAAAGTTCATGACTAAGATAAAATAGCATGATTTCCTTTGGGAAAATTGAATTGCCCCTTAAAAACTTTTTATTGTGATCATTTTTAATGTGTACAAAAGTAGAGAGACTAGTAAAATGAACTCCCACTTGTCCACCTATGCATCTCCCCACTTCTATAGCTGTCAACAATTTTCTTATTTTTTTGAGGCGGGGTCGCTCTTGTTGTCCAGGCTGGAGTGTGGTGGCGTGATCTCAGCTCACTGCAACCTTTGCCTGCCAGGCTTGAGTGATTCTTCTGCCTCAGCCTCCCGAGTAGCTGGGACTGCAGGTGTGTTCCACTGCACCCGACTAATTTGGTATTTTTTGTAGAGACGGGGTTTTGCTCTGTTGCCCAGGCTGGTCTCAAACTCCCGGGCTCAACCGATCTACCTGCCTCGGCCTCCCAAAGTGCTGGGGTTACAGGCATGTGCCAGTGTGCCCGACCAGCTGTCAACCTTTTGCCATTCTATTTCATGTAACTCCCTGCTCCCCCAATTTTATTTTGTGAAGAATTTAAGGGGGACATAGAAGACTCCATTAAATATGAAAGCAGTCAGATCTGAGGTAGCATTGTGTGATACCAAATCAAGACTATTGTAAAGGTGTTATTAAAAATATATATTTTTTCTTATTGTATCACTTTAAACATTTGCTCATTGGAAATTTGTTCAGTGCCAGCCGTGTGTCAGAGATGATAGAGCCACAGGCCTTTCCCCTCGCATCCCAGCTGCAGAGGAGGAGATGCAGATTGCAAACCGTAGTCTGGGGTGCTAAGGTGGGCAGTAGAGGTGGTTGTCTCTCAGTTAGGGAAGGTGGTAGGGAAAGGAGGGTTCATCAAGCTGAACTCAGAAGGACAGGGCAGGATTTCACCTGGTGTCCAACGCAGGAGAGCAGTCCAGGCTGCCCCTGGACATTTGACTGAAAGCAGTTTGGTTAAAAACAGTTGATCAAGATGACTTTGGCCAAAAATGAGCTCTTCAGTGACGAGTTGCTCAATGCATCAGGGAGTAGATTTATTATTTATTTACTTATTTCTTTTTTTGAGATGGAGTCTTGCTCTGTTGCGCAGGCTGGAGTGTCATGTTACAGTCTTGGCTCACTGCAACCTCTGCCTCCCAAACTCAAGCAATTCTCCTGCCTCAGCCGCCCAAGTAGCTGGGATTACAGGCAAGTGCCACCATGCCCGGCTAATTTTTGTGTTTTTAGTAGAGATGGGGTTTCACTATGTTGGCCAGGCTAGTCTTGAACTCCTGACCTCAAGTGATCCATCCACCTCAGCCTCCCAAAGTGCTGGGATTACAGGCATGAGCCACCGTGCCCAACCAGGAAGTAGATTTAGAATCTTGTATGTATCTCTAGCATTTTCTTCTGTTGTCTGAATTTTGTAGGGTTTTTTCACCTATTTTTTGCATGTGTTTCCAGTTTATTTTCAGCTGGTTATTTCTGCTCTGCAAATTAATAGTAGAAAGTTAAAAGCAACTCAGGGCCAGGCACAGTGGCTCACGCCTGTAATCCCTGCACCTTGGGAGGCCGAGGCAGGTGGATTATCTGAGGTCAGGAGTTCAAGACCAGCCTGGCCAACGTGGGGGAACCCTGTCTCTACTAAAAATACAAAAATTAGCTGGGTGTCGTGGCGCATGCCTGTAATCCCAGCTACTTGGGAGGCTGAGGCAGGAGAATCATTTGAACCTGGGAGGCGGAGGGTGCAGTGAGCCAAGATTGCACCATTGTACTCCACCTGAGGGACAGAGTGAGACTCCGTCTCAAAAAAAAAAAAAAGCAACTCGATGTCCAACTTTTTACAACATGAATGTGTACAGGCAAACTGGGGTGTAAGATCACCTGCTTCCTAGGGTACCTGGATTACAGATGTGTGGAAGATGAGTAAGTGGGTGAGATTTGTTTTCCTCTCTGTCGTTGAGACAGTTTGCTTCAAGGAACAACTATTTTTCTGACCAGGTTGGATGATGCATCTAGGGAGGGTAGGCCAATAGGAGTATGCGTTGGCCCATCCAGGGAGTGGTGGGCAAGATGTGTGGAGCGTGATGGGGAGGAGTATTGGAAGGAGAGGAGGAGCCCGGCATGGGAAGATGTGTGGAGCGTGATGGGGAGGAGTGTTGGAAGGAGAGGAGGAGCCCGGCATGGGAAGATGTGTAGAGCGTGATGGGGAGGAGTGTTGGAAGGAGAGGAGGAGCCCGGCATGGGAAGATGTGTGGAGAGTGATGGGGAGGGGTGTTGGAAGGAGAGGAGGAGCCCGGCATGGGAAGATGTATAGAGCGTGATGGGGAGGAGTGTTGGAAGGAGAGGAGGAGCCCGGCATGGGAAGATGTGTGGAGAGTGATGGGGAGGGGTGTTGGAAGGAGAGGAGAAGCCTGGCATGGGAAGGGCTTGGAGACACTGAAGAGTTTGGCTTTGGTTCTGCAGCCACGTGAGCCACGGATGGTGGTCAGGCATGGGTATGGGAGAGAGATGACAATTTAGAGTCAGGCCCCAGCCTGGCTCTGGGACCCACTTGCCCTGTGACCCTGTGAATTTTATCCCTGTTCTGGGCCTTGTCGAGCTCCTCTGTAGAAGGTGAATTTCTATGATTGTACTTTCTGAGTTGTCATATTTCATTATCTACTTTAAAAGTTTATCTCTCTCTCTTTTTCTTCATCAGATGGTAAACACCCTGTTCTGAATTTAAAGGTAAGATCATTTTTTTTAAAAACTGATTTTCTCAATAAATAGAGTTTTTATCATAATTTTTCATAAATTTTCAACAACTTTGGTGTTGAAACTTTGGCGGTGATTTTGGGGCAAAAATAAATCTTCCCTTAAGAGTTCTTTCCTGTTGAATATTTCTTTTAAATGCTTTTTTTTTTTTTTGAGAAGGGGGTCTCACTGTCACCCAGACTGGAGTGCAGTGGCGCAATCTCAGCTCACTGCGGTCTCCGTCTTCCAGGCTCAAGCGATCCTCCCACCTCAGCCTCCCGAGTAGCTGGGATCGCAGATGCATGCCACCACACCCAGCTAATTTGTTGTATTTTTGATAAAGATGGGGTTTCACCATATTACCCAGGCTGGTCTCAAACTCCTGAGCTCAAGTGATCTGCCCATCTCGACCTCCCAAAATGCTGGGATTACAGGCATGAGCCACTGTGCCTGGCCTTAAATACTTTTAAAACATGAGGAAATTGATATTTTCCATAGTTTAATGATGAAAGTAATGTATTAAAGGGTTAGAAACTACTTTATAATTAAAATGAATGTGGAATGAATAGACAATTTTATCTTTTGTTAAAATTATTTTTTGAGACAGGATCTCCCTCTGTGACCCGGGCTGGAGTGCAGTGGTGTGATCATAGCTCACTGTAGCCTCAATCTCCTGGGATCAAGTGATTCTTTTGCCTCAGTCTCCTGAGTAGCTGGGACTACAGGCACATGCCACCACTCCTGGCTAATTAAAAAAAAATTTTTTTTTAGAGATGGGGTCTTGTTATGTTGCCCAGGATGGTCTCAAGCTCCTGGGCTCAAGCGATCCTCCTGCCTTGGCCTCCCAAGGGCATTGGGATTGCAGGCATGATGTGACGTGCCTAGCCTGAGATATTTTTCTGAGATGGAGTCTTGCTCTGTCACCCAGACTGGAGTGCAGTGGCGCAGTCTCGGCTCACTGCAACCTCCGCCTCCTGGATTCAAGTGATTCTCCTGCCTCATCCTCCCGAGTAGCTAGGACCACAGGTGCATGCCACCATGCCCAGCTAATTTTTGTATTTTTAATGGAGATGAGATTTCACCATGTTGGCCAGTCTGGTCTCAGACTCCTGACCTCAGGCGATCCCACCTGCCTCGGGCTCCTAAAGTGCTGGGATTACGGGTGTGAGCCACCACACCTGGCCTGGCCTGAGAATTTTAATAACTAATTTGCAAACATGGAAATAGTTCTAACTTAAGTTTTTCATTGTGCGATGTCATAGGAACTTAAAAATTAAACATTTCTCTGCAGAGTTAATTTATAACCTTGTCTACTTTGTCAGCAGAAATTAGAAACTTAATATCACACCACCATGTAAGGAAAAATTAACAAAAGTTCACAGCCTTCCCTTTCCTCTAGGTTTGGGGTTGAGAAGCAATATCTTACTGTTCCTTTCTCAGCATTTTGCAAATGTGCTTCCCTGCAGTTGATGGGGTCCTTTTTGCCCATCCCAGTGAGAAGAGGCCTGGCTGGAGTTTGCTGAGGGCATCTCTGCTCAGCACTTGCAGCCCTACCTAGCACATGCTTTTCAACGTGAGCCCACAGCCCGCTACTCACGGGATCTACCTGTAAGGACAGTCACTGAACTCAGTGCAGAAAGGCAGGAAGAAAGCTCAGGCAGGACTTCCTTTATAGCCTCAGAGAGCCCACCAGAGGGGAAGACACTTAAGGTCTCAGATTCAGGTATAAGAAACAGTGTAATCCCAGCATGTTGGGAGACCAAGGTAGGAGGATCCCTTGAGCCCAGGAGCTCAAGGCTAGCCTGGACAACAGGAGACCCCATCTCTACAAAAAAAAAAAAAAAAAAATTAGGTGTGATGGCCCATGTGTAATCCCAGCTACTTGGGAGGCTGAGGTAGGAGGATTTCATGAGCCCAGGAGTTGGAGGCTGCAGTGAGCTGCGATCACACCACTGCACCCTAGCCTGGGTGACAGAGTAAGACCCTGTCTTAAAAAAGGAAAAAAAGAAATAGTACATATTAAAGTTTTGAAAGCTAAAACAAACAAAGAACAAGAGTCAAAATGAAGGAAATAAAGCATGCTTATATACCTGCTGTCTAATGACCTAGCTGCGTGTGTCCACTTTATAAAACACTAATGCTCTGCACTTATTCCTCTTATGTTCTTTCTTTCCTAGGATGAAAAACCTCCATTATGTGAGAAACCTCCACCCTCCCCAGGTATTTGCCTTTTGAATTATATTATGATTGAAAAGCTTGTTTTGGAGAATATCCAGATTAATTTTATCTGAAAATAAAGATTACATTTTCTTTTTCTTGTATTAGTTGTTGAACTTTCACCCTTGCCTCAAAAGAGAGGGTCCAAACACTAGGTAGTGGACGTATGTCCATACAGGATGTGCTTGGGTCCTGGGAGGGTGGGGGTTGGACCTGGGGGGACGTGGACCTGTGGGATATGCTGGGATCCTGGGGGAAGGGAGGTGGACCTGTGGGATGTAATGGGATCCTGGGGGTGGAAGGAGGACCTGTGGGATGTGCTGGGATCCCAGTGGGAGGAGTGGACCCATGATGTACTGGGATCCGTACTGGGAAGGCAGGTGCAGTTATGGGCTCTGCTCTGAGGCTGAAGGCAGAGGGAGAGGTCTAGAGATGCTTTATGGGTTATGCCCCCTGAACAGTTTGGGGAGCTTCAGTGGCTTCCAAAATGGAGGTTATAATTTTTGCTGTTAGGTCCCACATTGTTACAAGATCTTTGGGGTGTCGCTTTTCTGGTCGGAAATGTCTGTGGTGCCAGTGTGCCTTTGCCTGAGTTCTTGTCCTGCGTCCAGGAAGAATGAGGTAAGCAGACAAGTGGAGGGTGAGCAAGACGAAGAGGAGCTTTACTGCATGTTAGAACAGTTCAGAGGAGACCCACAGTGGGTAGCTCCTCTCTGTAGGCAGGTCGTCCCGTTAAGTGTTCAGCTCTCAGCAGAGAGGAGGTCCCCTGGAGTCGATGGCTCCTCTCTGAAGGCAGGTCACCCAACTGTCTCTGCAGCTCTCAGCAAAGAGGAAGCCCTGGAGAGGGTTGTTCTTCTCTGCAGCTGGTTATTCTGACCAGCTCCTAGTAGAGAGGAGGCCCTGGAGTGGGTTGCTCCTCTCTGCTGCTGGTCCTCTGACATCTCCAGCTATCAGCAGAGAGGGGAACTCCTCTCTGCAGCTGGTCATCTCATCTGCTCTGCTCCAACTAAGCCCAGGGCTTTTATGGGCCTCAGAAGGGAGGAAGTGCGCACCGATTGGTCCATGGGTGGCCATGGGTGGGCCTGGAAAAGGCACCATAAGTTCCTACTGCAGTCCCACGGGACAGGCAACCCGGTCCCCAGCCTTCAGGCCCTCTCCGACCTGAAGGCGGGGCCTCACCGGGGACCTGCCTGCTTCTGCCCAGGAACCTGTCTCCCTCCTGCTGCCCAGTCCATGGCACCCAGGCTGCTCACACCAAGGGGCAACTGCAGGCCAGTGCAGAGCCATCCTCAGCACCCCCTTGTCTTTCCCTCCTGTGCTCATGGGTGCCCAAAGTCTGGAGGGGGCTGAGGCGGCAGGGCGCTGTCGTGTCAGTACTGCCCTGAGTATGCACACTCCCAGCCAGGCTGTGACAGTGCCCAGGCTTGGCCTAAACCCCGCTCCAACCCTGCTGCAAGACTGGAGCAGGCACCAGGAGCAGGGAGAGACCAGGCAGCTAGAGCAAACACCCATAAGCCTGCGGGGACACGGGAGCCTTCCCAGGCCCCCGAGGGTGCAGACTGCAGAGACACCCAGGTCCTACACATGGGAGGGCAACTGTAGCAGCACCCCATGAGCTCCTGCCCCACCAACTCAGAAGGGGCAGGGCTCCCGCTTGTCCCCGGCTCCTGATGGCTCTGTGGAGCATGCAGCCCTGACCATACCTCTGGAGCAGGTGCCCACAGTGGGGTGAAGCCAGGCAGTGGGATCAGGCACTTCGGAGCCTATGGTGGGTGGTGGGGGCCTTCTTGGGCCCCCAAGAACACAGAGATTCTCGGGTCTGCAGCCGGGCTTGGGCAGCTGCAGCAGCACCCAGGGAGGGCCGGGGCTCCTGCCTGCTCCATGGAGCAAGAGGCTTGGGCCACACCTCCCTGCTCTAGAGTCTGTGCGGTGGCCACTCTAGATGGGCCACTGCTGCCATCAGTGTCACTGCTCTGAAAATCCTGGTTTAAGTCTCCTCCGCGTCAGATTAACTTTATTTGCACCCTTTCAATCTCAGCATTTTCAATGCTGTATTCTGGGCGATTGCTGGGGCTCCAACTTCTGCGCCATGCATTCATTTTTCATGATGTGTATCCTGCGGCTCAGCCCATCCTTTCAGTTTATGGTGTTAATCAAACGTTAACTTCCATGATTTCTGTGACACTGACTACGTCTCTCTGAAAGTTGTAACCATGCGCATCCAGTCTTAGGGTTTGTGTTGCAGCCCCTTCTCTTCTCTCACTTGCCATTGGTGTTCTCTGGCTCTGCTGTTTGATACCTCTTGGGGTCTCTGAGATTCCCTGTGGCCCACATGGGGATGCTACCTCTGTTTACTGCACCCTGCCTGAAGAGGGAGAGCCAGCAGGCTGCCAGGCTGTACCGACTGCTGCCTCCAGCAACTGATGGGGATGGACAGGATGTGAGGCCCACCGGGATCCGTGGGGACCCCTCTTCCTCCTGGCTTTCTCCAGCCCCCTGCCCTGCCTTTCTGCCCTCAGGGCCTGTGTGTTCTGCCTGAGGAGGGGCACACATTTCTGCTGTTGCTGCCTGGGTCAGGTGGGTTAACCCCTTGCTATTCCCACTCTGGTTATCTAACTCAACAGCTCATCAGCTGCTTCAAGCTGCTTCTTTTTAAATATAATTTTATTTATTGATTGATTTTTGTAGAGATGGGCTCTTGCTATGTTGCTCAGGCCGGTCTCGAACTCCTGGCCTCAAGCAAGCTTCCTGCCTCAGCTTCCCAAAGTGCTGGGATTGCAGGTGCGAGCCACCAGGCCCAGCCTCATCAGCTCTTTCTAGGCCACTTTGTGTCTCCACTCCTACCAGGGCAAGGTGTATCCCTGGAGCCACCCCTCCCCATTTTCTAGCTGCCCTCTCTTGGCACATTTCAGGCTTGGCACCCATCTTCATTCTCATCTCAACTGTTTTATCTCTGGGATTTCTCAGGGTTCCCTTGTTTCTATGTAGCTGTGGAGTTTCCCATTTCTGAGCCTCACCTTTTGCATGTTAGGGATTGGATATGTGTGTGTCAGAGGTTGGGCCAGGCTCTCTGGAGCCACCAGCCATCCTGCCCTCGTCTGTGTGGAAGCTCTGCTTCCGCCTCTCCCTCCCCTGGGAGGTGCGCTGGCCAGGGCCCATGGGAGCCTCACCTCCTGTGACCTTTCGGAGCACATCTCCCCGTGGAACAGCGCTGGTTTCCACCCCACTTTCTTGCTCTTCCTTCTTAAGGTCCTATGTGACCTCGGTTTTCTCCTCACCCTGGTGCCTTCAGGTGCTGCCCACAGGCCAGTGGCTCGTCAGTCTCCCCAGCAGAGGCTGCCCTGGGACTCTGGGCCTCTGTACCAACCCAAGCCTGCCTCTCCTCATCTTCCATCCCCACCTGCTCTTCACAGTGTGCTCCTCATCTGGGGGAGCATCTGCCAGACACAGACCTGGGTGGTCATCCTGGGTCTGCTTCTCTCTCACTGCCCGCACCCAGCCAGCCACCAGCCCCTGAGTCCTGCTCTCATGTGTCCTTTTCTCTGTGTCCCCACTCTAGTGCTGCCCCTCAGCTGTTGGGCTAGGCCTCATTCTAACCTGCCTTCTTCCCTGCTGGCCTGAGGGATTCACCCAAGAGCAGAGCCTCTTCCTTCTCACACCTTTGCTTGAAAGCCCTGCTGGCTCCTGCTGCCCTGCAAGATGAACTTTCCATGCCACATCACAATAGGCACGGCCTCCTGCAGCTCTGGCCTCCCTTTCTGGCCTCCCCTCAGTACCTCTCTTCCTGCCACCCGCTGTGACTTCATCAGGCCACTTACTGTTTCCTGTAGAAGCCATTCCCTTCCCAGGGACCAAAGAACATGGCACCAGGCCTGATGTGGTTTTTGGAACAAAGTCAGTTGATTTTGATGTAACATTGTCAACATCAATTAACATTGTAAAATTTTCCCCTGAACCCTTTCAGATATAACTGGTAGAGCACGTCAAAGATATACAGAAATAACCAGAGAAAAGTTTGAGGCATTAAAAGAAGAAAATATGGACCTAAACAATATGAATCAAAGCCTTACCCTTGAACTAAACACAATGAAACAAGCAATGAAAGAACTACAGTTAAAACTTAAGGGAATGGAAAAAGAGAAGAGAAAGCTCAAAGAGGCTGAGAAGGCGTCGTCACAGGAAGGTGGGGACAGACAGAGTGCCTTTATTAGAGGAATGAGCAGGACTTCACTCAATTATTTTGAGAGTTAATATTTTATGTTGTGATATTTGTGTTGGTAATTTATGTTGTAATATTTCAGGTTTTTTTGTTAATATCCTTATGTTTGTTGAGATTTGATTTCATCTGCTATATCATTATTACACTAAAGAAATTCCTCAGGTTGGAAAGAAGCTGAATTTACAAAAACAAAACAGAGATTCCAATACTTCTTTTGGAACTTGATGCTTAGCTTACATATATTTCACTTCAGTTTTTATCCCTAAGAGAAGCATAAAAAAGCTCCTCCTTTACCGTAGACTTACCAATGATTATATTTTCCTTGCTACTTTTATAGGTTAAAAAAAGAAATAGTATTTTAATTTGTATTTCTGTTATTATTGAACTTGAATATTTTTTCATATCTTTGCAAGTCATTTTCTTTTTCTTTCATAAAGCTGCCCACTTTATTTATTTATTTTTTAGAGACAGCATCCCACTCTTGTCACCTAGGTTGGACTACAGTGGGGTGGTCAGAGCTCACTATAACCTTGAACTCCTGGGCTCAAGTGATCCTTCCACCTCAGCCTCCTGAGTAGCTGGGACTAAAGGCAAACGCCATCATGCCTGGCTAAGTTTTTTTTTTTTTTAATTTTTTTTATAGCAGTGAGGCCTCATTGTGTTGCCCAGGCTGGTCTCAAACTCCTGGCCTCAAGGATTTTTCCTCCTTGGCCACTTAAAGCACTGGGATTTTAGATATGAGCCACTATCATGGCCAAGTTGCCCACTTTACAATGAGACACTTGACTTCTTTTTATTGATTTGCAGGAACTCCTTACATATGAAAGATTTTATCCCTTTGTCATAGGTGTAATATTTTCTTAGTTTGTTGATAATTGGGCTAAATCAATAAAATGTTTTTCTTTTATGACTTACACTCTTGGTATTAAGTCATTTTTAACTCTAAGGTTATATAAATATTCACCAATATTTTCTCTATACCTTTTTCTATTTATATAAAACTAATATAGCTTTAAGTAAGGTGGTGTCAGTTTTTTTCACATAGACCCTGCATAATTCTTATCTTAGGCACATTTATTTTTAGATACTATATATTATTTGTGCTGTTACCTTGTGGGATCTATTTTCTGTTTTGTTTTCTAATAGGACATTGCTATTATGTGGGAAGGTTATTAGCTCTAATACATTTTCCATGTATTCTATATGATTTTTCTCTTTCTTTTTTTTTTTTTGTGAGATGGAGTCTCCCTCTGTTGCCCAGGCTGGAGTGCAGTGGCGTGATTTCGGCTCACTGCGAGCTCCACCCCCTGGGTTCACGCCATTCTCCTGCCTCAGCCTCCCAAGTAGCTGGGAATATAGGCGCCCGCCATTACGCCCGGCTAATTTTTTGTATATTTAGTAGAGACGGGGTTTCACCGTGTTAGCCAGGATGGTCTCGATCTCCTCACCTCGTGATCCACCCGCCTCGGCCTCCCAAAGTGCTGGGATTACAGGCGTGAGCCACCGCACCCGGCCTCTGTATGATTTTTCAAAGCACATATTCTTATGTCATCTGAAACAATGACTATTCCTTTCCAACTTGAAATTTTTATTTTACTTTATTGTACATGCAAAAACTTCCACAAACTTTCAATATAACGTTAACTATTCAGTGTTAAAAAACGTTGTAACTTTTATTCATTCACACACACAGACACACATACACACACAGACACACACGCACACACAGTTCATTGCCTCTGAGCGTGAAAGAGGGGAGAAAAGCAAACGATTTGCAATTTAATAAAATCTGGATAAATTGGATGTTATTTCTTATAGTATAATATTAAATTTTTTTCCCTAGTTGCTGCACCTGAATTACTTTATCTGCGAAAACAAGCTCAAGAACTGGTGGATGAAAATGATGGATTGAAAATGACTGTCCATCGTTTGAATGTAGAACTCAGTCGATATCAGACAAAATTCAGGCATTTGTCCAAGGAAGAGGTAACGTTTCCGATTGTGAAAATCAGCTTTTCAGATTTTTAAGCCTTTACTGTTGAATTGATTTCCAATCTTGAGAGGTTCTTATTTATTATAATTTGATGTAAGAAAAGCTCTGTCCAAGGCACAATGTTTCTAAGGACCATTCTGTTTCTTGCCTCCTTCCCTTCCTTCTTCCCCGTAATAAAGGCAATAAAGACTGTAAAACATTGGGACAATACAGAAGTGTACAAAGTAAAAGAGGCCGGATGAGGTGGCTTGTGCCTATAATCCCAGCACTTTCAGAGGCTGAGGCGGGAGAATTGCTTGAGCTCTGGAGTTTGAGACCATCCTGGGGGACATGGCGAGACAGTCTCTACAAATAAAAAATTTAAAAAAATTAGCTGAGCATGGTGGCGCATGCCTGTAGCCCCAGCTACTCAGGAGGCTGAGGCAAGAGGATCTCTTGAGCATGGGAGGTCAAGGGTGTGGTGAGCTGAGATTGCGCCACTACACTCCAGCCTGGGTGACAGAGCAAGACCCTGTCTCAAAAATTAAAAAAAAAATAACAAAAGTAAAAGAATGAAAGTGTATGTCGGCTGCTCCCTTCTCAGTCACGTTCCTGAAAGTTGCAGCTGTTGTCAGTGCATTAACTTCGAAAGGAAAGCAGAGTTTTCAGTTCTAAGAACAGTTGCAGAGTCCAACTCCACACACTCTCACTGAGCAGGTCACTGCATGAGATGCCGGGAGGAGTGCCAGATGAACCGATGCTCAGGTCCTTACTCTTACAGAACTTGGGGCTGTGAAGATGTGAGTGACACTGTGGACACAGGAGAGGGAGGCACCGCTGGCTGGGCTCTTGCTGGGGTAGAAGGCGGGAAGGCACACGGTGTTCTCCCATGGCTCCTGGGAGTTCAGGCCTCATGGGCTTCTGAGTTGCTTTTTGAAGGAGGGCTTACGTTTCACTTTTTTTTTTTAATAACAGCTTTGAAATATAATTCACATACCATCCAATTTATACCCATTTTAAAAGTGTACCATTTAGTGGTTTTTATTGTAGTCACAGAATTATGCAACCATCACCACAGTCAATTTTAGAGCACTTTTGTTAAATCAAGAAATGTTGGCTGGGCATGGTGGCTCACACCTGTAATCCCAGCACTTTGGGAGGCTGAGGTGGGCGGATCAGTTGAAGTCAGGCGTTTGAGACCAGCCTGACCAACATGGTGAATTCCCATCTATGCTAAAAATACAAAAAAATTAGCCAGGCATGGTCGTGCGCACCTGTAATCCCAGCTACCTGGGAGGCTGAGGCAGGAGAATCGCTTGAACCTGGGAGGCAGAGGTTGCAGTGAGCCAAGATCATGCCACTGCACTCCAGCCTGGGTGACAGAGAGAGTGAGACTCTGTCTCAAAAAAAAAAAAAAAAAAGGAAAAAAAAGGAAGTGTCATACCTGTTGGGAATCACTCCCTATGTTCCCCTGCTGCCCAATTCCTCCAGCTCAGCCCCTGGTAACCACTAATCTATTTTCTGTCTCTATGAACTTGTCTGTTCTGAACATTTCATAGAAATGAAATCATACAAGACATGACTTTGTGTGACTGACTTCTTTCACTTAACATAATACTAACTTTTAAACAAAAACAAATAAAGTTCTTAGGGTCCTATAATTCAAAACCTGCTTGCTAGGTCAGGGCCTTCTGCAGGACCATGGGGCGGGCAGACAGGCCCAGGGACAGCCTTCTCCCATGTTGTCTTCTGCCCTGTGCAAATGCCATGTTCTCCAAGACAGTCTTCCCTGATCACCCCAGCCAGAAGTGATTGATCTCTCTCTCTCTTTTTTTTTTTTTAGACACAGTCTCTCTATGTCGCCCAGGCTGGAGTGCAGCATGCACAATCTCAGCTCACTGCAATCTCTACCTCCCGGGTTCAAGTGATTCTTGTTTCTCAGCCTCCTGAGTGGCTGGGATTCCAGGCGTGTTCCACTGCGCCCAGCTAATTTTTGTATTTTTAGTAGAGATAGGGTTTCACCATGTTGGCCAGGTTGGTCTCAAACTCCTCACCTCAAATGATCCACCCTCCTCAGCCTCCCAAAGTGCTGGGATTACAGGCATGAACCACCATGCCCGGCCCTCTCTCTCTTTTAAACCATTGCAGACTTTTGTTTGTAATCACTCTTAAGGCACTTATAGCATTCTACCCTATACTGTTTTTGTATATCACGTACATTTGTGTTAGTGGATTTTATTTCTGTTACTAGGTCATAGAATCCTTGAAAACAAGGGTTGCGTTGCAGTGTCCATAATGACTTAGTGAGTTGCCAATGTTTGCAGAGTGAGTGAGTAATTACATAGATATTAAGGTGTTCACATTGTAAAGCTTTTGTGAAATAAATAATTATTTTGTCTAGGCCATTGATTCTGTACTAGATTTTCCCTCCTAATCTAAACAAATAGAAAACCAGACAGAATATGTAATGCAAATGTTTACAGATGTCGAACAGCAGGCAGCACCAGCCTATGACCCTCAAGAGTAGCAGGATAAATAGATGAGCCTGTGATCTGCTTTCTGTCTGGAGGCAGTCTCAGATCACAGAGCAGGGAGGAAGGGCCTGAGCTGAGCCCTTCCCTGAGTTCAACAGAGATGAGAGTCTGGGGAAGCTGAGGAGACTAGAATTCGTAGGGCAAGAATACCAGAAAGAATGGAGTCCTGGAGAGAAAGAGCTACTTATATAAATCTGCATGGGGCTCCTTGGAGTCTTGTGGAATACCACCCTGCACATGTGTAGGATGAGACTGCAAGATACTGGGCAGAAAATAAGAACAGGGAGCTGTGAGCTGCATGGTTCCCAGAGCTCACACAGCACCGGGAACCTTCGAGTTCTGCCCAGCCACAATGGAGAGACCTTGCATTGAGTCAAGAGCCCAGGAGGGCCGTGCCTGAGATGTATGGCTAAAAGAGCTTTTTAGGAAAGGTTACTACAGACCTACCATGACCAGGGTGAAAAAACAAGCCTCAGAAGCATGAAGGTGATCCACAAGCAACTTAGGAGTTGAAAGAAAAAGAGAGAGAGAGAGAGGAGGGAGGAAGGAAGGGCGGAAGGAAAAGAAACCAGTACTCTTTAAAGGAAGATAACAAAATCCAGACACTCAACAATGTGACATTAAAAAGTTCCATATCCAGTGAAAACAGTCACTAGATATGTTCTAGATTTTAAAAGACTAAAAAGGGCTGGAGGCCAGGTGCAGTGACTCACACCTATAATCCCAGCACTTTGGGAGGCTGAGGTGGGCAGATCACTTGAGGTCAGGAGTTCGAGACCAGCCTGGCCAATATGGTGAAACCTCGCCTCTACTAAAAATACAAAAATTAACCAGGTGTGGTGGCACACACCTGTAGTCCCAGCTACTCGGGAGGCTGAGGCATGAGAATTGCTTGAACCTGGGAGGCAGATGTTACAGTGAGCCGAGATCATACCACTGTACTCCAGCCTGTGCGACAGAGCGAGACTGTCTCAAAAAAAAAAAAAAAAGAAAAAAAAAAAAAAAGCCAAGTGTGCTGGCTCACACTTGCAATCCCAGCACTGTGTGAAGCTGAGGCAGGAGGATCACTTCAGGCCAGGAGTTCAAGACCAGCCTGGGCAACATGGTGAAACCCCATTTCTACAAAAAATACAAAAATTAGCCAGGTGTGGTGGCATGCACTTGTAGTCTGAGCTGCTCAGGAGGCTGAGGTGAGAGGATTGCTTGAGCCCAGAAGGCAGAAGTTGCAGTGAGCCATGATCTCACCACTGCACTCCAGCCCGGGTGATGGAATGAGACCCTGTCTCAGAAGGAAAAAAAAAGGACATAAAAGACTTGACAGCTAAATGCAACATGTGACCCTGAATTGGATCCTTGATTAGAAAAGAACATTAGTGGGAAAATAGATGAAATTTGAAGATAACATATAGGTTAGGTTAGGTTAAAAAATAGTATTATAGGCTACTCTAGGCACACTGCCTATGGGGTACCCCTGCTCTGCAAGGAGCAGTAATATATATATATATATGAAAATAGTATTGTTATCTGTGTTGATTTCCTGATTTTCATGACAGTACTGTGGTTAAGTAAATGAATGTTTTTGTTTTTAGGAAATACAAGTATTTAGAGGAAAAGGGGCATTATATCTGCAAATTACTCTAAAACATTTCAGAAAAAATATTTCTCTCATATATACATATATACATATAGATAGATAGATGGGTAGGTGTATGGGAAAGTGGATGGATGGATGGATGGATGGATAGATGGATGGATGGATGGATGGATGGATGGATGGGTAGGTGGGTAGGTGGGTGGGTAGGCAGATGGATAGACAGATAAATGCATAGATGGGCAATGCCCAGTCTAGATTAAGAATATCTAAGACTTGAAAATTCAGAGGAAGTGTGGTTTAACTTGTCTTCAATACATGTTTTGTTCTTAGAGCTTAAATATTGAAGGCCTCCCATCCAAGGGCCCTATACCACCCTGGTTGGTAAGTGAAAGTTATTTAATTTCAGGCCCATATTTTCAGGGTATATTTGCATAGCTATTAAAAACCATTTCAGGCCAGGCGCGGTGGCTCATGTCTGTAATCCCAGCACTTTGGAAGGCTGAGGCGGGTGGATCAGTTGAGGTCAAGGGTTCAAGACCAGCCTGGCCAACATGGTGAAACCCTGTCTCTACTAAAAATACAAAAATTAGCTGGGCGTGATGGTGCATGCCTATAGTCCCAGCTACTTGGGAGGCTGAGGCAGGAGAATCGCTTGAACCCGGGAGGTTTAGGTTGCAGTGAGCTGAGATCGTGCCACTGCACGCGAGCCTGGGCGGCAGAGTGGGAATGGCTTCGGGCAACGGAGCTCATTCTGACCGCAGGAGGTCAAGCCTGTGCGGGTGTTGTAGATGCCTCCTGTGCCTCCTGCATGCCTCTGGGTTCCTCATTTAAGTGGCCATATAGATCCCTGAAATTGGAAGGATCCAAGGAGAGAAATGTTGGTTGTTCTGGGATCCTGAGCTGGGAGAGTCGTTAAAAAACAATAACAACTGCAACCAAAGAAACCATTTCAAAAAAGTATAACTTCTTGCCATTTAAAAATTTTCTGGTTGTGTTTAGATGTAAGAAATATATTAACCTTCCTTTACTCTCTATCTTCAGTTGGATATAAAGTACCTGTCACCATTGTTGCTGGCTTATGAAGATATGATGAAAGAGAAGGACGAGCTCAATGCCACCCTCAAGGTAGGCTGGCAAATGTCCCAGAAGACACAAGATTTATAAAAATATAGGACCGCTTCAAATTTTATAAAAACATTTTGAATGTAGGTATACCCAGCATATTATAGATAACCAAATGTTTATTAGAGGACAGAAAGGAGGAAGGAAGGAGTGTGGCAGGGTGGGAGGCAGGGAAAGAAGGAAGAGGGGAGGAAGTAAGGGAGTGATTGGCAGAGCAGGAGGGGTGGATAGGGAGCGAGGGGAGAGGTATGGAGGGTCAGAGCAGTGCTGCATGAGAAGCCATGGCTTTCTGGACAGCCAGCCCATATGGGCTGAGATCTTGGGGTGCAGGGAAGACAGCAGGGGGGAAGTGCTTCTTTCCTGTTACTGTGCAGCTGCAAATACCACCATTAGAAGGGACATTTGGGCTGGGCGCGGTGGCTCACGCCTGTAATCTCAGCACTTTGGGAGGCCGAGGTGGGTGGATCACATGAGGTCAGGAGTTCAAGACCAGCCTGGTCAACATGGTGAAACCCCGTCTCTACTAAAAATACAAAAATTAGCTGGTGTGGTGGCACGTACCTGTAATTCCAGCTACTCAGGAGGCTGAGGCAGGAGAATAGCTTGAACCAGGGAGCTGGACGTTGCAGTGAGCCGAGATTGCATCACTGCACTCCAGCCTGGCGATGGGGCCAGACTCCGTCTCGAAAAAAAAAAAAAAAAAAAAAGGGCTATTTGGGCAGACATGGGAAGGAAAGGCTGGAGATGTTTTGGGCAAACTTAGATGCTTCTTAATTCTAGGATGAGCTGACCCCAGGGAAGTCTGATTGCTGAGCTGTTGGAAATGGAGAAGTGAGGTTTTTATCCATTTCTGCCTTGTCCACCGCCGTTTTGTGGGAATGACTTCGCGCAGCGGAGCTCGTTCTAACTTCAGGAGGCCAAGCCTGTGTAGGTGTTGTAGATGCCTCCTGTGCCTCCTGCATTCCTCTGGGTTCCTCATTTAAGTGTCCATATAGATCCCTGAAATTGGAAGGATCCAGCGAAAGAAATGTTGGTTGTTCTGGGATCCTGAGCTGGGAGGGTCCTTTAAGAGGCTCCCAGCTTGTTCCTAATCAGTGATGCTGTCCCGTGTCCATGTCCCATGGAAAGGAATTTTAATCCTTTTCATTTAGACTGAGTGTTGGATGCTTAATTTTCTAAGAGCATGAATGAATCTTGTACTAATTGAATATATAACAATCCTAATAGCTAATAATATTATTTTTTTGGTGCTCCTTCTAAGTCAGGGTCAGCACAGACTTTCTGTCAAGGGCCAGTTAATAAGCACTTTAGGCTTTGGAGGCCATGCAGTTTCTGTTTGCACCTGCTCAGCCCTGCTGTTGCAACATGAAAGCAGATGAGGATAACATGTAAATAATGGGCGAGGCCCATTATTTTATTTATAAATAAATAAAACTTTATTTATAAAAACAGGCAGCTGGTTTGCACACTTTAGTTTGCCTGACCCCTGTTCCAAAAAAGAGTCACATGGACTGCCAGCAGTGAGTGAGTGTGTCTGGGTGGAGAGATGAGAGGAGAAGTTACTTGGCAGTGCTGCTTTAAGTTAAAAGGGTGTAGGCATAAACACCTGACAGCTGGGAGTAGAATATTTTACAGGCACACCAGAGTAAATATTGGCACCTCAGATTCTCACCAAAGGACAGCGCAGGACACGGAAGCTGGAAAAGCCCTGATGGAGGAGGCTCAGCTGAAGTGTCACACACACAGACTGTTGGGAGCTGAAACAGACATAGACTGTTAGGCATCAAAACCGGCCCAGCGACAGACCTCGTGTTGTGGCTAATGGCCAGTGAAGCTCTGCAGACTGATGACGCTAGTAAGACACTTTCTCATGGTTGTCATGGACAAAACTAAGAGCCTTGGCTGGATGTGGTGACTCATGACTGTAATCCCAGCATTTTGGGAGTCTGAGGCAGGAAGATTCCTTGAGCCTAGGAGTTCAAGAGCAGCCTTGAGTAACATGGCGAAACCTCGTCTATACACAAAATACAAAAATTAGCCAGGCATAGTAGTACAGGTACTTGGGAAGCTGAGGTGGGAGGATCGCTTGAGCCTAGGAGGTTGAGGCTGCAGTGAGCTGTGATTGCAGTACTGTACTCTAGCCTGGGTGACAGAGCGAGACCCTGTCTCAAAAAAAAAAAAAAAAAAAGAGCTTCCTCCAACTCCCACACTAACTAACCCCTTCCCCACCAAATCTAGCTTTAATTAAGGATGAAAAGTCTTATTTTTTATATTAAAAACCTCCAATTTATTCTCCTGCATCTTCAAACAAAGGAAAAATGTCAGCGTTGATGGGCATCTCTGCCTTTTCTATCAGTATTCGGCAGTTATAGAACAATGTTAGCAAATTAGGAATCTAATACTCGAAAGCCCAGGTTCTTTGCCTCTTGTACTTGGCCTTGCATTTGGTCCTAGTGCTTTCTCACTAGACCGTAAGCTCCCTGAGAGCAGGCACCACTGGTGCTGGTACCGAGAGTTGAAGGCTGGCCTGTTGTGAGACCTTGCTAAATGGCTGTTACCATTTGATTTTAGCCACAGCAGCAGCACCAGAACTGAGAAATATAGATGCGTGGGTATGTGTGTGTTATAATTTACGTACATTTTATTTCAGGAGGAAATGAGAATGTTTAGGATGCGAGTCCAAGAAGTGGTGAAAGAAAATGAAGAATTGCACCAAGAGTTAAATAAGAGTAGTGCTGTTACCAGTGAGGAATGGCAAGTGGCATTGTGTTTCTGCTCTTTTGCTAATTTAAAACAAATGGTAACAGGAAAATATGTTATAAAATTATCAAATACATAATTACATTCTTAACTAAAATATTTTACGGGAGAGTTTCTAAGAAATTAATAAGGTACAATAAAACCCTAATAAATTATTCTAAACTTACATTTTCAAGATGACTTTTAAAATTCTAAGTAGGTTCTCAAACCTGAAATACAGTTGCTTTCTGCTTTTTATTTTCTGAGTTGGTATTTTTCTAGGGTGATTTTTCCATCTCAGACCTGGAGAGTCTCGTCCCTTCTTAGGCCCCAGCGATGGCTCCCAGGGTTTCAGAACAGAAAGCTCAAAATGGCCTCCCAAAACAGAAAGCTCATGAGGCTTGCACGACCAGCTTCCATCCGCCTGCCCTGGCAGATTCCCTGACAACTGAGGTTGCCCCACTTCCAATCTGTCCTTCCTCCGAAAGCCCCTTCTGCACTCCTCATCCTCTAGGGTCCTACTGTAATGGCACTTGTCTATAGCACTGCCTTCAGGAGAGGCCATTATTGCTCCCTTGTCTCTGTTTCTTTTCTTTTTTTTTTTTTGAGACAGAGTCTTGCTGTGTTGGCCAGGCTGGAGTGCAACGGTGTGATCTCGGCTCACTGCAACCTCTGCTTCCTGGATTCAAGCGATTCTCCTGCCTCAGCCTCCTGAGTAGCTGGGATTACAGGCACGTGCCACCACACCTGGCTAATTTTTGTATTTTTAGTAGAGATGGGGTTTCACCATGTTGGCCAGGCTGGTCTCGAACTTCTGACCTCATGTGATCTGCCCACCTTGGCCTCCCAAAGTGCTGGGATTATAGGCGTGAGCCACTGCGCCTGGCGTCTCTGTTTCTTATGTTTTTTTAGAGTTAGGGTCTCACTCTGTCACCCAGGCTGGAGTGCAGTGGCTCAGTCATACCTCACTGCAGCCTCAACCTCCTGGGCTAAAGCCATCCTCCCACCTCAGCCTCCCAAGTAGCTGGGACTACAGGTGTGTGCTACCATGCCCAGCCATTTTTTAAAATTTTTTGTAGATACAGAGTCTCACTGGGTTACCCAAGCTGGTCTCGAACTCTTGGGCTCCAGTGATCCTCCCGTCTTGGCCTCCCAAAGTGCTGGGATTGCAGGCTGGAGCCACTGCACCCGGCCCCTTTGTCTCCGGTTCTGATGTAGCCTTAAACACATGCCCTGTCCCGGTACCTGCCACACTGCGCCTGCCTATCCTGTCTGCCTCCACATCTGCCTCCATCTTCTCCTTTGTGAACTCCTCAGGGGCAGGAACCAATGTCCTGCTCATTTTTGTGTGTGGCCCCGCATCTAGCACAGCAACAGCAAATGCCTGTTAACTGAATTAGAGAAAGTACATGTCTTGAAAAGCCTAAAAGCAATATCCAGGCAGGACTAAGAAAACAAAAATTACTCACTTTGAATAGCTATGTTATATTTAGTGTTTTCAAATGTCTTAACATCACTGGAAAAAATGAAGTATTTTCTATATGTGATGTTTAGAAATCTGGAATTGAGTCAACAGCATTCTTACCATTGGCTCTCCCTGATTTTGTGGTCACCGATGCGTCAGGTGGGACTGGCTCAGGCAGCTCCTGGGTCTTGGTGCTCTGTGACCTCCCTGGCTGAGCTTGGATTTTCTTCCTTCAGGGTTCCTAGTGTGTCTCCCCTCGCACCCTCCTTGAACAGTGGACTGGAAAGCAGCTTAGCCAGGCTGGGGCTCAAGAGACCTTGGCAGATTCTGGAACCCCAGATTCCTTCCCTAGCATTGTATACAGCCACAAATCCAACTTGTCTGCGTTTCCTTAAAATAAAACCAGTGAAAGAAAGGAAAGAAAGGCAGGCCCTGCTTTCAAATCCACAGCCCCGCAGTGTTCCCCAATCCTGCATTTGTTGGGATTTGAAATCTGCCCTTTGCTCCAGTGTGATGGCCCACGCCAGCATGGGGAGAGTGTCAGGCTTGCTCAGGGCCTCCCTGGCCGCCAGCCTCTTACTTTGAATTCACTGCCCTCCAGCTGCAGGAGGGTCTCTGGGCTCTGGAGCATCACACTTGGTGGGCAGACCTTGCCGCTCTCGGTACCTGCACACCTGCACGGCTGCTAAACCTGCATGCAGCACTCGGTACACGGACTTCACACTTCAGCAGACACTTTCTTTCTTTCTTTCTTTCTTTTTTTTTTTGAGACAGAGTCTTGCTCTGCTGCCCAGGCTGAAGTGCAGTGGCGCGATCTCGACTCACTGCAACCTCCACCTCCTGGGTTCAAGTGATTCTCCTGCCTCAGCCTCCTGAGTAGCTGGGATTACAGGCGCCCACCACCACGCCTGGCTAATTTTTTTTTTTATTTTTAGTAGAGACGAGGTTTCACCACGTTGGACAGGCTGGTCTCCAACTCCTGACCTCAGGTGATCTGCCCGCCTCGGCCTCCCAAAGTGCTGGGATTACAGGCGTGAGCCACCGCACCTGGCCCAGCAGACGCTTTCTGCTTGGTTGCCAGTAATTTCTCAATGAACTTCTGGGGTGCAACTAAATTTTGTATATTTCTTTTCCTAACTCCCCCTGAATCACTGGGTGACCTCAGGCTTAATGGGTCTGTTTCTTTCTCTATAAAATAAGAGGGAGGCTGGGCACAGTGGCTCACGCCTATAATCCCAGCACTTTGGGAGACTGAGGCAGGAGGATCAGTTGAGGCCAGGAGTTTGAGACCAGTGTGGCTAACATGGTGAAACCGCATCTCTACTAAAAATATAAAAAATAGCCAGGTGTGGTGGTGCACGCCTGTAATCCCAGCTACTCAGGAGCCTGAGGCAGGAGAATCACTTGAACCCAGGAGGTGGAGGCTGCAGTGAGCCTAGATCGTGCCACTGCACTCCAGCCTGGGCAACAGAGCGAGACCATGTCTCAAATAATAAAATAAATAAATAAATAAATAAAACAAAATAAGAGGGAGTGTTAAACCAAATCTGAGATTTTGAACTCTTTTTTAGGAATGGGGGATTGATCCCTTTCATTTTAAAAAGAAATGGCTCAGGCTTAGTGGTTCACCCCTGTAATCCTAATGCTTTGGGAGGCCGAGGTGGGAGGAGCACTTGAGGCCAAGAGTTCGGGGCTGCAGTGAGCTATGATCACACCACTGTGCCTAGGTGACAGAACAAGACCTTGTCTCAAAAAAACAAAAACAAAAACAAAACAATTAAAAATTAGCTGGGCGTGATGGCATGCACCTGTAGTCCTAGCTATTCAGAAGGCTGAGGCAGGAGGATCGGTTAAGCCCAGGAATTCAAGGCTACAGTGAGCTCTGATGGCGCCACTGTACTCCTGTCCTGCCTGGGTGACAGAACAAGACCCTGTTTCTAAAAAATAAAAAGTGAAATGAATGAAGGAAGGGAGGAAGGAAGGCGTGAACAAATGAATGAATGAACAAATAAAGAAAAAGTCTTATAAATTAGTCCAAAATGCGGCTGGGCATGGTGGCTCACGCCTGTAATCCCAGCACTTTGGGAGGCCAAGGCAGGAGGATCACCTGAGGTCAGGAGTTCGAGACTAGGCTGGCCAACATGGTGAAACCCTGTCTCTACCAAAACATACTAATACAAAAATTAGCTTGGTGTGGTGATGCATGCCTCTAATCCCAGATACTCAGGAAGCTGAGGTGGAAGTTGCAGTGGGCCAAGATTTCACCACTGCACTCCAGCCTGGGCAACAGAGTGAGACCCTATCTCTAAATAAATAAGTCTAAAACATAAAACAGACCATCATGGAGCTGCCCAGTTTGTGGCGGGAATGAGGAGGCTAGCACAGACCAGTTTTGGGCGAGCCCCCTCCCAACAGCATGGCAGCCCACTCCCTGGGTGCTGGTAGCAGGCAAGAGGCACCCCCACAGTGCCCAGGAGCCAGTGCACACCACTGTTGGGGCCACACCATTGTTACAGCCTGACTCCTTTCATCTTGTCTCTCTCCTTCCTCCTCCTCACCTGTAGGGTTTCAAGTGGAAAATCGAGATTATTTACTGCTTTAGTAAATAAACTTAACGCCCAGTGTACTTTGGGTGGTCAGCATTTCACTAGATGATTTCTAAGGTCCCTTCAGCTCATTCTAATCAGAATTTGCGATCTTGAGGGCTGAGCTGGGCTGGGTTTTACATTGCACTGGAAGGAGAGGATTTGTTTGTGCTGAGAGGAAAGCTGGGGCAGATTCATACAGTTTTAAGAAACCATTTCGGCTGGACGCGGTGGCTCATGCCTATAATCCCAGCACTTTGGGAGGCCGAGGCGGGCAGATCACGGGGTCAGGAGATCGAGACCATCCTGGCTAACATGGTGAAACCCTGTTTCTACTAAAAATACAAAAAAATTAGCCAGGCGGCGTGGTGGGCATCTGTAGTCCCAGCTACTTGGGAGGCTGAGGCAGGAGAATGATGTGAACCCGGGAGGCAGAGCTTGCAGTGAGCCGAGATTGCGCCACTGCACTCCAGCCTGGGCAACAGAGCAAGTCTCTGTCTCAAAAAAAAAAAAAAAAAAGAAAAAGAAAAAGAAAAAAGAAAAAAGAAACCATTTCAAAGCCTGCTAACAGAGTCAGTTTTTTTTGTTTTTTTGTTTTGTTTTGTTTTGCAAATATGCTACTGATTACAAAGGAGTATTTTAAAATTGAAATGGGAACTTTCTAAATTCTTTAAACATGTTCCATATGGGCTTCAGAATAATATAGTGGGCAGCAGGACTAGAGGTTTATACAGATGAAACCTCATCAGCCATTTAGTGACTGTTCAAGCTGGGTATTGTGCACATAGGAGTCTCCTACTCTATCCTCTTTACTTCTGTACATGTTTGAAATTTTACATCTGAAAGCGTTTTCTGAAGCAGTCCGTAATTCAGACTTCACGGCTGTCCTTCCTCGCCTGACTGCAAATGGCAGGATTTGCTGCTGTGTTAATATGTTTAACATGAAGACATGACTTGATATTCATTACCTGTAATGCAGCCATTGCTTCCTTTTAGATTCCAGAGTGTTTCTGTAACCATTCAGCACCTGAATCACAGTATTTCATCTTGTAAATCAATTGCAGGCGTCAGCTTCAGACTCAAGCAAAACTGGTTTTAGAGGAAAACAAGTTGTTGCTGGAGCAGTTGGAGATTCAGCAAAGGAAAGCCAAGGACAGCCACCAGGAGCGCCTCCAAGAAGGTGAGGTCCTTCCAGTGAGGACTGGTCATGCATTGATGTCACTATTGTCATTTTACCCTTCTATCTCTCTCCTGCCGGGGGCCCCAGTTGAAAATGAGAGAAGTCATGTTTTGCATTTTTGACTGGAATGTGGCTGTTTATAACCTTTCCACGTCACTACCCTCAATGCATAGATTGCTTTTTCAGACTCCACAGTGTCTCTCATCATCCCATGGGTTTGTAAATCACTCGTAGGTAATAGTGCTAGACTCAGCAGAACTGGTTTTGGGGTAAAATAGTACCTTAGAAATGGGAATGATCACGTGAGGTAAACATCTGAAATAACACAGGGTCTCTTCCCAGATGTTTGTTGGATGCGTAAGCAGAACCATTCACTTTCTAAACAGTTCCCCTGTGTCCTTCCTTCCTTCAGAGCTGCGGGCCTGGGAGGCGACATCACTGCAGGTTAGATTTCCATCAAACACCTTCCGAGAGTGTCCCTCTTCCCATCTCTTCCCATGCATTCCCCCAACCCCTAGGAGCCTCATAGTCTGTGACAGTGCACAACTGTAAGGGGGCCAGGTTAAGAGTCATCGCTTCTGCTTTAAAACCGTAATTCATGAGTACAAAAGATAGTGGCATTTTTTCCCTTTGCTTTACTGATTTTTCTTTCTTAGTGAAGAATGGCATAGGCTGGGAAGCTGAAACACAAGCCATCTTGCATGAGGCTGTGGCACCCTGAGAAGCAGATGGAGGTTTTCCCTCTCCAGCTGCTTTTGGAATGGCAGCCCCTTCCACAGCATGGCAGGTCCATGAACAGCCCCTGCTGTTGCTGCAGTTGCAGGGCTAGCACTTCCTGTTTCTGAGAACCAGGTCGTGTTTAAAGATGAGAGCATCTCCCAGAGATGCACACAGGAGTTTCCTCCATGTGATTTCTCCTGAGACCTGCATGGCCCAGGAGTATTTGCCTTTACTCCGGCATTGTTAAGAGGAGAGGGGAAACAGAGTTGTGGAGCCTCTTATCTTTGTTTTCAGGGTTAGGGATGACATTAGTTTCCTATTTACTGAGCTTAATTTTCTTGAATATACCAGATCTGAACAGAAAGAGGATTTCTGGTCACATGGGGCAGGGAAAACCTTTTGACCTCTATGATTCAGTGAGTTGCCTGTGCTATTTTCCCATTGCCCAGAAACAGCGATTCACTTTGACCAATTAGATATTTTCTTTTTATTTTTTTTGAGACAGTCTCACTCTGTCGCCCAGACTGGAGTGCAGTGGCATGATCTAGGCTCACTGCAACTTCCGCCTGCCAGGTTCCAGCGATTCTCCTGCCTCAACCTCCCGGGTAGCTGGGATTACAGTCACGCGCCACCACTCCCGGCTAATTTTTGTATTTTCAGTAGGGGTGTTTCACCATGTTGGCCAGGCTGGTCTTGAACTCCTGACCTCAAGTGATCCACCCACCTTGGCCTCCCAAAATGCTAGGATTACAGGCGTGAGCCACTGTGCCCAGCCACCAATTAGATATTTTCATAGAGTAGAGAGATGTACAGTTTTATGCTATAATAAATACCTCTAAGTGCTAGTGTCGGCAGACGCTTGGGAATTATTACATGCAACCATGTAACACAGGATGAAAATATTTATGACTTACTTTAGATACAAGACATAAAATAAAAGTTTAATGACGAAAGGGAAGGAGAATAATAAATCCAGTTCTTAGTTTGGCCATGTTTGATGTCCTTAAAAATCTTGAAAATTTTGCAGCTTTAGGGACAACGTTATGACATATACTTACACACCTGGGTGTGATTTAAGGCTTTACTCTTAGGAAAGTCAGTTCCTTGAAGACTGGAATCATGTTTGGTAAAATATTATAGTGGATTTTATTTTAAAAAGTATATATTTAGTGAGTGCTTAATGTAGAGATAGTAATTTCTTTTGGCTTTTTTGGTTTTTGTTTTTGGAGACAAGGTCTCGCTGTGTCATCCAGGCTGGAGTGCAGTGGCCCAGTCACGGCTCACTATAGTCCTGAACTTCTGGGCTCAAGCAGTCCTCCTGCCTCAGCCTCCCGGATATCTGGGACCACAGACGCATGTCACCATGCCCTGCTAATTTTTAAATTTTTATGTAGAGATGGGGTCTCACTATGTTACCCAGGCTGGTCTCAAACTCCTGACCCCAAGCAATACTCCCCTCAGCCTCCCAAAGGGCTGGGGTTACAGGTATGAGTCACTGTGCCTAGTATGGACAGTAACTTCTAAGGACAAAGCCTTTGGTGTTAATTTATAACACTCCAAAATATCTTTTTTTTTTTTTTTTTTTCTGAGAGAGTCTCACTCTGTTGCCCAGGCTGAAGTGCAGTGGCGTGATCTCAGCTCACTGAGCCTTCTCGCCTCCTGGGTTCAAGTGATTCTCTGCCTCAGCCTCCTGAATAGCTGGGATTACAGGCGCCTGCCACCACGCCTGGCTAATTTTTGTATTTTTAGTAGAGACAGGGTTTCACCAACTTGGCCAGGCTGGTCTTGAACTCCTGACCTCGTGATCCACCCGCCTCAGCCTCCCAAAGTGCTGGGATTACAGGTGTGAGCCACCACGTCTGGCTCAAAAGATCTTTAAAAGGTCATTTTTATCAGCTGACTCTCATTAGTATTTCCTAATAGCCCATAATTGTGTTTTGTGAGGTCTTCTGTGCCAAGTTTTTATCTTCCTCTTTTGATTTTCAGTTTCTAAGCTGACTAAACAACTAATGCTCCTGGAGGCAAAAACCCACGGCCAGGAAAAGGAGCTGGCGGAGAACAGGGAACAGCTGGAGATTTTACGTGCCAAATGCCAAGAACTCAAAACACACTCGGATGGCAAAATCGCAGTGGAAGTTCATAAATCAATTGTGAATGAATTAAAAAGGTAAGGATTTAATGTTTTTTCTTTTTTTTTTTTTTTCTTTTTTCGAGACAGGGTCTTGCTATGTTGCTCAGGCTGGTCCCAAACTCCTGGGCTCAAGTGATCTGCCCATCCCAGCCTCTCAAAGTTTTGGGATTACAGGCATGAGCCACTGCGCCCAGCTGATTTAATGACTTTTTGAGTATAATGAGTCACTCTGCCTGTGGTTATAGGCAGAATGGAGAGAGGTTGCTCAGTTCTTTCTGGGTTTCTTCACCTATGGTCATGCACAGCATAGTGGCACAGGTGTCTGAAAGTGAGACTGGGACTTTTTTTTTTTGGGACGGACTCTCACTCTGTTGCGCAGGCTAGAATGCAGTGGTGCAGTCTCGGCACCTGTAACCTCCACCTCCTGGGTTCAAGTGATTCTCCTGCCTCAGCCTCCTGAGTATCTGGGATTACAGGGGCGGCTCACCACACCTGCCTAATTTTTGTATTTTTGGTAGAGACGGGGTTTCACCATGTTGACCAGGCTGGTCTCAAACTCCTGACCACAAGTGATCTGCCTGCCTTGACCTCCCAAAGTGCTGGAATTACAGGTGTAAGCCATCACGCCCAGCCTGACTTTTTTTTTCTTTTAATAACTTTGGTAATAAATGGTAAATTAAAGTAGAGCCTGGCTCTCCTTGAGGGCTGCAGTCTGCACTTTGGGTGTTTGTGATTTTTTTTTCATACTGTTTTGGCCTGTGTTAGTTTTAGAACCAAAGGCAATTTAAAATAGTGGAACTGGGCTGGGGGTAGTGCCTCATGCCTGTGATCCCAACACTTTGAGAGGCCAAGGCAGGCAGGTCACTTGAACCTGGAAATTTGAGACCAGCCTGGGCAACATGGCGAAACTGCATGTCTACCAAAAAAAATAATAATAATACAAAAACTAGCCAGGCGTGGTGGTATGCGCCTGTGGTCCCAGCTACATGGGAGATCGAGGCTGCAGTGAGCTGAGATCACGCCACTGTACTCCAGCCTGGGCAACAGAGTAAGACCCTGTCTCCTATCTCAAAAAATGATAAATAAATAAAATAGTAAAACTGGAAACCTAGATATCCAGTAATAAGGAATTAGTTAAATGAAAGGATATATCCTTGAAATGGAAGGAAATGCAGTCATTAAATATGATGTGACACAAGATCCTTTTTGACATAGGAAAATAGCCACCATATGTCTGTTTTTTTACAATGTTGCTCAGGCTGGTCTGGTCTCAAACTCCTGGACTCAAGCAGTTCTCCTACTACCTCAGCCCCACAAGTAGCTGGGACTACAGGGGCGTGCCTGCCTGGCCACAATATATTTTAAGTAATGAGTTTAGGTTTTAAAACAGCACATAGAAAATGATTACAATTTTATTTTTTAAGACGTGTGTGTGGCCGGGCACGGTGGCTCACACTTGTAATCCCAGCACTTTGGGAGGCCGAGGCGGGTGGTTCAGCTGAGGAGGGGAGTTTGAGACCAGCCTGGCCAACCTGGTGAAACCCTGTCTCTACTGAAAGTATAAAAATTAGCCAGGCATGGTGGCAGGCACCTGTAATCCCAGCTACTCGGGAGGCTGAGGCAGGAGAATTGCTTGAACCTGGGAGGCGGAGGTTGCAGTGAGCTGAAATTGCAATACTGCACTCCAGCCTGGGGGACAAGAGCGAGACTTTGTCTCAAAAAAAAAAAAAAAAGTGTGTGTGTATGTGTGTGTGTAACCAACCATAACAGTTTGCCTGGGACTGAGGGGTTTCCCAGGATGTGGGACTTATAGTGCTAAAATTGGGAATGTCCTAGGCAAAGTGAAATGAGTTGATCATTCTAGTATGTATGTATAAATGTATGTGTTTGTATAATTACATGTGTATGTGCGTGTATATATATACCTATGTATGGTATGTATGTAATTGGTAATTGGCCAATTGGTAATAGTCCGGGTAGGAGGATTGCTTGAGCCTAGGAGTTTGAGATCAGCCTGGGCAACATTGTGAAACAACAACAACAACAACAACAACAACAACAAAAAAATATATATATATATATATGGTGGCTATTTTCTCATGTCAAAAAGAATCTTGTATGTGTGTGTATGTAAGAGAGAGAGATATGGTATATATACATATGGTATATATGATAATTATGTATAGGAAACATACATAATTAATATGTGTAACTAATATATGTATAATTATATAATATTTTGTATAATTATATATGAATATTTTATATATTTATATTTTTTATTATTATATATTTATATATTCTATTTTTTAAATTTTTTTTAATTTTTTTTGAGACGGAGTCTCACTGTCGCCCAGGCTGGAGTGCAGTAGCGCTATCTCGGCTCACTGCAGGCTCCGCCCCCCGGGGTTCACGCCATTCTCCTGCCTCAGCCTCCCGAGTAGCTGGGACTACAGGCGCCCACCACCTCGCCCGGCTAATTTTTTGTATTTTTAGTAGAGACGGGGTTTCACCGTGTCAGCCAGGATGGTCTCGATCTCCTGACCTCGTGATCCACCCGCCTCAGCCTCCCAAAGTGCTGGGATTACAGGCATGAGCCACCGCGCCCGGCCATATTTTATATAAATTATAAAATTATATGTGTGTAGCTATATAAAATTACATATGTACTGTAAGTACATAGAAAAAAGGCAGAATGGGAAAATATTAATAGAACATATCTTTGGCAGATGAGATTGTAAGTGTTTCAACCAGGGTTTTCGAGAGAAGCAACCAATAGGATAGTGAGAAAAAGAGAGAGAGTGAGATTTCTTTTAAAAATTGGCTCACACAATTGTGGGGGCAGGCAAGCTCAAAATTCATATGGCAGGCCAGCCCATTGGAAACCCAGGCAGGATCTCCATCTTACAGTTTTGAGGCAGAACTCCTTCATTGAGAAACCTGTTTTTGATCTTAAGGCCTTAGATTAGGCTCACCTACATTACTGAGAGTAAATCTCCTTTATTTAAAGTCAACTGATTGTAAATGTTAACGACATCAACAAAATACTTCACAGCAACGTCTAGTGTTTGAGCAAACAACTGGGCACCATAGCCGAGCCAAGGTGACACATAAAATTAACCATCACAATGAGTAATTTTAATTTTCTTTTTTTTCCTTTTTTTTTTTTTGAGACAGAGTCTTACTCTGTCACCCAGGCTGGAGTGCAGTGGCGCGATCTTGGCTCACTGCAGCCTCCACCTCCTGGGTTCAAGCAATTCTCATGCCTCAGCCCCACTCATAGCTGGGATTACAGGCATGTACCACCACATCCGGCTAGTTTTGTATTTTGTTGGCCAAGCTGGTCCTGAACTCCTGGCCTTAAGTGATCCGCCTGCCTAGGCCTCCCAAAGTGCTGGGATTACAGGTGTGAGCCACCAGCCTGGCCTTTTGTATGTTTTTATATTTCCAAGTGTCCTATTCACTTTTGTAATAAGGGGGAAATAATGTTTTAAACGGTGAGCCTTTCAGCTCAAAATGGTTGACTGAATACCTATTGACTTCTGTTTCTCTCCAACTCCTCCTTCTCCCTCCATAGCATTGGTGTGGGGCAACAAATGAGCTAGTGCATGTGAAGCTTGGTGCTTAAGTAAATGCTAGTGATTCCAATTACTGGAGCCTGGTTTTGACTCTGCTATTACATGCTGACTAAGCCAGACTCGTGCTTTTCTTTTTCTTTTTTGAGATGAGATCTCCCTCTGTCACCCAGGCTGAAGTGCAGTGGTACGATCTTGGCTCACTGCAACCTCCACCTCCTAGGCTCAAGCTATCCTCCGCTTCAGCCTCCTGAGTAGCTGGGACCACAGGCACGTGCCATAGCACCTGGCTATTTTTTGTATTTTTATTAGAGACAGGATTTCACCATGTTGCCCAGGCTGATCTTGAGCTGGGCTCAAGCAGTCCACTCACCTTGGCCTTCCAAGTGCTGAGATTCCAGGCATGAGCCACCATGTGTGGCCAGACATGTGCTTTTTTGTTGTAGTAGAGGAAGGAAACATTTTTGAAATCATGTTCATCTTTATAATTTTATTTTTCTCAAACATCTGCTCCTGCGACCAATGTGTTTTTGTGGCAGTGTCATAACTACAAAAACATACAGCCATGTACCACATAACAATGCTTCAGTCAACAATGGACCACATATACGACAGTGGTCCCATACAATTATAATGGGGCCAAAAAATTCCTATCACTTAGTGATGTCACAGCCATTGTAACATCGTAGAGCAATGCATTACTCTCGTGTTTGTGGTGATGCTGGTGTAAACAAACCTACGGCACTGCCAGTCCTGTGAAAGCCTAGCACATGCAGTTATGGACAGTACATAATACTTGATAATGATAGTAAATGACTGTGTTACTGGTTTATGTATTTACCCTACTTTTTATTGTTATTTTAGAGTGTACTCCTTCTACTTATAACAAAATAAAGTTAACTGTAAAACAGGCTCAGGCGGGTCCTTCAGGACGTGTCCAGAAGCAGGCATTGTTATCACAGGAGGTGACAGCTCCATGTACGTTACTGACCCTGAAGAGTTTCCAGTGGGATGAGACATGGAGGTGGAGGACAGTGACATTGATGATCCTGTCCCTCTGCAGGCCTAGGCTCCTGTGGCATTTGTTCTTCATTTTTTTAAAAAATGTGTAGAAAGTTTAAAAAAAATTTAATAGAAAAAAGCTTGAGAGTAAGAATATAAAATTAGAAAATATTTGTACAATGTGTGTTTTAAGCTGTGTTATAAAAAAGTCAAAAAGTTAAAAAATTAAAAAGTTTATAAAGTAAAAAGTTACAGTATACTAAAATTAATCTATTATTGAAGAAAGAACAATTTTAAAAATAATTTAAATGTAGCCTAATTGTACAGTATTTAGTCTACGAGAGTGTACAGTAATGTCCTAGGCCCTCACATGCACCCACCACTCACTGACTCACCCAGAGCAATTTCTTTCCAGTCCTGCAAGCTCTATTCATGGTTAAGTGCCCTGTACAGGTGTACCATTTCTCTCTCTCTCTCTCTCCCTCCCTCCCTCCCTCTCTCTCTCGCTCTCTCTCTCTCTCTCTCTCTCTGAGGCAGAGTCTCGCTCTGTCACCCAGGGGCTGGAATAGTGCAGTGGCACGATCTCAGCTCACTACAACCTCTGCCTTCTGGGTTCAAGCAATTCTTGTGCCTCAGCCACCTGAGTAGCTGGGATTATAGGAGTGTGCCACCACGCTTGGCTAATTTTTGTATTTTTAGTAGAGACGGGGTTTCACCATGTTGGCCAGGCTGGTCTTGAACTCCTGGCCTCAAGCATTCTGCCTGCCTCAGCCTCCCAAAGTGCTGGGATTACAGGCATGAGCCACTGCATCTGGCCTATCTCATCAATCTAGGTTGACTGGTATTTCATTAGAATATGTGTAGGTGTGGGGGTCTTTTTTTCATTCGCTGCAGTGGGTACCTCTGCAGTGAATCCACCAAGGTCTTCAGAGGTCTGCAGATGCCCTTCAGCTATTCACTTCTTCCTTTCTGGTGTCTCTCGTATCCTTCTGAGGTTCCTGATGACCTAAGGCTGGACCTCCTGGATGGGTCCTCCACTTCTAGTACCTTTTCTCTCCATTTCCCAATCGTTTGTTTCCTTAGTTCTGAGAGATTCCTCAAATATATCTTTCAGCCCTTGTGATATTTTTTAAATTCTGGTAATCATGTTTAGTCTGGCTCTTATTTAGTGACTGTACTTTCTTTTCTCATGGCATTTTGTTCTTTTAAAACTTCCTTAGTCCTCTGTTATCTCAGTTTCCCTTGAGCTTCTCTGCTTATCTGGATCTCTCTTTCATGTTGCAATTTCTTTCATCATGCCTAATGACCCTTGTTGCTTGTTCACATCTAGTCATCTGTTCTGATTTTAGGAAGAGGAACTACTGGTACTTGGTGTGTACTGTGTCAGTTGAGGGATTTTCTGCCCTGGTGGTTCCCTGTGCAGGCATCTCCCTGGCTGCTGAGCAGGCCTCTGTGTATATAGATAAGGTGCATGCAATGGTCAGCTTTACTTTAGGATACAGGTCTCCCACAAGCCAGGATAAAGGCTTCCCTTTGTAGATACAACCTGTCCCCTTAAATCTTTAGCTCTCCCCAAAAGAGTTTGCTAAATTTCCTTAGAGAAGTGGGTTGACACCTTGTTTTTCTCCCACCTTCATCTTGAGTAAGCCCAATCTTTCTAGAAAATAGTAAAAGCAAAGAGAGCCATCTCTGCTTCCACATGTGACCGCCAGTCCAATCCAAAGCCAACTGACAGCTCACCAGGAACATGAGCTTGTGCCATTTCCCGCATCATTGTTCCTTCCATGCAGGGTTGCCAATGGGCAGAGAAAGCAAGACAAAATACCCATTATTTGCCTTCTTTTCAACCAGGGTAGGTGAAAGAACACATACACACCACACCTCGAGGCTTGCCCCACACAAGTTCAATGAGCCCTTTTATCCCTACACAAAAATCTTGTCCTCATGACCTCACCTTTGCCTGAGGCATAACCCTTTCCCAAACTCCTCCCCAGACATTCCCCCGGTGTGAGCGCTGGTTCAGCAGCTGCTTTGCTGATAAATCAGTGAGTATTCTGCATGTGGCCTATCTCTATTATGATGCCAACATGGGAAGGGGCTCCCTAGTGGAGGCTGTCGGAGGGCACTTCTGCTCCCTTGCCCTCCGAAGTGCCCTCCAAAGCTCCAAGGTGTCCTCAGCTTCTGTAGCCAAAACAAAAACACTCAGTTTCCTACTCCTCATTTTGTCTATTTTTCACTAGGTCTTCATGGAATTCCACATATTCGAGCTCTGATGAATTCCTGCCCCTCTTCCATGTTATAAATTCTCTCTCCAAACACCGCCCCTTCCGCGGGACAGCCCATTAGGGTCACACTCCCGGCTCCATCCTTCTCATTCCTCTACCCTTGACCCATCTATCGACTCTGAGCCCAAAGCTGTTCAGCCAAAGCTGCCATAAAGGCTTTCCCTCCCCAGCCAGTTCATTCTGAGCCACAAAGGTCTTTCTCCAATTTCCACTGAAAAAAGATTTGGTGGCATCTTTGTTATTTTAAAATGGTCATTTCTCCCCCTGCCTTCACCATTAATGACTTCTTTTTAAACTTTTTATACCTTCTTTACTTACATCTAGGGGGCTATCAAAACACAATCGTGTGTCACTTAATGGGGATACATTCTGAGAAACTCATCATTAAGTGATTTCGTCATTGTGTGGGTATCACAGAGTGTGCTCACACAAAGCCACATGGCATAGCCTCCTGCACACAGAGGCTAGATGGTGGAGCTGTTTGCTCCTAGGCTACAAACCTGCACAGCATGTTACTGTACTGAACACTGCAGGCAACTATAAACCAATGGTAAGTATTTGTGTATCTAAACATATCTAAACAGAAAAAGTACAGTCAAAATACAGTAGAAAAGATAAAAATGGGGCCGGGCACAGTGACTCATGCCTGTAATCCCAGCACTTTGGGAGGCCGAGGCAGGTGGATCAGTTGAGGTCAGGAGTTCAAGACCAGCCTGGCCAACATGGCAAAAGCCTGTCTCTACTAAAATTACAAAAATTGGCCAAGTGTGGTGGCATGCGCCTATAATCCTAGCACTTTGGGAGGCTGAGGTGGGCAGATCACTTGAGGTCAGGAGATCAAGACCAGCCTGACCAACATGGTGAAACGCCATCTCTACTAAAAATACAAAAATTAGCCAGGTGTGTTGGCACATGCCTGTAGTCCCAGCTGCTCAGGAGGATGAGGCAGGAGAATGGCTTGAACCCAGGAGGTGGAGGTTGCAGTAAGCCAATATCACGCCATTGCACTCCAGCCTGGGCGACAAAGTGAGAATCCGTCAAAAAAAAAAAAAAAATAGAGAAACCACAGACATGTTTGGAGGGAAAGCATTTATGGACTGTCCTCAGAATGTTAGACTAAAATGTGTTATCTTTATTCTCTTCTTTTAGTTTAAGATATGATCTCATCTTGTCTCAGGCTGGAGTGAAGTGGCTCAATCATGGCTCACTTGCAGCCTTGAACTCCAGGCTCAAGCGATTCTCCTGCCTCAGTCTCCCCAGTGGCTGGGACTATAGTCACGCGCCATCGTGCGGGGCTAATTATTAAGTATTTCTGCAGCGATGGGGTCTTGCTGTGTTGCCCAGGTTGGTCTTGGACTCCTGTTCTCAAGTGACCCTCCTGCCTTGGCCTACCAAAGCGATGGGATTATAGTCATGAGCCACCATGCCTGGCCCCTGGTCTTTCTTCCTTAAGCCACAGGGAATAAAAGTGTTTCATTTCATCTGGGAGGGTTTTAAGAAAGTCCTGGGTGAGGCCAGGCGCAGTGACTCAAGCCTGTGATCCCAGCACTTTGGGAGGCCAGGGCGGGAGGATCTCTTGGGCCCAGGAGTTTGAGACAGAGAAGCTCTAAAATTTCTTCAGGGAACTACAAAACATGACATAGTGGATTTGAAAAAGAAACAAATAGAATTTTTAGAACTGAAACACACAATAGCCAAAATTAAGAATTCTTACTCTTAAAGATGTTGTTTATATATATATTATATGTATGTATATATATTTATATATGTAACTATTAGTATTTATATATATATCTATATATGAGGATAATAAGATGGAGAGAGACTTGCAGTCAGGAGGACTGCTTTAGATACAGTGTTCAAGGGAGGCCCCTGAGGAGGGGATGGTTGATTCAAGGCAGGATGCCTGAGAAGCAAGAAGGAAGTAAAATGAAAGTAAATGATAGTGGTAAATATATAGATAAATGTAATGAACACTAAGTCTATAAAATGATAATATCTTTGGGGATTTAAGAATACATAAAATTAAAAGGCACAACAATAATAGCATATAATCAGGCACAAGGCACATGGAGTTTGTGTTCTAAAGTCTTTATATCATTAGAAGAGGATAAAAGTGTTGACTAATTTTATAATTTGAAAATATGCATGATGAAATTTCTGGAAACAATGTATATAACTTTTAAACTAGTATGGGGGTAAAAAGAATGATTAAAAAACAATCCAAATAAGAGCAGGAAAATGAAAGGTGGGCAAGGGGCGAATAGAAAACAAAAAGTAAAATGTTAGATTTAAAGCCAAACATACCAGCAGTAGATACGCTAAATGGATAAAATGCTCCAGTTAAAAGACAAAGAATGTCACAGTGTAAACTAAAGCACATCTGTGTTGTCTTTAAGATATATGTCCCAAGCATAAGGATAGAGAAAGGTCAAAAGTAAAAGGGCAGGAAAAGCAGTACTACTCAAGTACAAACCAAAATAGACATGGTAGATCTTAATCTCTAACAAGGTAGATGTTAAGGTAAAAAATACTACTTAGGCCAGGCATGGTGGCTCAGTCCAGAGGTTCAAGACCAGCCTGGGTAACATAGGGAGACCTTGTCTCTGCCATAAATTTAAAAACTAACTGGGTGTGATGGCTTACCGTCTGTAATCCCAGCTAATCAGGAGGCTGAGGCAGGAGGATGACTTGAGCCCAGGAGTTTGAAGCTGCACTGAGCAGTGATTGCACCACTGTACTCTAGCCTGGGCAACAGAGTGAGACCCTGTCTCAAACAGAACAGACAACAATACTAAGCAAAGAGGATGATTCACAAAGATAAAAGGCTCAATTTACCAAGTAGAATTCACACAAATTTAAATTTGTGTGCACCTAGAAATAATTTATGTCAATACATTTGAAAATTTAGATGAAATAGTCAAATTCTTTGAAAAGCTTACCTTAAAACTGACTCAAGAAGAAGAAGAATACCTGAATAGTCCTATAATCATTAAAAGAATTGAATTAAAAAAAAAAATCTTCCTTTGAAAACTCCAGGCCTGGATACCTTCACTAGAGAGCTCTACAAATATTCAAGGAAGAAATAATTTCAGTCTTACATAAACCTTTCTAGAAACAGAAAAAGAATTAATGCTCCTTAATCTAATGAGGTTAGTATAACCTTGATACCAAAACCCAACAGTGATCATATAAGAAAGGAAAATTACTTTTCATTTCACTTATGAATGTAGATGTAAAACTTCTATTAAATTCTAACATTCTAAAGTTCTATTAAAAAATACAGCTACAATAAAGATCACACCAAATAGGGAAATGTTGAAAGCTTTCCTATTGAGATTGGAAACAATACAAGGTTGCCCTCTGACACCATTTCTGACAACATTAACAGCACTGGCTACCAAGTGGTAACTGACACACGTGGCATGAAAAACTTAGAAGGTTTGGGAAAAGGGAAAACAATAGTGTCATTATTCATAAATGACATAATTCTATCTGTAGAAAACAAATCTACAAATCATTAAAAATAAGAGGTTTTAGCAAAATTGTTCAAAACAGAAAATTTATAAAAATTAATTGTATTTCTTTGTAGGAAAAAAATGTGTAGAAAATGGTATTTTGGGCCAGGCCTGGTGGCTTACACCTGTAATCCCAGCACTTTGGGAGGCTGAGGCAGGTGGATCATGAAGTCAAGAGATCGAGACCATCCTGGCTAACAGGGTGAAACCCCATCTCTACTAAAAATACAAAAATTCGCTGGGTGTGATGGCGCATGCCTGTAGTCCCAGCTACTTGGGAGGCTGAGGCAGGAGAACCGCTTGAACCTGGGAGGCGGAGGTTGCAGTGAGTGGAGGTGGCGCCACTGCATTCCAGCCTGGTGACAGAGTGAGACTCCATCTCAAAAAAAAAAAAAAGGAAGAAAGAAAATGATATTTTGAAAACTAAGGTAATGATAGGCTATCATCATGAGAAAAAATTTTTTTAATTAAAAGGAAGGAACCATCGACAAAGCTTCACAAATAGATGTGGAAAGATTTACAGTACTTCCGTTGGGAAAATTATGAAACTTTATTGATTACATGATTTCACTGGGTGAAGAATTCCAAGCTGACAGGTTTTTGGTAGTTTGTGGGTTTTTTTCCATTCAGTTTTAAAGATGCTGGCTGTTGATAGTCTTTTGGCTTGCGTCGTTTATGATGAAAATCTGCTGTCACGGTTATCTGTATTCTTCTGAAGATAACGTGTGTTTTCTCTGAGGCTTCTTTTAAGAATTTTTCATTGTCACTGTTTTTCAGCATTTTAATTGGGATATGCCTTAGCATGGTTTCTTTCTTTCTTTCAGACCCTTTTTTGCACAGGGTCTGGCTCTGTTGGACAGGCTGGAGTGCAGTGGTGCAATCACTGCTTGCTCCAGCCTTGACCTCCTGGGCTCAAGTGATCCTCCTGCCTCAGCCTCTCGAGTAGCTGGGACTACAGGCATGTGCCACTGCTCCCGGCTAATTTTTAAATCTTTTGTAGAGACAGAGTCTTGTTACGTTGCCCAGGCTGGTCTCAAACTCCTGGCCTTGAGGGAGCCTCCTGCCTTGGCCTTCCAAAGTGCTGGGATTACAGTGGGGGACCCCACACCCGGCCAGCATGGTTTCTTTACTCTACATGAAGTTCATTAAGCTTCTTGGGGCTATCAGTGTGTATTTTTCATCAAGTTTGGAAATCTTTTGGCTATTATTTCTTGAACGGTCTCTTCTGTTTTTCCCTCTCACCTCTCCTGGACTGCTTGATGTTGTCCTGTTGACTGTTCTGTTCACTTTTAGCCCACACTTGTTTCTCTCTGGGCTTCAATCAGACAGTGTCTATTACTATCTCTCTTCAACTTCACAAATCTATCCTTCTACAATCTAATCTGCTGTTAGTCCCATCCAATATATTGTTCACTTTGTGTAATGATTTTTCCCATCTCTGTAAGAAAGATCCATTTGAGTCTTTTTTGTATTCTCCGTCTCTGTCCCCAGCATGCTATTTTTCTCTTCTTTCTCAAATGTAGGAGCATGTTTTTCTAAAAACCTTTGTTTGCCAACGCCATCATCTCTCTCACTTCTGAATCTGTTCTGTTGATTTTTTCCCCTCCTGATCATGGATCATATTTTATTGCTTATTCTCATGCTTGATTGGGTGCTGGATGGTGTAGATTTTATGTTACAGGATGTTAGACATATTGCATTGCTTTAAATAGTGTTAGATTTCATTCTGGTGCACACTTAAGCCACTAGAGAATTGTTGGATTATTTATTTATTTGTTTACTTTCTTTTCTGTTTTCTTTTTTTTTTTCTTTTTGTAGAAACAGGGTCTTGTTATGTTGCCCAGGCTGGTTTTGAGGTCCTGGGCTCAAGGGATCCTCCCACCTCAGCCTCCCAAAGTGCTGGGATTACAGGTGTGAGCCACCGCATGTGGCTAAGCTGGATTCTTTCAAAGCTGATTTTTGTTAGGGTGGGCCCAAAGCAACCTCTAGTCTTAGGGCTAAGTTAGCCCCACTGCTAAGACAGTAACACTCTTCTAAGGATTCTATCCAATATCTCTTTTATTATAAGGCCTTTCCATTCTGACTGGTGGGGTATGAACTATTTCCTGTTCTTTGTGCATGTCAGAAATTGTTCTGCCTACTGTTTGTAGTGTTTCTTTCCTAGGCTTTACGCAGTTTCCTCTCACACACGGACAGATCAGTACCCAGCCAAAGACCCTTCAAGGTCTCTAGAGCCCTTTCTCGCTCCGTGAAACGCCCTCTGCCCTGCCCTGGAAATTCCAGCTGCCTTGACCTTCCTGCTCTTGGATCTCTGGCTCCTGGGCTCAGCAGGTGTCTGCCAGACAAGAAGGTGGAGGGAGCAGTTGCAGCACTCACCTTGTTTTCCCTTCCCTTTGGGATCACAGTCCTGCCTCGCCTGTTGTCCAAAGTCCGAAAACTGTTGTTTCTTCTGTTTTGCCTGGTTTTTTAGCTGAGGAGTAAATCTGGTCTCTGTAACTCTATCTTGGCTGAAAGCAGAAGTCTTGGTATTTTCAACATTCTTCTTTAACCTTTTATCGTTAATCCAGTTCAACAATTTATCCAATAAAATAATAGTTAAATAAGTTTTCAGTGAAATAAATGAATCTTGGATTTTGTATGTTTTACAGTTACAGTTGACAAACCTTAAAATCATATATTGTTGTGTATTCCTGCTGCGCTGGTAAAGGATGCAGCCCCTATCCCAAGTTACTCTCTATGCAAATTCGGTAACACCCAAGCTGGTGTTCAGCAAAATAAGTGCCCCTTTGTTCTTTGTTTCTTTTGTCTTAAAAACATGTATTTATAATTACATTATTATGGAAAAATTGTTTTAGCAGGTTTTTTTTAAATAAATCTGGCATTTATAACCATGTAAAAAATAGAGCTATCTTAGATTTTTTGGAAGGAATAGGGTATACACACACATACACACACACACACACACACACACACACACACACAGAGAGAGAGAGAGACAGAGAGACAGAGACATAAGCCAAAACTGTGGGAGAAAAAGAGGTTAGATCATCACCATCAAAGAAGTTTGTGGCCAGGTGTGGTGGCTCATGCCTGTAATCCGAGCTCTTTGGAAAGCTAAGGCAGGAGGATCACTTGAGCCCAAGAGCTCGAAACCAGCCTGGGCAACATAGTGAGACTTCATCTTTACAAAAAATACAAAAATTAGCCAGGTATCATGTGTGCCTGTGGTCCCAGCAACTTGGGAGGCTGAGGTAGGAGGATTGCTTGAGTCCAGAAGTTCGAAGCTGCAGTGAGCCATGATTGTGCCACTGCACTCCAGCCTGGGCAACAGAGTGAGACCCTGTCTCACACAGACACACACGTAGTGTGTGCCCAGCCACACCCTCTCTCCGGTGGTCTAGCAGCTTGGTCCCAGGTCCTCTAGGGCCCAGGATGGGGAGATGTTTCCACAGAGGCATTCCAAGTGACCCACCCAGGGGCTGGAGGGCTGGGCTGTTATCACTCATCTTCCTCGTTATGTGACTGCCCCATTTTAGCTTCATTGTGCTGGATACGAGCATGTAATGTTTTTGTCCTTCAGCCAATTACAGAAGGAAGAAGAGAAAGAAAGGGCTGAGATGGAGGAGTTGATGGAGAAGCTGACAGTCCTGCAAGCGCAGAAGAAGAGCCTGCTGTTAGAGAAGAACAGTTTGACAGAGCAAAACAAAGCACTGGAAGCCGAACTTGAACGAGCACAGAAAATCAATAGGTTTGTGTCTTTTTTTCCTTTAAGTTGCTTTTATTTTCAATAGTTAAAAAAGACAAATGGTCTGGGTACAGTGGCTCACTCCTGTAATCCCAGCACTTTGGGAGGCTGAGGCAGGCGATCATTTGAGGTCAGAAGTTCAAGACCAGCCTGGCCAACATGGCAAAACCCCGTCTCTACTAAAAATACAAAAATTAGCCAGGCGGTAGTGGCACGCACCTGTAGTCCCAGCTACTCGGGAGGCTGAGGCAGGAGAATCATTTGAGCCTGGGAGGCAGAGGTTGCGGTGAGCCGAGATCACGCCACTGCACTCCAGCCTGGGCAACAGAGTGAGACCCTGTCTCAAAAAAAAAAAAAAAGACAAATGAAGAATATTCCATTTCATTTCTTTTAATCTTTTCTTTTTCTAATAGTGGCTATAAAATGGAAAAGGGTAATTGAAATTACTGGATATCAGATTATAATAAGTATTGTTGCTGTTAACCAATGTTAACCAACATTTCTAAAGTCTATAATTGAAATATGGTTGATGGTCATATTGATAACCCTAAGATTCAAAGTTCTAGGAGCTCTTTTCTAACCATTTCCTAAAAGTCTACTTTGGAATTTCTGGATCTTTTTTTCGAAAGTGCCTTTTAGAACATAAGCCAGAAAGTTAATAGAATAATACTTAATGAGCCTATGGGCCAGGTGTGGTGGCTCACACCTGTAATCCCAGCACTTTGTAAGGCTGAGATGGGCAGGTCACTTGAGGTCAGGAGTTCAAGACCAGCCTGGCCAACATAGAGAAGCCCTGGCTACTTAAAAAAATATATATATGTATATATACAGAAAATTAGCTGCGTGTGGTGGCGCATGCCTCTAATCCCAACTACTCAGGAGGCTGAGGCATGAGAATCACTTGAACCTGAGAGGCGGAGGTTACAGTGAGCCATGATCATGCCACCGCACTCCAGCCTGGGTGACAGAGCAAGACTGTGTCTCAAAAAAAAAAAAAAAAATGAACCTATTCATTGTTAGACATTTGCAACTCCTCTTATTCACTTGAGTTGGGGTCACTAATTATGCTTGGTTTCAAATTAAATTCAGTTACCTCTTCTCACCTTGAAACTTAATAGAAGATTTAGGTTGCTGAAGAATAGCATTTAAATGCTAACATACTTGCTGTTTTTGTAATACAGATATTCACCATGCCCTAGCCATGTAAACTAATGGGCTTTTTATTCTACCATTTGGGGTAACTCTCTAGGAAATCTCAAAAGAAAATTGAGGTCCTCAAAAAGCAGGTGGAAAAAGCCATGGGGAACGAAATGTCTGCTCATCAGTACCTGGCAAACCTTGTTGGCCTGGCAGAAAACATAACCCAGGAACGTGACAGTCTTATGTGTTTGGTAAGTTTCCTGAAGGTTACATCAAGTAAACTGCGAGTTAATATGCAAATGTGATTTTAAGAGTATTTTAAAAAATGATCTATTAAAAGCTTTATCCAGGCATTCCCTGACTTACGATGGATGGTTCCACCTAGGAATTTTCGACTTTATGATGTATTTATTGGGAAGTAATCTTATTATAAATTGAGGAACTCCTTACAACTCATAATGAAGTTACCATTGATACTGAATGCCCATTGCTTTTACACCATTATAAAGCTTAAAAAATGTAGATTGAACCATCATAAGTTGGGAACCATCTGCTGTATTGCCAGGATTAAATGCATTTTTGATATACAGTTTGTTCAATTTATGATGGGTTTATCAGGATGTAGCCCTGTTGTAAGTCTAGAACCATCTGTATTTTAAAATTTCAACTGTATTACCCTGGCATGGTGCTGTGTGCCTGTAGTCCCAGCTACTCAGGAAGCTGAGGCAGGAGGATCATTTGAGCCCAGGAATTCAAGACCAGTCTGGGTAACATAGTGAGAACCCATCTCTACAAAAAAAAATTTAAAAATTAGCCAGGCATGGTGGCATGCACCTGTAGTCTCAGCTACTCAGGAAACTCAGGTAGGAGGTTCATTTGAGTGTGGGAGTTGAAGGCTGCAGTGAGCTATGACTGTACTACTGCACTGCAGCCTGGTAGACAGAGAAAGACCCTGTCCCTAAAAAAAAAAAAAAAATGCTAATTAAACCAGTCTTGAGATACCATTCTCAAAAAATGTTACAAAACATTTTTTTCTTTTTAAACAATTGTATCTTTTTATTAATGCATAATATTTTTACATTTTAAAAAATATTTTAAATATATTTACATGCACATGTGGGGGTACATGTGATATTTTGTAATGTGCATAGAATGTGTAACAATTAAGTCAGGTATTTGGGCTATCCATCACCACAAGCATTTATCTTTTTTTTTTTTTTTTTTTTAAGATGGAGTCTCACGCTGTCACCCAGGCTGGAGTGCAGTGGCGTGATCTCGGCTCACTGCAACCTCCGCTTCCTGGGTTCAAGACATTTTTGTGCCTCAGCCTCCCGAGTAGCTGGGACTACAGGTGCATGCCACCACACCTGGCTAGGTTTTGTATTTTTACTAGAGACAAGGTTTTGCCACATTGGCCAGGCTGGTCTTGAATTCCTGGCCTCAAGAGATCTGCCCACCTCGGCCTCCCAGAGTGCTGGGATTACAGGTGTGAGCCACCACACCCAGCTGAGCATTTATCATTTCTGGGTGTGGAGAATATTTCAAGTCCTCATTGCTAGCTATATTGAAATATACAATACTTTGTTGTTAACTTTAGTCAACCTACTCTGCTGTCGAACATGATAACTTATTTCGTCTATCTAACTGTATGCTTATACCTATTAAGCAACCTCTCTTCATTCAGCCACCTGCCCCCCAGCCCCCCACAAACACACCCATACCCACATGCATCCTAGCCTCTGGTAGCTATCATTATAATCTCCACCTCCATGAGGTCAACTTTTTTAGCCCCCACATATGAATGAGTACATGCCATATTTATCTTTCTAGGTCTGGCTTATTTTACTTAACGTAATGGCCTCCAGTTCCATCCATGTTGCTGTAGATGACATGGTTTTGTTCTTTTATATGGCCAAATAATATTTCATTGTGTAAATAGAGCATATTTTCTTTATCTGTTTGTCCATTGATGGACACTTAGGTTCATTTCATATCTTTGCTACTGTGAATTGTGCAGCAATAAACATGGGGGTGTAGATATCCCTTTGATATACTGATTTCCTTGCCTGTGAATAAATACCCAGCAGTTGGATTGCTGGATCATATGGTAATTGTTTTTAGTTTGTTGAGGAACCTCCACACTGTTTTCCATAATGGCTGTACTAATTTACATTCCCACCAACAGTGTATGAAAGTTCCCTTTTCTCCACATCCTCATCAGTGTAATAAAATAAAGTAAAATTTCAGGCCAGGCATGGTGGCTCACTCCTGTAATTCCAGTACTTTGAGAAACTGAGGTGGGAGGATCACTTGGGTCCAGGAGTTTGAGACCAGCATGGGCAAGATAGGGAGAACCTGTCTCTACAAATAACGAAAAACTTAGCCAGGCATAGTGGTGCATGCCTGTGGTTTCAGCTACTCAGGAGGCTGAGGAAGGAGGATCACTTAAGCCTAGGAGGTCGATCATTCCACTGTACTCCAGCCTGGGTGATAGAACAAGACCCTGTCTCAATTTTAAAAAAGAAAAGAAAAAAAATTTCAGGACCCTCTAAATGTATTATGCAAAGGGGGAAGTTAAGCCCTGGAGACTGAGCAATGTAGCTTGTTGGCTATTCTGCTTCTTATAGGTTAGTTCTCTTCCTCATTGCTGTTGTTTTGTAAATGACTAGGAGAAACCAGAGACCAGACCTTCTCCTCCTTCCAGTCACTCATCTATCTATAAAGATGAACTGCTTGCTTCCTTTATTGTTCTTCTACCTAAGACCAGATGGCACCCATGACCCCATGACTGTTATATCTTCAATGTGGAATGTTAAATATACCTTTCCTGAAAGAAAAAGACTGCCTCAACTAATTAGATTGTTGTAACTATGCATTCAGTCTTACATAGAAAGACACTGAAATTCTGTTAAGCTTTCCTACATGTGGTCCTATTAGCGATCCCAAACTTGTGCACTTCAGAACACAGACTTCTGTTCTTTGGAATCTACTTCCTGGGTGGCCTGTCCTCAAACTTTGTGCTTGAATAAACTCTCTTTAAACTAGAGTCTCACCCTTTTGATTATTTTAGGTTGACATCAGCCTCTGTTATTTTTTGTCTTTTTAATGATAGCCATTCTAACTGGAGTAAGATGATATCTCATTGTGGTTTTGATTTGCATTTCTGTGATGATTTGTGGTGTTGAGCATTTTTTTCATATGCCTGTTGCCCATTTGTATGTCTGCTTTTGGGGAATGTCTATTTAGATTCTTTGCCCACTTTTTAATGGGATTGGTTTTGTTTGTTTGTTTGTTTGCTATTAAGAGTTGTGTTCCTTAAAAAAAAAAAGAGAGAGAGAGAGACAGAGAGAACTGAGTTCCTTGTATATCCTGGGTATTAGCCTCTTGTTGAATGAATATTTTGCAAATATTTTGTCTCATTCAACAGGTTGTCTCTTCATTCTATTGATTGTTTCCTTTGCTGTACAGAAGCTTTTTAGTTTAATATAGTTCCATTTGTCTATTTTTGTTTTTGTTGCCTGTGCTTTTGGGGTCTTAGCCATGAAATTTTTGTCTAAAGTCCTAGAGTGCTTCCTCTATGTTTTCTTCTAGTAGTTTTATAGTTTCAGGTCTTAGATTTAAGTCTTTAAACCATTGTGAGTGGATTTTTTGCATATGATGAGAAATAGAGATCTAATTTCATTTTTCTGTATATGGATATCCAATTTTCCCAGCACCATGTATTGAAGAGGGTGCCCTTTCCCCAGCGTATGTTCTTGGTGCCTTTGTTGAAAAGCAGTTGGCAGTAAATATGTGGGCTCGTTTCTTGGTGCTTTATTCTGTTCCACTGGCCAATGTGTCTGATTTTGTACTGATACTGTGCTATTTTGGTTACTATAGCCTTGTAATGTATTTTGAAGTTAGGTAGGGTAATACCTTCAGCTTTGTTCTTTTTGCTCAGGACTGATTTGCCTTTTCAGGCTCCTTTTTGGTTCCATATGTATAAAGTAGGATTGTTTATTCTATTTCTGTGAAAAACGTCATTGATGTTCTGATAGGGATTGCACTGAATCTGCTGATTGCTTTGGGGAGTCTGGTCATTTTAATGATGTTAATTCTTCGCATCCATGATCATGGGATGTCTTTCCATTAGTTTGAATCAGCTTCATTGTCTTTCATCAGTGTTTGTAGCTTTCCTTGTAGAAATCTTTAACTTCTTTGGTTAAATTTATTTCTAGGTATTTTTTTGTAGCTATTGTAAATGGGATTGCTTTCTTGATTTCTTTTTCAGGGAATTCATTATTGGTGTATAGAAACACTACTGATCTTTATACATTGATTTTGTATTCTGCAACTTTACTAAACTTTTTTTTTTTTTATCAGATCTAAGAGTCGTTTGGTGAAGTCTAGTTTTTTCTAAATATAAGATCATGTCATTGGCAAAGAGAAAAAATTTGACTTTCTCTTTTCTAATTTGGATGACTTTTATTTCTTTCTCTTGCCTGACTGCTCTTGCTAGGACTTCCAGTACTGTGCTGAATAAGAGTGGTGAAAGTAGTCATCCTTAACTAGTTTCAGTTCTGAGAGGAAAGGCTTTTTGCTTTCCCCTACTCGGTATGATGTTAGCTGTGGGTTTGTCATATATGGCCTTTATTATGTTAGGTATGTTCCTTCTATGTCTAGTTTATTAAGTGTTTTTATCACGAAGGATGTTGAATTTTTATCCAATTTTTTTCTGTTTCCATTGGTGTGCTCATATGGTTTTTATCCTTCATTCTGCTGATGTGATCTATGATGTTTATTGATTTGTGTATGTTGAACTGTCTTTGCATCTCTTGATCCCACTTGATCATGGCATATTATTTTTTTGATGTACTGTTGAATTTGGTTTGCTAGTATTTTGTTGAGGATTTTGCATCTGTGTTCATTAGGGATATTGGCCTGTAGGTTTCTTTTTTTATTGTGGCCTTGTCTGGTTTTGGTAGCAGGGTATTGCTGGCCTGAAAGAATTAGAGAGAATTCCTTCCTCTTAAATTTTTTTGGAATAGTTTGAGGAGAATTTGTATTAGTTCTTCTTTGTAAGGTTTGTAGAATTTGGCAGAAAAACCATCTGGTCCTGGACTTTTCTTTGTTGGGAAACTTTTTATTAATGATTCAATCTCATTATTTGTTAATGGTCTGTTCAAGTTTTCTATTTCTTCCTAATTCAATCTTGGTAGTGTTGTCAATGGGCCAGTTCAGGTTCTTGACTTCACAAAAGAATTTGAGAGCTAGTCCAAAGTAAGAGCAGGTGAAGAAGTCTATTGCATAGCAGAAGTCACTCTGAGAGACAGAGTAAGAGACAGACCCTAATATTTTAAGGGGATGCCCTTTACAGGAGCTGTGCATGCATATTCATAAAGTATTGGTGAGGTCAAGTGTGAAAGGTGGAACTATGGTTGGTGCATGCACTCAGCATGTACATGCTCTAACATGTATCACATGTATAATTAGCATATAAAACCTCCACCTAGGGTGTGTTTTTTACTATTAAAATGAGGAAAAGCTCACTGTAAGCTAAACCTTGTGCCTAGCTGTACATGCAGGACCCTGGAGATATCTTTAGCCCTGCCCAGGCAGGAATTGGTAGTTAATAGCTTCTTGGGCTTTTGGTGTTGATTGGCTGGAGATTGGGGAAGCTACATTACGATTAAGGGATTTTTGTTCTTTTTCCTAGGCCATATTGGGTATCAGGAACGTGTAACCACCTGGTAGTTGGCTGGGATCCTGTGGGACTACTTATCTTGCTAAGATAAGTTAGGTGCTGACATACAAGGGCGCACATGAAAGGAGCCCACTGAGAAAGGAGCATGTGGGGCTTCACTAAAGGGGACAAGTCAGTATGGTCTCATAACTTTACTTATCCTGCCTCTGTAGGTTGTATGTTGTCCAGAAATGTATCCATTTTCTCTAGGTTTTCAGTTTGTTAGCAGTGGATTTTCACTATGTTGCCCAGGCTAACCTTGAACATCTGGATTCAAGCAATCCTCCTGCCTCCTGCGTCACTGGGACTATAAGAACGTTTCACCCTGCCTCACTTAGTTCTGCTCTGATCTTTGTTTTTTCTTTCTTTCTACTAATTTTGGGTTCTGTTTGTTCTTGTTTATCTAGTTCCTTGAGGTACATCATTAGGTTGTTTATTTGAAATCTTTCCACTTTTGTGATGCAGGCATTTATTGCTATAAACTTCCCTCTTAGCATTGCTTTTGCTGTATCCCATAGGTTTTGGTATGTTGTGTTTGGTATGTTGTGTTTCAGTTTTCATTTGTTTCAAGAAATTTTTGATACCCTTCTTAATTTCTTCATTGACCCAATCATTGTTAAGGAACATGTTGTTTAATTTTCATATGTTTGTACAGTTTCCAAAGTTCCTCTTGTTATTGCTTTCTAGTTTTAGTCTACCATGGTCTGAGAAGATACTTGACATGATGTCAGTATTTTTAAATTTGTTGAGCTTGCTTTGTAGCGTAACACACAGTGTATGCTAGACAATGTTCTATATCTGATAAGAATGTGTATTCTGCCGTTACTGGATGAAATGTTTTGTAAATGTCTATTAGGTCATTTTGTCTAAAGTGCAGTTAAATTCAATGTTTCTTTGTTAGTTTTCTGTCTTGATGATCTGATTGCTGAGAGTAGGGTGTTGAAGTCCCCAACTATTATTGTATTGTAGTCTATCTCCCCTTTTAGATCTAATAATATTTGCTTTATATACCTGGATGCTGTGGTGTTGGGTGCATATATGTTTAGAGTATATGTCCTCTTATTGAATTTATCCCTTTATTATTATAATATTACCTTCTTTACGCAGTTTTTGACTTAAAGTTTGTTTTATTTCATGCAAGTATAGCTACTCCTGCTTGCTTTTGGTTTCCAGTTGCATGGAATATTTTTTTATCCCTTTACTTTCAGTCTGTATGGATCTTTACAAGTGAAATGTGTTTCTTGTAGGCAGCACATAGTTGAATCGTGTTTTTTTTTTCTGATATCCATTCAGCCAGTCTGTATCTTTTAAGTGGAAAATTTAATTAATTTACATTCAAGGTTACTATTGATATGCGAGGACTTACTCCTATCATTTTGTTGATTGTTTTCTGGTTGTTTTGTGTATCATTTTTCCTCTTATTTATCTTATTATTCTATAGTGATAACATTTGAGTTCCTTCTCTTCCTCATTTGTGTGCTTGCTCTACTAGTTAGTTTTATCATTTCATGTGTTTTCATGATAGTAGATATCGTCCTTTCAATTCCAGGTGTAGGATTCCCTTAAGCATTTCATGTAGGATGGGTCTAGTGGTGACAGATTCTCTCAGTGTTTGCTTATCTGTAAGTCTTTACTCCTTCATTTATGAAGGATAACTTTGCTGGGTATAGTATTCTTGGCTGGCTGACAGGTTTTTTTTTTTTTTTTTTCTTTTAGCCCTTTGAATATATCGTCTCATTCTCTCCTGGCCTGTAAGGTTTCTTCTGAGAAATACACTATTAGCTGGGCACAGTGGCTCACACCTGTAATCCCAGCACTTTGGGAGGCTGAGGCAGGCAGATCATCTGAGGTCAGGAGTTCAAGACCAGCCCGGCCAACATGGCGAAACCCTATCTCCACTAAAAATGCAAAAATTAGCTGGTTGTGGTGGTGCACATGCCTGTAATCCCAGCTACTTTGGGGGCTAAGGCCAGAGAATTGCTTGAACCCAGGAGGCAGAGGCTACAGTGAGCTGAGATAGTGCCACTGCACTCCAGCCTGGGCAACAGAGTGAGACTCCATCTCAAAAAGAAAAAAAAAGGAAAAAGAAAAAAGAAAGAAATACGCTGTTAGTCTTATGAGAGTTCCTTATATGTAACTAGACATATATATATATATATATATATATATATATATATATATATGTCTAAATATATATTCTAAATATATATGTCTAAATATATGTATGTCTAAATATATATATGTCTAAATATATATGTCTAAATATATGTATGTCTAAATATATATATATATATTTAGAATTCTGTATTTGACTTCTGACAGTTTGACTATAATGTCGTCGGGAGAAGACCTTTTTGGGAACCTGAGCTTCCTATATCTGGATTTCGAAATCTCTTGCTAGACTTGGGAAGTTTTCAACTTATTTTGTTGAGTAGGTTTTTTATGCCATTAAACTTCTTTTCACCCCTTGGAACACCAGAAGGCATGCTTCATTTTTTTTTTTAATTTTTCTCTCTTTCTTTTGCTCCTTTTCTCTCTCTCTCTCTGTTTCTCTCTCTCTTTCTCTCTCTCTCTCTTTCATCTCACTGAGTATTTAAAAAGCAAAAGAAATTCTTTCTCCTGCTTGATCTAGTCTATCACTGAAGCTCTCAATTGTATTTTTTATTTTATTCATTGAATTCTTCAGTTCCAGGATTTCTGTTTAGTTCTTTTTTATATCTGTCTCTTCGATGAATTCCTCATTCATATCCTGAATTGTTTTTCTGATTTCTTTATAGTGTTTATTTGTGTTCTGTTATATTTTACTGAGCTTCTTTAATATCATTATTTTTAATTCTTTTTCAGGCATTTCATAAATTTCTTTTTGTTGTTGTTGGAATCTGCTGTTGGAGAATTATTATGTTCCTTTGGAGGTGTCATATTGCCTTGCTTTGTCATGTTTATTATGTCCTTTCATTGATTTCTGCAAATCAAGTGTAACAGTCACTTATTCTAATTTTTTGTATTGGTGTATGTGTGTGTGTGTGTGTGTTTGTGTGTGTGCCTGGGGCAACCAACATGGTGGGACACTCCCTGCAGGCTGTGGTGAAGAGGATGGGGTGATCCCCAGGCCCTGGGTGGTGTGCTTGGGTTGCTTTGGCAATGGAGGCATTGGGCAGGGGAAGCCTGTCTTCAGGGCACATGCACGTGCGCAGGGCTCTGCGGCTGGAGGGGGTGGGGTTGCTGTTAGTGACAGGGGCCCCAGCCAGGCAGGTTTCAGGATTGGGGAGCACTTGCTTCGGCTCCCTTGCTCTCATGGGCAGCCTCTTCAGTGCACTGCACCACACTCTTCTGGGTATGCAGGACACTGTAGGGTAGAGTGCTGGGGACCCGCTGCTCCACTGGGTCCACCTGGTGCCTCGCCGCTGCAGCCTTCCGGGTGCATGTGGGGAGATGTCCGTGGCGCTCCAGGGATGTGGAGATGCAGGGGCTGCTGGGTCCCAGGGCAGGATGTAGTCTGGTGGGGGCTGGACTCTCAAAATGATGCCACTGTGCTGCAGCTACCTGGAACCTGGGTCAGTGTGGGACCCAGCGTGAGCCCCCGCTCTGGAGCAGTGGGGTCACACAGACTCCAGGGAGCTCCCTGCACCAGTCTCAGGGCCTGCAGGGGTTGAGGGGCTCCCCTGGGGCTGGGATCACAGGAGTGTGTGGTGAGAATGTGGACCCCTGGGGATCTCTCACCCTTTCCCGACACAGGGGAGCCTCTCCAGGCTCCCGACCAAGACCCATCCTGTCTGGGCTGTCGTCTCCCTCTCCTTCATTGCGCGGGTGCCGCCCAGCCCTCCCCTGTCGAGTTCCCGTGGTCTCCGTTAGATGTTCTCCGTGCGATGACTGACTCCTGTTTTGGTTCTCCTGTGTGGAGGAGTCTGACATCCTGTGCCTCCAGCCAGCCACCCTGAGCCTTCCTCCTGAAAACAGGTTTTTGTTTGTTTGTTTGTTTGGTTTTTGAGATGGAGTCTCGCTGTGTCACCCAGGCTGAAGTGCAGTGGCACAATCTTGGCTCACTGCAACCTCCGCCTCCTGGGTTCAAGTGATTCTCCTGCCTCAGCCTCCTGAGTAGCTGGGACTATAGGCGCATGCCACCACACCTGGCTAATTTTTTTGTAGTTTAGGTAGAGACGGGATTTCACCATGTTAGCCAGGATGGTCTCGATCTCCTGACTTTGTGCACCTCAGCCTCCCAAAGTGCTGGGATTACAGGCGTGAACCACCGTGCCCGGCTGAAAACAGTTTTTTAAATTACAATAATTGCTGATAAGAGTGTGGTCAGTCTGGCCATACTTTACTGGTGACTTCTGAGTCCTTTCCAGAGCCTTCCAGAAAGCAATTTGACTTTGACACAGCATGGATGGAGCCTTGAAGGCACTCAAGTGTCTGGCCCAGCGCTGCCCCTCTGAAAGGCAGCTGAACCCTGGCACTCTCTGTGGTAGCATTAAGTGCCCATTTTCCCTTCTGCTGCTGTGTGTGCTGGCCTTCCTCACCGGGACATGGAGAGGGCAAGAGAAAGCTTGCTGAAAAATCTAAAGGGCCGAACAAACCCTTTCATCCAGAGATTTCCTGGGAACCTGCCCGCCACATGTTGAGGCCACTGTAAACGCAAAGCCGTCTTGTTTGTAGGGCAGGACGTGCAGGGAATCCCGGTCCCTGGGGTGCAGGCCCCATGCCTCTCCCATGGGCCAGGGAGTATCACAGGCTTCCACAACGAAGTCAGGATCCTCCCAGACCCTCAGACACTCTCCTCTCGGCCCACCCCCAATATTTGTGGGCCCAGGATGGAAATACAAATGGAGGCCACTGACTGTCTCCAGATATTTAAAAGTTACTTGTTGAGCCAACAAACTGTTAGTAAAATGTGTTCCCTTCTCCTGCCTTGACCTTTATCATGGCCTGGCTGTCAAGTTTAGAATCCTCAGGCCCCTCAGAGTCAAAGCGGAAATGTAGGGTGTGGGAGAGCTGCTTTCTTCCATCCTGGCTCCACCTGTCACCAGGGACTTTTGTGTCCAAGCAGACACCCGCTATCCATGCAGGGAGAGGCATGGGAGCTGCCAGGATGTCTGGGCAGGGCTCTTGGTCCTCTGTAGCCAGGTCTGGAGTGGACACATCCCTACAGCCTTGCAGGCCCCTTGACCCTGGGAGTGCCTAGGCCAGCCCCTCTAGCCAGGTCCAGGGGTGTTAGTGGCTGCTCTGCCAGTCTCTGCCCTGTCCTAGGACTGAGCCACGTACTCCTGCCCTACCCCATCCTGGTCTCCAGGAGCTCGTGAGAGCCCTTACCCAACCCTGTACATACACCAACAGTGGGAGGACTCCACTCTGCCTTGGGAAGTTTCTGCTGATGACCTCTGGCTACAAATCACTTTCGGTTTCCCCAAATTAGCTGGGCATGGTGGCGCGTGCCTGTAGTCCTAGCTACCCAGGAGGTTGAGGCAGGAGAATCTCTTGAGCCCAGGAGGTGGAGGTTGCAGTGAGCTGAGATCGCACCACTGCACTCCAGCCTGGGTGACAGAGCGAGACTTTGTCTCAAAAATAAATAAATAAATAAATAAAACAAAAAGAAAAAACAAAAATCACTTTCAGTTTCCCCAAGTATGACTGCACCATCTTGCATTTATTACATTTTTGTGGGAGACACAATAGTCTTAGGTACTGAGATCTTTTTTTTTTTTTGAGACAGAATCTCGCTATGTTGCCCAGGCTGGAGTGCGGTGGCGCGATCTCAGCTCCCTGCAACCTCCGCCTCCTGGGTTCAAGCCATTCTCGTGCCTCAGCCTCTTGAGTAGCTGAGACTACAGGTGCACACCACCAAGCCTGGCCTGAGATCTTTTTAAATCCTGCTTCTAGGGTGGATTTTCCATGTGACCTGGAGCAATTTCTCTGTGACTTAGCTTTCCTTCTGGAAAATCAAACTTGTCACCACTAGCCTACCTTGGAAAGAATGCTCACCATTACTTATTTTATTTTAGCATCTGAAATAGTTAATTTATAGAATGTAGCAGGTCACGTCCAACCTGGATATTAGTTTAAATCATTCGACTTCAAATGATGTCATCTCTGCTGGATGTATTGCCTTTCATGTATGGCTTGGAGAAACGGCATTGTGCATTCATATTATGTTATCCTTAATTTTGAAATTGTTCAAATGAGTCAAGTTATGAGTTGATTGGCCTCTTGGCACTTATTCCTTGGATGCGATTGAAGGAAAGATAGATTCCATAAGAGTAGAGATGCATTCTGGAAACCTTTGCAGCCTCTCCCGTTCCCCTGGTCTGTGGGGCTGGAATTCTTCTCTTTGTGTCGAGCAGGGCACCCCACATGCCCTGTTCCTGCCCATCCTCAACTGTTGGCCTGAGGCCCAGGCCCTCACACAGTGGGTGGGGAAGGGGTTGAGGCAGGACAGGTTGCAGAATGAAGATTGTGAGCAGTAGCAGTAACACTCTTTGCAAAATAATTGTTTGTTATTTCAATTTTTCTGTAAAACTGAGAGCCCATTTATCACCCTTCTCCCTAGGCAAAATGTTTAGAAAGTGAGAAGGATGGAGTGCTTAATAAAGTCATAAAAAGCAACATTCGCCTGGGAAAGTTAGAGGAAAAAGTCAAGGTAAGTGGTTATTTGGCCTCAGAGATTTCATTTTCAGATGGGAATGCAGGCTCACTGCTGTGGATTTTTGTGTTTAAGAAAATGACACCTTTTGCATGTGCATCACTAATAGTCCACAGAGTAAAAGTATTGTAAGGTTTTGCTGGCAGAATAGCACCTCTCACCTCATTCAATAAACTTTGGTTCATTCACACAATAAAATACTGCATAGCTGTTTAAGAAAAAAGGATATGAAGCAAGGCACAGTGGCTCACGCTGTAATCTCAGTGACTCAGGAGGCCCAGCCAGGAGGATCGCTTGAGGTCGAGAGTTTGAGACCAGTCTGGTAACATAGCAAGACCCCAATCTCTACAAAAAATTTAAAAAGTTAGCCAGGCATGGTGGTGCTTGCCTGTAGTCTCAGCTTCTCTCGAGGCTGATGGGGGAGGCTCCATTGAGCCCAGGAGTTCAAGGCTGTGGTGAGCCGAGGTCACACCACTGTACTCCAGCCTGGGTGACAGAGTGAGACCCTGTCTCAAAAAAAAACCAAAACCAAAACAAAACAAAACACCAATAAAAGGAGAGACAGGATCTCACTCTGTCATCCAGGCTGGAGTGCAGTGACATGACAATGGCTCACTGCAGCCTCGAACTCCCGGGCTCAGTGGATCCTCCTGCCTCAGCCTCCCAAGTAGCTGGGACTACAGGCAAGCACCATGGTGTCTGGCTATTTTTTTTTTTTTGTATTTTTTTTTTTTGTTTAGAGATGAGGTCTTGCTATGTTGCCCAGGGTGGTCTTGAACTTCTGAGCTCAAGTGATCTGCCTGACTCGGCCCTCCCAAAGTGCTGGGATTACAGACATGAGCCACCTCACCTGGCAGGGACCCTGTCTCTTTAAGAAAAAAAAAAAAAGAAAGGCTGAAAGGGAAGGGGCTATGCCATGCTGTTTATGAGGGGACTCGGCATGGAAGTATTGAGTAATTTAAAATCCCCCTGTGGGGTTTTTCTTTTCTCTCTTTCTTTCTTTTTTTCTAATTTTCCTGCTTTTTACTTCCAAAAGAGAAGGAGTGATCCTCGGAGTAGTTGGCCTTGCTTGGGGAATCCATAGCGTTACCATTTATCTGAACAGGAATAGTAAAACCGGCTCACCCGGAGGAGACACCTGTGAGCAGGCCCCAAGGTAGACAGGCCAGGGCCTCGGGGGGAATGAAGAGAAAAGGCTTGAGAAATCAGAGGTGACATTTCAGGAAATCCCTGCAAAATATCACTCTTCAAAGGGAGGACATCACCTTGGAAATCCGGGGCTGTGACGAGATCTGGGAACTGAGGGATGCAGGCAGAAGCCCCTCCAAACCAGGCTGAATTCAGAGAGTGGGAGATGGGGCTGCGAGGTGGAGGGTGGTGGGAACATGGGAAGTCTGGAAGGACACTCTGGCCCAACTGTCGCTCCCACCCTCCCAGGAACCTCCTCTCATTCCAGAGGAATTCAGAGGCCTTCATATAAAAGCAGTTTAAGGAAAAGGAAGAAAAATAGAAGCATAAGTTCCTACTGACGGAAACTGCTGAAAACTTACCAGGAAAAGTGTTGCCGCAAAGGAGATCAAAACTATACTCCAAAGTGAACCACTAGGTAGCTGGCTAGAGAGCTGGAGATAGCTGGAGAGACAGGACTTCAGGAGGCAGTCAGAGCCAGGAAGAAATGTCACAGAGCAGACACAGGACCTCAGGAAGAGGCAGCAAGGCCTAGGAGGGTGTGGGAGGGAACTGACATGACCCAGGGAAGAAATAGAAGGGACAGAGAAGCGGTTTAAGAAATGCAGTCTGAATTCTATGGAGACAGATGTCATAACAGCGCAATAAGGGATATGCAGCTAGAACCGAGAAAGACAGACAGGAAAGTGGAAATGGAGATGTGCAAAGGATTCGGTGGACAGTGATGGAGATCTAAGAGACTGACTTCTAGAGCCTCCAAAGAAGAAACCAAAACAGTGGCTTATTCTGCTCTAAACTGTAACTCATAAAAACCTTTCTGAAATAAAAGAAGACTTGAATCTATGTCCTGAAAGGGCACATTATGTACCTAGGGAAAACTGACACAGAATGGACCCAGAAAATTGACACCAAGACATACGACTTTAAGATAAAGAAAATGGCCAGGCACAGTGACTCATGCCTGTAATCCAAGCACTTTGGGAGGCCAAGGCAGGCAGATCACTTGAGCCCAGGAGTCTGAGACCAGCCTGGGCAACATAGGGAGACCCCAGTCTCTACAAAAAATACAGCAATTAGCCAGGCTTGGTGGCACATGCCTGTAGTCCCAGCTACTCGGGAGGCTGAGGTGGGAGGATTGATTGAGCCCAGGAGTTTGAGGCTGCAGTGAGCTATGTTCGTGCCTCTGCACTCTAGCCTGGGCAACAGAGCAAGACCCTGTCTCAACAATGAGTCCTGCCAACCAAGAGTTAATTGGGGAAACTTCGGCAAAATTAACTTGTAGTGAGCGAAGAATATATTTAACTGTAAAATAAGACTTAGAGCGGGAATAAGGCTGATAGAATTGTATGTAAATGTTTTCTGACAATGTAGTAATAATACAACCAAGGAAACTGATGGGCAAAGGGGGAAGGAAGGTAGAAAGTAGATTGCACTTGCTGATTTCTTCGTAGGTAATAAGAGTCAAGGGATATCATTAAAGCTGAAAAACCAAGTGGTACGAGCTTAAGCATACTTAAGCAGGTGAACAGAAGGAGGGGAAAAGTGAAGAAAACGTTGTCATGAGCTAATGTATTGTTACTTTTGTTAGGGAACCAATGGATACGATCTAAAAACAGGGGACTAAGAACATGTAATATAAAGGCGTAAGAATAAAGCCAACTACAAGAATCGAGCTTTATTCCTAAATAGTGGAATTAGAGCTGGGCAGAGTGGCACGTGCCTATAATCCCAGCTCCTCAGGAGGCTGAAGTAGTAGGATCGCTTGAGACCAGGAGTTCAAGATCAGCCTGGGCAACATAGAGACCCCATCTCTAAAAAAAAGTTTAAAATTAGCCGGGCTTGATAGCCAGCGCCTGTACTCCCAACTCTGCAGGAGGATCTTGAGCCCAGGAGTTTAAAGCTGTAGTGAGCTATGATCACACCACTGCACTCCAGCCTGAGGGACAGAGCATGGAGCAGGATCCTGTTTCTAAAAAAAATTGTTTTAATTTTTTTAAATGGTAGAATTATAACAGCAAAAAAGCAAAGAAAAAGACTATATTAGTTTAAAATCTTTTAAAAATATGTACATAAAACAACCAAACATAAAATAACAAAATTGAGACCAAAGAAATGTGTCCTATAGGTAAATGTAAATTAGCTTAATTCACCTATTAGGGAAAACAATATTTTTTGGATTGGCTCATAAAGCAAAATGCTATTCCACACTAGACCCAAGAGCCAACCTAAAACAAAGTATTCATGAAGGATTTAAATTGAAAGGATGGGTAGAGATAACCCAGATTTCTGCAAACACAAAGAAAGTAAAGGTCGAAATCTTAACATATGCCAAGATAGAATTCAGACCAAAAGCACTAAATGACACCAAAAAAAAGGGGGAGATTTTTATAATACTAAAAGACTACAGTTAATAATATATAGTATGAGCTGGGTGTGTGGGTCCCTGTAGAGGAGGCTGAGCAGGAGGATCACTTGAGTTGAGTCTGAGAGTTCGAGGCTGTAGTGCAGAATGATCAGGTCTGTTAACAGCCACTGCACTCCAGCCTGGGCAACATAGTGAGATCCTGTCTACATCATCATCTATAGTAATTGTGAGTATCTATGCGCTAAATAACACAGCAGCAAATTTATGAAGTGTAGACTACAGGAAATACAAAGAAAAATGGAAACTTGGTAATAGGAGCTATAATCCACCTCTCTTAATCCAAGACTGATCAAGATGTTAAACAAAATAAGAAAATAGAAGATTTAACAACATAATCAACAGGGTATATTTACATATATATAAAAGACACAAAAATTGATCATTGCTTGGCTACAAAGAAAGCCTCAATAAATCCCTAAAGTAGAAATAATGTAGGCATTTGTTTTTTGTTTGTTTGTTTTTAGACAGAGTCTCACTTTGTCGCCCAGGTTGGAGTACAGTGGCGTGATCTTGGCTCACTGCAACCTCTGCCTCCCAGGTTCAAGCAATTCTCCTGCCTCAGCCTCCCCAGTAGCTAGAATTACAGATGTGCCACCACGCCCAGCTGATTTTTGTATTTTTAATAGAGACAGGGTTTCACCATGTTGGCCAGGCTGGTCTGGAACTCCTGACCAGGCTGGTCTCGAACTCCTGAACTCAGGTGATCTGCCCGCCTCAACTTTCCAAAGTGCTGGGATTACAGGCGTGAGCCACCGCACCCGGCCAGCATTTGTTGGTCACAAATATTAAAAACAGAAATTAATAAGCAAAATCAAAAAACAAAAAGTTATTTCACTTGGAAGTGTAAAAACTGTGCACTAAACAATTCTTGGGTCAGAGAGAATGTATAAACTGAGTGTCAGAGCTTCTTATAAAAAAATGAGTCTGTGGGACTACATGTCAGACTCTCTGTGACAATAATTTTAGAAATGCTCGGCCGGGCGCGGTGTCTCACGCCTGTAATCCCAGCACTTTGGGAGGCCGAGGCAGGCGGATCGCGAGGTCAGGAGATTGAGACCATCCTGGCTAACATGGTGAAACCCCATCTCTATTAAAAAAAATACAAAAAAATTAACCAGGTGTGGTGGTGGGCACCTGTAATCCCAGCTACTGAGGAGGCTGAGGCAGGAGAATGATGTGAACCCGGGAGGCGGAGCTTGCAGTGAGCTGATATTGCGCCACTGCACTCCAGCCTGGGCCACAGAGCAAGACTCTGCCGTCTCAAAAAAAAAGAAAAAAAATGCTCACAGGAAAATTCAGAACCTTCAGTACTATACAGTAAAAACGAAAGAAGGAAAGTAAATAGCGGGCTTTCATCTCAGCTGTCTGTTTGGTGACAGAGAGTGACAGCCCTTGTTGGATTCTTCAATGAGGCTGTCTTGTCAAGGTGAAACAGTGCTGACCAGTGGCAGCATTAGTTCTTAGGTTACCAGTTGATGCAGGGATAAGAGTTGTCCTGGAAAAAATACAGTTGTAGATTAATTTGCAAGAACATCCAGTTTGTTCTGTGATGGTAATTTTTTTTTTTTTTTTTTGAGACAGGGTCTCACTGTGTCACCCAGGCTAGAGTGCAGTGGCGTGATCACACTCACTGCAGCCTCCGCCTCCTAGGTTCAAGTTATCCTCCCACCTCTGCCTCACAAGTAGCTGGGACTACAGGCATGCACTACAACGCCTGGCTAATTTTTGTATTTTTAATAGAGACAGGGTTTCACCATGTTGGCCAGGCTGGTCTTGAACTCCTGACCTCAAGTGATCCGCCTGCCTCAGCCTGTAATAGTGCTGAAATTAGAAGCATGAACTGCTGTTTCCAATGGTGATATTTTATGTTTTCATTTATTTATAGCATATAAAGAACTAGGCTTTATATACATTAAAATTTGGTTTTATTGTACCTGAAATTCTTTTGTCACTTTTTATGACTTTTATGATCCAGACTTGCAATCCCAGACCAAACTTATCCGGGGTTGCTAGATTTTAAAGGCTCTGACACACAAGGAGTGGGTAGGGAGCACAGCCAGGAGGCACTGTCCACCCTGGCCTGGCAGCGTCCCCTCATTCACAGAGTCCTTCCCCCGACCAGGGCTACAAGAAGCAGGCAGCACTGAAGCTGGGGGACATCAGTCACCGTCTGCTGGAGCAGCAGGAGGACTTCGCCGGCAAGACAGCCCAGTACCGGCAGGAGATGCGGCACCTGCACCAGGTGCTGAAGGACAAGCAGGAGGTGCTGGACCAGGCGCTGCAGCAGAACAGGTGGGGCATGCGCCCTGCGCCATGGCCCGCAGAGATGTCTGAATGTCTGATTGAGGGTTCTGCTAAAACCCTCTGGGCCTGTTTTATTTGTTCCATTGTTTAATTTTGTTTCTACATTTTACTCTGATCTGAATGTAATATTGGTCTCAAGTTTTATTTGCTCCTCATCTTCTTTATTCTTTTAAAAATTCCTCTTGTTTGAACTGGACTTCCGGAATCAATGCACACCTCTAATTGCCTTTCTCTTTTTTTCTGCTGCCTTCCATCTCACTGATATTTTTATTTTGTCTCATTTTCTTTTTATTTTATTTTTTGAGACAGCATCTCACTCTGTCTCCCAGGCTGGAGTGCAGTGGCACGATCTCGGCTCACTGCAACCTCCGCCTCCCGGATTCAAGCGGTTCTCCCACCTCAGCCTCCTGAGTATAGCTGGGATTATAGGCATGAGCCAGTTTTGTTTCATTTTCTTGAGAGATTTTATTAATTTTTGATTAGGTATTTTATTTCTGTTATTTCTATTATTATTATTATTATTACTACTTATAGACAGGGTCTGGCTCTGTTGCCCAGGCTGGAGTGCAGTGGTGTGATCATAGCTTACTGCAGCCTCAAACTCCTGGGCTCAAGCCATCCTCCTGCCTTAGCTTCCCAAGTAGCAGGGATTACAAGCATGAGCCACTGTGCCCAACTTTTTTAAACTCTTCATTCACTGCAGTCAGGGCCTGGGGATCCCCACTCATGGGGAACAGTGTAGACTCACTCCAGATCCATTTGAGAGCAGGCCGGTGGCTCTAGTCCCCAGGTGATGCCTGGCCTTTCAGAACAGGTTTCCTTTGAAGATCTGCAGGTCTCCCACCCACCCCTCCTTTCTTTGAGGGTCCTTCACATCCTCCACTTACCTACCTTCACAGTGCCTCTAGTAGGAAGAGAAACTTGGACAAGAGTGGGTCCTGAGATTTTCTGTCACTCTTGATCTGCACGATCTCTCAGTCTACAAACATCCAGGGTTTGGCATTGACTTTTGTCCTCAAAGCAACTGATACTTTGTCTGCCTCTTTGGTTTCAGTTTAGGCTTCATTTTTTCTGCCCTTAGAGACTGCCTGTTCTTTCGAGTTCAGCCATACATTTAAACATGATTGCTATAATTTACCAAATATCTTCAGAAAACCAAAGTCTGGGGAATTTTTTTTTTTTTTTTTTTTTTAAATACAAGGTCTTGCTCTGTTGCCTGGGCTAAAGTACAGTGGCACAATCTCAGCTCACTGCAGCCTCAAATTTCTGGGCTCAAGTCATCCTTCTGCCTCAGCCTCCCGAGTAGCTGGAAATACAGGTGCATGCCACCACGTGGGCCCAGCTAATTTTTAAGTTTTTTGTAGAGATGAGGTCTCACATGTTGCCCAGGCTGGGGCTTTTTTAGACATAGTTTAATTAAGTTGTTCTTACCACACAGTGGGCATCAGGGGCCTTGGAAGGAAGGAACGTTCACAAGAAAAGTGACTCTGGCCAAGTGGGCACATCACTGGCCTCCCTGAACTTCAGTGTCCTGCTCTTTAAACCGTGGTGCGAAGTCCACCTGCAAATCCAGTTTCCAACATTTTCCAGAACCATCTGGCAGTGTCCGGGAAGGAGCTGGCCTCTCCAGCCTGGCCATGCTCCCCGATGGGGCTAAGCACCTTGTGAGGTGTGGCTCGTGTCCTGGTCTATTCCCAGTGGACTGTGGCCCTGTGAGGATGTGGCCACCTTCATCTGTCCTGTCTCCCCAGCACACCACAGGGCACTGCATCCTGGTTCTGGAAACGCTGCCCTGTGGCTCTTTCCAACCTCACATGCCTCGGCCCCTCAGGGCCTCCCCATCCCGGCACATGGGCCAGGCCAATCTTCTCCATCTTGGCAATGAGTCTTATCTCCTCAGGTCCCCCACCTCACCCCCTGACTCGCTCTTAGCTCTGGGCTGTATGGAGCGGAAGACCTGTGGAAGGTCACTGAGTGCTGGCCAGGTCACAGTGGACAAGCAGACGGGACACAGGAGGGGCTGTGTGGGTGCCTGTGGCCAGGCCATCGTGCTAGAGCGTCTGGCTGGCCAAGGCCAGCCCTGCAGTTCCTGCAGTTCCTTATTCGACACGCCCAAGTTCATTCTTGAGAGAAAACAGGGATTGCACTGGCGCCAAAGTCAAGGGCAGAACATAGAGGGAAGAGAAATGCCTGTGCCGTCCTGCTGCTCCCCATTCCCAGGGCACTGGCCGCTTCATTCCACACTGAGCCCCAGCCTGGGCTGTCCTGCTGCTCCCCATTCCCAGGGCACCAGCTGCTTCATTCCACACTGAGCGCTTGCTTCAGAACCCAGGCACCGAGGGCTCTGTTCCCTGCTGATAGCGTTCTTCTGTTTTGAGTTCTTGCTACTTTGGGATTCATATGGGCTCTATATTATTTTTAAAATTGTGCCATTTTAAACTTATTTCCCTCAGAGAAATGGAAGGTGAACTTGAAGTTATTTGGGAATCTACCTTCAGGGAAAACCGAAGAATCCGAGAACTTCTCCAGGACACACTCACGAGGACAGGCGTGCAGGACAACCCCAGAGCTCTGGTTGCCCCCAGCCTCAATGGCGTCTCTCAGGCAGACCTGCTGGACGGCTGCGATGTCTGCTCCTATGACCTGAAGTCTCATGCCCCCACCTGCTAGAATCTGCGGGAGCCCGTGGTGTAGCCTCCTCTGGCCTGAAAGGTCTGCCTCACACAGGCCTTCCCTGCAGGGCAGCCCATGGTGGCAGCCGGAGGTGCGTAAGCCCACTGAACGCTGCAGGGCAGGGAAGAAATAAATGGTCTCATAGTTTAATCCATTGATAACATTTTGCTTTATTTTTTAATTTTTTTTTTTTTTTAGAGCTAGGGTCTCACTCTGTTGCCCATGCTGGAGTACAGTGGTGCAATCATAGCTCACGGCAGCCTCAAACATGTTTGAGATCCTTCTGCTTCAGCCTCCTGAGTAGCTGGGACCTCAGGTGTGCACTGTCAGGCCCAGCTAATTTTTTTCTTTTTTGTTGAGATGAGGTCTTGCTATGTTGCTCAGGCTGGTCTTGAACTCCTGGCCTCAATCTGTCCTCCTGCCTTGGCCTCCCAAAGTGCGGGAATGACACGTGTGAGCCACTGCGCCTGGCCCATTGTGCTTTATTTTAATAACGTGCTGCTGAAATCTGTTTTAGCCAGGGCATGTTCTCTGGCCACATTGCCACTGAGATGAGTTCTATGACACCCACTGCTCTGGTGAGTAGGTGGCCTGCTGAGCAGGCCTGCCTTCCAGCTCCTAGATCTGCAGCTGGGAAGTGCTGGAAGGGTTGGGCGGGCAGCTGAGCCCTCGTGCCATGTGTCAGATGGGGAAGTGTCACCCGAGGAGCCAGGCCATGGCACCGGCCCTGATGATAGCTGTGCGTGAGCTCTGGGGGCCTTTTCTTGTTTGGTCAAAAAAAACAAGGTGCTGCTGCTGTTCATGCCCTCTAAGTTGTACAAACCTTTTCTGCCCTCTCCCCTAGCCCTTCTCTATCCTCCTGAGCAAGTACTTTATTCTCTTTTGTTTAGTTGTTACTTTTGTTTGTTTGTTTTGAGACAGGGTCTCACTCTGTTACCCAGGCTGGAATGCAGTGGTGCAATCACCACAGCCTTGACCTCCAGGCTCAAGCGATCCTCCCATCCCAGCCTCCTGAGTAGGTGAGATGACAGGTATACACTAACATGCCTGGCTAATTTTGTAAAAAAAAAATTTTTGTAGGCCAGCCATGGTGGCTCACTCCTGTAATCCCAGCACTTTGGGAGGTCGAGGCAGGCGGATCACCCGAGGCCAGGAGTTCGAGACCAGCCTGGCCAACATGGTGAAACCCCATCTCTACTAAAAATACAAAAATTAGCTGGGCATGGTGGTGGGTGCCTGTAATCCCAGCTACTTGGGAGGCTGAGGCAGGAGAATTGCTTGAACCTGGAAGGCGGAGGTTGCAGTGAACCAAGATCACGCCATTATACCCCAGCCTGGGCAGCCTGGGCAACAAGAGCGAGACTTTGTCTCAAAAAAAAAAAATTTTTTTTTTGGTAGAGATGGGGTCTTGCTATGTTGCCCAAGCTGGTCTCAAACGTCTAGCTTCAAGCAATCCTCCTGCCTAGGCCTCCCAAAGTGTTGGGATTATAGGTATGAGCCACCGCGCCTGGTCTGGGAAGGTAATTGATTCTGGAGCCACACAGCTCCCCACCCATGTAATGAGAGCCCTGGCTTTGAGCTAAGATAGAGTCCCTGCCCCACTGCCACCACCAAGAAGCATACCAGGGGGCCATGGTTCTGTCCCATGTGTGTTAGATGACGTGCCACCTCCTCAGGAAAATTACCCCAGCCGCTCAGGACCATTCAGTCCCAGGCATGCTGGAGGGACTTGGGGACATTGGGCTACAAAGGACCCTAACTGTGGGACTCAGGGGTGGCACCCTGCAGCATCTCCTTTTCAGAGCCCCTCGCAGTGAAGTCCTGCCTTGTTTCAGGTGGGAAGGAGGCCCCAGTACTGGTCCTTGGTCATGTGTAGAAGTTCTACGTGTGATCTTTGATTGCCAGACGGAAGGGTGAGATAGAAAATCATAGTTCTTTTATGACTCTATAAGCTTGTTCAACAGTTGAATCATTGTAATTTAATTTTATTTTACAAGCGGTAGAAAGACTCACTGGGATTGAAAACTGTGTATCATCTCCCTAGGAGATGACCTAACAAATAACTGTGATGCTATTTCAAAGGCATTTACGGCCGCTCTGCAGCCTCCTGTAGACAGGCTGACAGGCGGCGGCAGCCCAGCGTGGCTGCGCGGGGCAGGAGTGCTTGTCAGCAGGAATGCTGCTCCCGCCATCGTGACCTAGAGAACCACTGTTGACATCCCTGTCTTTCTGCCTTTTATGCAAACATTTTATTCTTTTGAGAAGTGTCCACTTTTGTTCTTATGTTTCTGCTTTAAGTTTTTCACACAGTGCAAACATACTTTGCAAGTATGGGGACTCCTGGATGGCACTGTGACCAGGGCAAGGGCAGGTGTCCCACAGACACTATCTTCTGCCCAGCCTCCTGCTGGGTGCCATAGGAAATGGGCAGAGAAGCCACGAGTCCAGGATGCCAAGGAGGGCGGGGCAGGCAAGGCAGAGAGGCACCTGGGTGCTTGTGAGATTCCAGGAAAGGACAGAAACATTGGGGTGCTTCTGGGAGGAACTGGCACGCCCCGGCCCTTGCAGAGTGGACAAGGTTTCAGGAGCTACAGAAGGGTGGAGAGGGCCCCCAGGAGCACAGCAGGCACTCAGAGCAGCAGGAGGGGGTTTGGTCAGAGCTTGGGTGGGAAATGAGGCCGGACTGCACAGAGGAGAACTGGGTCTGCTGGGAGGGGCTCCTCCTTCCCCATGCTGCAAGTGTCTGGTCTGAGCAGGGAACCCTTCTCTTTCTTGGTCCTGGTGAGGTTTCATACGGCATTGGAAGATTCCTGGTCAAGCAGCTGTAGAACATGACCCAGGCACGCGAGTGAGCCTTGCTGGCTTTGCCATTATTTAAAAGCAGCCCTGGGCATGGTGATGGCGCCTATGGTTTCAGCTACTCAGGAGGCTGAGGTGGGAGGATCACTTGAGCCTGGGAGGTTGAGGCTGCAGTGAGCTATGATCATGCCACTGCACTCCAGCCTGGGCAACCAGGTGAGACCCTGCCTCAAAAATAATACAATAAAAAGTAAAAGCAGCCCTGGGGAAATGGAGACAGTGGACAAAGCAGGCTGGGGCACCAGGTGTGCATGTGGGTGTGAGTCTGTCATGAGAGCTGTCCTGAATGCCCTTAACGCCACTGAACTGTATGCTGGAAAACAGTGACAACAGTGGATTTTGTTATATAGACAATTAAAAAAGAAATAACACCCAGGCCTGCTTCCTGAGTGTTTGTGTCATTTTACTTTCCCACCACCAACCTCCGCGCAAGTTCCGGTTGCTCCGCATCCTCATCAATGCTTGGTGGTGTTGTCAATAACTGTGTTGAGAGGACAGAGATTTAAGGCCGAGGGTGGCCTAGCATTTAGCCTCGAGCGCAGCTGTCACTGGCTCCTCACCCCCTCCCCTACCTGTATCGTTGGCGGGAATGAAAGGCACAGTCCCCAGTGTGGGTGGCTCAGGAGAGCCCTCCCTGGGCCCAAGCAGCTCTTCCAGCAGGGAGGGCTTGAGCCGGATACAGATCCCACAGCAGGAGGCTGAGCCTCTTGGGATGGGGCTGGGCTGACATCTGAATTCTTGAGTAAGACTGGAAACATCATCCACTCAAAACTTGGCTGGGCGGCATGGGGAGGGCTCAGTGTGCCCAGGTTTGTGGCACCTCTCTGCTGGGTCACAGCTGGGCAGGGGTCCACAGGTAAGGAGTGGCTGCAGCCAGGAGTGGGAGAGGGGATGGGTACAGCTTGTTAGGCCTCTCTTGGTTTTCTCAAGGTGTGAGTCCATGGCCCCAAAGCTGGGCAGGAAACCTGCTGCCCTTCCAGCCTCCCAGGCTTGGCTTTTTTTTTTTTTTTAGTTGAGACAGTCTCGCTCTGTCACCCAGGCTGGAGTGCAGTGGTGCGATCTCGGCTCACTGCAACCTCCACCTCCTAGGTTCAAGCAATTCTCCCACCTCAGCCCCCCGAATAGCTGGGATTACAGGGTGTGTCTCACCACGCCCATCTAATTTTTTTTATTTTTAGTAGAGACAGGGTTTTGCCACGTTGGCCAGGCTAGTCTCAAACTCCTGACCTCAAGTGATCCGCCCACCTCAGCCTCCCAAGGTGCTGGGATTACAGGCATGAGCCACCATCCCCAGCCTCAGGCTCGGCTCTTTTCCTCATTTTTGACTAGGGGTGGACTGGGTAGGAGGGTTTTGGAGAGAAAGAAGAAGGGCGGCTTTTGTAGTTGATATTCACCTGCAGGGCCCCGCTGGGCTGCTTTGCAGGCCCAATGTCTGCAAACAACAGGACAGAGGTAGTGAGGACCCAGGCTGGGCTATGGAGACTTCAAACCTACGGAGCGCATGAGGCTGCTTCCTGGAACTGGGCATGCCACCTGCTACTGAGGACCCAGGCTGGCTCCCCGCGTCTGTGCTGGGTGCTCTGGGCCGCCATCCCCTTGTTCCACAGTCCACCCGTGTGTCAGCACTCTACAGAGGGTATAGATGAGACAGGGAGAGTGCACTGAGGTGACAGCATTGCTGCCTTGGGTCATCAGGAGCCTGGAGCATCTATTTCACCTGGTCAGGAGGGTCCTGAGTATTTTATTAAAGAATAATTCTTTGAAAGTGAAGGGTCTGTGTGTAGTATATGTAGCATACCAGGGCTGGGTTGCAAGCAACAGAACTATACTGCCCAATGTTAAGGGAAAGAAGGAAATATTTTGGAAATGTACACTCTGTGGCTTCCACCATGTTTTGAGAAGGACAGAAGCTGGAATAGCCTTGGGGTGAGGGTCTCAGTAGTTGAACACCGTCAGCCTACCCTGTGCTTCACTCAGGTAGCAAATCCTGGGAGACAATGGCCTCTTGGCTGACCTGACATCCTGAGCCCTCCTGTGTGGCCAGAGAAGTGAGGTCTTTTGGTTGGTAGCCCACCAGTGTCCCACAGAAAGGGACAGTTCCCCCCAAGTTGTGGATGCTGGGCAGACAGAAACAAGATTACAAAAAATGGTAACTTCCTATGTTAGAGTCTCCATCTGTCACCCAGACTGGAGTCCAGTGGCACGATCGTAGCTCACTGCAGCCTTGAACTCCTGGACTCAAGCAGTCCTCCTGCCCCAGCCTCCCAAGAGTAGCTGGGACTATAGGTGCACACCATCATGCCTGGATAATATTTTTAAATTCTTTTCGTAAAGACAGGCGCTCGCTATGTTGCCCAGGTTGGTCTCAAACTCCTGGCCTCAAACAGTCTCCCTGCCTCGGCCTCACAAAGTGCTGAGATTACAGGCGCACAGCCACAGCACCCGGCCCCCAAAATAGTAACTCTTTATTAAAGATGTTTGATGACACAGAACCCTCTTTCCCCAAAATCAGCAGCGATCACAACTTTCATCATGTGTGGCCACCGTGGTTGAGAAAAGAGGCAGCGACCATGAATCGTGACGAGGTCGGTGGGGAAGGGAGCAGGATGGGAAGTCGTGTTTTGACAGCATGCTGCAACTGTCTTCCCCACGCAGGTTATTTAATGCAAAACCATATTACTTGGAACACATAAAAATGATGGACAAAGTTCGAAGGCAGAATTGTACTATTCCAATAGTTGTTGGATATATATAGATTGTTCCTAGATAAGAGTTTTGAAATTATGTTTATGCTTTCCTTGCTAATTGTTTTATGGCTAGACAGCACGTCCCTGACATCGAAAGGCTTTGCACATCGCTAACTCATCACAAGTTCTTCTGGTTGGAATTCAGGTAGTAAGGGAACAAACAACTCTTCTATCTGTGGTAGTATGCCAGTTATTTCTGTCTTTTGGGTCCCCCTCCAAATCCCCAACTGCTACCGTCAGCAGCAGTGGGAAGGAATACAAGACCGAGTGAACTTAATGAATAGGAGAAGGTGAAAACTTGAAGGCAGGTCTGGAACAAGCTTTCAGCGGTAAAGGAAGATTCAGCCTCTGCCTGAATGTTTGCCCAAGACCTTGCCTCTGTCACGAGGACAGTGAATTAGAGAACAAGGCACCCAGCTGGGCAGCCCAGAGGCTGTGCAGAAATGGACTGACACTATGGGATTAAAGACGTCTTTAAAACCATCACAGGAGGCCAGGTGCAATGGCTTACGCCTGTAATCTCAGCACTTTGAGAGGCTGAAATGGGAGGATCACTTGAGCCCAAGAGGTCAAGGCTGGAGTGAGCCATGATCACGCCATTGCACTCTAGCATGGGAGCAAGAGACCCTGTCTCAGACACAAACCATCACAGGAGAAGGAAATGTTGGGGCTCAGGACACACCACCCCCAAAATATGACTGTAGGAGACTAGATATATATCACCCCAAATTATACTTCTTTGGAATATTTTGAGCTGGTTATTCTGAGAAACTGCAGACACAACAGGTGTAGCTCTGAAAAGCTGCCCTTTGCAAAAGAAATGTATGTCATGAAGGAAATCTACATTAGTACAAGTATCTGTACCAGGAAGAGACAACTTTTATTACCTGAGAGACTTATATCTGCATAACAAGACGACCTTTATTCGCCATGCATTTCCTCCCCTCACCATCCCATTACTAGTCCCTACCTGCCCCAGAAGCCCCAAGCCCCTAATCCTTATATAGCTCAGGATGCTATATAGGGTTTAGTCATCTGGCCCTTCTTCAAGTCTCTTGTTTTGTGGGACTCAGTTGCATATACACATAATTAAAACAGTTTTCCTCCCATTAGTCTCAATTCGAAGCCCAACCAAAGAACCCAAAAGGGTGGAGAGAAGCATTTTACCCTCCCCAACTGAAATCAAATGTGCACCAAATATAAGATAAAATGTAGATGGTGTGAAGATCTTCACACTGCAAGCATTTTTGCAATCGGAAGGGAAAAAGCACGGGTTGAAAATGAAGGTCAAGAGTCTTTAGCAGAAACTTAAGAAATAGAGTGGTTGGGCGGGTGTGGTGGCTCACACCTGTAATCCCAGCACTTTGGGAGGCTGAAGCGGGTGGATTACTTGAGGTCAGGAGTTCAAGATCAGCCTGGCCAACATGATGAAACCCTGTCTCTACTAAAAATACAAAAATTAGCCGGGTATATTGTCACACATGTAGTACCAGCTACTCGGGAGGCTGAGGGAGGAGAATCGCTTGAACCTGGGAGGCGGAGGTTGCAGTGAGCTGAGATCATGACACTGCACTCCAGCCTGGGTGACACAGCAAGTCTCAAAAATAAATAAATAAAATGGTAAAAATGACAGTAGGATTTGCGCTTTGGGAGGCCGAGGCAGGTGGATCACTTGAGGTCAGGAGTTCAAGACCAACCTGGCCAACATGGTGAAACCCCATCTCTACTAAAAATACAAAAATTAGCCAGGCATGGTGGTGGATGCCTGTAATCCCAGCTACTCAGGAGGCTGAGACAGGAGAATCACTTGAACCCAGGAGGCAGAGGTTGCAGTGAGCTGAGATCGTGCCACTGCACTCCAGCCTGGGCGACAGAGTGAGGCTCCATCTAAAAAAAAAAAAATTGACAGCAGGGAGGTGAAACTTCAGTCACATGGCAGAAGCACTGGATACACAATGAACCAATGGTCTTCAAGAACTGAGGAAAATTTTGCTTTTTAAATGAAATCCGTATTATTTTCCATGAGGAAGAGCTTATGAGAATTACTTGAATACTTTCTGTGTATTCAAGGGAGGGAGAGGGTGGGACTGCGGTGAAAAACACAACTTTAAGAAACAGGCTTAAGAAATGCTCACCGTGGACCCAAAATGAACTGAAGTGGAGGTTTCTGACTTAACAAAGGACCCTCACATCCCGATGTTCCAGACTCGGCACTTGGAAGAGGCCCAGGAAGACCAGAGGGCTGGTCCCGGACATTCATGGAACATGCAAGTTCAGTGTGTTCCGTGAGGAGGCGCCTGTTGCTCGCCCTGCGTCGCAGGTTCAGACCCTGATCCTGGCAGTGCTGCCTGAGCCCATGTGGGTAGTGGGTGAGGTTGCAGGGCTGTCTGGCCCCAGCGGGGGACCACTGCCCCACCCTGATGTCCTCACGTGGTCTCCTGTCAGCCTGCCAGGAGCACTTTTGACCCAGGGGGTATTCTGTGGTGTTTTGCAAACATGGATGTGCCAGGTACTATGATGAGTGCTGCAACATTAGGAGGAGTGACCCCAGCAAGCCGGTGGGCAGGTTCTGTCTAGGGTGGCAGGACCTGCCACTAGCCTCTCTGCTCAGGGCTCTGGGCATGGCAGGCAGGTAAACAGGTGGGCCCTCCCAAGATGGGAGGTGACGAACTTCTAAATCAGGACCGTGCCTCTGGGACAACAAGGGTCCCTGTGCTCTGCAGACGGCTTTCAGAGAAACCTGTGCCTCTCTCAGGTCTGCTTGCCCCAAACTGCTCCCAAACTGACCCCCAGAGACTGGCCCAGCTCCTTCCATCCCTGACCTTTGCTTCCATCTGATATCTGGGATGCAGTTAAGTTTGGCCCAAGGCAAAGCTACCAGAGTTTTGGCTGAAGGTAACAGCTACGATGCTTCAGATGCAGTGCTTATGCTGTGCCAGGCTGTCTCATAAGGTCTCATAAGGTGCTTCCTTCCCTATCTGAAAGGGCTTCGTGCTGACCCCTGAGGCTGCCGCCTGAGCCTAGGTCCAATCGCAGTGCGGGAGAACCTCTGCTCCCTCCCAGAGAGATCCAGACCCTGGCAGCCCTGGATGCGGACCGGAGCTTCCTGGCCTTGTGTTGCCTGTCCCCCTCCGTTTCCCCGAAGGGGAAGGTTTTGTGTCCCTTGTGATGAGCCAGGACATGGCTACGTGAACAGCACCACAGCCAAACCTGATGGGCATTTGGCCGCAGCTGCAGGGAGGACACGAGGCCCTGCATTGCCTCAGGCCTGCTTGTGATTCCAAGTGGTGAAGCCCCATCACTGGTAAAGAGGAGTGGGACGGGCTCAGCCGCTCTCACCTGCTCAGCCAGAGGCAGGCCCTTGGCTTGGGGGAAATTCCTGGGCGGGGAGGAAACTGACCAACAGCTGAGTTACGCACACACAGCGGTTCCTGTTTGAGCTGCCTGACTTGGGTTTTAAATATAGCCTATTAAGGCAATTAGCGAATTGGTTCCAAAGTTTATCTCCTCTGATTCCCAAAGATAAAAGAAGGCATAATTTATTTTATCTTTAGGTAAAAAGTGTAGACGATTTGGGACCATCTGGTTTTAAAAAAATAATCTGACCTAGACACAAATGAACAAAACAAAAACGGTTTTGGAGAGAAATTGGTGTTCCTGACCCTCCCCTTTTTTGTGTGGCGTATCTAAGCTTCATTGCAAAAAAAAAAAAAAAGGTGTTTAATAATTACCCTTATTGACCTCTGTACCTTCTGGACTTCCTTTGCTCCTGGGCACAAGACATGGCCATTTCTAGGGTTGGACCGTGCAGGCACGGGCGGTCAGCTGGGCCGCAGCTCCTCCGGCTCTGCAGGGTCACGGAGGAAGGTAAGTAAGGTCAGTAGGTGATAGAAAGGCTCATGGCTCTCCTGGCCGGGGCCTGGACAGATAATTTATTTAGAGAGAGGGTACAGGAGTGCATGGTTTTCTCCTAGTTCAGTCTGGAACTGGGTTTCCTCGGCAATGTTTTCTTTCCTTTCATCACTCAATGAAAAAGTACCTGGCCAGGCGTGGTGGCTCACCCCTGAAATCCCAGCCCTTTGGGAGGCCGAGGTGGAAGGACTGCTTGAGGCCAGCCGGGGCAAATAGCAACACTCCCGTCTTTATAAAAAATATTGTAAAAATTTAAAAAGTACAAAGAAAAAGTACCTGTATTGTGGATCTGTGATGTATGGGAGTGCCTTTAATCTTGGGAAGGAATTATAAGACAGACACTCCTTACCTGGACTTGATTCTGATAAATACATTCCACAATATTTTCATTTTTTAATTTTTTATATATATATTTTTTGAAACAGAATCTCGCTCTGTGGCCCAGGCTGGAGTGCAGTGGCATGATCTTGGCTCACTGCAGCCTCTGCCTCCAGGGTTCAAGTGCTTCTCTTGCCTCAGCCTCCCGAGTAGCTGGGATTAACAGGCACCCACCACCACACCCAGCTAATTTTTTTTTTTTTTTTTTTGCATTTTTAGTAGAGACGGGGTTCGCCATGTTAGCCAGGCTGGTCTCAAACTCCTGGGCTCAAGTGATCCACCCACCTCGGCCTCCGAAAGTGCTGGGATTACAGACCTGAGCCACTGTGCCCAGCCCGGGATGTTGTTAAATATTTCTTTTTACTTTTGAAAAAAAATGAAGTTGACCATAGAGGTAGAATGACTTTCAAGGCACAGGCACGTGGGCCAGGAGGCTCCCGGGGCCTGTCTGGGAGAGAGCTAAGCAAGCAGCTGAGCTTTGGAGAGCAGCGGGGAGCTGTGTTCCCCTGCCTGGACAATGTTAATGACTGACTTTGACTCTGGGGCCCAGCGCATGAGCCCTGAGGGACTGGCAGCGGCCCCCACCTGCAGCAATAACCAACACTGTGCTTTTGCAGCCAGCTCCCCTAGTCCAGGCCGAGCTTGCACTTGCGTCTTGTCTGCTGCTGCTGAACCAAGATTTAGCTGTGCGCCCTCCTTGCAGTCTCCTGGAACCAGCAGGAGGAAACATGGGGGATACTGGCCTGAGAAAGCGGAGAGAGGATGAGAAGTCGATCCAGAGCCAAGAGCCTAAGACCACCAGTCTCCAAAAGGAGGTAAGGCGGTCTCTGGTGGGGCAGGCCCTTTGCAGGTTAGGCAAGGGCGTCTGAACGAGGGGCGCAGGCAGTGAAATCCGGGCCGATCCCTAGTGACACGGCAGAAGATGTACTCTTTGATTTGTGAAGTACATCTTTAAAGGGATAATCTCTGGACTTACTTCTCTTTCCCTCTCGCCAGGGAATTCTGCATCTTCTTTTTTTTTTTTTTTTTTTTGAGATGGAGTGTTGCTCTGTCACCCAGGCTAGAGTGCAGTGCTGCCATCTCGGCTCAATGCAACCTTCACCTCCCCGGTTCAAGGGATTCTTCTGACTCAGCCTCCCGAGTAGCTGGGATTACAAGCACCCGCCACCATACCCGGCTAATTTTTGTATTTTTAGTAGAGACAGGGTTTCACCATGTTGGCCAGGCTGGTCTCAGACTCTTGGCCTCAGGTGATCCTCCCAAAGTGCTGGGATTACAGGCGTGTGCCACTGCACTCGGCTGCATATTCTTTTTTTTTTTTTTTTTTTTTTTTGAGACAGAGTCTTGCTCTGTCACCCAGGCTGGAGTGCAGTGGTATGATCTCAGCTCACTGCAACCTCCGCTTCCTGGGTTCAAGCAGCTCCTGAGTAGCTGGGACTACAGGCATGTGCCACTACGCCTGGCTAATTTTTGTATTTTCAGTAGAGACGAGGTTTCACCATATTGGCCAGGCTGGTCTCCAATTCCTGGCCTCAAGTGATCCGCCCACCTCGGCCTCCCAAAGTGTTGGGATTACAGGCATGAGCCAACTTGCCCGGCCCGCATATTATTTTAAGTTCATAAATAGGTGCTTTTGTGTGTTGAGCAAGTGTCTAGACGGGCCAGTATTTTTGTTCAAACTAATGGCCTTTCCAGGAATGGTCAGAAAGGGCGTTCTTTTTAAAAATTTTTAAAAAAATTTTTTTAGAGTCAGGGTCTTACTCTGTCACCCAGGCTGGAGTGCAGTGGTGCAATCATAGCTCACTGCAGCGTCAACCTCCTGGACTCAAGCAATCCTCCTGCCTCAGCCTCCTGAGTAGCTGGGACTACAGGAGCACACCACCATGCTCTGCCAAATTTTTAACTTTTCAAAAAAATTCTTTCTGTAGAGTCAGTATCTTGCTGTGTTGCCCAGGCTGGTCTGGAACTCCCGGGCTCAAGCGATCCTCCCACCTCAGGCTCCCAAAGTGCTGGGATTATAGGCGTGAGTCGCTGTGCCCAGCCAGAGAGGGCGTTCTGATGGTTGAGTCCCCTCTAAATGCCTGTCCTCCTTATATCTGAATGGCTGTAGTGATGGGAAGTACTGCCCCCAGCATAGCCTGTTCTGTCTTAGAGGCATCTACCAGGGACAGCTGCTCTGAGTTGGGCTGCAGTGAGCAGCTGGGGCTGGCCCTGGGCCTGCAGGGAAAGGGAGCTTGGGGCTGGGGGGAAGGCAGAAAGGAGCTCAACACAGCACACTGCGCCAGTCCCAGGCAGTTGGGAGCAGCAGGTGCTGAGCATGGAGGCGCAGGGAGGGCTTCAGGCTCCTAGGATGAGGAAAGGCAGCTCCAGGTGAGCTCAGGATGGCTTCCGCTTCCAGGGCAGAGGTGTGGGCAGGGCCTCCGAGAGCTCCCATGCCTGGCAGCAGAGGGGATGGAGGAGGGACGGCACCAAGGCTTTAGGGCTTGACCGGAGGGCTGGCAATGGCCTGAATGGCTTGGCCTGGGACCCCCAGGAGGTAGACGATGGGCTGCAGCACTTTCCCTCTCTGCCAGTCTCAGGCCTGATCTCAGGAAGGGCCTCTTAGAACCCTGGTGGGCCCCAGTGGCCACAGAGCACAGCTGAGAAATCCCCAAGATGTGTCTTCTGAGCTGGGGACAGGTGTGGCGGCACACGCCTGTAACCTTAGCACTTTGGGAGGCTGAGGTGGGAGGATCCCTTGAGCCCAGGAGATCGAGGCTGCAGTGAGTCATGATCGCGCCATTGCACTCCAAGCCTGGGTGACAGAGCGAGACCCTGACTCTAAAAACCAAAAATCTGAGCTGGGTCTACTCCTCAGTCAGGCAGCTTCAGGGCGAATGCAGACCTCACCCACATCAGAACCCAGGCAGTCCCTCAGCAGGAGGGAGGATTCTGGAGCCAAACTGCCAGTCCTGGGCAGGGCTGAGATGAGGAGGAGAGCTGAGCCCATCCCCGCCCTGTCCTGGAAGTGCGCCCTGGCCCTGAAAGCAGACGCTGCTCCCCAGGGATCCCACTGGTGTGTGCAGAGTCCTCAGGGTGGCAGCCTGCAGCTGGGAGCCCCTCATCCCCTGCGATCTGACTCCAAGCCCAGCTTCTTCCCAGACAGGTGAACATGGGTGCTGGAAACTTCAGGCTCTGGAGATCTGGCCGGGGCTGCTTCTGAGGACGAGTGTTATGAGTAGGGCTTGAGTTGGACTTTTTTTTCCTCCTTGATTGGTGTGTAATTTACATACAGTGTAATGTGCAGGTTTTTTTTTTTTTTTTTGAGACAGTCTCACTGTCACCCAGGCTGGAGTGATTGTAGTGGCTCACTGCAACCTCTGCCTCATGGGTTCAAGAGATTCTCCTG